>NC_000006.12:51997051-52642734 GCF_000001405.40 Homo sapiens | reverse complement strand
CTTAGTACAGGCTGATTAAATGTGTTCATTCATTAAAGACAATGGTTGTCAGCTTTGGCTATCCATTAGCATCTCCTGGGAAGCTTTTAAAAACCCTGAAGACAGGCTGTAGATTAGACCAATTACATAAGGATTTCTGAGTCTGAGACCCGGGCAGCAGTATTTTTTTTTAATTCTCCCACACATCCCACTTGAGGTTATTCCACTGTGCAGCCAAGCCTGATAACCACTGATTTAAGAGGTTTACATTAGCTATGTGCTTATTTTGTACTTAATCAAGGGTCAAAGGCACTTGTTTTAAAAGTATCACTCAAAGACCCAGAATTAAACTTGGACTACACTCCCTAAGAATTAATTTCTCCAATTTCCAAAGAGTGCCTATTCCTATAAGCTCATCTAAAATGAAAAATGGCCCATAAAATATTCCTTATTTGGTCAAAGAGAAGCATATGTTAAACATTCAATTCAACAATTTCTATTGAGTACTGTCCAGTTACAGAGAACTGCACTAAACCAAAAGTCTCCATTGTCAAAAAATAATGCTTAAGTTCAAAAGGCACAACACAAGTAAAAAGCAATGCTTCATAAAAACAAAATAAAACAAAACAAAATGAACACTTCCTTCCCTTGGAAATTGACGCCTTTAAGCACACACCCTGCCAGCTTAATTTTCTGCTGATTATCAGCTCTCCTACTGCCTATAATGAGGGGCTTAAGAAGAGGAAGAGCAGCTGGGAACAGGAAGTTTGCAATGATGTGGGAGGTTTACTGGAAAATTATCTGCTAAGGAAATCATTTCAGTGGTCAACATTGCTAACAAAAATACATCGCGCTGACAAAAATATTGAACAAGCTTTGTGCTCAGTGAGACAGTGTTTTGTTTTCTCCACATTGAAGGATTTAATTTCAAATGCACCAAGGTGCTCTTGTGAATAGTAAAATAAAAACATATTTAAAAGCTTTGCTGAATTCATAATCAGATATGGCTATGTAATTTCCCAATCTATTATATAGGATTGAATACATTTTTCCAGCTTTATTGATGTACAATTGACAAATCAAATTGTATATATTTAGGTGTACAATGAGATGTTTTGATATACATACATGTTGTGAAATGATTACCACAATCAAGCTAATTAGCATAAACATCACCTCACATGGTTACCATTTTCCTTTTTGTGGTGAGACCATTTGAAACCTACTCTCAGCAAATGTCACAATATAATACCACATGATTACCTATGGTCACCATGCTGTACATTAGCTCTCCAGAACTCATTCATTCTGCATATTGAAATTTTGTACCCTTTGACCAGCATCTCCATGTCCCCAACCCCTCAGCTCCTGGCAACCACCATTCTACTCCTTACTTCTGGGACACAGTGTTTTTAATGTAAAACAAAAATACGTGACATTTTGTGTGTACATTCATGAATTTCTTTCCCATTTTGGGGATACCCTTGACATAGTCTAGAGATGATTTGTGTGTCTGCTTTTCTTTGCTCTCTGCTCTTTATTGGTTGCTCCTAGGCTGGAAAAGAGATGTAACCTCAGGAAGCAGGTGTGTGAAAGACGATCCAACTCGGGAGAATCCATGGACAGCTGGCCCTGAATCTTAGCCCTGCAAGTGATTGCTGTGATGTTCAGGTCCAACGTCTCAGGTCTCGTTCATACATCTCCACCTCTCACCGTCACTCACTGGATCCCAATATCACAGGCTGTGCAGAGGGAAGATTACTCCAAAGCTTGTTTTCTTCACATCTAGCCAACTAGTCTGTTCTCAAAAGAACTGAAAGGGATGTCCAGCCTTGATGGTCAGTCTGCTAGGAAAAGACACAGAGCCAGGAAGCCAGGGTTCAAGATTTGGTTTTATTCCTTACTGACTATATGATACCAGACAAGCATTGAGCCTCTTTGAGCCTTAGTTTCCTCAGTATAAAATGAGGGATACTAGTATTACCTACCTCTCAAAATTGTTGTAAAGATTTAGTGAAATGTAAGCTGTACAAATGACCAATGCCTTTTTAAAAATACTCTGAACCTGTTTTTTTTTTTTTTTAAGTTTGGAAATCTTAAACACTTAATAGAAAAAATTTGTAAGTGATGACTGAAATGAACCAAACTTTTTCTACAAACTTTAGCCTACAAAGCTCCCAGCACACACCTTAGCACAACCCTGCACCTTCTAAATAGGCAACACTGAACACTCCAGGGAGAAAGTCAGATTTCAAAGCGCTTTACCTTGTTCTTTCCTCTTTTCCCGCCTTGGCCTCCCAGGTAATTTATTACAGAGATCTGGCAAGGCTTCACAGTGAATGAAGCCTGGTGGTGCTACAGCGGGTGACAAAGGCAAACCGGATCCTGTATTTAAACAAAACTGAAGGAAGTGCAGAGAGCCCGCGTTTGGCTCTCCGCGAGGTCTCCATATGCTGGCCCTCCCGTGCACACACTGGGGAGCATTGTTCACAGTTTGAGAGTCATCGCTGCAGCCTGCACTGACGTGAGTCTCCACCATCAGCTAAGAGGAACACTGGTCTCCCACACAGCAGCCAAATCCAAGATCAGTGCTTCCCAGGGAGCACTAGAAACCAAACATAACAACAAGAAATGACTTTCCAAACACCCTTTCACAGAGAAAAATAGAGAGTACAAACAATATTTTCATCATTAGTAGTTATAAAATATTCATGATGTTCTAGGGAGATAAAAGGTAAGGATATCTCACCCCTCACCCATCCCCACCTACCTTGACCCATCCTTCCCAACCTCACCTGTAAAAGAGTTCAAATTGGACTTGTATAAATTCCCCCAAAGAGTGTACCTACTTCTGAAATACAGAGGAAGGAATGTTCTTCATTCTTACCTTCTGTTAAGGAGTTAAGAGAAGGTAGTACTATTTACTAAGTTCCTGGCATATACCAAGACATTTTCTTTTTTTCTGTTTTTTGTTTGTTTGTTTTTGTTTTTTGTTTTTTGAGACAGGTCTCCCTCTGTCACCCAGCCTGGAGTGCTGTGATGCAATCATAGCTCATTGCAGCCTACAACTCCTAGGCTCAAGTGATCCTCCTGCCTCAGCCTCCCACGCAGCTGGGACTACAGGTGGATCACCACGCCCAGCTAATTTTTTTTTTTTCTTGGTAGAGACAGTTGCCCAGGCTGCTCTTGAACTCCTGGCCTCAAAGGATCCTCCAGACTTGGCATCCCAAAGTGCTGGGATTACAGACATGAGACATTTTCACAGACAGTATTTAATCCTTTTTATGACACTTTGAGATAGGTATTCTTATGCCTATCGATGTGGAAACTGAGGGTCAGAAAGATTAAGAAACTTATTCATGGCCATGCACAGTAGTCATGCCTATAGTCCCAGTGAGAGGTGAAGCTGGCTGGGCTTCTGGGTGGGGTGGGGACGTGGAGAACTTTTCTGTGTAGCTAAAGGTTTGTAAACACACCAATCAGCACTCTGTAAAATGCCCCAAGTGGGCGGATCATGAGGTCAGGAGATCGAGACCATCCTGGCAACACGGTGAAACCCCGTCTCTACTAAAAATATTAAAAAAAATAGCCGGACGTGGTGGCAGGCGCCTGTAGTCCCAGCTACTTGGGAGGCTGAGGCAGGAGAATGGCGTGAACCTAGGAGGCGGAGCTTGCAGTGAGCTGAGATCGTGCCACTGCACTCCAGCCTGGGCAACAGAGCGAGACTCTGTTTCAAAAAAAAAAAAAAGTGGACCAACCAGCGCTCTGTAAAGTGGACCATTCAGCAGGACATGGGTGGGGCCAAATAAGGGAATAAAAGCTGGACACCCGAGCCAGCAGCGGCAACCCACTCAGGTCCCCTTCGACACTGTGAAAGTTTTGTTCTTTTGGTCTTCACAATAAATCTTGCTGCTGCTCACTCTTTGGGTCCGCACTACCTTTAAAAGCTGTAACACTCACTGCGAAGGTCTGTGGCTTCACTCCTGAAGTCACGAACCCACCAGAAGGAAAAAACTCCGGACACATCTGAACATCTGAACGAACAAATTTCGGACACACCATCTTTAAGAACTGTAAGACTCACGGCGAGGGTCCGCGGCTTCATTCTTGAAGTCAGCGAGACCAAGAACCCACCTGAAGGAACCAATTCTGGACATACTAGCACTTTGGGAGGCCGAGGCGGGCAGATCACCTGAGATTGGGAGTTCAAGACCAGCCTGACCAACATGGAGAAACCCCGCCTCTACTAAAAATACAAAACTAGCCGGCCATGGTGGCACATGCCTGTAATCCCAGCTACTCAGGAGGCTGAGGCAGTAGAATCACTTGAGCCTGGGAGGCAGAGGTTGCGGTGAGCTGGGATCGCACCATTGCACTCCAGCCTGGGCAGCAAGAGTGAAACTCCATCTCAAAAAAAAAGAAAAAAAAAAGAAAGAAAAACAAAAGAAAAGAAACTTATTCAGAGTCACATAGAAAACAATTGGTAAAAACAGTATTCTAACCTAAATCTGCCTCGTTCTCTCTATTCATTTATCTTCTAAAACATGATGCAGAGAAGTATTAGTATAAACTATCGCTGTAATTCTTTGCTTGGTGAAATAGCAAAAATATTGAGATTATTTTAGAATAAATAATTAGTCCTGGGTATCTTCTTCTAAAAGGCAATGTTTACTAGTGGAAAAGCCCTAAAAGATGACGCCCCGCTGATATTTAAAAATGACCAAATTTATTCAATAGATCTCAATGAGTCAAATTCTGATATTCCATTGAAATCCCTGAGAAGGCAAGAAAATGCTACCAAATCATGAGACCTGTCAAGGGGAGAAGAAAGGCCTTTCATTAGAAAGTGAACATTCAATCATTCTTGGCTCACAAACATGTAGGGAACTGTTGGGACCTATGTCTTAAGCAATTTATTACCAATAACTGAAGCTAGCAAGTGATTACTCAAATATGACTGAGTGCTCAGTACAGTATACGTTCTACTTTTTTGTGTGCTTGAAAACTTTCATAATAAAAAGATTTAGATTTTGTTTCTTTTTAATTTTCCTTATTTTTGTTGAAGTATAATTTTTATATAGTGAAACGACAGGTCTTAAATATACAGTTGGACAAGTTTCAACAGTTGCATACATCTGTATAACCCACATCCCATTAAGATATAGAATATTGCCATAACTCCCAAAATTTCCATCATGCCATCCCAGTCAATCTCTGTCCACTCCCTGCCCCACTTGAAACCACTGTCCTGATTTCTTTTGCAATAGATTGCATTTGCCTGTTTCAGAACTTCATATAAATGGAATCTTACAATATGTACCCTTTTGTGCCTGACTTCCTTTCACTCGGTATAGCAATACTGAGGCCTATCCATGTGTCGTATGTATCAGGAGCTATTGTGTTTTTGTTATCTCCGAGCAGAACTCTGCTGTATGTAAATATCCATGTTGTTTATTCATTCCCCTGCTGATGGACATTTGGGTTGTTTCTAGTTTGTTGCTATTTTTGTTGAGGCCAAGGCTGGGAAAAGAGAAAAGAGAAAAGAAAAACATTTTTTGAAATCTAATTTTCTTCTTGGAGTATTCAGTATTATGAATAAAGCTGCTATGGACATTCATGTACAAGTCTTCTCTGTTTCCAGATGTTTTCATTTCTCCTGAGTAAATACCTAGAAGTGCATTTGCCAGGTCATAGAGTAGGTGCATGTTTAACTTTATGAAAAACTGCCAGGCCAGTTTTCAAAGTGCTTGCACAATTCTACATCCCCACCGGTAATGGATGAGAGTGCTCATTGCTCCACATCCTTGCCCATATTTGTTGCTATGAGTAGTGGTATCTCATTGTGCTTTAATTTTCATTTCGTTGATGCCTAGTGATTTTGAGTGCTTTTTCATGTGCTTATTGGCACATCTTCCTTTGTGAAGTGCATGTTCAACTCTTTTGCCCACTTCGTTTTTTAACTTAAAAATCATATAATCTCAACACCCAGCCATAACCTTCATTAACGTCTTGGACTTTTTCTGTGTATTTACTTATTTATGCCAATATATTTATTACAAAAAAGGGTTCATTTTGTAACCTTTTTCATTTAACAATTCAATTGGTCATGAACATCTTTCCCTATCACTAAATATTCTTCTGTGCCATCATTTTTAAAAACATGAGTGTTCATTGTAGCTTTATTCACAATTACCCAAACTGGAAACTACCCAAATGCCTTTCACTTGGTGAGTGGATAAACAAAATGTACTGTCTAGCTGTACAATGGAATGCTACTTAGCAATGAAAAGGAGACAAACTACTGATAAATGCAACATGCATGCAAAACCATTCTGACGAGTGAAAGAAGCCAGACATAAAAATGTAAATACGAACTATAGTAAGAATGCAAATACAGTCACAAAAACTTGGGGTTGAGGGTGGAGGGACGGATGGACTGATGACAGGCAAGATAATACTTTTGAGGGTGATGAAAATACTCATATATTGGTTGTAGCTGTAGTTTCACTTGTATTTGCATGCCTTAGAACTCATGAAATTGTATATTTTGTTGTGTTTGGCGTTTTACATTTTTAAAAATGTATTACTAATATTACTTTTGATTGACAAATCATAATTGTATACACTTGCAGAGTACATAATTGTATACACTTACAGAGTACAATGTGATGTTTTGATGTGTGTATGCAATGTGGAATGATTAAATAAAGACAATTAGGATATCCCTCACTGGCTGTGCACAGTGGCTCACGCCTGTAATCCCAACACTTTGGGAGGCCGAGGTGGGCAGATCACCTGAGGTCAGGAGTTCAAGACCAGCCTGGCCAACATGGCAAAACTCCATCTCTACTAAAAAACACAAAAATTAGCCGGTTGTGGTGGCGGGTGCCTGTAATCTCAGCTACTTGGGAGGCTGAAGCAGGGAGAATTGCATGAACCCGGGAGGCAGAGGTTGCAGTGAGCCCAGATCATGCCACTGTACTCCAGCCTGGGCAACAGAGCAAGACTCCGTCTCAAAAAAAAAAAAAGTATCATATATATATTTATATATAGATCCCTCACCTTGCTTACCTATCATTTTTTATGATAAGACATTTGAACAAATTATACATTTTAAGGGGCTGAATAATGCAGGCAAATTATAGCTCAATAAAAGTCATTTAAACAAAAAGCATCATTGAGGAGATGCAGTATAGGATATAGACTGGGCACTAAAGGAAGTGGGGCAAGCATGGCTGATGCAATTAAAGACAAAACAAGAATCAAGTAGTCAGAAGCATGAAAGGATGGAAAGTTGAGATAAGAGAGTACGTAGAGTTTAGATCTTAGCAAAAAGAGTTTTAAGTTGAATTAGAGCTCTCAGTTAAATCTAGTTAAAGTTATTTAGGCTAAAATGGTGATTCATCAACTCATAGCAGGTTTTTTTTAAAAAGTTGAACAACTGAAATCAGAGTGGAGTGAAGCCAGGACTTTTTTTCCAGCTCTCTGATTTCTAACACCACCTTAAGCGGGGAAGCAGGAAGGAAGGATGCGTAGGGTGCCTCATTATAACCTCACAAGGGTACGGTCCCCAGTTGGTCTTAGCAGGCAGGGACGGGGGTGAGATCACAGATTTTTCTGTGGTGTTTAGCTGGAGTAGAGTCATTATTGTCTAATAGTTTTCTGTCTCCCTAAGCTGTCCCTTTCTGATCCTTTGGCAAGAGTGAGCAGGCTTTTTCTAGGTGATTGTGTGAGTGTGTGTGTGTGTGTGTGTGTGTTTCCATTGATATTTCCAGGTTGCTGGCTTCTCAAGCAACTAGTCTGGGATATATGTATATGAAGCAAAAACAAAGCCCAGGGAGCTCACCCACTTGTTTCTGTGATCCCGAGGTCAACTGCTGGTCTGCCTTCTTTCCACCTTTCAGAGTCTTCTTTTCTTTGTTTTATATAAAATGTACAGGGTTTTTTTAGCTGTCCTTGGCAGAAAGTATAAGAGAAAAGTACGTCTACTCAATTTTTCTGGAAGCAGAAATTTCCTTGATGGCTTTTTAAAAATTAGATTGTTTGTCTTTTTCATTATTGAGTCACAGGAGCTATTTTTTATTCTGGATACAAGTCCTTTGTCAAATATATATGCTGTGAATATTTTTCCCATCTGCAGCTTGTTTATTCAATTTTTAACAGTGTCTTTTGATGAACAGAAGTTTTAAATGTTGATGAAAGTTCATTTCTTCAATTTGTTTCTTGTACAATTAGTGCTTTGTGTGTGCTGAAAAAGAAATATTTGCCTATCTGTAAGTTGTAAAAATAACCTCCTGTGTTTTTTTTCTAGAAGCTTTATGGTTCTAGCTTTCGTGTTTAGCAATATGATTCATCTCAAATCAATTTTTGTGTTTAGCGTGAGGTATGAATTTCAAGTGTTTTTTTCTGCATAGATAGCTTGTTGTTCCAACACCGTTTGATGAAAGTGTTTCCTTTCCCCTTTTAGTTTCTTTGCTATCTTGGTCAAAAATCAATATATATGGGACTATTCTTATATTGTATTCTTATCCAGTGATCTATTTGGTTGTCTTTATGTCAATACCACATTGTCTTGATTACCATGGCATTATAGCAATTTTGAAATTAATGATAGTATACATCCTCCAACTTTGGTTTTTTGCTTTTGATTTTGTTTTTTTTTTTTGTTTTTTTTTTTTTTTTGGTGCTTTTTAAGAATTGCTTTACCTCTTTTAAGGCCTTCAAATTTCTAGAAAAATGTTATAGTCCATTTGCCAGTTTCTACAGAAAAGGCTTCTGTGATTCTGATCGGGCTTGTGTTGAATCTACAGGCCAATTTTGGGAGAATTGACATCTTAACGATAAGTGATAGTGTCTTTCCATTTGTTTTTCTTCTTTGATTGTTAGCAATATTTTATAATTTTTCAAGGTGTATGTCTTACACAAATTTTATTAAGTGCATTCCTAAATATTTTGAGTTTTTGGTGTTATTCTAAATGGTATTAAGTTTCAGTCTTCAAATGTTCATTTGCTAACATATAGAAATACAACTGAACTTTATATATTAACTTTATATCCTGCAATCTTCCTAAATTTACTAATTAGCTCCAGTAGCTTATGTTAAGTTATTTAGAATTTTCTGTGTAATCATATCATCTGCAAATAAAGACAGTTTTACTCTTTCTTTTATGGTTTTGTGCCTCTTCTTTATTTTTGTCTTTTTGTGCTGTTGAAGACATCTAATAGAGGTGTCTAAGACCTCTAATAGAAGTGGTGAAAGTAGAAATACTGGCCCTGATCAAGGCCAGTACTTAGGGGGAAAATGTTTTAATCTGTCACCATTAATAGGTTGTCAGCTATAAAGTTTTCATTGGTGTCTTTTATCACAGGGGTCCAACCCCTGGGCCGTGGACCAGTATTGGTCCATGGCCTGTTAGGAACCGGGCCACACAGCAGGCAGTGAGCGGCAGGCAAGCAAGGATTACCAGCTGAACTCCACCTCCTGTCAGATCAGCGGTGGCATTAGATTCTCATAGGACTGTGAACCCTTTTGTGAACTGCGCATGAGAGGGATCTAGGTTGCATGCTCTTTATGAGAATCTACTAATGCCCTGATGAAACCACCACTCCCCACCCCCCACCCCGCCCACCTCACATGTCCGTGGAAAGACTGTTTTCCATGAAACCAGTTCCTGGTGCCAAAAAGGTTGGGACCACTGCTTTATCAGGTTGAGGAAGTTTTCTTCTGTGTTTGTTGACAGGTTTTATCATGAATGGTTGTTGAATTTTGTCAAATGCTTTTCTACATCTATTGAGATGATCATATGCTTTTTCTTCTTTATTCTATTAAATGGCATCAGTTTATATTCAAACATTAAACTAACATTGCATTCCTAGTATAACCTCCATTTGATCATGATGCATTATTCTTTTTCTATGTCATTGGGTTCAATTTGCTAAAATTTTAAGGACTTTTGCGTCTATGTTCATGACGATATTAGTCAGTTTTCTGTAATGTCTTTTTCTGGTTTTGATATCAGAATAGTTTTGGACTCATAAAATGAGTTGTTGGCTGGATGCAACAGCTCGTCCCTATAATCTCAACACTTTGGGAGGCTGAGACAGGAGGATCACTTAAGGCCACGAGTTTAAGACCAGTTTGGGCAACATAGTGAGACCCTATCTCTACACACACACACACACACACACACACACACAAATTAGCCAGGTGTAGTGGCGCCTGCCTGTAGTCCTAGCTACTTGCTAGGATTGCTATTTGGAAGATTGCTTTAGCCCAGGAATTGGAGGTTACAGTGAGCTATGATTGTGCCACTGCACTCCAGGCTGTGTGATCAAGTGAGACTCTGTCTCAATTTTTTTTTAAGCTTTTAAGTGTTTCTAAAATGAATGTTGTAGAATTATTATTTTTTCCTTAAATGTTTGAGATAATTTATCAGTGAAGCCATTTTGTATGTATAGATTACCTATTTCCCTTCTTTAAGGAATCACAGTCCTCCCTGAATGCCGTCCAGTGTCTTATCATAGTTATTTTATATATTGTGTGTGGTTTTGTGGTTGCTGAGAGTGGAGGGATGTCTGGTACTAGTTACTCCATCATGACTAGGCCAGAAGTCTCTAGTAAAATGTTTGTTTAAGTTGATATTATTATTAGGGTAATTTTAGATTCAACAGATTCAATATTATCCCAATATTGAAACTACCTCAATAGTTTATACTAATTGCATTTCTATTGAATCCACCCCCAAATTAAATATTCATATAACTATACAATTCAGTATTAGCAAAGACTAGTACAATGAACAATAGTCTTATACCTACTACCTAGATTCAAGTATTAATAAATAACATTACTTTTACTTCAATTTTAATATACTTTTTTATATGGAATAAAAAGTAGTAAAGTTACAGATAGAGTTATTTTATGTAACTCTGACATGCCCCAGGAGTATGTTTTGCATCTCATTCACTATGCTTATTAACAACAGATTAAACATTTGAAACCCATTATTTAGAGACTTACATGTTTCAGAAAGATTATCATTTAAATATACAAAACTTTTCTAACAAAAAACATATGTGTGTATGATTCCGGCATTTTATCAGAAAAAAAGGTGTTTCCCAGTAGGCGTGCACTAGAACTTTGCAATTATGTTTGTATCTTCTGCATGGCTTTGTCCCTGCTGCTTCTCGTCATAGGATTAGACCCTGTAGAAAACAATCACTTTCCAAAATGATATATAATATCCAGGTTAGGGGGAATTATTAGACTCAAGTCTCTCTGCATAAGGAACCATGCTGGAAACCTAATATTTTGCTTATCAGGCCTCCTCTGAGCCTAAATCTGCTTTCTCAAACAATGAAATAGATTGCTTCAACTTCCTTTTTGGAATTAAGTGGGAATATTAAACAAATGATAAACTAAAATTTAAAACCACTGGACAGTTGTAGTTCTTGCCTTCACTTAAGTGAAAGAGTTTAGGCTCTACTACTTAAAGTACTCCCACCTCACCATTTGGACCACTTACGGTCTGAAGGCTGCATCCTACTCCTGGGTCCGAAGAGCTAGGGGTGACAGCTAGGGTCTACCATGCTATACCAGTGGGAAATTTGAAGCAGGAGTAAATTTTAAAAGAAGGAACTTACATATTGTTATATTGACACTGTCATTAAGGATAATGTGACATTAATGTTACATCCTTTGAAAAACCTTACCATATGGAGAATATGAGGGAATACGGAGAATGAGGGAACACGCCAACTGAATAGCTAGCTCTAGGGAAAACTTATTTGTAAAAAGTACATTAGGATATAATGTAACAACATATTCCTCTGTTAACGGTACTGGTGAATTCTGGCATTTAGCTAGGATTGCTTCAGTCCTTTTCTGGCTGTCTGTCCCCAGTCAAAATTAACTACTAGTGCAATAGGAGTCAAAAATCATGTTAATCTCTGCCAACGAATACACAATCAAAACAGGTTGATGGTTTATTGCAAGCCCGTGGTGTTTCTAAATCACCAGGAAGCGATAAAAAATTTAAATGCCCAACCCTCATTCCTAGACATCTGAATTTGATTAATCTGAGTGGAGACTAGGCATCAATATTTTTTCATAGAATTTTTTTTAATTTCATAGAATCCTGTTATGTTTTCTTTTTCACAGTTTTATAGTTTTACCACTTAAATTTATGTCTTTGGTGTATTTTGGGATAATTTTTATATATGGTATGAGGTCGGGGTCCAACTTTATTCTTTTGCATGTGGATTCTCTAACTGCTCCAATACTATTTGCTAAAAAGGCTATTCTTTCCCTGTTGAATTGTCTAAGGAGCCTTGTCAAAAATCAGTTGGCCACATAGACACATGGGCTTATTTCTGGACTGTTGATTCTATTCCATTGATCTATCTCTATCCTTATGCCAGTACCACACAGTCTAGAGTAGTGTAGCTTTGTACTAAGCTCCAAATTGAGAAGTGTGAGACTTACAACTTTGCTTTTTTTTTGAAAGGAGTCTCACCCTGTCACCCAGGCTGGTGTGATCTCGGCTCACTGCAACCTCCAACTCCCAGGTTCAAGTGATTCTCCTGCCTCAGCCTCCTAAGTAGCCGGGATTACAGGCACAGGCCACCATGCCTTGCTAATTTTTGTATTTTGAGTAGAGAAGGGATTTCACCATGTTGGCCATGCCGGTCTTGAACTCCTGACCTCTGGTGATCCACCCGCCACGGTCTCCCAAAGTGCTGGGATTACAGGCATGAGACACCGCGCCCTACCTGTTGTTCTTTTTCAAGATTATTTTGATTATTCTGGGTCCCTGTATTTCCCTATGAATTTTAGGATCACGTCAATTTCTACCGAAAAAAAAAAAAGCCAGCCTGGATTTGTACAGAGTTGTGCTGAATCTGTATATCAGTTTGGAGAGTATTGCAATTTTAACAATATTAAGCCTTCCAATTCATTAACATGACATGTTTCCATTTATTTAGGCCTTCTTTATTTTCTCTCAGTGACATTTTATAGTTTTCAGTGTATAAGTCTTGCAGCATCAATTTTTTTTTCAAGCTTTTCAGGCGATTACCATATGCAGCCATTGTTGAGGACCATTGCTTAAGTTCCCAAAGATGAGGAGCATTTCTCATTGTCCCCAAAATCACAAATCTTAGGTAATCTGTCCATATGTGGTCCTGCTAAGGACAGGGAAATAGGGTTTATCTTGACCAGGAAGACCTACTTCCGAGAGATGTCCATTTCATAACATTTCATAAAAAGAACTCTGGTACTAATATTTAATTACACCCTACAGATAATCCTAGAGTTGCAAAATCTTGAGAGGCCTAAGAATTTATTTATGCTGCTCCAGAGAGGTGAGAGTCCATCTTATTTTAATGTCTGCTAAGAGCAAATGTTCTTTGAACAATCTCCATCAGTAACCCATTCCCATGTTAACTAACTCTCCTCTGAAAACATCTTCACCCACCTTCCCCAACCCACTACCTCTGCTTTCCTATTTATAATGAGATTTTTAACCCCCTGGGTTCTTCATTCCATCTGTACCAAATTTATGATCTGTCTAAATTCCCATTATTATAACTTCAGGCCATTTCTCAGTAGATCTGAGGAACATCTGTTCACCATTTTGAGTACAAAGACTAGAAAGCTCCTGTTATTTGTTTCGTTGTTGTTTGGTTGGTGGGTTTGATTTGGTTTAGATTGATTTTTTTCCTCTGGTTCTTGATTTTTGCCTTTCTGACACATACTATTTTCTAGGTTTGGCAAAACCACTATGAGATCTAAATGGAATGAAATGACCTGTCACCTTAATACCATGTTTTATGATCCCATTAATGGCAAAGGTAGACCATGAGTAGCTGGAGGTGTTGACTTAGGATGCTATTCTGACCAACTGCCAGTCTGTCTTTGAATAAGCTTTGAATAACATCAACACATTGATCCATCTGTGGCCATGGTCTGTCCCCGATTCCACAGTTCTCCCTTTCCTATTTTTTTTGTTTTGTTTTTGACAGAGTCTTGCTCCGTCACCCAGGCTGGAGTACGGTGGTGTGATCTCAGCCCACTGCAACCTCTGCCTTCCAGGTTCAAGCAATTCTCATGCCTCAGCCTCCCAAGTAGCTGGGACTACAGGTGCACATTGCCACACCAGCTAATTTTGTATTTTTAGTAAAGATGGGGTTTCACCATGTTGGCCAGGCTGGTCTCGAACTCCTGACCTCAAGTGATCAGCCCTCCTCAGCCTCCCAAAGTGCTGCAATTACAGGCATGAGCCACCACACCTGGCCTCCCTTTCCATTCTTGACCTCTGGGCCTCTCTAGGTTCTGACACCATCAGCATCTGTGTAATTCTAGTCCACATAAACTACCTAGAGCTGGAGAAGCAATTTGGATTTCCTGAATACTGATGGAGAAATTACCTCTTCAGATGGGACTGAAAAATAGGCCTGAGATTCTTGTCTTTTTCCTCCTGCAATGCAAATGATGGATGATGCCACAAGCATGACACTCTTTCATGGTCTATCCAAATACTGAAAAAATCTAGAAATGTTTTATAGAAAAAATAAGAAAATAGTACCCCAGATCTTTTCTCTTGATTTGGTGTTCATAAAAGCATTTTATCCATCATATCTGTCAGTCATTTAGAATTTCAAAAACTACAAAAACATGGTAAAACACAGGACCAGTCTAATTTTTAAACTTTAAAAATCATGACTAGTTGTTTTTCAGTACATTTCTCTACAGGTATATTAATCAGGCAAGGAAGTATTATGATTGAAGAATAAGTTTAGGCAAAAGTTATTTAATTATTTTAATGTGCCATCTGTTGAATTTTTAAGTAATAGCATTAATTTAATTAGCATTAATGCAAATTTCATTCATATCATTGCTTTGGTTTAGTAATGATAAGTGTTATTATTAATATAAGTGTTCATGGCATCATTCTTGTTAATTAACCACTTATGTATCTTTTGCCTATTCCTTTATTCCTGTTATACATCTATCTACATTTCTCATTTAAAAGAAATGAGAAACTACAATGCATTACAATGATTTTCAGTTTTCTTAATTATTAATAGTACCTCAGAAGTGAGGTCTTATTTGGGGCTTTGGAGAAAATTGGGCAAGATGTATGCTTATCTTTTCCACTGAAGAAAGCATACAAACTATGTAAGAAGTGACAGTGATTCTATGAAAGGGATAATCTTGGATCTGCTCTGATTGTTTAAGATCCTAAACTGATACAGTGTTTCCCTATTATCAATAAAATATTAATTACAACGTGTTTCACAGTTGAAGGCTGAGGCTGAGATCCTCTGGTATAGACTGAGGGTCTCCAATTTGCTTTTTATGTGCCCCCATCATTTAAAAAAAATGCAAGCATACACACCCCACTGTGTGTGTGTGTGTGTGTGTGTGTGTGTGTGTGTGTGTATACATATATATATAGAGAGAGTTATTTTTAAAGTATGTAGATGTACCATTGTGCTTATATATTCTGTACACAGAAAGAATAGAAAACATTAAAGGGTGACATAAAAATAAATATAAATTAAACTCTAAAATCTTGTTCCATCCATATGGATTGTGTTGTACAGAGGCTGGTAAATTTATTTTTTCCCCCTCTAACTTCCAGCAAAAATGAAGCAGGGAGTTGTTTCAAGGTCCACCAGGGAATACAAAGTTTCTGGTCTCATATTTTGCTCTTTGGTAAGGAACTCAAAACTATTAAAGAGCAGGTTAAATGTTTGCTTGTGCATGTAATCTATGTTATGTGGGTGTTAGAAGGATTTTGGGTTCCCTCCAGAAGATCCCAGATTGGATTAATTTTGACCTCTCCTATGAACTCCAGAAAGAAGATAAAAATGAGCTGTTACAGAGGGTTTGGCTTTTTCTTTTATCTCCCCACTCTCTTTCCATGGAAGAAATAGTACAGAACTTTATGCAACTTTCATGGTCTTTTCCTTTTGACAAAACATCACAGTGATGAGCCTTTATGAATTGTCTATAAAAAAAGGTGTGTCATGAGATTCTTCATAGAAGTACCCATTTGACTTTTGATCTCTTCTGTATTTTGTTGTTTCCTTTATTTTAGTCTCCAGAGTAAATTGTATGGAAATTGCGATCAACCATGGAAAGGCATTTATTTCATTATCAAAGGAACTGAACCAATTGTGATTCATTTACTTTTTCCTTCCTTGTTTTTTTTCAAAAAAACTGTTTTCTTCTGATTATAAAAGAAATACATGTGACTCTTAAAATTTTTGAAAAATACAAAAAACAAAAGAACAAAATTAAAGTTATCTATAATGCCATTAATTTAAGATAATACCAAGATAGTAAATTTTTCTATGAAAAATAATGTTTTTCAAAATTTGGATCACATTGAATTTACTATTTTATTTCTTCATTATTTATTAATATCTAATCATAATGAGTTTTTTTTCCTGTCACAAATTTTTCAAAAGCCTAATTATTTATTTCATTTTTATTTTAAGTTCAGGGGTACATGTGCAAGTTTGTTATATACATAAACTTCTGTGATGGGAGTTTGTTGTACAGATTATTTTGTCACCCAGGTATTAAGACTAGTACCCATTAGTTATTTTTCCTGATCCTCTCCCTTCTCCCACCTTCTGCTCTCAAGTAGACCCCAGCATTTGTTTTTCTTCTCTATGTGTCCATATGTTCTCATCATTTAGCTCCCACTTAAGTGAGAACATACAGTATTTGAGTTTCTGTTTCTGTGTTAGTTTTTTTTTTTTTTTTGAGATGGAGTCTTGCTCTGTCGCCCAGGCTGGAGTGCAGTGGCACCATCTCGGCTCACTGCAACCTCTGCCTCCCAGATTCAAGTGATTCTCTTGCCTCAGCCTCCCGAGTAGCGGGGACTACAGGCACCCACCACCATGCCAGGCTAATTTTTGTATTTTTAGTAGAGACGGGGTTTCACTATGTTGGCCAGGATGGTCTTGAACTCCTGACCTCGTGATCCACCCGCCTCAGCCTCCCAAAGTGCTGGGATTACAGGCGTGAGCCACCGCGCCCAGCCTCTGTGTTAGCTTTTTAAGGACAATGGCCTCCAGCTCCATCCATGTTCTTGAAAAGGACATGATCGTGTTCTTTTTTATGGCTGCATAGTATTCCACAGTGTATATATGTATGACATTTTCTTTATCCAGTTTACCATTAATGGGCATTTAGGTTGATTCCACGTCTTTGCTATTATAAATAGTGCTTCAGTGAACATATGCATGCATGTGTCTTTATGATAGAACAATTTATATTCCTTTGGGTATATATCTGGTAATGGGATTGCTGGGTTAAATGGTAGGTAGTTCTGTTTTTAGGTCTTTGAGAAATTGCCACACTGCTTTCCACAATGGCTGAACTAACTTACATTCCCACCAACAGTGTATAAACGTTCCTTTTTCTCTGCAATCTCACCAGCATCTGTTATTTTTTTACTTCTTAATAATAGCCATTCTGACTGGTGTAAGATGGTATCTCATATGGTTCTGATTTGCATTTCTCTAATGATTAGCGATGTTGAGCTTTTTTTTTCATATGCTTGTTGGCCACATGCATGTGTTCTTTTGAATAGTGCCTGTTTGTGTCCTTTGCCCCCCACCCACCCCCCCTTTTTTTTTTTTTTTTTTTGAGAAGCACTCTTTCGCCCAGGCTGGAGTGCAGTGGTGCTATCTCGGCTCACTGCAAGCTCCACCTCGTGGGTTCACGCCATTCTCCTGCCTCAGCCTCCCGAGTAGCTGGGACTACAGGCGCCCGCCACCATGCCCGGCTAATTTTCTGTATTTTTAGTAGAGATGGGGTTTCACCGTGTTAGCCAGGATGGTCTCGATCTCCTGACCTCGTGATCTACCCGCCTCAGCCTCCCAAAGTGCTGGGATTACGGGCGTGAGCCACCGCTCCCGGCCCTTTACCCATTTTTTAAGGGGGTTGTTTGTTTTTTTCTGTAAATTTGTTTAAGTTACTTATAGATGCAGGATATTAGACCTTTGTCAGATGCATAGTATGCAAATATTTTCTTCCATTCTGTAGGTCATCATTTTGTTCTTGATAGTTTCTTTTGCTCTGCAGAATCTCTTTAGTTTAATTAATCCCATTGGTCAATTTTTGCTTTCATTGTAATTGCTTTTGGCATCTTTGTCATGAAATCTTTGCCCATTCCTGTGTCTAGAATAGTATTGCCTTCCAGGGTTTTTATAGTTTTGGGTTTTACATTTAAGTCTTTAATCCATCTTGAGTTAATTTTTGCATGTGGTATAAGGAAGGGATCCAGTTTCAATCTTCTGCTTATGGCTAGCCAGTTATCCCAACACCATTTATTGAATAGGGAGTCCTTTCTCCATTGCTTGTTTTCAGCAAAAGCCTAATTTTTAATGTCTGCAAACTATTTCATCAAGTATATATATATATTTTTTGAGACGGAGTCTTGCTCTGTCACCCAGGCTGGAGTGTAGTGATGCAATCTCGGCTCACTGCAACCTCCATCTCCCGGGCTCAAGTGATTCTCCTGCCTCAGCCTCCTGAGTAGCTGGGATTACAGGTGCATGCCACCCACCATGCCTGGCTAATTTTTGTATTTTTAGTAGAGATGGAGTTTCACCATGATGGCAAGGCTGGTCTTGAACTCCTGACCTCAAGTGATCCACCTGTCTCGGCCTCCCAAAGTGCTGGGATTATAGGTGTGAGCCACTGCACCCTGCCAAGTGAATATATTTTAATCTTAGGATTCCCTCATGATGGGTACTTAGGCTATTTCCAATTTTTTGATACTATTTTTGTGGTGGTAGGCATCCTTATATGTATATGTTTTATTGCATCTCCGATTATTTGTTTAGGATATATTCCAAGAAGCTTAATTCCTTAGTAAAGAATTTCTGTATAATTAATACTCTTAAAAATATTATAAAGTTGCTTTATTGAAAGCTTCCACTAATTACACTTCTATTAATGATGTATGAAAAGTGCATGTCAAACAACAAATACTTAGTATTTATCTTTAAAACATTCTCAAGAGAGGTTGACTGAAAAGGGGAATGAGAAAGGATTCTAGACTGTTAGAAGTTTGGTTTCACTGTGTGTGTGTGTGTGTGTGTGTGTGTGTTTGTGTGTGTGTGTGTGTGTGTGTGTGAAAATTTATTGACTATTACATGTACTATTTTTGTCCTTTACCGTATGCATATTATTTCTCAATATTTTTATATTTTAATATTTATATTTACCAATTTGATAGATGGGATTAGTATATCTTTTTTTTTCCTTTCTTCTTACCAAGTGGGTTGCTATGCCTAAGACAGAGATCACCAAATTTCTTTATCTGACCATCCATACAATTTTTTTAACAATTGGAATTTTGCACTCTGGTCAATGAGGGAAGGCCTTACTTGTTCTGTATCTGTAAAACAACATTAAATCTCCTTGGTGGACACTATTTTTGAAAGGTATAACTTATCTCCTCCCATCTTATTCATTGCTTTGTTCACGTTTTGTTATATTCTCCAGATAATGTATATAAAATAATTTTTAAGAGTTTATAAGCTCTGAAATTCTAAGTATCAAAGTTATTAGCATCTCAAACCTCAATGCATGTACAAATCCTCATAGGGTTCTTTCCTCTGTGTGGTAAAAAACACATGACATAAAAGTTACCATCTTAATCATTTTTATGAGTATAGTTCAGTGGTATTAAATACATTTACAGTGTTGTGCAACATATCACTAGAACTTTTTCATCTTGCAAAACTAAACTTCTATACCCATTGAACAACAACTCTATATTTTCCCTTCCCCCAACTCCTGGCAACCACCATTCTACTTTCTGTTTCTATGGATTTGACAACTCCAGGTACCTTATATAAGTGGAATCATATAGTATTCGTCTTTTCGTGACTGGCTTATTTCACTTAGTCTAGTGTCCTCAAGTTCCATTCATATTGTAGCATGAGAAAGGATTTCCTTCTTTTGAAAGGCTGAATAATTTTCCGTTGTTTGTATAGATCACATTTTGTTTATCCATTCACCCTTTGATGGATATTTGAGCTGCTTCTACTTCTAGGCTATTGTGAATAATGCTGCAATGAACATGGGTGTGCAAATATTTCTTTGAAATCCTCCTTTCAATTCTTTTGGGTATATACACAAAAGTAGGATTGCTGGATCAGGCGGTAATTCTATTTTGAATTTTTTGAGGAACCTCCATGGTGTTTTCTACAGCAGCTACCCAATTTACATTCTCACCAACAGGGCACAAAGGTTCCAACTTCTCCATATCCTCACAAACACTTGTTATTTTGTTTTGTTTTGTTTGATAGTGGCCATCCTAGTGGATGTCAGATATTAAGTTGATACAAAATTAATTGCAGTTTTTACTATTACTTTTAATGGCAAAAACTGCAATTACTTTTGCAGCAACTTAATAATATTTCACATGGTTTTGATTTGCATTTCTCTAATGGTTAGTGATGTTGATTATCTTGTCATGTTTCTTGGCCATTTGTATATCTTCTTTGCAGAAATATCTACTCAAGTACTTTGCCCATTTAAAAAAAACTGGATTATTTATTTTGTTGTGTTGAGTTGTAGGAGTTCTTTATATTTTCTGGATATTAACCCTTTATCAGATATATGATTTACAAATGTTTTCTTCTATTCTGTAGGTTGCTTTTTCACTATGTTGATAGTTTCTTTTGATGCACAAAAGTTTTCATTTTAATATAGTCCCATTTGTCTATTTTTGTTTTTGTTGCCTGTGTTTTTGGCAACATATTCAAGAAATCGTTGCCAAATTTACTGTCATTAAGCTTTGCCCTTATGTTTTCTAAGAGTTTTACAGTTTTAAGCCTTTGATCAATTTTGAGTTAATTTTTGTATATGGTATAAGGTAAGGGTCCAATTTTATTCTTTTTCATGTTGATATCCAATTTTCCCAGCACCATTAGTTGAAGAGCCTGTCCTTTCCCAATTGTGTGACCTTGGCACCCTTATCAAAGATCACTTCATCTCATATTCATGAAGTCTTATATCTAGGCTCTCTATTCTGTTCTGTTGGTCTACATGTCTGTGTTTATGCCAGTATCACAATACTTTATAGTACACCACCACCTCATAAAGTATTTTTGAATGATAAATAAGATCAAACACTTTATTTTTTTTATTTTTAGAGACAGTGTCTCACCCTGTCACCCAGGCTGGAATGCAATGGCACTATTATAGTTCACTGCAGCCTCAGACTCCTGGGCACAAGCAGTCCTCCAGCCTTGGCCTCCGGAGTAGCTAGGATTACAGACACACACCAACATGCCAAGCTATTTTTTTTTTTAATTTTTGAGACAGGATCTCACTATATCACCTAGGCTGTTATAGTTGGAGAACTCCTTGCCTCAAACAATCTTCCTGAGTGGCTTCCCAAAGTTCTGAGATTGCAGGCATGAGCCACCATGCCCAACCTACTTTTTAAAATGTATTGAACAATTTGTATTTCCTTTTTGGCAAACTATCTGTTCTTATCTTTTCCAATTTTAAGTTAGGTTTTGGCATTTTTTTATAATTGAACTGAAAGAGTTAATTTTATGTTATAGTAGATGCCTATTGGCTTGCCTGCCTAATACCCCTTGTTAGGAATTGCCCTCCCCTCTATGCATGGTTGCAGAGGGGCAGCCATAGGATCACAATGAAATTCCCACCCCTACCTTCACCCTGACCACAGTCAATTGCTCCTGGATGGGCATCAGTCCAGACTGTCATTCACAGCCTCCCCAGGGACTTGAAATGAGAATCAACAGAATTAGGTTATTTCTTCCCCAGGTAACTGGACCAGTTGTGGTAAAACTTGAGTGCTGCTGGGGCCCTTTGTTCACCATGTGCTCTGAGAAACAGAGATGGGGTTCTATGGAGAGAGGCAAGTATGAAGTGGAAAACAGAGAAAGAGAATAACCTCAGATGCTTATAACACTCCAGTCCCTGGTTCTATGGTCCAGCTCCCTCTCCACCCTTAGCTAATTTCAACTTTAGTTCAAATGGTTCTCTGTTACTTGGAAATCAAAGTACTAATTAATAAGTATATTTATTCAATCATTTAACAATAAATACTGAATACCATATGCAGACATTGCCCTAGATGCTGGAAATATAGGAGTGATCAAAGTAGACTCTGTCTCAAACTTACATTCCAGAGGCAGGGAGACAAAAAACAGAGGAATGAGTAAACATATAGTGTCAGTGGGGATTAGTAGTATGGAGGAAAATAAAGCAAGTGCCAGGGAAGAGGCAGCCCTGCTGAAAAAGAAACAGAGAGGGTTGAAGAAAGTGGAGAGGGCCTTAAGGCAGAAGGAGCAGCAAAAACAAAGGCCCAGGAACAGGAGTGTGCCTGATGGGTTGCAGGTACAATGGTCAGTGTGGCTGGAGTGGAGTCATTAAGGAAAAGTGTAGAAAGAGACAAGGTCCAAGAGGTGGCCATAGGGCTTTGAGGCCACTGGAAAGACTTCGGCTTCTACTTGGAGTGTGATGAAAGCTACTGAAAGGATCTGAATAGAGGAGGGAGGTGATCTGCTGTGTGATAAGTAACCACTCTGTCTAAATCTCTTTGTCATGTATGTTGAGGAAGTGCCTCTATTTAATTGGGATGATGCTGGGTTTTGATCTACAGAAGCAAGACGTATGGAGGCTCCAGGAGTTCCCATCCTTCCCCTGCAATTGTAGAACTCAGAAGCCCCGTGAATCAGTTTTACTTTTTTCCATGCTCGAAATATAATATTTTCTTTCATGACCTCTTTCTTTGTTTATGCTTAGAATATTCCTCTCTATAAATATTAATATCTTAATCTACATTTTCAAATAAAAATATATATCTTATGTTTATACAGAAATTTTTTTCTGAACTTCAATGGATACAAAGATGTATGGAAATTGTGAAGTCAAAACACTGAAATTAAGTTTGGCTTAGTTGTTGTTTTCATATAATCTTTTGTTTAAAAATATCATCTATTGTTCACTCTGATGGTAGTTTCTTTTGCTGTGCAGAAGCTCTTTAGCTTAATTACATCCCATTTGTCAATTTTGGCTTTTGTTGCCATTGCTTTTGGTATTTTAGACATGAAGTCCTTGCCCATGCCTATGTGTAACCTGCACGTTGTGCGCATGTACCCTAAAACTTAAAGTATAAAAAACATATATATATCATCTATTGGCTGGGCGCGGTGGCTCATGCCTATAATCCCAGCACTTTGGGAGGCCAAGGTGGGTGGATCACCTGAGATCAGGAGTTCAAAACCAGCCTGGCTAACAATGGTGAAACCCTCGTCTCTACTAAAGATACAAAAATTAGCTTGGTGTGGTGGCATGCACCTGTAATCCCTGCTACTCAGGAGGCTGAGGCAGGAGAATAGCTGGAACCCCGGAGGCAGAGGTTGCCGTGAGCTGAGATCACCCCACTGCACTCCAACCTGGGTGACAGAGTAATACTCCATCTCAAAAAAAAAAAAAATCACCTACTGATAATCCTTTCTTCCATCATTGGATTGTGATATTTCATTCACATATATAGAGAGAGGTATATAGATTATCTGTTTTAGACTTATTCTTTTACATTAATTCCTATTTTGACTATTGTATTGATACCACAAAATTTTTAAAATTGAAGCTCTGTGCTACAATTTTACGTATAATAGTTCATTTTAACATATAGTAGAACAAGAAAAAAAATCTTGATGTTTCTCTTCAGTCTATTCTTCCAAGTGAATTAGAATCATGTTCTCAAATTCTAATAATAAAATAAAATTTCACTGGGATTTTTTATTGAGATGGACTTAATTTTGTAAATTAATTTGGAAATGATTTGTTTATCCTTTACTACAATTCATTTTCTCACCAAGGAACATTCTCTCTCCATTAATCTCAATCTTCTTTTATATTTCTTAATAAAGTTGTGGCCATATAGATCCTGTACTTTCTAGGATGTTTTATGTTTTTCCAGTGCTATTATACACATAATCGTTTTCATCAGAGTCTTCTAATCAATAATTGCTTGGATATTGGAAAACTGAGCATAACTTCGGGTATTTTACTCCACTTCATTTGAGGGGTGGCCCCTTATTTACTCTTCAATTATACTCCTTAAGTATTTCCTAATAACAAAGCTTTTCATAGGAAAGTCTTCACAGTTTCATTTGGTTATCTGTTTTATAGTCTCAAAACACTAATAATGGAAGTTCTTCCTTGAGAAGTCTAAATTTCTTCTTCGAGATTTGTTTTTTCTTACATGAATTTGGCATATATCTAGGTGGGATCCTCATATTAGTAACCAAGAAGCCTCGTTTTTTCAAGTTGTTACTACTATCAATTTGATAATTATTACTAATTTATAATTATATAACTAATGCATGAATACATCTCCTTGTAAAAAAATAAAATATTGGCCGGGCAGGGGCATGGTGGCTCATGCCTGTAACCCCAGCAATTTGTTAGGCCGAGGCAGGTGGATTACTTGAGGTCAGGAGTTGGAGACCAGCCTGGCCAACATAGTGAAACCCTGTCTCTACTAAAGATACAAAAATTAGCTGGGTGTGGTGGCGCATGCCTGTAATCGCAGCTACTCAGGAGGCTGAGGCAGGAGAATAGCTTGAACCCAGGAGGCGGAGGTTGCAGTGAGCCGAGATCGCACCACTGCACTCCAGCCTGGTGACAGAGCAAGAATCTGTCTCAAAAAAATAAAAAATAAATAAATAAAATATTATAAATAAAACTAAAGTCCCCACTTTTTCCTCAGCCCATATCCCATTCTCCTCTCCAGGGGAACGACTCATCAATTTGCTGTGTGTTTTTCCATAACTTTCTCCAATACATTAACTCTCAGAAAAGACATAGAGTTGCTGAAATTTAGCTTTACTTTCTATTTTTGGGTACTTTTTTGATATTTTGATTTTTTGATATTGTCAAACTACATAATGTCCTGCAATTTACTTTTTTTACTCAACTGGATGATAAGAACTGTCCATTTGAGTACTTATTAGTACTCATTAGTACTTCCTTTTTCTTGTTGCATGATATTCTACAAATACGACTACACTAGTTTATTAGCCATTCCCCATTAATGGATATTGAGGTTGTTTCCAATTTTTTTCTGGCCCCATGCGATGTTATAGTAAACATTTGCATATTTGCTCCCTAGAGTAGGCAGTAGGGTGATAGAACAGAAATTCTGATTTTTCATTGAGTTCCTAACCTATTTTCAAGGTCTTAGACGTGAGATCTTTATTATTTTTTGCACTTTAAAATAGTATTGAAACCCAGAGTTACAGTCTCAGATGTGAATGGGTTAACATGCAGATCTGGGCAGTTGTTTTCTTTATTGGGCAGGGTGATTCCTGGAAACATCATGCGAGCAAGCTGTTGCTGTTTGTTTTTTACCCTGTGCCGTTTGTCTTGGAACATTTCTGAAGTTGTTCAGTTCCTGCAAATCTAAATAAATGACTGTTTCTGGATGCAGGTTGGTTGGTGGTTTTAAAACCTGGACACGGGCCTCTGTTTTTGGAGGACTCAGTTTTGTGTACTTGATCACACCATACAAGGGAGCCTTATGTAAGGAACCATTCATTATACCTCTCAAATGGGCCGTAGGAAAGAAGCAATTTCACTCCAACCCACTAGTTATTACCATAGGGCTTGAATTGAAGTTGAAGTTAGTGAGAGAAGCATTAGTCCTACTTATTTTGCATAGTTTAAATTCTGCTCTCCAATGTCTCAGCAGTATGAATCGCCCTAAAATACCCCTCACCATCTCCCCTGGAGTATCCCTCCTTAATTTATTTCTTTATCCAGTGCTATGTGTATTTATTTATATCTCCCACCCCAGACACAGTACAGTAGCCTCTACATCTGGAGTTAGGAGAAATTATGATGGAAGGGAAAGATCCTAAAATACCTTTGATTAATATAGAAAAAATTTTAACTAAATAAGACCTTAAAATTACTTGTACTTTGAAATCAAGCAGATCTAGGCTTAAGTCTCAGCTTTACTTGTTCATAATGAGCAAGACCTCAAGCCAATCACATAACTGTTTGAGAATGGGTTTTCAAGTCTATTGAATGGGTATACTAATACATACCTCACATAAGTTAATATAAGAGCATGTAGTGAGCACTCAACCAAGTGGTACCTATTATCTTTAAGGCAAGAATTTGGTATGAAATGCCACCAGGGGATATATTTGTCATGTGTTGATTTAGGCAAATCTTCCATATCATTCTTCTAAGACCCTACAAAGGCCTGAATTCTCAAAGAATGATTCAGTTGCATTTCTCATACTTTCAAGACTAATGCAGGGAAACTGCAGACATCTTAAGAAGATCATTAATAATGATCCTGAAAAGCAAGGCCTTACTTAATTCTCCAAAACATCAATTCCTTGCCTCTTCATTTATCTGACAAATATTTATTAAACACATATTCTATGTTAGGTACTGTGTGGATGTTATGAGGCATGTGTTAGCAAACTACTGCCTGTGGGTTAGATCTGGCCGCTGCCTCTTTTTGTAAATAAGTTTTATCAGAATATGCCCATTTGTTTATCTATTTCCTATGGCTATGACAGAGACCGTATGTGGCTTACAAAATTTAAATTTAACATTTACTCTCTGGCCTTTTACAGAAAAAGTTTGCTGACTCCTGTAAAAAGATGTATGGAGATGGCTTCTATCTTAACATGATTTACAATTTTGTTGCAGATATAAGTCATGCACACAAAGTTGGATGTCAATACAAGCCTACATATGATTAATAGTTAGATGGTGTTATGAAAAAACAAAAATTGATGACTGTATGCTGAAATGGTTAAAAGAGGCTTGATCTGGAGCTTGACAAGTGGGAAAGATTTGTATAAATAATGAGAAAATAAAAAAGATTGACAGGTACAGCACTGATTTACAGGACCAGTGTGTGGTATTTGTCAGATGACAGCCAAATGTGGTCATGACACTCTGCTGCTCCAAACCTGCCAGCCTAAACCTCTTAGCCTTGCTTATGAGACCTTGAATGATGTGGCCTTGCTTTTCTCTTCAGCCGCTCCTCCTGAAATTGCCCTACCTATACCCTACACACACACACACGTGCGCACACACACACGCTGTCTCTCTGTCTCTCTCGTATTCCACATTCCATTCTGATTCAAATTCTCTCAGTTATTCCAATCCATTGGATTCTAATCATCAGGCCATTAAATACACTGGTTTTTTGCTCTGGTACATTTTCCTCAGCTTCTTGTCTAACCCGTACTCAATCTGTGTGTCTCACATGAGATATCACTTTCTCTAAGTAGTGTTCTCTAACTTCTCCAAGGCTGGATTAGGTGCAGTTCTGTGGGCTCCTATCACATCCAGTGCTTCATTACATCCAGTGTTCCTTCTATCATTGCCATGCTCAAGTCACTTGTCTGCATCCTTGAGTAAACAATAAGCTCTTTGAGTGCAGAAACCATGCACCATATTTTTTCACAGCACCACCACATAGAAGGCATCCAATACATTCTTTTTTTTTTTTTCATAGTCTTGCTCTATTGCCCAGGCTGGAGTGCAGTGGCGTGATCTTGGCTCACTGCAACCTCCGCCTCCCTGGTTCAAGTGATTCTCATGCCTCAGCCTCCTAAGTAGCTGGAATTACAGGCACACACCACCATGCCTGGCTTGTTTTTGTACTTTTAGTAGAGACGGGGTTTCACCATGTTGGCCAGGCTGGTCTCAAACTCCTGACCTCAAGTGATCTGCCCACCTCGGCCTCCCAAAGTGCTGGGATTACAGGCATGAGCCACCATGCCCAGCATCCAGTACATTCTTAAATATATGGATGAATAGACTGGAGTAAAAAAAAATGGAGGTATATTTTTAGTGTAGTAATCTGACCAATTTGTCCAGGCAGAAAATGTATAATGAGGAGTTATGGGAAGTAAATTCAGGAAATAAGGTTATCTTAGATTTTAGAAACTCTTGAACATTCAGGTTAAGAGATTGATCTTAGCTGGCTCGGTGGATCATGCCTGTAATCCCAGCACTTTGGGAGGCCGAGGTGGGCGGATCACGAGGTCAGGAGTTCGAGACCAGCCTGGCCAAAATGCTGAAACCCCATCTCTACTAAAAATACAAAAATTAGCCAGGCATGGTGGCACACGCCTGTAATCCTAGCTACTCAGGAGGATGAGGAAGGAGAATTGCTTGAACCCGGGAGGTGGAGGTTGCAGTGAGTTGAGATCACGCCACTGCACTCCAGCCTGGGTGAAAGAGTGAGACTCCAACTCAGAAAAGAAAAAAAAAAAAAAGGAAAGAGAGATTGATCTTGATCCTGTGAGCAGTGAAAAGCTATTGAATGTTTCCTTTTATTATTATTATTATTATACTTTAAGTTTTAGGGTACACTTGCACAATGTGCAGGTTAGTTACATATGTATACATGTGCCATGCTGGTGTGCTGCACCCATTAACTCGTCATTTAGCATTAGGTATATCTCCTAAAGCTATCCCTCCCCCCTGCCCCCACCCCACAACAGTCCCCAGAGTATGATGTTCCCCTTCCTGTGTCCATGTGTTCAATCCATGAAATGACATGATTAAAATGTTTGCTTAAGAATATTAGTTTGTCAGTAGAATGCTTGATAGAGAAAATTAATAAGAGATTGCAGGAGGGAGATGACACTTGAAACTTCACTTTCCCGGGTGTGAGGAAAAATTTTGAGAATATAGCTGATAATTGTGACACTGACGGAGCTTTGCAAGCTTCCTAATTGGGAGACCAAGTGTTATTCTTATTTCTATCCCTTGCAACCAATACAATGGCTTGCATTTCACTCGTGCTCTGTAGTAGTCACTAGGTGACTAAATGAGGTACATAAAAAAGGACAGATGCACAGACTTTGAAAAGGAAGACTTAGTTAAGAGTCGACTGGCTGCCTCTGGAAGGTTGTCAAGTAGAAAATGCTTCTATTGCTAGAAATAAAGGAAATAGGAACAGGATCCAATTTGGGAAAATGGTAAGTCTACAAATCCATATTTTACGGTGTATCTTTTTTCCAAAAGGGACAAACCAAAAGCAATTCATTCTCATAATGTCCATAAGCCTGATAAACAATTCATAATATTACCCGTCCTTCTCACCTTTAATGGCTGGAGGAAAGTTGCCTGATGAATGAGAGAATCACTCAGTCACAAAACCGGGAAGGACTATCCTAAGAACAGAAGTCTAAACCCCTTCTGGCAGGATTATCCAAGGCTAAGAACACACAGTCTCTATAATTGCACTAAAAAGCAAATCCTGTCTTTGAATAAGGGCATCATGACAATCTGGATGTATTATTCGCTCTTCAACTTTTCATCTAGGTTGAAGGAGGTGAAACTAATTGCCTGTCATCTAGGTAAACAGCAATAGTGAAAGGAAATAAAAACCATGCTGCTCTTAATAGAATCCTCAGGTTGGTTGTTTCCAAAGAATGCTTACTTGGGTAAATAAGTGAAATGTGGCACAAATGGTTAGATGACACCAAAATGAAGGGGCTCCAGTGAAGCCTAGTGATATGTGTAGTTCAACTTGGGGTTAAGTGAATAGTAATTGCCCTCCATACAATTTTAATTAAGGATATTTTTAAGGGCATAGAGATGTTGACATTCACACATACTCTACCTGGGGTCCACAGAGGTTGTGTGCCAGCTGTGAACCATATGTAGCCCACACAGACTGCCTGCCAGAACTCCTTTCCCCCACAAATGCACCCACAGGTCACCCTCCTGTCATTGAGACTGGCTGTGTAATGCCTGAGGAAAGCGCCATGGTTATTCATTCATACACAAATATTTATAGGGTGCCTACTTCCTGTATGACGTTGCGCTAAATATTCTGGAGATAGGAAAGGATAAGAAATACCAATATGAGTAAAGCATTGCCAGAGCCCAAAAACAGCTTACAATCTACTCTGGCAGACAAAGTGCATCACGGGAGAAGGAAAACAGTGTAAAATTTTAATGAAACCTTTTAAGAAGTATCCCAAGATACTATACTACTACTTAACAGGATATGGAAAAATCCAGAGGTGATCTGAGTTTGTAAGACAAAGACAGAGCTCACTCTTTGTTGGAAGAAAGCTCTTATGAAGGAGGAGAGAGCTGGGCTGGATTATTTTGCTATTATCTAAACATGCCTTGAGGCTAAGCAAAAAGATGCCAAATGGTCACCAAGAGATAAAACAATTAAACAACAGACTGCCTGGCTTGTACAACCCAACATCCGGTCTGAACTCTTTTTCTCTGAATGCCCCAGTTGTTCTGATCTTGTATAACCTCAGCCTACCATTGTGTCCTTTACAGTTTTAGGGCTGTAAATTTACTGAATTTACTGTTTGAGTGCTGGTGTCGGCTGGGCAAGATGGCTCACGCCTGTAATCCTAATACTGTGGGAGGCCAAGGCAAGAGGATCACTTGAGCTCAGGAGTTCAAAACCAACCTGGGCAACATAGCGAGATCTCATCTCTATTTAAATAATATTACATATTTTTTTTAATTGAGGACTGGTAGGGACTTTTAGTTCATCATCATGAAGGATTAGCCAAATCCCTGGATAATTAATCAGCAAATGCAAGCCATTTTACCTTAGAATTCTGGATTGTCAAATACATGAGGCAGGATCCAGCAGACCAACAGAACATGCTAGACCTGATAGGTGACCTCACGGCTAAGACTCAGAGATCAGATAGGAGGTCAAAGGCTGCCAGTTCCTCATCTGTGCAGAGCCCTGGTAGGCAGGAAATATACTAGGGTAGGATACAGGGAGTGTTCTCACTCCTTCCTTCCTGTAAGTGAAGAAAGACAATTTGGGGCACAGAACCATGTAAAGTTGCTCATTTTCTATTCCAATCCAGAAACTATGAGAAATTTAAAATCTAATACAAACTTTCTAACATCATGGTTGTTATAGAACCTAGGGGAGCAATTGAGGCTTTTCTACTTAAAGCATAGGAGAGTTGGCTGGGTGCAGTGGTTCCCACCTGTAATCCCAGCACTTTGGGAGGCCAAGGCAGGTGGATCACCTAAGGACAGGAGTTCAAAACCAGCCTGGCCAACATGGTGAAACCCCATCTCTACTAAAAATACAAAAATTAGCCAGACATGCTGGCAGGCTCCTGTAATACCAGCTACTCAGGAGGCTGAGGCAAGAGAATCTTTTGAACCCAGGAGATGAAGGTTGCAGTGAGCCGAGGTTGCAATGAGCCAAGTTCACGTCATTGCAGCCCAACCTGGGCAACAACAGTGAGACACCATCCCAAAAGAAAAAAAAAAGCATAGGAGAGTTGTTTTAGCCTAGTGAGAAACGGCTCCAGAAAGCCATCTAGATGGCGTGGTCTGAAATGGGCAGAGTAACGGAGGAATTTCAGATGCAAGAGAAAAATCCTCAAAGACAGGCACCACCAGGCTTCTTGTTTAAGCCTTCTCTGCTTGTGACATCTTCCTGTGCCCACTGTTTGCTGCTCAAACCTCTCTAATTGCACATCACTTTATAATGCAGTGAGTCATAAGGGCAGAGTCTTCATGGGCTAATCACCTCTTGGAGGCCCCATCTCTTAATACTGTTACAATGGCAATTAAGTTTGCAACACAGAAACTTCTGGGGGACACATTCACACCACAGCATTCACTTATCCGTGTGAATCCCTCCTTAGACAGTGAGTTTACAGAGGGGCAGAGACTGTTTTAATCACCTTTGTATTCTCAGTGCCTACTTCATCCCTGACACATCATAAAGATTAAATACAAGTAATCAAATGAATGAGTCATTGAGAGCAACCATTGGCAATGTTGTGGCCTACACATGTGCCTCTCAAATGAGAATTTGCAGAGTCCTAGAGCTCCAGAGGGGTCGCTTGGGGACCACCATGGGAATGTGGGGGAACACGTTCCCGAGTGCCCTTCTCCTCTTGTAACTTTCAGATCTAAGTGGCTCTGCTTTTATCTGTTTTATATATTAGGGGTATATCATGTCTAGTTTTGTTTGAAAACTGTTCAAAAAATACGATATGTAGAAGGAAGAACCTGTCCTGCTATAATACTATGCCATGTGGGATCATTTGGTACAATATCAGCAGGACATTGTTACAGGACAAAGAGGAGTCAGGAGTGTCCAAGCATGGTCACAACCTCAGGACTAGCAGTCAGTCCAGAGGCCAGCGGAGAGATGACCTGCAGGACAAGGAGAAAGGTGGCCAAAGGGGACTTCTATGTCACCTCTCAGGACCACCCACCTTAACATAGCAGCAGATAAGCCCCACTTCCTTCTCTTGGTCTTCCCACTCTCAAACTATATTCCAGCAACTCTTCTGCCAATTGCAGCATGATCTTTCTTGCTTCCGGATTCCCTCTGCCTGTCAGGCCAGTCCTTCAAGTCTCCACTGAAATTTCCCTGCCTAACATTCTATCTTCCTCAACCTAGACAACGATGGGCGTCTTTTATTCCCTGTATTTATTTAGTGTGCTTATCACAATTGCAATAATCTATTTAATGTCTCCTCCCTTCCCCCAGCTTTATTGCAAGTTCTGATAAGAGCAGGATGTTTATCACTACAGTCCCAACACCCAGCAGTGTCAGGCAGCTAGGGGATGCTGAATAAATTCTTAACACATGTGGCTGGCAACCTCTAGGATGACTCCCAGTGATCCCCATTCTCTAGTCTGCACAGCCTTGTGTAATCTTCTTACCTTAAGTAACTTGCTTCTAAATTTTAGAATATGATGATGTTGAGGGTATGCCAGTTGCATTATTGGGTTGCAAAAGATTGTAACTTCCATCCTGCTAGTTACCTTCTTGGCTTACATGCTTCAAGAGTCAAGCTGCTGTGTTGGGAAAGCTTACTCGGCAAGGAAATGGGGGTGCCCTCGGGAGAAGCTGAAGCTCTCAGTCCAACCACCTGTAAGGAACTGAATTCTGCCAACAACCACATGAGCTTGGGAGCAGATCCTTTCCCAGTAAGCCTTCTGATGAGATCCCAACATCTTGATTACCGCCTTGTAAGAGACCCCAAAGCAGAGGACTCAACTAAGCTGCGCCCAGATTCCTGACCCTCAGAAACTGAGAGACAATAAATATGTGCAGTCAGGACAAGGATGCCCTCTCTCACCACTCCTTTTCAACATAGTATTAGAAGTTCTGACCGGGGCAAGCAGGAAAGAGAAAGAAATAAGGCGTATTCGAATAGGAAGACAAGAAGTCAAACTGTCTCTGTTTGCAGATGACATGATCCTATATCTAGAAAACCCCATCGTCTCAGCCCAAAAGCTTTTTAAGCTGATAAACAACTTCAGCAAAATCTCAGGATACAAAATCAATGTGCAAAAATCACAAACATTCTTATATACCAACAATGGGCAACAGAGAGCCAAATCATGAATTAACTTCCATTCACAGTTGCTACAAAGAGAGTAAAATACCGAAAAATACAGCTAACAAGAGAAGTGAAGGACCTCTTCAAGAGGAACTACAAACAACTGCTCAAGGAAATCAGAGAGGACACAAACAAATGGAAAAAGAGTCCATGTTCATAGATAGGAAGAATCAATATGAAAATGGCCATACTGCACAAAGTAATTTATAGATTCGATGCTATTCCCATTTAACTACCATTGACATTCTTCACAGAATTAGAAAAAACTACTTTAAAATTCATATGGAACTAAAAAAGAGCCCGTATAGCCAAGAAAATCCTAAGTAAAAAGAACAAAGCTGGAAGCATCATGCTACCAGTGTTCAAACTATATTACAAGGCTATAGAAACCAAAACAGCATGGTACTGGTACAAAAACAGACACATAGACCAATGGAACAGAATAGAGAACTCAGAAGTAAGACCACACATCTACATCCATCAAACCTGACAAAATCAAGCAATGGGGAAAGGATTCCCTATTTAATAAGTGGTGCTGGGAAAACTGGCTAGCCGTATGCATAAAATTGAAACTGGACCCCTTCCTGATACTTTATACAAAAATTAACTCAAGATGGATTAAAGACTTAAATGTAAAACCCAAAACTATAAAAACTCTAGAAGAAAATCTAGGCAATATCATTCAAGACCTAGGCACAGGCAACGATTTCATGATGAAAACATCAAAAGCAATTGCAACAAAAGCAAAAATTGACAAACAGGATCTAATTAAACTGAAGAGCTTCTGCTCAGCCAAAGAAACTATCATCAGAGTGAACAGACATCCTACAGAATGGGAGAAAATTTTTGCAATCTATTCATCTGACAAAGGTCTAATATCCAGAATCTACAAGGAACTTAAACAAATTTACCGGAGAAAAACAAACAACCCCATCAAAAAGTGGGCAAAGGATATGAACAGACATTTCTCAAAAGAAAACATTTATGTGGCCAACTAATGTAAGAAAAAAAGCTCGGCATCACTTCAAAACCACGATGAGATACTGTCTCACACCAGTCAGGATGGTGATTATTAAAAAGTCAAAAAGTAACAGATGCTGGCAAGATTGGGAAGAAAAAGGAATGCTTTTACACTGTTGGTAGGACTATAAATTAGTTCAACCATCATGGAAGACAGTGTGGGGATTCTTCAAAGACCTAGGGACAGAAATATCATTCAACTCAGCAATCCCATTACTGAGAATATACCCAAAGAAATATAAGTCATCCTATTATAAAGATACATGCATGTGTATACTCATTACAGCACTATTCTAAATAACAAAGACATGGAATCAACCCAAAGGCCTATCAATGATAGACTGGATAAAGAAAATGTGGTACATATGTACCATGGAATACTATGCAGCCATAAAAATGAATGAGATCATGTTCTTTGCAGGGATGTGGATGGACCTGGAAGCCATTATACTCAGTAAACTAGCAGGAATAGAAAAGTAAACACCACATTGTAAGTGGGAGCTGAACAGTGAGAACACATGGACACTTGGAGGGGAACAACACATAACGGGGCCTGCTGTCGGGGGCGGAGGAAGGGAGAGCATAAGGATGACTAGCTAATGCATGTGGCGCTTAATAACTACATGATGGGTTGATAGGTGCAGCAAACCACTATGGCACACATTTACCTATGTAACAAACCTGCACATCCTGCACATGTGTCCTGGAACTTAAAATTAAATTAAATTTTAAAAATAAATAAATAATAGAAACATTTGAAAACAAATACATATGTGCAGTTTTAAGCCCCTAAATCTTGGGGGTAATTTGTTATATCACAACAGATAAATAATGCAATATACAAATGCATGTATCAATAAATGAATGAATGAAATGGAAGACCTCACCAAAGGAAGGGGAAATTAAGACCTGGGGGAAATGAACAGAGGTGCTAAGAGGAAGCCAATTGTTAATTCTTCCTGTTTGAATATGTTTCCTCCAGCTACAGAATCTGAAGAAGGTGGGGTTTTAGAGAAAACTCTGCCACAGTTTTAGGAATCAGAAATCCCTCAGCTCCATGGACATTTTACATGCCTGGGCAATGTCTGACTTTGCTGTAAGAATTTATGCTTGCAGATGAATATGAAAGCTATATCTCTTGAATCTTAAATTAAGCTGATTAGTTAAAAAATGTATGTCCTTGATGATGCCAATTTAGATCCAATTTATAACTTGTCAAAGTGCATAGTCTGGCTTGGGTGACCTTTATTTTAAATGGTCTGTATTTTAAATCTTGATCCAAGCTAACCTCTCAGTGTGACTCTGTCTTGCATGGATTTGGCTGCAAGAAGAGTGTCATGATACTTTAATCTAGTGACTTTGAGGATGGAAACAGCATTAATAAATTGAAATAGGATTGTGAGCTCTGACTGTGTTTATAGCCCAGATAGATGTAAATATTATAAAAATCCTTGATAGAGCTATAAATACCAGCTTTGTCAGTACCTCTCATAATTTAGAATTTCTCAGCGCATTTCAAAATGCCAACTCTCTCTCGCATTTTCCCTAGATTGATTTTCTTGCTTCAGAGTGATAAAAGGGTGCATAAAAATAATGATATACTAAAGGGTGCATTCATGTTCCAACATTCCATTTTAATGGATGTGTACAAAGAAGTTTCTTTTCTGCTTTCTTAGGTCTCATATTTTTCCTGGCCAGTTACACATGGGAAATATAATTGCTGATGGAGTTTCTCTTGTGTTAAGTTTGTTTCAATATGAACTACTAATTATTTTATCACCTTGACATTGTAACCCATCCTAACATTTAAAGTTTATTTGTTCCCAAATAAAGAGCATTTGTTCTTCCTGCTATTTATAATCATTTTCTTAATCTTTTCCTGGCAGTAAAATTTCATTCTGATTGCTCATTATTAAAAGCTCATGTTTGCCTATGGAAATGCATAAACACATCTAACAGTCTAATGTGCCTTTATGTGTATCCAAAAAGAAAGAGAAGGGGCCCATTTGAAGAAGTATGAAGGGTAACACTTTGGGAGATCGAGGCGGGTGGAATGCTTGAGCTCAGGAGTTCGAAACAAGCCTGACCAACATGGTGAAACCCTGTCTCTGCTAAAAGTACAAAAATTAGCCGGGGGTGGTGGCGCACACCTGTAATCCCAGCTGCTTGGGAGGTTGAGACATGAGAATTGCTTGAGCCCAGGAAGTGGAAGTTGCAGTGAGCTGAGATTGCACCACTGTACTCCAGCCTGGGCAACAGAGGGAGACTCTGCCTCAAAAAAAAAAAAAGAGAACGGAAGCAAAGAGAAGGGAGGGGAACAAAGGGGAGGGGAACAAAGGGGAGGGGAACAAAGGGGAGGGGAACAAAGGGGAGGGGAACAAAGGGGAGGGGAACAAAGGAGGGGAGGGAAACAAAGGGGAGGGGAGGGGAACAAAAGGGAGGGGAGGGGAAGGGAGGGGAGAGGAGGGAAGAAGGGTAAAATCCTGAACTGAAACATGAGTTATGGAACACCTACTTTAGTTACAAAACTTTTCTAAATCATTATTTGAAGAGGTATATATGCATTGCACTACTTCTTAAAATGTCCAGCTCTCGCAGAAGTTGCTAGACCAAAATTCTTAAAGCTACACTATTAGAGGGCACTGTCAAGACGTAATAGCCCAGAAATTAAGGTAAAGCAGCTGTGAAGTTGTAATGAGACTATAGTGGGGCTGTTGATTTACACACGTTATGCTCAGGAGGGCTGAGAAAACATAGCTCCTTTTTTTTTTAAATCTCTAATTGGCCTGACTTTCTCATGAGCCCTGGCCCACTGAATCATCTTAGTCTGCTGCAATAATGAAACCAGTACTTGAGGTAAGACGCTCAATCTTCCCAATCTTATCACCTTCTCCTCTGCTTCCATAAAATGGGATAGGGGGAGAGGGGTGTGTTAACTGAATCGTCATAAGACTAAAGAGCTTCTGGAATCCAAGAAGTGTCCGAGGATGCTCTACTCATCCCTCCTACCCTCCCCTGCCCCTGCCCACTGATCCCCAGCAGCTAGTCTGGGCACTGCCCTCCCTGCTGACCCTTGCAGCTAAGTCAGTTGTAGGTTTGCTCCAACATCTGGTCTCTCAGCCAGAGTTTGGGGGTGATCCTGGCTGCTTGGGTCTTCCTGGCCTCTTGACAGGATTTCATGTGAAGTCCCTCTCAACTGCCATCTCGGTCTAGTGCCTTGTCTAGGTGGTTAGCCCATGTTTGCAGAGGCATCTCCGCTTGTCACAGTGGGCCACTCTCAACAGCTACTTTCTCTCCTCCCACTTCATGAAGGCACTTCTGAGCCTCCTCCATACCATATGGGAGCTGAGATAGTCACTGTGCCACCAAATTGACTTTGAAATGGCCATCTCCTAGGTCTGATGCAAGGCAGGCTACAAGGCAATATCCTCTAAGAGTGCAAGCTATGAATTGGAAAAACAAACAAATTAAAAAAATGCCCCTGCTTTTGGCATTCTTCTCCATAGCTCTCCAGGTTTCTCCCAAAATGAAGAGATGGGGAACCATATAATTCACTTCCTCACGTGACTCTAGTTCCTTTCCCTCTGTCCATTCAGGTAAGAAGGGGAAAGTTTCTTTTTTTCCCCACTTTTTGAATATCTGAGATTTTCATGATGCCCTATCCTCCTCCTTACCAACTATTTAGCCTCAAGGTTGAGACTCAATGGCTGACAGGTAGCCACAGCATATGGGGAAGACACACCAATAAAGAAATGAAATCAGGAACCATTCCAAAAATACTATACCTCTTCAATACGCCAACAAAAAATATATAATCTGATCTGGAGTAAAAATTCTGACTTGATTCTCTAAATGCATTTAGAAATTTATTGGATACCAAATATAGGCCAGCCTTTAAACATGATGAGCTTTCTGCTAGGTACTGTATGGTTCCATTTATATGATATTCTGGAAAAGACAGAACTACAGGGACAGAAAACAGGTCTGTGGTTACCCAGGGCTAAGGATGGGTAGAGGGTTTGATGACAAAGTGGCACCAAGGAGCTTTTTGAGACGATAGAACTATTCTGCGTCTTGATTGTGGTGGTGGTCACACGATTGTGTTTGTTAAAATTCACAGGGCCGTACACTAAAAGCAATGGATTTTATTGTACATAAAAGGGACCTCCATAAACCTGACTTTTATTTTTAAAAAATGATGGGCTTTCACATACCCAACATTATACATGACACTTATTGAGTGCTTATGAAATAATGCACTGCTCTAACCACTTTGATTAGATTCACTCATTTAATCCTCACAATAATTTTATTTAGAAGGGACTATTATTATCATCATCTCTATGTTTTAGATAAGGAAACTGAGGTCCAGAGAAGTTAAGTAACTTGTCGCAGTCCACACAGCAAGTACAGCTGGAATCTGAACCCAGATCTGTCTGATGCTAAAGTCTGTGGATTTAACACTATGTTATAAAGCCTCTCAAGATAGGTAAACTGGTAACATTTGTGTTTGCATGTAACTTACCCTTCCTGGAGTCTTTTTTAATCGAATCACATCTGTTCTCAGATCAGAAAATAAGTGGTACATCCTGTCCCCCAAACATACACATCCTGGAACATATTTCTCCAATTGCCCCAATCTAACATCCTCAGTTAAGTTGAGAGGCCCCTTCCTGTCAGCAGTCTTAAGTGGACTAAGAATGAGTCAGAGCTGGATGACTGTTGGTTAAAAAGGTCCCCTGGAGAGTTCCAGGGAGTATGTGACCCACCCTAGCTCAAGCTCCTGACAAGGTGTCCAACCCATACTCTAAACTAGGGTCTTGACATGCTGACCCAGATACCCCTGCAGCCTAGCAAATCAAAGATGCCAGACTCTTCCCCTAAGTACAGAGGGCTCCCTTCTCAAGTTTATGCGGGCTTGACCTGGGTCTGAGAACTCCAGCTCATGCTCCCCTAACAGCAAATGAATGAAGCACTGTTTTTATTAGCCACTGATCCTAGAACTCCCCAGAAGTCAGGATGTCCTGGAGTCTTCCCAGCTGTTTTTCTCTATGGCAGACTGCTTTCCATGATCAATCACAGAGCTCCACTGTAGGACAGTGGTGAGGCATGGCAGGTTTATGGGGAACTCAGGGCTGGTTCTTGCCAAGAGACATGGGTGTCCAAGCCCCACATCTGGTCTTCTGGTTCTTCCATATGATGCAGAGCCCCCTTCCGTTAGCCAAGTGCTCAGGAAATGTACTTCATGATGACTGAGGCTTTGGACATGTGCTACATCTGCTACAAGGGAAATTGAATTGGTCAAGTCTCAGTCTACTCAGCCAGGGACCTCAGATCAGAAACAGCCAATGGAAACCTGCCTAAATGGCGACAATCCACCTCAGCAAACACCACCTTGTGATTTCATCTTATCTGATTTACTTTTGGGGCATTTTGAGCCTCCCAGGCTACCAGTAAGTCACTGACACCTACAAGGCCTGAGGAAGGTGCTTTGGAATGGAGGGAAGAAAAGCACTAGGCCACAGCCCAACTCATCTGCCATCAACCTTTATCTGACCCCTGGACAAAAGAGCAGGTCCACTTACATTTGATGATTTAAAGTTCTCTTTTCTCAAAAATGCACTTACCCCTGATCTCACTATTAAGGGGACTTATTGGTACATTTATGATGAAGACACTGAAAGCTGGGACAAGTTTGGAAGGTTTTGTTGGGATGGTGAGAGTGGGAGAGGTGTGGTGGTTAGGGCAAGGTTGCAAATAGGGAGCCTTTCCCTAGCGGATAGAGAGCCTTAGGGAGGTACTCCTAGACCAAGAGACATCCTAACACCGTAAACAAAGGATCAAAACCAGGCAAGGAGATCCTTAGGAGAAGAATTTTGTCTGCCAGTTTGGCCTGAAATAGAACTTATTTATGCTACTCTAAACCGTTATCAGTTGTTTGTACCTCTGTATAAAGGAATTTCTCCTTTTTTCTAAGAGGAAGCCACGGAAATATTGAACACCGGTGGGAAAGGTCATGGTTGAGGGAATAAAGGACCTAGAAGAATGAAGACTGGAGATGAAGACAGCAAATGTTGCTTATATTTATTTTTGCAGCCCAGAGCATGAAGGATGAAAATTACTTAAAACTGAGTAGGACAAGCAAAAAGGCAGCAGCAGACAGATCAGCTAAGATGGTAACAGAAGGTCAATCTTCAATCTTGAACAGCGGGTGGAAGGACCTAAGCAAGAATTTTATTTCTTCAAATATTAAAAGTCAGATGCTTGAAACCAGTACAGCCATCTTACGTGCATAAATATAAAAGAATATTACCACTCTTACAATTGTCCCTTTTCTCCTGTTCCTTGTAGTCTGTTTTGTTTCAGTCCTCCCAAATCTTGTCACTTCAATGTTCTTTTTTTTTTTTTTTTAATTTTACTTTAAGTTCTGGGATACATGTGCTGAACGTGCAGCTTTGTCACCTAGGTATACATGTGCCGTGGTGGTTTGCTGCACCTATCAACCCATAATCCAGGTTTTAAGCCCAGCATGCATTAGGTATTTGTCCTAATGCTCTCTCTCCCCTTGTCCACCGCTCCCCAACAGACCCCGGTGTGTGATGTTCCCCTCCCTGTGTCCATGTGTTCTCATTGTTCAACTCTCACTTATGAGTGAGAACACGTGGTGTTTGGTTTTCCGTTCCTGTGTTAGTTTGCTGAGGATGACGGTTTCCAGCTTCATCCATGTCCCTGCAAAGGACATGAACTCATTCTTTCTTACGGCTGCATAGTATTCCATGGTATGTATGTGCCACATTTTCTTTATCCAGTCTATCATTGATGGGCATTTGGGTTGGTTCCAAGTCTTTGCTATTGTAAATAGTGCTGCAATAAACATTACGTGTGCATGTGTCTTTATAGTAGAATGATTTTTAATCCTTTGGGTATATACCCAGTAATGAGATTGCTGGGTCAAATGGTATTTCTGGTCCTAGATCCTTGAGGAATTGCCACGCTGTCTTCCACAATGGGTGAACTAATTTACACTCCCACCAACAGTGTAAAAGTGTTCCTATTTCTCCACAGCCTCACCAGCATCTATTGTTTCCAGACTTTTTAATGATCGCCATTCTATCTGGCACGAGATGATATCTCATTGTTGTTTTGATTTGCATTTCTCTAATGACCAGTGATGATGAGTTTTTCTTTATATATTTGTTGGCTGCATAAATTTCTTCCTTTGAAAAGTATCTGTTCATATCCTTCGCCCACTTTTTGATGGGCTTGCTTGTTTTTTTCCTGTAAATTTGTTTAAGTTCCTTGTAGATTCTGGGTACTAGACCTTGGTCAGATTGCAAATATTTTCTCCTATTTTGTAGGTTCCCTGTTTACTCTGATAGTTTCTTTTGCTGAGCAGAAGCTCTTTAGTTTAATTAGATCCCATTTGTCAATTTTTGCTTTTGTTGCAATTGCTTTTGGTGTTTTAGTCATGAAGTCTTTGCCCATGCCTATGTCCTGAATGGTATTGCCTAGATTTTCTGTCAAATCTTGTCACTTCAATGTTCTTTTATCCTATCTAACAAATAGGTCCTGGGTGACTGGATACACAAAGCTTATAGCTACTATTGGAAAGCATGGCAATTTCCTAAAATTGCTCTGTGCTGTGTGCTCCGACCATCACAGAAAAAAAATGTATTCAAAAATTATATTTTATAACATATTAAACATTGAGTACCTATTGAATACAAAACAATGTGCTGATAAGACAGAACTGTGTTTATCCAAAGTTATACTGCACTAGTGCTTCTGAAGATTGGGAATCCCTTATTTAAAGAAAACGCCATGGGATGGAAACTTGAGTTATGAAAGTCTCATTTCTATAATTACCACCACCCTCTCCAGTCTCTTTCCCCCAACTTGCCTTTTCTCATCTATAAAATGCACAGTTCACTGATTTAGGTGGTCTGCTCATTGATTTGTAAACATGGATCGAGATGCCAGACCATCATTCATGCACATTGGCCTTGTTCACAGACATAGAAACTAAAATAAATTAGACTTGGGCCAGCAAGCGATCAGCATGACCTCAGGAGGCAGAGACTGCGTGTCCCTCACAGGCCTTCCCTGGCCTTCCTTCAGTGTTAAACAGTGATTCAACATGGTCCCGACCTGACCAAGCTTGGTCTCCTCAACACCAGAAGATTCTGAGTCTCCCAACACCTGCAAAGGTTCAGACATCTGCCCTGAGATGTTAAACAATCCATTCTGGTCTAGCTAGCACCGGGGGAAAAGAAAGGTCTTGAAACAACACAAGATGTTTCAAACTTAGCCTTCGAGAAAAATAAAAACAATATAGGTTCATTTGTAGAAAGTTTGGGAAATGTAGAAAAACACAAAGAAATAATAAAATTTACCTATAACTATGTTTTCCAGTGATTTTTATGTACATCAGTCAAACCTTTTAGAATAAGTTTTGGCTGGGCGCGGTGGCTCATGTCTGTAATCCCAGCACTTTGGGAGGCTGAGGCGGGTGGATCACGAGGTCAAGAGATCGAGACCATCCTGGCCAACCAACATGGTGAAACTCCATCTTTACTAAAAATACAAAAATTAGCTGGGAGAAACCCCATCTCTACTAAAAATACAAAAATTAGCTGGGTGTAGTGGTGCACGCCTGTAGTCCCAGCTACTCGGGAGGCTGAGGCAGGAGAATCACTTGAACCCAGGAGGCAGAGGTTGCAGTGAGCCGAGATGGCACCACTGCACTCCAGCCAGGGCGACAGAGCGAAACTCCATCTCAAAAAAAAAAAAAAGAATACATTTCTAGGCTAGACACAGTGGCTCACGCCTATAATCTTAGCACTTTGGGAGGCCGAGGCAGGTGGATCACTTGAGGTCAAGAGTTCAAGACCAGTCTGGCCAACATAGTGAAACCCCATCTCTACTAAAAATACAAAAAATTAGCCGAGTGTGGTGGCACACTCCTGTAATCCCAGCTACTCAGGAGGCTGAGGCAGGAGAATTGCTTGAACCTGGAAGGCGGAGGTTGCAGTGAGCTGAGATCACACCACTGCACTCCAGCCTGGGCAAAAAAGAGAGACTCCGTCTCAAAAAAAAGGAAAAAGAATATATTTATGAGCAAGAAAAAAAGATAGTTTTAATTGGTGTCATGTAAGACACTTCCAGGAAATGCAATGTCCCTGTTTTGTTTTATTTCATGTTTTTGGTGGGGGGAGGTGAGCGTTGGTGCTAAGAAATGCACAGGACTATTTCTTAGTCCAGAGCAGTCTTCCTGTGGCAGAAGCATGTTGGAAACACAGACTGTGGGCCATACCCCACACCTACTCATTCAGAATCTTCACTTTACAAGATCCCCACCCCCCACAATTCAATGCTTCCAAGCTGTGCACCTTAAGTTTGTGAAGCATTGGCCCATGCAGCCCTCTTTCTCGCCTTTCTCAGGTGGTATTGATTGTCAGGATTTGTATATAACTTTCACACCTACTTGATGTTGAAACTAGCAATAAAAATCCCACCTCCGTGGGAGTAAACACCTTTTGCTCAAGCCACAGCTGCACATTCTTTTGGGAAAGCTCTAAATGTGTTACCTTCTAAATCCCCTGAGAGTTGTGGGGTGCTCCAAAGGGAAGTCCAGGAAAGAAGGCAATGCTTCCTTTTGCTTCCCTCTCAAAGTCCATTCCAGGGTGAGAGCTGTTGTGTGTGTGGCCCCTTTAGTCATAGTAAATCATTCACCCAGTGGGGGACGAGAGAGATATTCACAAAAGACTTCTTAGAAGCCTATGGGGAAAGATCCACACAGTCCACTGCACTATCATCCCCAACTCTCTCTTTCCTGCCTCCAACTATCCCTTTATCCTTTGATCATCCACCAGGGGGCCCCAGGAAGTACAGGCAGGGTGCGCGGACTGATGACGACCCCTAATCAGGCGAGCTGGGATCAAGAACTTGAGCGCCTGGAGGAAGAAAAAGAAATGACAGAAGCCAAAACAGTCGTGTCTGTCTGAGCTGCCAGCCACAACCATGTGTGGGCATCGGAGCGTATGTCAGAGTCAGGCCGGCCAGTGCAAAGCCTGCCAAAGGGCTGCTTCGATTAGGTCTTCACTTGAAATCTTAACCAGGCAGATGTTCCCTGGCAGCCATCTGAAGCCATCTAGGAAGGGCAGCCTGTCCAGGAGTGGCTGCTTCTAGGTGGAGTCTCATTAATCTCTCCCTTTGTTTTCATTTTGCAAACTTGATAGCTGTGGCAAAGTCTCTGTGTCCAGGCACCATGGCTCCCTCTGCATCCTGGCATTTGGTCCTCTACCTCTTTGACACCATCAAGTAATGCTGCTGGTGCCCAGTTCTTGCCTGGGCTATCAAGAGTTCATCTGGTGCCTCTCCACTACTAAGCCTGGCTTTTTAAGCTCTTGGAACCTGATTTGCAAATCCTTCCATGGGAGCCTCTGGGACACCTATGGAGGTCCAGTACCTGATGCACAGGAGAAGGATGAAAGATGGATAAGAAGGGCTCTTTCTGACCTTGGGGAACTTACAAAAATCACCCAATTTGTCCCAGAAACCCCCAAATGTTTATAAAGCAGTAACCATGGTGGTCTTTTTCTATCCAGAGGTTATGGAATGTAAGTGGTTGAAAACGCAGGTCCTGGGTTTGCAGAGACCTGCATTCAGAATCTGGCCTTCCCTGTCACTAGCTGGGTGATCCAGGTTTGCTTTCTCAATGTTTAGTCCTCAGTTTGTCCCTTTTTAAAATGGGGATAACAACACGTGCCTCATAGATTCTTATGAGGATTAAATGAGACATAGTATGTAAAACACTTAGTGAGTACTCAGTAAAAGGTAGTGTTATTGTTATTATTGTTATTATTATTATCACATAAAAATAGACAAGTCCATTTAGATTATTCCAGATAACCTAACAAGTCAGTGTTGTAACCCAGAAGGCCTGGGTTTCAGTTCTGGATCTGCTGTGAATTAGTCTTGTGATAACCTGTGAGCCTCAGTTTCTTCAGCTATAAAATCTAGATAACACTATCTGGACTTTTGTTCCTGTTTTAACTAACATTTATCAAATGATAACTTTGTGGTAGGCATCATTGTAAATGTTTTTCATGTTAAATTCATTGAATCCCCTCATGTCCCTGTTTTGCAGATAAGGAAACTGAGGCAGAGGGACGATGTGCCCAAGGTCAAGCAGCTAGCAACAGATGGAGCTAGGATTCCAACCCAGCCAGTCTGGCCCTAGAGCCTGCGTTCCTGATCTTATTATGAAAAATCAAATGGCATAATGATTATGAAAGTGCTTTGGGAGTGGGAAGCATTATACAAACATGAGATTGTTACTAGTCATCCAAGTTTCTTCGTGTTTGGTCTTCAGCTGGGATCCTTAACCTTTCCTGGCAAGGCATGGAATGGGGAACATCTTTAGATTTTCCTGAAGGCCTTCATTTAATCACTGGCTGTTATGAGTTGAGGGGAGCTAAGTTTCCAGCATCCTTTTGCCAGTGAATAACAGAAGTGGGACTGGAAATCAGGTTCTCTGACTCTTAGCCCTATGATACTGTTCTCCAGCCTCACCAATCCTCAGAGGCTTATTTTGGTTGGCACATAGTTCATACTTCCTGTGACTACTTATTTCACAAGATTACATTCTGGTTTCTCTCTTTCTCTCTCTTTTTTTTTTTTTTTTTTGAGACTTTTGATTGAAATACAGCATACGTACAGAAATGTGCACAGATCATAAATGGACAGCCCAGTATGTCCACATTGTGTAAACAGCACCCAGACAAAGAATTAGTGCATTACCAGCACTCCTGGAGCCCTCTAGCCCCTCCCAGCCACAACCACCAACAAAGGGACCACTATCCTGACTTCTAACATCACAGATTGGTCTTGCCTGGTTTTGAGCTTGACATAAATGGGATTTCACAGTACTCTTCTGTTTCTGGCTTCTTTTGCTCCACATTATGTTTGTGAGATTTGTCTGTGTTTTGCATATCGAGTAGTTAATTATCACTGCGATAGAGTATTCCATAGTACTGGGCTTCTGAACAAAATCAAGAGGCACACACAGAGAGAAGTGTCCTGAAACACTTCAAGCTGGTCCTTAAAAACAAAAAAAAAAGTTAAAGCAATGAAATTGGTCAAACACCAAAAAAAAGTAGTTTAATCTTTACAAATTAGATACAACTTATTGGCCATCTCTTAAAAGCTGCTTTCCCAGATCACTCCCCCATCCCTCTCTCCTCTCTTTCCCCCTAGATGCCCATAGCCCCACATGGCTGTATCACCCAGCCTGAACAGAGAGTTGGGGGATGGAGGTTAATGAGCTGTGTTCTGCTTGGGTGAACCCACCTTGACCTTAGAATAACTCAGAGCCTGGACTGTCTCCAACTTGGCCAGTAGGGTTTCTGCATCTTCAGCAGCATCACAGCCACCCTCACCCACAGTAAGAGAAACTGCCTCTCATGTTTAAAATTTGGGAGCTATTCCCCTTGATCCCTATTAAACTGGACTGAGTCTGCCTCAGGATACAGCTCCTGCAGCCCCAGGCGGGTGAGAGGCAGGATGGAGTCTGCAGAAGGGGGCCGGTCCTCTGCTGTAACCCTCACTCCCTTTGCAACCACTCTCAGAATCACTCCCACAGCTTTCTCAGGCTCTGGACTTCATTCCCAAGCACAGCTCGGCTGCACCCTCCTTCTTTCATCTTTGCCTTACCAGACCACAGTTGGTCCTGATTTCTTCATACTGACAACCTCTCTGGGGTCTCCCTTTTCTAGTAATGATGACCTAATCCCAAGATGCAATTCTAGGGGAGTCCTGAAGCAAATCAGTGGGCTCGCCTGTCCTGAGCCTGAGTCCATATATGGTATAATCCCTGAACCATGACAGGGATAGTGCTGACTGTAATGCAACACAGCTGATTCACCAGCTGTCCCTCTCTCCCTAAGCTGTGCCTGCCCACTCCAGTTTCCATTAAGATCAGCACTGCACCCATAACAAAAGGTTAAGATAGCTGAAGTTCAGGACTTCGCCTCCTTTGGGAGGATGCAATTTAGGTTTTACTTCTTTCTAGGCTCCCCACTTCCTGGGAGGTTGTCCTTTCTGGAATGTAATAGAATATTATGACTGGTGCTTTTTCTTCAGTGCTTCTCTTGTTGTGGGTGTGGTCAGGAAGAGGCGAGGAGGAAAGACAGTTATAGCTCAGAGGCTTGCTCAAGCCCAATTGTAGAGGACTGTTTTCAACTGCAAGCAGGCATCGGGCCCCACCCTGACCCTGGGCAGAGTTCAGTATTCACAGTCCTTAGTTGGAGCTTTGGCTATTCTTTGGTATCCACCCTCAACTATTTTTTGTTTGGCCTTCTGTTAAGTGTGAGAGATAGAACTAAGAAAGTCTCAGATGTAGGAAAGAATATTGAAATCTGGGTTACCAGTTGCATTCAAAGCTCATAAGTGGAGAATCATGTTCTTTTTATTAGCATCCTTACCACCATTCCGTGTCTACTAAAAGCAAAGTATTATAATAGACTCTAGCAGTGGTGAGCTGGAGCTAGTTCAAACCAGTTTATGAGTCTAATTGTTAAATTTTTAGGAAATTTGCAAACTGATTGTTAAATGTAATGATTATTAAAGATTAAATTACATAAAATAACTGTTGAATAAATCAGATTTAAAATGAAGTTAATAAAGATACAAACTCATCATTTCTTAATTATTTCCCATTTTACTATTAACTGTGCCCTTGAGGCTGCTCAGATGAATGATGTCTGTGTAGTGGAAATACCCTCTAACGTGTGCTACTGCGCACCTGTTCCCTACCCCTTGTTCAGTGACATACGTCATGCTAGTAGCTCGGAATCAGACAGATGGGAGTATTTACTCCACAGGACTCAGAAAACCTCTGTAAATCAGGGCCTCCCCCATGCCCCTTGGAGAGTCAGTTGTTAACCCTTTACAAGCACGCCACTGACTCTAGTGGTCAATAAATAATCAGACCTGCCCACAGGGTGCTTATAACACATTGAGGGAAATAAGTCCTTCAAGTCTTGGGTTGGGCACTATCTATCTCTAAAATGCCAAACATGGGAATGAAAGGACATGAGCTTTGAAGTAAGAGATACCTGCATTAGCATCCCAGTCTGCCACTCTGTATGACCCTAAATAAGTTACCTAATTTTTTTTAATCATTGGCAAAATGGGAATAATAGCACCTCCTCACAAGATTGTCATGAGGATTTAGTGGTAAAGATATAAGAGTCTAGAAAGGGCATTTCTGATTACAGGACCAGCATGAGAAGTTGAGTAAAAGCATAAAAGTGAAAAGACTAGTCAAAGAATGGCCAGTGGTCTAGTATGCCTGGATATTAAGACAGATCAGTTGAGCCCAGGAGTTTGAGACTAGCCTGGGCAATACGGCGAAACCCCATGTCTACAAAAAAAATACCAGGTATGGTGGTGCATACCTGTAGTCCCGGCTACTCGGGAGGCCGAGGCAGGAGAATCACTTGAGCCTAGCAGGTTAAGGCTGCAGTGAGCCAAGACTGTATCACTGTACTCCAACTTGGGTGACAAAGCGAGATCCTGTCTCAAAAAAACAAAAGGAGAGACACCAGAGATATCAAGATGGACAGAGTGTATTATGATGTGACCCTGGAAATGCAGGATTAAACAGTGAAACTGGATGGGTCAGGGCTGGGGAGATGGAGCCACTGTGAAGTCAGTCAGCTTTCCAAGTAATCATGTTTTAAAGGCAGCAAAGTCAGGTATAATTCAGACAATCATCTCAATTAGGAGGTACAATCTATAGGCAGTGTCATGGGCTGGGGAGATCTGTTCATCCAAGACTAATCCCCAGCCATAACTGGAAATATAGGGGCCTTGCCTAGCCCCTAAAGAGGGTGTCAGGAGAAACTAGGCAGGAGGCCAGGACCTTAGTTAAATAGGCAAAAGTTTAGGGAGGAGGTGGGTAGTATGAGTACTATAGTAGGACCAAGATACTACTAATAGGTAGGACAGACAAATTAATTACCAAGCAGTAAATCAAGGTATTATTGAAATGGACCAATAATAAAGGTGTTAAATTTTATCTGGGATGACTTAACTACAAATAACAGAATATTGGGATGATCTGGGATGATTTAGCTATAAGTAACAGACTATTGGGATGATTTTAGCTACAAGTAACAATATTTAACTAACAGTGGCTTAAGCAATAAAGATAGCAAAGTATCTCTCAAGAAGTCTGGAAGTAGGTGCTTTAGGATTGGCTTGGTGGCTAAACATTGTTATCAAAAGGCCAAGCTCTTTCTACTTTTTCACTTTGATACTCTTACTGCTGTTCTCAGTGTGTCTGCTTTTATTCTTGATGTTAGGGCCTTATGGTCATTAGATAGCTGCCAAGCTCACATCACCTCAATCAAAGCAGACCTCCTTAATGTCTCTCTTTTTAATCAGAGAGCAAAATCCTCCCTGCAAGCCTCAGCAGATTTCTCTCTACATTTCATTGGCAAGGATGGTTTACATACTGTAATAGGCAGAATAATGCTGTCAAAGATGTTCAAATTCTAGTCCCCTGGAACCTGTGACTATGTTACCTTACATGGCAAAAGGGACTTTGCAGATATGATTAAGGGCATGAATCTTGAGATGGGGAGGCTATGCTGGATTACCAGTGCGCCCCATCTAATCACATTAGCCCAGGGGAGTAAGGGAGATGGCAGCGTGGGAAGTATTTGGGGATGAGATGTAGGAGGTGATGTATAAGAACAGGAGAGAGATCCCTTAAATATGTATAAATATAATGTAGCAATAAAAACAAACAAGTGCCACCTGTAACTACTGCTAATAGGAATGTGCACTCAGGGCAACTTGAATGTATGCCCTCAGGTGGCTATCCTCAAGCTTTAGCCTAAAAAAAACTCTATACTTAATCATTAAAAAAAAAACAAAAAAACCACAAAAAACAAAAAAAAAAGAGAGGCTGCTAGAAGCTAATAGAGACCCCCAGATAACAGATAGCAAGGAAACAGGGACCCCAGTCCTGCAGCTGCAAGGAACTAAAATCAGCCAACACCTGATACAGCAAGGAAACAGATTCTACCCTCAAGCCTCCAGAAAGGAACACAGCCCTGTGGACACCTTGATTTTAGCCCAGTGAGACATGAACCAGACTTCTGGCCTATATCACTGTAAGAAAATAAATGTGTGTGGTTTTGAGCTAAAGTTGTAGTAATTTGTTACAACAGCAACAGAAAACTAGTACACATACCCTCCCCTAAAGTAGCCTGGGGTAACCATGCTTGGCTCACCCTGATTAGGGAATGTCTCCTGGGAATGGGCAACAGGCCATGTTCCCTGAGTGTGCTGTCAAGTATCCATAAAATAAGGAATGAGATGAGTGGAGAACAAACAGGTAAGGAGCACGGTAGTAGGCCTGGGGTTCAGCAGGTAAGCTCCAGGATACACAAGCCAGTTGTTTTCAGTCATCTTCTCTTCTAATTGGTATGGTAATTCTTTTTTTTTTTTTTTCTTTTGAGACGGAGCCTTGCTCTATCACCCAGGCTGGAGTACAGTGGCACAATTTCAGCTCACAGCAACCTCTGCCTCCCAGGTTCAAGCGAGTCTCCTGCTTCAGCCTCCTGAGTAGCTGGGAATACAGGCACCTGCCACAATGCCTGGCTAATTTTTGTATTTTCAGTAGAGACAGGGTTTCACAACAATGGCCAGGCTCGTCTCAAACTCATGACCTCAATGTTCTGCCCGCCTCAGCCTCTCAAAGTGTTGGGATTACAGGTATGAGCCAATGCACCTGGCCTGGTATGGTCATTAAACACTTTGAATATCACCCTTGGTTATATCTAGGGAGCTATATAGGTTCCCAGATATCACCCCATTACACTAGGACCCAGTCCTAACTGGGAAAACAAACTCAGAGTATGGGCACACAGGTTCCCGGCTTCTGGCAGAGCTGCTAGAGCTCAAATCTGGAGAATGCTACTTCCAGTATTTCAGCAAATCCAAGAGGCCTTCAGTCACGATGCACCATTATTTTACAAACCACTAAGAAAGAAAAAGTGCCACAAAACAATGACATGTCATTGATTGTAACATCAATGTTAAATGAGTAAGAGGTTAATATGAGAAAAAGTGTGCATCTTAGAATCAACCAAATATGATGATACAAAATTTTCACAAATGGTAAGGGTTAACCCTTGATGTGCTGCTGGCTCAGTCAAAATTGGTCGGGGAATTGGGGGAATGTATACTCATGGGTGTCTAGCTAGGGAAGGCAGAGGCCAAGGTGGGAAGGCGAGAGTGTTGCTCCTGGAGTTCCTTGAAGCCAAGCTAAGGGATGTGAACTTCCTCTAGCAGGCAGTCACTGAAGGTTTCCTGGCATGACAGTATGATGCTGGTGTCTCTGATCATATGTTCCCCTGGCATCTGAAACATCTGAAACAGTATTTATGACTCCATCTCATATCAAAGCATAAACAGTCACTCCCCTCTTGCCCAAGACAGTTGGAATGGAGCAGTTGTTGAGGTCATCTTTGACTAGCACTGGTCAGTGCATTTACCCCGGTTACAAGTGAGGACACACTCAAAAGACAGCTTTATTTTAGTAAGGAGCTCAGGTTTACTCATCCTGATGTGCAGGGCACATGCGTCCTCTGCGTCCTCAAGTGATGGACAAGCCCTCTTTGCGCCCTCCCCAAGACTTTGCCCTGGGGTCCCCAGAGGCAGCAGGGATTACACCAAAGGCTTACTCTGGACAGAGGAAAAGGTTGCACAGAGCCTTTAGGTGTCACCAAAGATCAATGTTGCCTCCTATTTCTTCTCTTTGCCTAGGACTGACCCTGAGTCCAGAAAATTTGAAGAGCTTTCTGAATACTTTTATCATTAGGAAAAAAAATGACAGCATCACCATATGGAAAAGGCCCTAAGAAATCACCTCAAATCCCACAGTTTTTCTGATTAGAAAACAGAAACTTGGGAAATGAATGTGTCTGACCTGAGGTAACCTACCTAGAAACAGCAGAGCTGGGCAGGGATCCAGGTTTCCTGCCATCCCCAGGGCATGCCAGGAAAGGCAGCCGGATGAGTGCACAAAGCCCCTCCCCAGGCATGCTAGGGGTCTGTCTTTTGCAAACTCAGGGCCTTGAAAAAGTCACTTAACATCTTTCTTTTTCCTTTTATTTATTTATTTATTTTTGAGACAGAGTCTCATTCTTGTTGCCTAGGCTGGAGTGCAGTGGCACAATCTCAGCTCACTGCAACCTCTGCCTCCCAGGTTAAGGCGAGAGTGTTGGTCAAGTGATTCTCCTGCCTCAGCCTCCCGAGTAGCTGAGATTACAGGCACCCACAACCATGCCTGGCTGATTTTTGTATTTTTGGTAGAGACGGGGTTTCACCATGTTGGCCAGGCTGGTCTTGAACTACTGACCTCAGGTGATCCACCCACCTTGGCCTCCCAAAGTGCTAGAATTACAGGCGTGAGCCACCTTGCCGGGCCTTTTGTTTTGTTTTGTTTTTTGAGACAGAGTCTTGCTCTGTTGCCCAGGCTGGAGTGCAGTGGTGCAATCTTGGCTCACTGCAACGTCTGCCTCCCAGGTTCAAGCGATTCTTGTGCCTCAACCTTTGGAGTAGCTGGGTTTACACCACACCCGGCTAATTTTTGTGTTTTTAATAATGACGGGATTTCACCATGTTGGCCAGGCTGGTCTTGAACTCCTGACTTCAAGTGATCTGCCCATCTCCCAAAGAGCTGGGATTACAGGCATGAGCCACAGCACCCGGCCTTCCATTCTCTCGACTACAAAATGAGGCTAGTAATAATACCTACTGCAGAGCCTTGTTGGAAAGATTAAGGCTTAGCCCTTAGACCTGCCAGGGAGTAATTGTCCCTACAGAGTCATCATATTGCTGTTACTGTTTTATGCAATCCCAGGCTGCCTCCATCACCTCGCTCCTGCTATCAAGATGAAGGTCTGCACTTTGAGACTTAGGGGCAGAGGAATCTATGGAATTTGCTCCCTTTGCTAATCTGGCAAAGTCAACAAATCATGTCTGTTCAACCCGAGAGGAGCCTCTGGAGATGTTAGGTCACGGCATGGAGCAGTTTCAAGTGAGAGGCATAGAGTGCAGGATGGAGGGAGAGTCAACAGCACAGCAGGGGAAAGGAATAGGCTTTCTGAGGGCTTGGGGAGGCCAGTTGAGTGTGGAAAGGAAGGGAAAGGGGTGCATGAGCTATGAGGGGGCCTGGGTGAGGGCACTTGGCACGGGAGCAGAGTGTAGAAGGCCAGGAAGGGGGACTGTGATGTGGGCATTTATGGCTAGAAAAAAAGGGGACTCAGTGCCTATGAAAAGAATCATTTTCTGTGGAGCTCAGGAAGGGCCTCTCACAGGAGATTTCCTACATGGGGCTCCAGGCCTTGGCTGTCTTCCCAGGGAAAGGTGGTGTTTGCCATGGGGAACTTGCACACTGCATGGCTTAATTCACACAGAAATGTTGCCCACTCCTGTCTCTGGCACTGCTAGTCTCCCTGAGCCTTGTTCAGCTGGGAACAAACATGCTCTTTCCTTGAACCACACTCTTCAAATGTCTCAATGCAAGACACTGAGGTCAGGGCAGAAGTGGAATAGCGGGGCATGGTAGGTACGAATAATGTTGGAGTAAGGGGAAGTGAGAGCCATGAGGGAACTATTTCAAAGAAATGGGCCCTCGGCACTGGGCTTTGGTGTGGCCCTGGGATTGCTGGCCAGCCCCAGTCCACTGGTCATGCAGACATGGCTATTCAGCAAAGCTGGACATAGTCCAAGGCAAGGCCCCCTTGGAGAGAAGAATTTCAAAATTAAAAACAAAACCAAAAGAAAGCACAATCAACTCCCGCTCCTCTTTTTCCCACCCCTAGTCAAATAGTACAGTCTACACTGTTGAAAAATCACATCTCAGGAACAGCACACACTTTCTGACAGCATCTGCCAAGATTTCCGATGAGGCTGATAGAAACGTGTTCCATTGTCATGTTGGATAATGAGTAGACGGGAGTCCTTGCACATCTGTTCAGGCAAGATAATGGTAATATTATTACTAGAGGCATTGTGCTGCAAATACAATCTATTTTTTGTCTCTCCTACCCCCTGCTCATATCCCTCTCTTTCCTCTCTTCTCTTCTTACTGTTGTGTGTCTCCCTTCTCATGTTTTCTTTCTCGCTCTCACCTTTCCTCTTCTCTTTTTACTTCTGTCCTCACCTAGGTGTCCTGCTCAGCTTGCAGAAACCCATGGGACAAAGTGAGGAATTCCCTTCAAATCAGGAGCACGGCTGCCAAGAAGGCACTATGGGCAGGGGTTGGCTGCTGAGATCATGAGAGAGGGGAGTCTTTGGGTCCTTCCTTGCAGGCTTGGTGATTCCTACTGTAAAGGACCCTCTCCTATTTGTCAGCAAAAGTCCTTCAGCCCAGTCAGAGAAACCACCAGACCTGCCCCATGCCCAACATCATCAGCAAAGAATCAAGGAGACAGTAATGTGACCAGCTAATTCCTGACAAAGGGACAACAGATGCAAAGGGTTTAATATTTTTAACATCTAAGAATGTTTTGCATCATAACAGGACACTTCTGGATGCCTAACCGATTTATAAAGAAATGCAATTTTAAAACTGTATAAGCATGAAGAATCAGAATGTGGGGTTGAACTTCAGAGTCAAGGAGAGCCATCCTTGTGTTTCCCAAATAATTCATTCATACATGTTTGTCAACAAATATTTACTCAGTACCTACTATGTGGCAGGCAATGATGGTTACTCTCTCATAGATGGAAAGCTATGATCCCTGCCTTTCAGGGTCTTAAAGTCTACCCCAAGGCAAACTTCTACCAAATCTAAACATAACTTTCGTCCTGAACATATCTTTTACGTGGAAGCAGAATCCACTTGGGGCATCTTCACTGTGTAATTACCTCAGGTATCAACATAAAAATGGAATGATACAGATTTCCACACTTTGGTCCATTAATCCATCCACCCAGCCACCTTTCTACACAAGCAACCATCCATTCACCCATTCATCCATCTACCTACCACCCATCGATCCACTCATCCATGCATGCATCCATCCACCCACACATCCATCACTCATCCATTTACCTATCCATCCATCTATCTTCTGCTCACTCATCCATCATCCTTCCAAGCACGTAGTAAGAGTTCATTTATTGGTCCAGCAGGGAGCAGGGCATACATAACCAATTACTGTGGTAGAGAGTTGTGTAAAGACAGAACACTGGTAGTTGCATGCATTGTCTGTGCCTGATAATTAACAAGCAAATGGTTCCTGAACACTGGGCTGTGATCTGAGAAGCAGAGATGGGATAAATTGCAAGGGCTGGTAACAAGGTTCATAGAGAGATACCTAAATTTAAACAAGATAGTTTCTGAGTTTCTCTGCAGCCTAGGAGACAACTGCTCAGAGAAGGCAGGCATGGCAGTTGAGTAACAGGGGTTCATGAGTTGTGTTTTGGCTCATGAAAATCTTCTTTCCACAGAGTTCTTTCTATTGAACTTTTCCTCAGTGTGATGGCATACTACAACATAACAGTGTCCCTCTGATAATTATTGCTTTCTCTGTGTATGTATAACAACTAAGGGCCAGCACAGTGGCTCACACCTGTTAATTCCAGCACTTTGGGAGGCTGAGGTGGGAGGATCGCTTGAGCCCAGGAGTTTGAGACCAGCCTGAGCAACATAGTGAAACCTTGTCTCTACAAAAAAATTTTTAAAATTAGCTGGGCACGGTGGCATGCGCCTGTGGCTCCAGCTACTGGGAAGGCTGAAGTGGGAGGATCACTTGAGCCTGGGAGACCAAGACTGCAGTGAGTCGCGATCGTGTCACAGCACTCCAGCCTGCACAACAGAGTGAGACCCCATCTCAAAAAAAAAAAAAAAAAGAAAAAAGAAAAACTAAGGAATAAACATATTTGTGAGCAGCTTAAGTTTCTAATATACTTTTCATCCAAACATGCCTCCCAAATTAGGCCGGGCATGGTGGCTCACACCTGTAATCCCAGCACTTTGGGAAACTGAAGGCGGCAGATCACCTGAGGTCAGGAGTTCGAGATCAGCCTGGCCAACATGGTGAAACCCCAGGTCTACTAAAAATACAAAAATTAGCCAGGCGTGGTGGCACACACCTGTGATCCCAGCTACTCAGGAAGCTGGGACAGGAGAATCACCTGAACCTGGGAGGTGGAGGTTTCAGTGAGCCGAGATTGTGCCACTGCACTCCAGCCTGGGTGACAGAGTGAGACAAACAACAACAACAACAACAACAAAGATGTCTCCCAAATTAGAGGAAAACAGTGCCTGAAATTGTTCCCTTGCTTCCCAAATGTCATATCCCAGTATTTTTCTGGTGATGGGAATTCTGGCTGAAGTTTACTCCTGTCTAGTGTCAAGTTGTGTCTTTTTTTTTAAGTCTGTTTTTAATAATGCTCCCCTCTTCCCATCTGAAAGTCAGGTGGCACATTCACTAGTTGCCTGGAATTTATCTGTCTCTAGCTGATTGAGAGCTGGAAAGGGGAAACTGGGCACAGTGGTCAGAGCCCTGGAGCTGTCAGGAGTGCCGGTTCCCGTGCCTACTCTGCCACTGAGTCACTAGCGGCCGTTGGACAAGGGACTTGGTTTTTCTGAGTTATCACCTGTCTGCTAAAGGAGAACAGGCGTAGGGTTCAGAGGCAGTGCTGGCAACAACAGACCAGGAGGGAGGGGGCCTGTTTTCAACCCCACTCACGAAATCCTTACTAATGGCAGCAAGTTCTGAGCCTTCCTTTCTTTGCTTCTAAAGTGAGAAAGTGGATCTATATAATGTTTAAGGTAGTTTTTTTTTTTTTTTGAGAGACAAGAGTCTTGCCCTGTCGCTCAGGCTGGAGCTCAGTGGAACCATCTCAGCTCCCTGCAAACCTCCATCTCCCGAGTTCAAGCAATTCTCCTGCCTCACCTTCCCAAGTAGCTGGGACTACAAGTGTGCACCACCACACTCAGCTACTTTTTGTATTTTTAGTAGAGACAGGGTTTCACTACATGTTGGCCAGGCTGGTCTCAAACCTCAGGTGATCCACCTGCCTCGGCCTCCCAAAATGCTGGGATTACAGGTATGAGCCACCGTGCCCAGCCCTAAGGTAGTTACTAATACCTCGAATCTCAATTCCACTCACTCTTATATTTAGCATATCTGATACCAGGAGGAGATCTTTTTTTCTTAATTTTTTTTGTAGGGTCTCCCTATGTGGCCCAGGTGGTTCTCAAACTCCTGGGCTCAAGTGACCCTCCTGCCTTGGCCTTCCAAAGTGCTGGGATTACAGGCACAAGCCAACATGCCCAGCCCTGGAGCAGATCATTTTTAACCCCCTGCTCCTCTCAATGAAAGTGAAAAGAATGACACACACACACACACACACACACACACACAAATCATTCTATGAAACAAATGATAGTACTGGCATTGTGTCCTCTATTTCACTAACTTAAGTTTTAAACACAAATAAAAGGCTCAAGTGGTCATGTAGAATGACAGAATTAAAGTAACCAGTCCTGTTTCTTTGTTTTTACAATCACCATGCTATCACTTTTCAAATTTTTAGTTTAAACACAAGAATCTGTAGTACCAGATTGGAGATGTGAACTGTGCCCCAAACAAACTCAGATGATTCCAATAGGGTATGAACAAATATGTTCACCTGAGGCTGCACACATCAGGGGCTGTTTGGGTAGATGAGTTTCTAGGATTAACTTGCATGTAGAATGCAATGTTTAATTTTTTTTTAGTTTTTTGAGACAGGGTCTCACTTTGTCACCCGGAATGGAGTGCAGAGGTGCAGTGATGGCTCACTGTAGCCTCAACCACCTGGGTCAAGCTATCCTCCTGACTCAGCGCCTCCAGTAGCTGGAACTACAGGTGCAAGCCACCATGCCCGGCTAATTTTTTTTTTTTTTTTTTTTTTTTTTTTAGTAGAGATGAGGTCTTGCTATGTTGCCCAGGCTGGTCTTGAAATCTTGAGCTCAAGCAATCCTCTGTCCTTGGCCTCCCAGTGTGCTGGGATTGCAGGCATGAGTCACTGCACCCAGCCTGCAAAGTTCATTAACAAATAATAAAAATATGCTAAGTTGAAATTTACATATATATTATTAAGATTCAACAGCATCTACAGCAATTGTTTAGAACTTAGACCAAAAGATTTGGAGGAGGGGAGGAAGTATTTTATTCCTAACGTTTAGCATGTGCAGTGCATGGTGATAATAAAAAAGCAGATCAATTTTCAGTCAATTTTAGCATTAAATCTTTTATTTTGAAACATTTTTAGGTTTACAGGAGAGTTGCAGAAATAGTAGAGAGATTTCCCACATATCTTTCATCCAGCTTACATAACCATGGTACATTTATCAAAACACAGAAATTAACATTGGTATAATACTATTAACCAAACTACAGACATTATTTGAATTTTACCAGTTTTTCCACTAATATCTTTTTTCTTTTCCAGGGCTAAGTCCAGGATAGTACATTGCATTTAGAGCTGTATCATTGCTTTAAAATTCTTCACAGATTCACAATCCCTCATTGCCTGCCCTGGGGGCTGACCACTCCCAGCTCCCCTACTCCACCTGCCTTGGTATACCCCTGATTCCACTAAACTTTTGTGGTATTGGGGGTAAGAAGATCTAATGGCTTCAAGTTAGCAATGGTGTGTTAAAATTTTTTTTTTTAATAAAAACAAAATAAAAGAAGATCTAATGGTTGTGAAGTCTCATCCTTTGGTGAAAGGTGCTGTTGAGCCTGATACAATATATTCAACTGCCAGAGCACAGACACTTCTACTTTGTCTAGCTGGAGATTCTTTAGCCAGGTACTCCTTGACAGTGACTGTTAGGTAAGCGACATTTGCAAGGTTTAAGTGCCTAGTGCACAGAAATCAGAAAGCAAGGCTTGTTTTAGGCAAACGTGCCACATATCTTGTAAGGTAAAGAGACAAAAATATAACCGGTGAAACGCACTGAAAAAAAATCCTGGCATAGACACTCCGGGTGCCTGCTCCACATACATTCTCCATTTTTCATCAGAATTCTTGTTTTGTTCAGGTGAAAGGTAGCCAGGCTCTTCAAAGGAGGCTGGACTTTTTCTCAGCCTCTCTGAGGATGCATTCTTGGTAAAGTTAATCTAATCACGTCAATTCCACTCACTTTGCCAATGATTGGTTTAGAAATGGGCATGGGATACAATCTGGCCAATAAGGCATGGGGAGAAGTTTGAGGTTTCTAGGAAAGTTTTCTTCACTCTCCAAAAGTCCCTTTCCTTCTTGTCTGAATATTGGGTCTTGTTGTTTGAGTTATTCTGTGTTAAAGGATAGAACACCTGGAGCTGTTGCAGCCACTTTGTAACCATGAGGGGTAAGCCTGCAACAAAAGCAAACAAGTTTCAAAGTGGGAGGATAGGAAGACCCTGGTCTTGGGTGCATTACTTATCCCTAGGAATAAACTAACTCTGGGCTTCTTGTTATGTGAAAAAATAAATTTTCCACTTTGGGGAAAGGACAGCTACTGGAAAGAATTCATCAACACAAAAGCATGCTGTGCTCCATGTAGATAAGGCTGGGGATAGTGGTCATTCTTACACAGCCTACAGCAACAGCGTCTCTCATTCAATCATGCATTCAACCAATATCTGATGAGAACATAAGATGCGGGACTCTTGTGCTTTATGCTGTTAGACTATGACAGTATTCCATGGCAGAATTCATGCCTTGAAGGATTGCACCATGTAATGAGGGGTAAAATTCATAGACAAACACACCGATTGCAGGAGGACCTGGTGCTAGCTGAGAGCTACACACAAATTGCTGTGTCGATGCCCCCAGACTAATGCCATGAAGCTTAGTGATAGAAGAGGTGCACACTCTTTATCTTGAAAGATGGTTAACATTGAGAGGTGAACAAAAACACACAGACATAGAGATTGGAAACCATAAGTTCTGTTTTGTAAAGAGGGAGTAATCTAATTTAGTTAAGAGTTGAGGCCAATTGCAGTGGCCCATGTCTGTAATCCCAGCGCTCTGGTAGGCCAAGGTGGGCAGATCCCTTGATGCCAGGAGTTCAAGACCAGCCTGGCCAACCTGGCAAAACCCTATCTCTACTAAAAGTATAAAAATTAGCCAGGCATGGTGGCACATGCCTGTAATCCCAGGTAATTTTGGGAGACTTGAACCCAGGAGGCAGAGGTTGCAGTGAGCCAAGATCATGCCACTGCATTCTAGCCTGGGTGACAGAGCAAGGCTCCGTCTCAAAAAAAAAAAAAAAAAAAAAAAAAAAAGTTGATACAGCCGAATTGTTGGCAGCCATGACTAGGCAGGCAGAGAGGGACACAGGTGGTGCCTGCCTGACAGTGCTGTGCTTTAGGAAGCCTGAGCAAGCTGAAGTATGGTCCAGCAAAGGGAACCCTGTGCTGAGAGCCTGACTGGCTGGTCTGAGCCCAGCTTCAGCTACCCACTCATTATGTGGCCCTTGGTCATTCATGTCTCAGAACAGCTACAAGAAAGGGCTGGTAATAACTGTCTTGCCTCCCTCACAGGGTGACTGGAAAGTGCAATATAAACGTAAGGGGTTGTTATTTCCTCCACATCCAGATGGAACTGTATTCACCCATTTTTAGGTCCCTGATCCATCTCAGGAGAGTTTTCCCTTTTGTTCCTATTGCTGGAGCCACCCTCTAGCCTCCTCCTCAGTTTCATCACTGATCTCCCGTAGCTCAAGTATTTTCAGTATTTCCCTCTCTCCTGGGTTTTTCCTCTCTGTCTCCAAATATGCTCCAATCTCAAAAATTAAATATAATTTAAAGGTCCTTCCTTAGATCTTCCATAGCCCTCAAAACACCATCCATTTCTCTTTTTCTCACAAAACATTTTTTTACAAACAGACGTTTTTACCCACCTCCTTTTCTCAACTTCTACCTACTGTTAAGCCCACTCTAATGTTCAATTAAGTGGTCTCTAAAAGCCACGATGGCTGAATCTGGGAGTTTCATCTCATTCTTGTTCTGCCTGATTCAACCTGTCCTTAACGAAATTCTTATGTCGTGGCTTCCTCTACGCCACGCTTTCCTTTTCCTCATCTTCCCCCATTCCGAGTGTCGGGGTTCACTAGGATTCTGCTGACCTCAGACTTTTTCTCATTCTCTCAGAACACTTATATAACCTGATGACCTCAACAGTCCTACTGAAGATGAACTGAAAATACTTTAGTTGTGATTTTCCCTCCCCAAGTCCAATCCAACAGTTTCCAACTGAGCTGTCAAAGTGTTCCATGGCTCCTCAACCTCAGCTTGTTCAAAGCAGAGGCCATCTTCTTCTCCTCCCTTAAACATGCTCTTTATCTGTTATTCCAAATAAATTTTTTAATGGTCCCACCATCATTTATGTTATCCCAGATGCAAGTTCTGACTCATTCAACTCCCTTTTATTCTTACTGCTACTGTTCTTTGAGGAGTGCTAGCCAGACGCAGTGGATCATGCCTATAATCCTAGTACTTTGGGAGGTAGAGGCAGGAGGATCACTTGAGCCTAGGAGTTCGAGACCAGTCTGGGCAACAGAGGGAGACCCTGTCTCTACAAAAAATAGAAATAAATTAGCCAGGCATGGTGGTGTGTGCTTGTAGTCGCAGCTACTCGGAAGCTGAGGCAAGAAGATCACTTAAGCCCAGGAGGTTGGGGCTGCAGTGAGCTGTGATTGCACCATTGCATTCCAGCCTGGGTGACAGAGACCCTGTCTCAAAAAGAAGAGAGAAGTGTCCATTTCTTTACTGGACTGTTATAATAGTTTCCAAAGTGGTCTTCCTGTTTAAATCAGGATGGTCTTCCATACTCCTGATAGTTCTCCTCTAAAGACAGATCTGGTCATGCTTAAAAGCTTTCCATTTCTTGCCAGGCACAGTGGCTCACGCCTGTAATCCCAGAACTTTGGGAGGCTGAGGTGGGTGGATCACCTGAAGTTGGGAGTTCAAGACAAGCCTGACCAACATGGAGAAACCCTGTCTCTACTAAAAATACAAAATTAGTTGGGCATGGTGGCACATGCCTGTAATCCCAGCTACTTGGGAGACTGAGGCAGGAGAATCTCTTGAACCCGGGAGGTGGAGGTTGCAGTGAGCTGAGATGGTGCCATTGCACTCCAGCCTGGGCAACAAGAGGGAAACTCCATCTCAAAAACAAATAAACAAAAAACACCAACTTTCCATTCCTTCCCATTGTTTGCAGAATAAAGTCACAATTCTTTATCACAGCATACAAAACCTGCCACAATCCAGTTCTATCTTAACTCTCCAAATTCATCTATCACTCCTTTTCTGCATTCTCTGTCAGTACCATTTGTCAGGTAAAGGCCCAGCCCAAATGACCTCCTCCCTTACACCCCAGAGAGAATTAGGTTACCTTTTCCTTGTACTCAGAGTGTGCATATTTCAGGTTGTTCTTAGAGTCACCATCATCACACTGAATTGTAATGATGTCTCAGTCAATTCTAAAAGATTGTAAGCTTTAGCAGTGTGTATTAGCTATCTCTTGCTGTATAACAAATTACAATAAAATTTAGTGGTTTAAAACAGCAAATATTTATTCTCTCCCAGGTGCAGTGGGTCAGGAATTCAGGAGTGGCTTACCTGGCTAGTTCTGGCTCAGGGTCTCTCATGAGGTTGTAGTCAAGAGATTAGCAGGGGCTGATGTCATCTGAAGGCTTAACTGGGGCTGGAAAATCTGCTTCCAAGGTGGCACACTCATGTCTGGCAAGTCAGTGATGGTTGTTCGCAGGAGGTCTCAGCCATATGGAGGATATGCCTCCACAGGACTATGAGTATCCTCACAAAGTGGCAGCTGGTTTCCTCCAGAGGGAGTGACCTGAGAGAAAGAAAGCAGAAACCCTCAAATGCCTCTTCTGGCCTAGTCTTGGAAGTCACATACCATCACTTATGCTACCTTCTATTTATTAGGAGTGAGCCACTAAGTCCAGCCCACACTCAAGGTGGGGGAACGAATTGCCTCTTTTTGAAGGAAGGAATGTTGAAAAACTGGAGGACATATACCCATATGCCACGTAATGATATTCAGGTCAAACAACATATAAAACAGTTGTTTCATAAGATCTTAATGGAGCTGAAAATTTCCTATCACATAGTGATGTCGTAGCCACTGTAACATTGTAGCGCAATGCATTAACCACGTGTTTCTGGTGATGCTGGTGTAAACAAACCTACTGTGCTGCCCCATAATATAGTTTAGTATAAATGTGTAGCAAAAGGCTGGGTGCAGTGGCCTGTAATCTCAGCACTTTGGGAGGCCAAGACGGGTGGATCACTGAAGATCAGGAGTTCAACACTAGCCTGGCCAACATGGTGAAACCCTGTCTCTACTAAAAATACAAAAATTAGCAGGGGGTGGAGGGCACCTGTAATCTCAGCTACTCAGGAGGCTGAGGCAGGAGAATTGCTTGAACCTGGAAGGAGGAGGTTCCAGTGAGCCGAGATGGCGTCACTGCACTCCAGCTTGGGCAACAGAGAATCCGTCTCAAAAAATGGCGGATCACTTGCGGTCAGGAGTTCGAGACCAGCCTGGTCAACATGGTGAAACCCCCACCTCTACTAAAAAATACGAAAATTAGCCAGGTGTGGTGGCACATACCTGTAGTTCCAGCTACAGGCTGAAGCATGAGAATTGCTTGAAGCCAGGAGGCAGAGGTTGCAGTGAGTCCAGATCTCGCCACTGCACTCCTGCCTGGGCAACAGAGTTAAGACTCTGTCTCAAAATAATAATAATAGCAGTGGGGGTAACTTAAATTCAACCATCTAAACCTATAAAGAAACCAATTGTATAAAGTTCAACCTCATAGGTGTGGCCGCACGTTGCAAATTTGAACACATCTTCACAGGTGGAAAGTCGAGGTGCTTCAGAGTTCTTGATCTTTCTGTTCCTCACAAGACGAAGGTTCAACTTTGAGAAAGGTCAGCCTTGAAGTTAAATGAGGTTTAGTCCAATCTAGGCATTACTTTGTCATTTCCTTGAGAGTCAGATAAGGGAATTACAGACCCAAGACTGTATTTTAAGTAAGGTGGAGTGCAGATTGAGGAAGTAAAATTTCTCTAGGAACTCCATCCTGTCTCAATTACATTCCACCGCGTGCCACTTTTAAAAAACCATATTTATTTAGAAGTGAAATAACTGTGGACCTAATAAAAAATGGAATAGGAATTAGTTTTTTTTGTTCATTACGTATTTCTGCACATCTAGAAAGTAACTGACTGCTTCATTACTGGTAGGATTAAATCCAATATTTGCGAATATAATTTATTAAGAACACCTTTTGTCCTTCCAGGAGTACTTTTAAGACTTAATATTAAATAGAAACTTTCAGTGAGAAAGTTCCTTCCTTTTTTGCTTCTTCTGTGTTTATTCTTCCACTTCTTCTGATTAATATGTAAGGTAGACTTTCGGTGAAATGTGTGTAGCTAATTAATGGTGGCATGAGGGTCCCAAAAATTACTGGGCAAAACTGCAATCATCCACCCTCTCCCCGCATTGGAGCGAAAGCTCCCCTAGGGCAGGGTCTTTCGGTTTGTTGATCTACCTGAACTGTGCCTAGCCCACTGCAAGTTCTCGATAAATACTTGAGTAATCTCCATTCACTGATCGTCCGTGCAGGGCGCTGTGGCCAGCCAGAAGGCCGGTTCGCGGCTTCCCTGCTTCCGCCGCACCCGCGCCGCCCTCAGCCCCCGGGGCCACAGCCCGCAACCCCGGGAGCATCCGGCTGCCCGGCCACCCCCGGGGCGCTCGCTGCCTCCGGGGCCTGCCCTTCCCGCGGAGGAAGGAGCGGAGCGAGGAGTGGGAAAGCTGGGCCCACTTCCTGTCCGGGCAGGCCTGGGCGCCCGCCTCCTCCGCGGCCTGCTTTCTCCACCGCGAGCGGCTGAGCCTCGGGCCCCGAGAATGCGGCCGGGCGCGGCGCTGGCGCGGGACGAGGAGGAGCCGAGCCCCGCTCGCCGCCCCCGTACGCCTCCGCCCCGGTAGCCCGCGCGTGCCCAGCGGCTAGAGGGTTAAGCCCGCGGGGGGCGGGGCCAGGCGCGCCGAGTGCGGGCCGCGGGCTGGGCGGGGGCTGGGCGGGGGCTGCGGCCGGGGGCGGTTACGGGCGGCCGGGGGCGGGCGGAGGAAGGGGGCGGGCCCCGAAGTTGTTCCGCGCTGGGCGGGCGAGCGGCTGTGGGAGAGCGGGCGGCGGGCCGGCGGGCGGACCGGGCCGGTGCTGGAGAAGTTTGCGCTGCGGTTCGTGAGCGCAGGGTGCGGGCCCCGCCGGCCGCTGCGCGCCCGCTGCCATGGCTTTCCGCAGGAGGACGAAAAGTTACCCGCTCTTCAGCCAGGAGTTCGTCATCCACAACCATGCGGACATCGGCTTCTGCCTGGTGCTCTGCGTCCTCATCGGGCTTATGTTCGAGGTGAGAGCCTGGGGAGGAGGGAGCTGGAGGGACAGTGCCCCCTGTCGTGCACCGCCCGGCACACCCCTGCAGGTCAGCGGGCCCTCCTCTGATCGGAGGCTCCTGGCTGCCGTGTACGTTATCTGCACCCCGGCTTTGTGCACTGTACCCCTCCGGCCTGTACCCCGGCCAGCCCAGACAGCACCCCCAGCTCCGCGCCGTGCCAGCCATGCCATGCTCTGCCGCCCCCTTGGGCACTCATCGTATCCTGCAGCTCTGTCTGCAGCCCTGAAACCCCAGCCTGGCCTCGAACCAACCGCCGCGCTGCCACCATGGCTTGACGCGTGGGGTTCCCTTTCTGGCGTCCAGGAGCCAAGCCCAGAGACTCCCAGACCCGCAGTCATTGCACAACCCCCTCTTGCCCCAAGGGGTGGCCACTAGCTCTTCTGGGCTTTTCCAGTGGGAGAGACCCAGAACCTTTTCCACTTCCTATGTGATTTTCTGGGTGTTTTGCATCTCAGCTCTGGAACGTGCTCGGATGTTCACGTGTGGCCCTGGCCCCATCCCAGCAGTGGCCTTCTGCTCTCGTCTCGCTCCCACTTTTTTGCTGTGCTCTAGAAGGCCAATTTTTGGATATCCTTTACCACTCCGTGAACTGTCCCTTTAGATCCATCTGCGGCGACCCAGAGCTTCACCCCCTTTACAGAGACAAGAAGAGAGACAGGGATACCCTCCACTTTTTGGGGAAAGTTGATTCTCTTATAGTGTAGGAGTGGGGGGCAGAGGATGGGGATCCCACCCCCAACAGCAATGTCCTGGTGTCGGCCTCCCAGGCAGGGAGTTGTAGAAAGCCAGCAAGGGGTCAGAATTCACAAGACTGATGGGAAGGATTCCCTACTCTTGCAGAGCAAGAAAAATGTGATATTCAAAAGTGGGAAGAACTGGAGGAAGCTTGGCATGGGTTTGTTGCGGTATATCTTGTCTCAGAAGTGAGATATGTGAGCGACATTCCCCTCACTCTCACCGTGGTCTCCTCTGGTTCCTGAGACTCCTTGTCCTCCCTTCTGCGTCAGCTTGCTTATTGCATTCTCACGGTTGGGTTAGGAAGCTGTGATCATTTACAAACTTCCTTGGAGATGGAGGATGGCTTGCCTGGCTAAATTTCCTTCCCTGTCCCTCTGTCTCGGGTTCCCTGTATCTCTACGAATGACAAGGGCCCTAATTGGCTGGCGAAGCTGCCCTCAAGCTGGGAACGTTCTTGTGGTGGCCAAGTCAGGGTTGGATGAATGAATGTGTCCGTGGCTGAGCTTTAGGGTCTGTAGGAAATAAACGGTGGTGCTAGGACTGGGGTCTCCACTCCACTTTTTGATAGTGCTCCTTTAGTTCAGTCCCTCTCTCCTTCCTCTCCCTCTCACAGCTCTCTCTAGTGGTATATTGGGTCGGGCTTGCTCCACCTTGTTCTGGGTTCTCCCCTGGAAGTGTGTGGTGTCACACAGAGTCATATCCGTGTGTCTCAGTCCCTGTTCTGTGACTAGTCTGACTGAAAACTGACTGCAGCCTCAGTTTCCCCATCATTAAAGACGTTCATAAAACTGGTCTTCGTCACAGGGTGGTTGTAAGGTTTAACTGAGATCATATCAGCAACAAAAGCCATAACATCTCCTACCAACATGAAAAAGTCTCTTGCGCCTGGAGCCCTGTGATTATTTATCATAATAATAGCTTAACAAAATAACAGAATTTCCTTTGCCCAGCGCATTCTCTGCTGTCTGTTTGCTGTCCTCCATTCTAAGAGGCCTCCAAGTGCGTGTCCCCAGCCTTGGAGGGTGTGGCTGGAAAGATACACGTGACAGCTGTAAACCTCAAAGCCACAGGCTGCAGCGACGAAGTTTCTCGCATAGCCTGTGGCTCTCTCCGTCATATTTCTAGCATTTGTTAGGGTTTGTGGCCCTCCCTGTTTTATCTTTGCTCAGAAAGGGCTGCCAGCATTTGAGTTTGGTACCTACCTCCTTCCCTGGGTCTCTAGTCTTATGGAAAGTCCTGTGCATTAAACCTGCCACTCTAAAAGTTGAAAGGTGTTAAGAGCTGTTACTTCCAGTATCTGGTGAAAGAGAAAGGCCCAAGACGAGAAAAACAACAAACAAAACTACTCTTCCTCCCCCTTAGGCTTGTATTGGGGAGTGTAGCAAGGCCCCTGGTTGAAATGCCTACAGGCCCCCTTTTCCTGCCAAGCCCATCACTTCTTCCCATAGCACCTTGAACCTACAGGACCTACAGGGCAGGTGTCTCCTTCTTTTGGAGGTACTTTGTGAGATCATCAGTCTGTGCTTCTCTGGGAGAAAGAGGGCTTTGCCCTAAGCCTCCAGTAAGAAGGTCTTGTGTTCTTCTGTGCTGGGCACATGGTGGGGGCCTCACTGTCTTTACCCACCGACTAACTAACTCTCCACAGAGATAAGTATTCCTGGGGGTGGGGAGGGGGAGTTTGGAACTGCTGCCTCTATCAAATGAGAGCAGAAGCGTCCTGGATACTGTAGGTACCACAGAGAAACAAATGTGGGCATCTTCACACTCAGAGTAAAGCCTGGGGAGACGCCTCATAACCAAGCACAGGACTGGCTGGATATCACTTAGGATCTTCTGGGTTTCTCTCTGGAAGTGTGTGGTGTGCATGTGTGGGTATGTAGGGATGCATATGGTGCGATGGTAGGTGCAACTGGGGACTCACCACCCTTTTCCTAGAAGTGACGGCAGGAAGAGGTGCAAGGGGAATGGGAGAAAGGGGTGAGAGGACATAGGCTTTTGGGGTTCTGACTTGGCCCTGGCTAGGATTCCTTCATTCGGAAGCTGAGCCAGGAAAACTCAATTATAATTCTTCCCACAAAGAGCGACTCTCTTGGCCATTCCTCCTTCTGGGGACCTCTGTCGTGCCTCTGCCAATGGGCTGGGTCCCTCTCCCCCATCAGCCCACGCGCCAGGCAGCCACAGCCCTTGTGTCTGCATTGCATCCCTGCGTTGCTCTTTCCCCCACTCACTGGTCACCTCTTCTGCATTCAGGGGGCTTCTGTTTCCCCGTTAGGGACCCCAGGGCTTTAGTTCTCTGTCCCCAGGGAGATGATGACTCTAAATTCTTTCCCTTGGGATAATTTCCTTTTGGGAACACATATGAAAGGCTGTCTCTCCCCTCACCACTCACCCCTATTGCTACCCCAATTTTGGTTTAGTGTTGAGCCATCCTGTTTCGAAGGCAGGGGGCAGCTTTTCCCCCCTGAACCCAGGTTTTCTCCCAGTCCTACAGGCTGCTTGGAATAGAGAAGCTGCTCTGTGCAGCCACAGCACTTGGCTAAAAAATGTCAGGAATGTGGAACTTTATTTTCCCCCTCCTTCCTTTCCACCGTTAAGTCTGCTTTTGGGAGAGGTGGCACAGGGGGAGTTTTCTACTCAACTCTTTGGTCCTTCAGTCCTGTCTTAGGTGGAGTCTGGCCTGACCATCAACCAGGGTGTGGACAGCTGGTTGGGGGGTATGTGTATCAGATTTGAAAGTAGCCTCCTCCCCCTCCACCTTCCCTTCTCCTTCCAGTGTCCTGTTCTGTGCCACGTTTCAAATTGAAACAGGCAGGGGAAGAGGAAAAGTCTTTGATTAGCGAATGGAGAATGAGGAAAAAGGGGGTGCACCGAAGAGAGAGGAAGCAATTTATATACTACCTTTAAAATGTCAGTTCAGGACTGAAACTTTTTTTTTAAGCTCATTTACAGGCTCTAAAGCTGCAAAGAAATGTTTCCACAATTCTGAGCCTATCATTTGTAGGTTTGGTTTCTTTTTGGTCTGTGATGACTTAAAGGTTGAGGGACCCAGAGGAGTTCTTGGTGATGGCTGGTTTTTGCTTTTTGATTGTTTTAGAGGCAGATTTGGCAGATTTACCTTTTCTTCAGGAACCACCTTCTTCCCTGCTCCTGACACTGATTGACTTGTCAGGGTGAAATGTTTGTAGCATATACAATGGGAGCCCATTGTGTCACCACCTGCTAGTACATGGCTTCCATGGCACTGGTTCATATCCTCCCAGACATACCTGTAGGCATCATAACCTGAAATGTGGCTGCGGGTCCTGTCTGTGAATGTTAGCAGCATCATAAAACAATCCTGCTTCTATTGTGTTCATAGAAAGACGTGTGCAAATGGCACACATAATACATCTGTGGACACGGATCAACTTGAGAAGGAGTCTCGCTCTGTCACACAGGCTGGAGTGCAGTGGTGCAATCTCAGCTCACTGCAGCCTCCGCCTCCCAGGTTCCAGCGATTCTCTTGCCTTAGCCTTCCAGGTAGCTGAGATTACAGGCACATGCCACACACCCTGCTAATTTTTGTATTTTTAGTAGAGACGGGGTTTCACCATGTTGGCTAGGCTGGTCTTGAACTCCTGACTTCAGGTGATCCGCCCACCTTGGCCTCCCAAAGTGCTAGGATTATAGGCCTGAGCCACTGCGCCTGGCCTCTTTGACTAACTTCTAATGCACTTTCGAAGAAGTTCCTTTGCCAGCTTTTCTAGTTCCTAACTTTATGCATCTCCCTTTTAGCCTTTTACTTACTCTATCCATGGTGTTCTAGAGAAGTTAGACAGAGGAAACCAAGGAGGGTCACGTACTCTCTTGAGCGCTCTTGTTCTGTGGTTGGATTTCTGTACAGATGTCTCCATGATATGAGCAACAGAGCAGAAATTTGGAGCTAGATTTTCTACTGGTCAAGCCTCAAGTGTAATCCTATCCTATGGGATGTAAGGGCATACTGATTTTTCCTGTTTCTTTCCTTGGCACAAATGTGATATCCAGAAGAGTGACATTGATTGGTTAATGACATTTTAACCCTAACTACCCAGTGAAGGCTAATATGTGTAAAAATACCCAGCACTGTACCTGGCACATGGGCACTTAATGGTCTCAACAAGTACACGGATGACTATTGGTACTGACTTCATTGGTGGGTCTGGGAGTCCACGTTTCATCCTCAGGTGGCTCATTGAGCATCTTGGCTGTATTTCATTTTAGAGATGATATGTTTTGAGATGGAGACTTTTCCCCCAAGTTCTCCACTGCTAGCCATCTAATCTCCAAACAGACCAATCTCTCTACCCCAGAACTTCTTTTCCCCAGGGAGCCTGGTGGTGCAGCTGCTCCATGGAGAACACCTGTTTTCTCTTTGACATCTATCTTATTAGAACACAGTCCGTGGGTACTGGAGGGTCTTAGGGCTGCCACTATTTACTTTGTGGAGAAGTAAAAACCACAGGGAGACTGCCCTGCAAGTTAAATAGGTATCACTTTTCTCTTGCCTGCTCTGTTGTCTGAACCCTCAGTCACTCGTTTCTCGAGGGCGCTGTCCGGACCGGTCACAACAGAGTGCCTTAGTCCCGACTGTTTGTAGAATAACATGTGTTGCTATGGTGAAAGCTTCACTCTGGCAGGCATGAGCTCCTTTTTGATCTGCTTCTTCATGGGCAGGGGCCCCAGAAATCACTCTGTGGCATAGCTGATGTACCTCTCATTCCTACCCTTATAAATGGCAAAGCCAGAGGGTTGATAAGAGCGGATTAGAGTTCCCAAATGACAGAAGTGCTTTCTAATCAGCGAGAGCGCTATTAGCAGGCTTTGGTGGGAAACTTTACTGATAGTATCTCTTAACCTTTTTATCCAGCTCTGTGTATCTGGTATCCATTGGTACCTAATGGTTAAAGAAAGGGGTGGGGGGGAAACAGTAAAAGTACTAACATGGTTCCTGAACAGCCCTTCTTATCTCACAAACAGACCTTTATCTTTTATACATTCTATTACTTAGACTTGGTATACCTCTACTGTCTCAGATGTCCCATAGTAGAGGAGAACGACACCTAACTTGGTCGCAGCTGGTTAACATTGTGAGTTAACTGTGTGGTTTAAAGAGCTTTGCAAGTAACTCTTGCAAAAAGTCCTTGCTTTTCAGCAGGGGAAATGGAGGCAGAGTGTGTGTGCGTGTGGGGGGGGGGGTGGTGGGCAGGGAGGATTGGGGCAGATCTCTGAGGCCTCTGGTGAGTTTGTAGGAGCCCAAGGTTAGGAGAGGGGCTGCTCTGTGGCTCTCCACCAAGCCACGTTGCCTCGTGACGGCTTTCCTCATTTGTCTGGAGGGGCTGGCAGCACTTTACATCTGTGAAATGCTTCACTCGCCTCACCCTGTAATCGGGATGGTTTATGGGGGTTGCCATACTCATCCAGAGCCTGGCTTCTAGAGCACAGACTTGGCCAAGGACCATCCACTCCAAGTTAGAGTCGGAGCCAAAATAAGAACTCAGCAACGTCTGGCTCACATTTAGAGCTCAGCCCCAATGCTTCCACAAATGGGGTGTCTGTGGAATGTAGCCACCGGCTGCTTTATTTTTCTTTGTCTGAGTGGAATCTGTTTATTACCTGGAAGTAATGTCTGTAGGTCTTTGTTCCACTTGGAGGCTTTTCTGCCTGGAACAATTATTGAAATTTGCATCTCCCTGAAAGAGACTACAGGGAGTGACCCAAACGTGTGAACATAAGCAAACACACAGGAGCTTTACCTGCTAGTAAAGTTACTGCCTGCTGCTACCTAGCATCTGTGTAAGAAAAGATGACTCTGGCTGTTATATTTTTACTGCCCTTATCATCAAGTTAACATTGTAGCTGTAGCTCAAGGGCACATCTTTGCTTTGTATTTTATAAGTTTAAGATCTTAGAGGGAAACCTAAGAAGTCTTCTACTGTGTTTACAGAAAAACAAAATAAGACCCTCATTGGCTGGGAGATTTGCCCAGGATAGTAGAGTGAATTTTTGGCAAAACGGGGGCTAGAATCCAAGTCTTCTGACTCATCTCTGGTGGTCTTCTACAGCTCTGCCCACTGGAATTCTAGTGAATTTGAATTCCAATATTTGAATGCCAATATTTGTGTAGAAGTCTTGAAATTGAGTGCTTTGCTCATTTATTTGGCAGCTTTTTATTGAGTGCTTAAGTGCCTGTTCTGGGCCTGTGCTGAGCTCTGGGAATGCAGAGATGAATAGGTGGGGTCCCTCTTCTCAAAGAGGTCTTAGTATGGTAGCTTAAAGCTGATAGATTATTTGTGGATAGGAGTCAGGTCTTAAACTTGATGTGAGTGGCAGGTGTGTCCTCAAACTATTGGGCCTCAACCTCGAGCCATTGCTGTTGATGGAAAGGGTGGTTTATTAAATTAAGAACTAATGCCCTGGGTGTAGTGTGGTTAGTATTCAAGCAGAAGAGTGGTGGTCACTTTTAGATACCTTGTGAGGCACAGTTTGTACCCTTATACATACGTTATTGCATAAAGGCAGTCTGTTTGGGCTGCTATGACAAAAATGCCATAGATTTGGTGGTTTAAACAACCTGCATTTCTTTCTTTTTTTTTTTTTTTTTTTAAATGGAGTCTTGCTTTGTCGCCCAGGCTGGAGTACAGTGGTGCAATCTTGGCTTGCTGCAACCTCCACTTCCCGGGTTCAAGCGATTCTCCCACTTCAGCCTCCCAAGTGGCTGGGACTACAGGTGCCTGCCACTATGCCTAATTTTTGTATTTTTGTGGAGATGGGGTTTCACTATTTTGGCCAGGCTGGTCTCGAACTCCTGACCTCAGGTGATCTGCCTGCCTTGGCCTCCCAAAGTGTTGGGATTACAGGCATGAGCCACCGTGCCTGGCCCTGCATTTATTTCTCATAGTTCTGAAGATCAAGGTGCTGGCCTGTATTGATTGAAACCCTGGCTGGAGTTAGGAGAACTCTTCCATATGGTTTCTTAAGACTTTAAACATCAAACCCAAACATGATCTCTAATGTCTTTTTTGGGTTGGTGGAGCTGATGATTGTACCTCTGGTGGGAAGGACAGAGCTGTCTGAGCCTCAGTTGCCCTGCCTTTGAAATGGAAAGAGGACTTCTTAATAAAGCCCCTGAATTTTGCAGGGACAGAGTATTGTTAGTTTAATCAGTTTGTTCCTTCATCTTTATTATATAAGTGTAGATATTCTGTCTTAGAGGGTATTTAATTTTTCTTTTTATAGAGACTTTTAAAAAGAGGCTGTTGAGGGGCCCAGCACTGTTATGAAGACGTCTGTGGCTATTGGAGAGGGAGAAGGACGTACCTACCTCAAGACAAAGGATAGAGACAGAATTTACATAATTATTTATCAGCTCCTTTCATGAAGGTTAAGAGCAGTCTGGGAGCTCCTGACCTGGAGGAGCAATCCCAGGATGAACAGGCTTTCCCTCCAGCAATTCCTGGAGTCCTGCAGGAAATCACAGGGCGAGCCTCACAATGCCTGGTTTCCGGCTGAGAAGAATTCCTCAGAACTTAGAGCAGAATTGGAACTTTTCAGACCCATGGTTTTGGAGTTGAGACTGTGTTTTTAGTTTGTAGTCCAACTTTGTACTTGATCAACTTGTGACCTCAACAGGCAAGGAATAACTTGTTTGTATGGATTTTGTGACTGGAGGAGGAATGTTGAAGTAGAAAGGAACAGGTGGTAGTTGATTTTTTAAAAGAATAGCAGGGTTCTGGTTTGGTTATGATGGCTGGAACGTGTGCCCTTCTTTCAGGGTTCTTGAGGAATGAATTATGGCTGGTGCCAATGGAGGGCCTGCAGCAGGGAAGCGTGCAGTGAAAGGGGCGAGGACAGGGGCCTGGATTCTTCCATTAAATAGCCTTGTGGCCCATGCAAGGCCCTTCACCTCTCTGGGGCTCACCTGCTTCATGGATGTGTCAAATGTCCGGCGGCCTGGTTGTGCCTTCTTAACATGGACATGTAGAACAGGACTGGAAAATGTGTATAAAACTCAAATTGCGAGTCAGAAATTGGGAGGAGAAGGAGAGAGGCACCTTTCCCCAATCCTATAGATTTAGGAGTAGTAGCTAGGCAAACATTGTGCTCCATTAGGTTAGTGGGCTCACTTCTAATCTTGGTTTCATTTATTATTTGAGTTGAAACCAGATTCTAGCACAAATTTGGGGTTGGCATGAAATATGTCTTAGCAGAACCCATGGTGGAGAAGGAGAAAATCTGTATATTGGAAAGGAATCTGGGTTTGGCTTTGAGACTTTAAGATTGCCATCCATAATGAACAATGTTGAAGTTTCAAAACTAAATCTGTGGCAATATGGAGAATTTGGCTATCCAGACTGATTCATCCGCAGAAATTTCTGGAAAGCTACAGTTTTATAGCGCTGAAGTAAAAAGCAAAGTTGGTCTGCTGCATAGTACATTTTATTACCCAAGAAATGTAAAAGAAACATTTCTGTCATTCTTTGCCCAGCCTGGGAAATATCTACATTCAACACTATTCAACCATTTGGCCATTGAGTTTTATTTTATTTATAATCATTCAGCACATACACCTACTCTGTACAAAACGCTGAAATTGAAATTCAAGCCAGCTAACATATTTGTTGATACAACTCTCTCTACTGTGCTCATTTTTGGAGCTTCAGAAAGAAGAGAATGTGACACTTCTCAGCTACTCTTCCCTGCATTTCCTGGGTCCAGATAACTTCAGGCATGACAACTATGGCCTCGCCAGATTTTCACTGACCACTTACCACGCCTTTAGCCTGCAGCTGTGTCATAGCTAAGTGTAACTTGACCAATGTTGTTGGTTTCTCAGCCCTACCAGTTGGGTTGCTGCTCACATGGCCTAAGGGACGTGAGTCTGAACTGAGCTGGTTTTGACCTCTTGCCCCTTGTTCTGCAAATGTTGATTAAGCAGTGCTTTTGTGTGAACCATCATTCTAGATGCTGGGAACACAGAGAAAAAGGACACATTGCTTAATCACAAGGAATTTACCATCTCATAAGGGAGATAGATAAAAGGAGGCAAGTACAGTCACTTGATGATGACTACCCCAGTTGAGCTGCCATATGGGTCTTCTGGTCTAGCACACACAGTGGTGCTCACTCAGTAAGTGTAGTGTACTAGAGGGGATGCTTTGGGAACATGGAGGGGGGTCTCCTAGCTCAGAATAGGGATAGATGGATGCTAGATAAGGCCAGAGAAAGAAGGAGATATGGGAGGGCAATAGAATAGTCCGTCCTTTGTAGACAGATGAGCTGGTGTGAAGCATTGGACACTCAGCACACTGGTGTCATAGGATGCTCTGGAGGTGGGATGCAGTGGGGACAAGGGTGGAGGTGGGGCCAGATCACCCAGGGCCCCTTAGGTCCTGCCGTGGAGTTGAGACTGTCCTGGAGGTAATGGGAGCCTTTAAAGACTGTTAGGAAAGACAGCAGTGTGATGAGGTTGCTCTGGAGACTACTAGAGTGGTTTAGGGGATGAGATGAGAGATTAGAGACAGGAAGTCTGGTTAGGAGGCTGGGGCACTGGTCCAGGTTAGGACTTCCACCTGGGGAAATTTCAGTCTCAACCCCCAACCAGGAAGCAAGCCCCCAAAGCAGCTGAACTGTCTCTGGTGTTGATTCAGAGACTTCAGAAACTGCAAGGCCATTCTCAGCTCTCTTTCTCATATGTTTCATGTGACACAGGCAAGCAGCAGGACAGTGGTGGGGCGGGCAAGGACAGTGAAAGTTGGGAGAGAGAAAGGGCTTTTCTCTAGACCTTCTTATAACCCTGACGTGTGCAGTGATGCCAGTGGTGCTCCTGAACGTGCATATCATTCCGTTTCACCTTCTTGCATTGCCTTCGTATGGCTTTATCACTGAAGTGTCCTATGGACTTATTATAATAAAAAGGTATTTGTTTGCATCTCATGTAACTTCTAATTTCTTAAAAGGTAGGGACCCAGTCAGTTAGAACATCTTTTCCCTCTATCTTTTGTTTTGTTAGCTAAATAAGCCATAATGATGCTTGCATGCAAATACCGTGGACTTACCTAAGGAAACTGGTTTTGTTCCAGTGTTCAGTGGAGGCACAGAGGGTGGGAACTTCCTTTGTGGAGGCTTTTCCAGAGATAGTGGAGGTTGGGAGGGACGTGGCGTGTTCAGTGGACAGAAGAAGTAGGCACAGCCTGTATGTAACATTTATTCAGAAAAGTTACTTAGCACTCGCTATGTACTGAGATCTACCTATAGTTTGCACCTGGAAGTTCCTGATGAAGGTGTCAGTAAGTAATTTTTTGAAGTGCATGTGATAACATGAAGAGGACTGGTGGATCCATTGTGTGCTGTTCATCTCTAAACTTTTGCCAGACCCCCTAGAAATAGATGCAGTGAGATTTTCCCTTTGTCTGATTTCTAGCAGATTAGTTTAGTATCTAGGGGTCTTCTTACCAAGGCCTGTTGGTGACACCACAATTGTATTAGCTCCCATACCACCATCCCCATGCATGACTGTAGTTTGCATGGTCTCTAGGAGAGGGAAATTCAACAAGTGTTTATACCGGAACCGAAGCCCGCAGCCGTCACTTGCCCTCCCCTGCCTTGCCCCCAGTGTCTGTTCACTGAGTCCAGTGGTTTTACCTCCTGAATTGCCCCCAGGTCTCCTCTCGCCCTAATGATCTTTTGTTTTAGCTTGGGCATTTGATATTCCTCACCTAAATGGCCATGGTTGGTCCTAACTTGGACCCCACACTCTCATCTTTTCTGATCCTTTCTCCTCATAGCTGTCACAGATTGTCTTCAAACACAGAGCTGAACATGGGTCTCCCTACTTAGACTCCTTCCAAGATGCCCGCCTAAAGGCTGAGCAATTAGCTTGGCTTCAAAGCTTCCCCACAATCTGATCAGCCTTTGTCCTGGACTCTGCACCTCCCTCAGGCCTCGTCCCTGCCCTGACCCTCATTGCAGACCAACCTACCTGTGTTCCCTGAACATTCCCTCCTCCTTCATGCTTCTCTGCTTTTTTTCATGCACCCTGCACTCCAAGTCATCTCATTCTCCATTTCATCCTATAACTGCTATTTCTTTTTTGAGGCCCACCTCAAATATGGCAAAAGCACCACCTGCTCAGAACGCGCTTTCCAGCCCCTCTGCCCTGAGAGGGTTAATTCTTCCTTTCTCCCCACCTCTGTCTTTCTCTTGTTTATTCATTCAGCCAGACTTGGACCAAGCATTTGCTCTCTGCCAAGCCCTGTTCTTGGGGCTAGGGATAAAGGATGAAGAGGTGTAGATTCTGCTTCCATTGAGTTGAGAGTCCTTAGGGAGTGGTGGTGTCACTGCTGCTCTTGTGTGTGGTGGGTACAGTGTGTGTGTCAGGGAAGAGAGCATAAACCCTCTGGGAAGGGTAGGGACTGTTCATTTTAAAAAGGAGATGTTTGGGCTGTTCCTTGAGGCTCAAGGGGCATGGGGCAGGCAGATGTGCTGGGGAGAGGGAGTTCCAGGCAGAGAGAAGGCTTGGGCGCAGGGGGAATATGGCAAGTGTCTCTGTATTGCCAGAGTGGGCTGGGTAGGGGCTGGTTAAGGGTTGAAGTGGTGAAAGGTGACACCGGACTGGCAGGCAGGGTTCTGGCCATGGAGGTGTTTAAAAATTGGGGTTTGGTCCTCAGCTTAGGTAATAGGGAGCCATTGAAGATTTTTCAGTGTGAGAGTGACTCCAATTTGTACTAGCAAGGTCACTGGCAGTAGGGCTGGGCATGGCTCCTTGCACTTGCTGTGAGCCATCCCTCCATGACCCAAGGAAAGAGGTGTTTCACATTTTCTCAGTATCCCTAGCACCTCTGTACCTACCACGTAGTCAGTATGAGTTTGTCAGGTATGGTCCCATGCACACACAGGATGGTGTGTGTGTGAGTTGCCTTTCTGCTGCTGGTGGTCATTTGAAGCTTTTCTATCCCTGCTGTCTCTTTTGGGTTCTCGGGTAACCAGTAAGAGATGCTTTTGAGCACATTAGGAATGCTGGCTACTTTAGCATGTGCATGCAGATAAGAGAGCCTATAATCTTAGCCTTTTAAAGCTTAAATTTTTTTTTTTTGGAATAGGTACCATTAGGAGATACATTCATGTGGCAAAAAAAAAAAAAATAAGTGTTTTTGATTAGGTACCATTAGGTGATACATTCACATGACTCAAAAATAAAAAACATAAAAAAGGAATTCATTGAGAACTGTCCCTCCCCACCTGTTCTCATCTAGCTCCCCTGTCCCCAAGTAACCACTTTTTTTTTTTTTTTTTTTTTTTGAGGCTGAGTCTCGCTCTGTCCCCCAGGCTGGAGTGCAAGCTCTGCCTCCTGGGTTCACGCCATTCTCCTGCCTCAGCCTCCTGAGTAGCTGGGACTAGAGGCGCCAACCACCACGCCTGGCTAATTTTTTGTATTTTTAGTAGAGACGGGGTTTCACCGTGTTAGCCAGGATGGTCTCGATCTCCTGACCTCGTGATCCGCCCACCTCAGTCTCCCAAAGTCCTGGGGTTACAGATGTGAGCCACCACGCCCGGCCCCAAGTAACCACTTTTTATTGGCTTTTATGTATTTGTCTTGTTGGGTTTATTTAAGCAAATACAAGAAGCTATAAATAAGATACATCCTTATATCTGTCTGTCTATCTGTCTGTTTCCTTTCCTATACAAAATGAAGTGTATTATTTATACTTTTGCACCTTGCCTTTTCAGTTAACAGAATATCTGGGGGATCTTTCCATGTCAGTACACAGAGAATTTCCTCATTTATATGGAAGGTTGCACAGTCTTCCATTGTGCAGGGTCACCTTAATTCATTTAACCAGTCCCCTTTTGATGGACACTTGGGTCATTTCCAGTGTTTTGCTCTTATAAACAATGCAGCAGTGAATATCTTGGCACATATGTCATTTTGTACGTATACAGGCATATCTTGTTGGATATTTTCCCAGAAGTGGGATGATAAGGTCAAAGCGTTAACTGCATTTGTATTTTTGATAGATATTGACAAATTGTACTGGTCCTTTTAAAATACCACGTCCAGGTCAGTGAATCAATTAGCCATAGACTGTTTACTGTATACCCATGAAAATGTATGGTTACATACTAAAAGTTCTACCAGTGCCTTCATTGATCTTGCTCCCTGCTAAATTCTCAGCATCACAAAACCAAACACCACATGTTCTCATAAGTTGGAGTTGAACAATGAGAACACGTTGACATAGGGAGGGGAACATCATACACCAGGGCCTGTGGTGGGGTGGGGGGCTAAGGGAGGGATAACATTAGGAGAAATACCTAATGTAGGTGACAGGTTGATGGGTGCAGCAAACCACCATGGCATGTGTACACCTATGTAACAAAACTGCACGTTCTGCACATGTACCCTAGAACTTAAAGTATAATTTAAAAAAATTCTCAGCATCTAGCAAGTGCCTGGTATGTAACAGGAGGCAAAATACATGTTGGAGTTTTAAAGTTACTCTGTTGGGCACATTTGGATCATGGGGCTCTCTCCTATTGATTATATTTCAGCTCCTCTGTGACGTTTCTGTTGCCTCTGGCACCTCATACAAGTTACTCGGGACATGCTTCCTATTTTCACTTGGCCAGCTGTTCCTCATTCCTCAAACTGCAGCCCACTTTTTCTGGAAAGCCCTCCTTTCTCCCTGTGCTTCCCTTATCATGGTTCTGATGACCCCCAAGTTTATCATGTGCAGCCCGTCATACTCCATAACCTCGCTGTGCATTCTTTGAGGGCAGGAGGCATTGCTTACCATAGTATCTGTAGTACCCAGCACAGCACTTGACATTCTGTCGGATCTCATATATTTTCAATACATGAGTGGTAAAGTGGAATTACCAGTTGATAATCCCTTTTTAAAGTTTTTTTTTTTGCATTTTTAAATTGAGATAGAATTCATGTACCATGAAATTTACCATTTTAAAGTGTATGATACAGTGATTTTTAAAGTGTATGATACAGTGATTTTTAGTGTATTCACCATGCTTTACAACATCGCCATTATCTAATTTCAAAACATTTCCATCATCTTCAAAAGAAACCTGTTTGGCTGGCCTGGTGGCTCACGCCTGTAATCCTAGCACTTTGGGAGGCCAAGGCGGGTGGATTGCCTGAGCTTGGGAGTTCGAGACCAGCCTGGGCAAAACAGTGAAACTCCGTCTCTAGGACCAGGCGTGGTGGCACACGCCTGTAATCCCAGCACTTTGGGAGGCCGAGGCGGGTGGATCACGAGGTCAGGAGATGAGACCATCCTGGCTAACATGGTGAAACCCCATCTCTACTAAAAGTACAAAAAAAAAAATTAGCCGGGCGTGGTGGTGGGCGCCTGTAGTCCCAGCTACTCGGGAGGCTGAGACAGGAGAATGGTGTGAACCCGGGAGGCGGAGCTTGCAGTGAGCCCAGATTCCGCCACTGCACTCCAGCCTGGGCGACAGAGCGAGACTCCGTCTCAAAAAAAAAAAAAAAAGAAAAAGAAACTCCATCTCTACTAAAGTATAAAAGAAATTAGCCAGGCATGGCGGCATATACCTGTAGTACCAGCTACTTGGGAGGCTGAGGCAGGAGAATCATTTGAGTCTGGGAGGCAGAAGTTGCAGTGAGCCAAGATTGCGCCACTGCACTTCAGCCTGGGTGACAGAGCGAGGCTCCGTCTCTACAAAACAAACAGACGAACAAAAAACTGTTCGCATTCATTTCCCATTGCTCCCCATCCCACCTTAATATCCACTTGCATCTCCACCCCAGCAACAACTCTCTACTTTGTGTCTCTGGACTCGCAAATGGGCATTTAATATACATGGGATCATACCATATGTGGTTTTTTGTACCTGGCTTCTTTCACGTAGCATGTTTTCAGGGTTCATCTATGCTGTAGCATGTATCAGTATTTCATTTCTTTTTATGACTGAATCATTTTATTGTACTGCGAAGTGCATTTTGTTTATGCATTCATCAGTTGATGGACGTTTGTCTCTTTTGGCGATTATGAATAATGCTGCTCTGAACACGCGTGTGCAAGTTTTTGTGTGGATGTCGTGTTCAGTTGTCTTGGATATATACCTTGGGGGTGGAATTGCTGGGTCATTAATTAATTTTAATATAGGCAAGGAGCCAGCATCAAAACGATATTGAACAGCTTGTATTTTGATCTGAGAGTGATAGCTCAGGGCCAGTATTATGAATATTGCCCATTATTCTGGCTTGACCCAGCAGTGCTGGTTATTGAGAGTTATATTTGATAAACTGTGAGCCAGTAATCCTCTGTGACTCAGAGCAAATGTTGTTAGAGTTCATACGACAGTGTGAACTCCATGGAGATGCCAAAACACACGGGACACAGGACACAGCTCCTGCTCTAACGGCAGACTTCGTTTGAAATAACCCAAATATCCACCTACAATGAACAGATTAGGTAAATTGTGGTATAGCCATACAATGGAATACTCTAGCTGTTTAAAAGAGGATGAGATCAATCTTTCTGTGTTGACATGGACTGATATCTGACAAAAAAAATAGATTACAAATTAGTATGTATAGGATGAGCCTATTTTAATTAAAGAAACTTTATGTTTATATATGCACAGGCAACACCTGGAAAGATCATACACAGCAGACTGTCAACATTGGTATCTCTCTAGGAGATAGTTTATGGAAGACTTCAGCTTTCAACTTTATATGTTTCTCTCTCTCTCTTTTTTTTTTTTTATTTGAGACAGTTTCGCTCTTGTCACTCAGGCTGGAGTGCAATGGCATGATCTCGGCTCACTGCAACCTCCTTCGCCTCCCAGGTTCAAGTCATTCTCCTGCCTCAGCCTCCCGAAGTAGCTGGGATTACAGGCGCCCACCACCACACCCAGCTAATTTTTTTGTATTTTTAATAGAGACGGGGTTTCACCACATTGGCCAGGCTGGTCTGGAACTCCTGACCTCAGGTGATCCACCTGCCTCGGCTTCCCAAAGTGTTAGGATTACAGGCATGAGCCACCGCACCCGGCCTATATGTTTCTTTGTTAAAATTTTCTTACAGTAGGTGTGTATTGCTTTTAAATTCAGTTAACTTCCCACAATTCTGTTTTGGGGGAAAAAAAAACTTGAGATAAGAATTATGTCTGAACCACTAGATAGTAATGTAGGATATAATACCACATATTGGCATATGATTCAGTGCAGATACATTTGTTGTGAACATAGTTTAAAAATGGGGTAAGCCCAGAGGTGAGAGAGTGTTTAGGTTCTAGCAATCAGGGAATCTTCATGAAGAATGGGACTTGACTTGGGCCTTAAAGAATAGGTAGCATTTATAGAGCACTTCACAGTTTATAGAATCAAAGATAACAAGCGTGTCTTCTGTATTTACTACCTGCTTTGTGCTCAGTCTTGTAAAAAGCACTCTACCTGTATTCTGTCATTCAGCCCCCACAATCAGCCTGTGTGGCAGATACTGTGGTGCCTCCCTTTTTACAGATGAGTGAACTGAAGTTTAGAAAGACTAAGGACTCTCGTTGCTCATCAATGCCAGAGCCACAATTCAAGGTCCGTGTGTCTGACTTCACAGCCTGAGTCCTTTACTCTATTTTAAAGAGAAGGAGATGGAGGCCAAGATAATTCAAGTCACTCGCCCTAGATGATACAGCTAGTAAATTGGTGAGCCAGGATCTGAACTCAGGATATTCCAAGTAATCCGTCGCGTCTGTTACACTGATCTTTCCTGATGTGGAGTCCAAGCTGTTGAAACCCCTGGGGATGACAGTGGGGGCTGGGGGTTCTGGGCCAGAGAAGTGTGCAGAACTCTTTCTACCATGCCCCCTTTCTTGGAGATTCACAGAGCATATAAACTTACTAAAGTACCATCCACCATTTCTCAAGTCTGTGATCATCTCTTTCCAAGTAGTGTATAGTAACATTCCACAGATCCCACTTTGTGAAATGCCATCTTCTTGTCCTATAAGGAAGGCACAGGTTCTTGAACAGCTTTCCATTTCTCTCTCTCTCTGTTAATAAATAAGAGTGCCAGCTCCAAGGTCTGAGGCTAGAAGGGTGTGAGGAAAAATATTTGTTGGAATTAATGGTGTGTGATTTCGTGGTTGGGTTTGGGGCCACATCTCTAGCCACTGACACATTTTTCTGAATCTTCCTTCTTTAGGACACATGGAAAAGCCTAATAGAGGGATCGTATTTGCCATTGCTCTGTGACTTTTTGTTGCAGCAAATCATGATTCACCATTAACAGGGTGTATGGGAGGTCACCTAATTAACCCTCCCATACTTCCTAAACTCAAATTACTCCACCTACACGCTACCAGATTTCATACAGTGAGTGTTAGAAGGATCCAAGTGCTATTACCTTTTGTTTGCTGTAATAGTGTCACTATTGTGTTTTCTTAAAAATTATGTAAAATACATGTAACATTAAATCTGCCATCTTAACCATTTTTAAGTGTGCCGTTAAGTAGTGTTAAGCACATCCACATTGTGCAACCAATCTCCAGAACTCTTCAGTTCATTCCACAGTTATTGAGCAGCTGCTCTGAGATTATCAAGATACACTCCCTGCTCAGTCTAATGGGGAAGACAGATAGGAAAACCAGTGGTTACAGTTCAGGATGGCCAGAGTGGTGAGGTACTCCTTATGGGACTGGACGTGGGGGGCTTTTGGGCCTGCTCCCACCTGGTGCTCCCGGGCTCCTTCTCTTCTGGCATCCGGTTTGGCTACTTGCTGATTGCAAGTAGTTTCTCACCCTGTCAATCCCTGAAGGAATTTCTCTGCTCCCCAGAACCCCGGGGAGGCCAAGTCTGCAGGTTTTGCTTGTGCGAGAGCTGTGCTCTATAGCTGAGCCCACGTGGCCTGAGGTGGGGGTAGGGCAGGAGAAGGGCGCTGCTGCCAAAACCAGAACTTCACCAAACCCCAAATCAACAGTTTGCCCAAATATAGTATCCTAGACTTTCCAGTCATCATATTTAAGCTAAATATACTGTCCTTCAGCTTGCAAGCTCAGCTTCCTCTAGGAGTGACTTCTGTGATTACTCCTAAGTGCCTTTTCTTCATTTTGTGTCTAAAAAATGGCCATGGTGACGTGGCCGAAGTCCCAGATTAGGGGTATGTGTAAAACTAAACAGATTGCAGAGAACTGGCTCCAGGTCACATTTGATTTTGTTCATTTCCATGGAGACCTCTTGAAAGTGAAAGATAGGGCATTCTTATATAGTATATAGAGCTCCTTTTGGAAAAGGTTTATTATGATGATTAACTCACAGGCTCTTCTTCCCTGGAAAAATAGGCTGCAGATTTGAGGCTCAGTTGCCTTATCAGGACATACACCCTGATTCTCCATTTCTCATTGCCATGTCACATGGGGCTTATAAATACGGTGTTATGCATGCGTGGTGAGTGCAGGCTTTGATTTAGATTGTCTGATTCTTTACCGACTCCTGTACTTAACTAGATAACATGATGAAGTTACTTAACTGTGGCCGTTTCCTTGTCAGTAAAATGGGGTTGAAAATTCTTGTACCTACTTCAGTGAGTTTTTGAAAGGACCAAATAAGTGAATAATGCATGCATGGCATCCTTATAGAACCTGATATACAGTAAGGACTCAATGTATTTGTTCAGAGTACCTGAATATTAATTAATTAATTCCATGAGTATTGTCTCTGTCATTAAGCAGCCATTTTATGTGCCTCTAATTTTCATATTATAGGTTATGTACAGTCTGTACATCCTGGTGCATCCGTTCCTCACCAGACATATCTTTTTTTTTTGAGACAGAGTTTTGCTTTGTCTCCCAGGCTGGAGTGCAACGGTGTGATCTTGGCTCACTGCAGCCTCCGCCTCCCAGGCCCATGCGATTCTCCTGCCTCAGCCTCCTAAGTAGTTGGGATTACAGGTGCCCGCCACCACACTGGCTAACTTTTGTATTTTTAGTAGAGACAGGGTTTTGCCATGTTGGCCAGGGTGGTCTCGAACTCCTGACCTCAGGTGATCTGCCCACCTCGGCCTCCCAAAATGATTTTTTTTTTTTTTTTTGAGATGGAGTCTCACTCTGTCATCCAGGCTGAAGTGCAGTGGCACGATATTGGCTCACTGCAACCTCCGCCTCCTGGGTTCAAGCAATTCCCCTGCCTCGGCCTCCCGAGTAGCTGGGACTACAGGCATGCACCATCACACCCAGCTAATTTTTGTATTTTTAGTAGAGATGGGGTTTTGCCATGTTGGCCAGGCCGGTCTCAAACTCCTGACCTCAAGTGATCTGCCTGTCTTAGCCTCCCAAAGAGCTGGGATTACAGGCATGAGCCACTGTGCCTGGCCTATACCTTTTACACTCAAACATTGCTGCCTGACCCACGAAGACTGTTAAGAAATTTACAGATTGGGCCAGGCACAGTGACTTATGCCTGTAATCCCAACACTCTGTGGGGGCAAGGCGAGTGGATCACTTGAGGTCAGGGGTTTGAGACCAGGCTGGCCAACATGGTGAAACCCCATCTCTACTAAAAATACAACAAATTAGCTGGGTGTTGTGGCACATGCCTGTACTTCCAGCTACTTGGGAGGCTGAGACAGGAGAATCACTTGAACCCGGGAGGTGTAGGTTTCAGTGAGCTGAGATTGTGCCACTGCACTCCAGTCTGGGCGAGACAGCAAGACTTTGTCTCAAAAAAAAAAAAAGCCAAACAAAACAAAAAGTACAGATTGAGTGGGTTTGCGGAGGGCTTCTCGGTGACCTCTGAGCCCCACTTCTCCCTGCGTGCCTGAGCCCCCAGCCCCCGGCTCTGCCCATGAATGCCCTCCCCCAAGAGCCACAAGCTCCAGAATTACCCCTCACCTTGTCCCTTCTCAAAGATCATATGGCTTCAGCACTGCTTAGTGCTGTCTCCCTCTCCCACTGGGAAGAAAACTATGAGGTTAAATTAAATGGAGATCAGCTGCTTGAAATATTTTATACTGAGGCGTGACCTAACCATCATAACATGTTTAAAAATAACAGAGATTTTGCGTTTTACATGTTGTTTTTGTTGAAGGACTTTCTTTTCTGTGTAAATACCACTTTTATAAGCAGATCTCCTATAGCTCTTCCACTTTAAAAAATTGACTTAATTTTTACTCTGTTTTTGTGCCTGGACACTATGATTTTTTATGGTTGTAATAAGAATGCACAGGCTGAATTCTGATTTTTTTCCCACTCAATAGTATATCCAAATATTTTGAGATGTTAGCATTTTTTAAAGATGAGGTTGTCCTAAATGCCTACCAGTAAGGGATTGGTTAGATCAATTTAAAATGGTGACATAAATCTGTATGCAGTGTCATAGAATGATGTCCAAAACATATGGTTATGGTTTTTTTAAAAGCAGCTTACAGAATACCATATTGGTGTGGGCCTTTTTCTGTAAACGTTTGGATGTGTTTTATTTTTATAGAAAAATACCTGTAAGGATGATCATCAAAATAGCACCAGTGTTTTTCTCTGTCGTAGGATTTCAAGTAATTTTACTTTTTTTCTCCACGCTTATATCTGTCTATTCATATATATATATTTGTTTTAATGAAATGCATATTATTTTGATGATCAGAAAAAGGCAATGTTAAAGTGGTTTTGTTTTGGGAATGGAAAAATAGAAAGTTTGGATTAGTGATAAGCCTGCTGCTGGGGGAGAGGTGGTGGGTTGGGGGTAGAAGCCAGGGCACAGGTGGAGGGTGGGGGTGGAAGTGGGAGAGCGAAGAGGGCAGGAGGAGGGGGCTTGACAGCCAAGGGATGCTGGAAAGAGAAGCCCGCACCCTGGATCTTACAGATACCATTCCCATCTAACATAAATCAAAGTGTTACTTTTCAGAAGCCTTTTGAACAGTGACTCAGAAGGTGAAAGTGAGGGTATTAGACCAGTCAGAGAAGGATACAAAAGCATCAAGAAAAACTCAAGTCAGGATTGACTAGAAGTTGGCCAGGCACAGTGGCTCACACTTGTTATCTCAGCACTTCGGGAGGCTGAGGCAGGAGGATCCCTTGAGGCCAGGAGTTCGAGACCAGCCTCGGCATGGTGGCGTGTACCTCAGCTACTGAAGAGGCTGAGGTAGGAGGATCATTTGAGGCTGGGAGGTTGAGGCTGTGGTGAGCTGTGGTTGCACCCCACTGCACTCCAGCCTGGCCCACAGAGCAAGACCCTCTGTTAAAAAAAAAAAAAAAAAAGGATTGACTCTAAGTGGAAATGTAACTTCTTACTTCTAGACATTAACTACACAAGGCACATGGATGAAATGGCCTTTGGTGAAATGGTTGTTGAAATGGTGAAAATTTGAAAAATTTAAACCCCAACACAGTAGCCCATTGCTGCCCCATTGAGAGGCTGTGGAAATAAGTTACCCAGTCAGCTTTTGGGTTTGGGTGAGATCTGTTCACTTTGGTTTTCTTTCTTTCTTTTTTTTTTTTTTTTTTTGAGATGGGGTCTCACTCTGTTGCCCAGGCTGGAGTGCAGTGACATGATATCTGCTCACTGCAACCTCTGCCTCCTGGATTCAAGCGATTCTCTTGCCTCAGCCACCCGAGTAGCTGGGATTACAGACACGCACCACCACGCCTAATTTTGTATTTTTAGTAGAGACAGGTTTTCACCATGTTGGCCAGGCTGGTCTCGAACTCCTGACCTCAGGTGATCCATCTGCCTCTACTTCCCAAAGTGCTGGGATTAGAGGTGGGAGTCACCGCGCCTGGCCCACTTTGGTTTTCAAAACCAAAGTGGGATGCCCTGCCTCCGCATCCCTTCCCAGGGGTGCAGTAAGCAAACAGGCGGTGGGGACAGGGCTGGGTGGTAACATTGAGGGGTTCTGTGAAGTTCTAGGACTTGATTGCCTGGGAGAGCCTCTTGCTCAGGGCTGGTAGGCTGGGGCAGATGGTGTGCTGGGGCGGATGGTGTGCTCAGGGCTGGCAGGTTGGGGTGTCTTCCTGCTGTCCCATGGAAGATGGAGCTGTTGCTGCTGGTGGCTTATCAGCACGTATTTGTTAAGCTTGATTTATGCAAAGGGTAGGGGCAGGAGAACCCAGAAAATGATAAATGACAAAGCAATGATAAAAAACAAGAGGAAGAATGACTAATTGTTATTTATTGAATACCTGTGATGTGCTAGGCCTTGTGCTACATTTGACCTTCTAATCCCACTAGTCCCCTCCATAGTCCTCTTTATGGATTCTATCTCTGTCTACACCAAGCAACTGAACAACTCCATTTCAGAGTTAGTGAGGGCAGAATTGGGATTTTGACACAGGTCTTTCTGAATCCAAAATCTGGGCTCTTAACTATTGTGCTCTACTATCTCTCAACAAAGAGGTACAGGCAGTGAGTGCTTCAGGTGTGAGGAGGAAGCAGCCAAGAGGAGTGATGGTAGAATGGGGAGGAGGAAGGAGGAGGTGAGGCTGGAGCAGGCTCTCAAAGGAAAGCCAAGGCAGATGAACAAATGGAAGGCAGAGCAGATGGCTGGAGTGCAGGCAAGAAAGGACATTCAGAGAATCAAAGAAAGCGGCTACTACACATGCTGCTACACAAGGGTTCCTGGGCCAGATTGCCCTGGGAAATGCTAGGCTGTTTCTTTACTGTTTCTTTATTGCAGGACTTGTCAGAGCCTTCATATAGTATTAATGAGTTACATATTTCTCTACCAAATACATTTGTTGATCTTGGAGAGTATTTAATGGAATAATATCCTTAATATATCCTTTAGGACATCCAGGACTATCATATTAGTTTGGAAAGTTGTGATAATCAAATGTGGAGAGGCAGGGAGGATTAGGAATGCCAGATTAAAGAGTTAGACATTATCCTTTAAGCAGCAGAAGGCAATGGAGGGGCTGTGGTGTGTGCGTGTATGTTTGTGTGTATATGCCTGGCTATTCTAGCTATGGATAGTGGGAGGGGAGGAAGGGGTTTTGAGTCTTGAGGCTGAGGATCCAGTTAGAAGTCTCTCCTACAGGCTGGTGGCAAATGAGAATATGAAGCTCTTAGCAGCATTGGGAGTAGAAATGATGGATTTAATAAAATAGTAAAGGAAAAAGCCAACAAGGGGCTATAAGGAAAGGTGGGGAGTCTTTGACTGCAGCCTGGGACATAGGCAAGTATAGAGCTTTCTCCTGGGCACCAGGTTTGGCATGTTGAACGGGAGTTAATCATGCACTATGTAGGTAAAGATGCAGCCTCCCACCTCCCATCCTGGGGAGAAAGATTTCAGCAGGAAAAGTAGATCTGAGTGTCGCCGGAATAGAAGTGGCTGCTACAGCAGAGATTTCCAAGAAAGCAAGAAGAGCTGAGGCTTGCACTGGGAGCCTGGAAGTGAAGCCGTGTCACAGAAGCATGGGGAAGAATCCGTGGATACAAAGGGACTTCAGAGAACACCCTTAAAACATGAGAACTCTGAGGCCCAGTGAGGTGGATGGGAGCAGCTGGAAGCAGCCCGTCGGGTTTGTGGCTGAGCTGTCAGGGAACAGGTCTCTTGCCTCCTCACTGCACTTTTCTCCCTTCTGCTTCCTCTTAGTAATATATGTACAGCCATTTGAGCTTTACCTATTTGCATGGGCTTCAGTAGAGCTGCAGGTGGCCTTCCTAGCAGGTGTGGCCACCAAGTACCCAACAGATTTCAGTCTGTTCTTGTCTTCGTTGCCTCCTCGGGGTAGTGAAAGGGCTGGGGAGCCTGTTGGTCCTGTCCCAGGGCTGTCCTCTCTGCATCCGTGCCCCCTGGGCTTTGCATGGGGGAGGAGCCTGGAATCTCGCTCTCTTTAAGGCTGGAAGCCAGGATGGCTGCCTGAGACTGCTGGCTATCTGTGCCCTCTCCTCTTGCCAGGGCTCAGTCTGGGGCAGAATGTGGCCCAGGGCCTGCTTGTCAGCACGTGGCTAGGGTTTCCGTGTTAACGTTCCCAAATTGGGATCTCAGAAGATCAAGTGTCCGTGTTGTCTGATCACGCTGAGCCTTCTCGAGCGGCCAGCTGCAAACCTTTCAAAGGGCTGTGTGTAATTGGCTTGGGAGATGCTGTGGGGGACTGAGAAGGGGACAAAGAAGTCAGTTTTTAAAAGGAAAAAAATAAATGAACATAACAGTCTTGGGCCAGTTGGGTGGGGCATGGTGCTTGGGCACATTGAAACCCCTTCCTCTTCCCTTCCTATTTTTCCACTTCCAGAGGCCCCTTTGGCTAGCGCCGTACTGACCCCTGCAGACCCCCTCTGTGTAAATACAGCCTCTGTCTCCCACCCACTTCTTCATTATGCATTCCTTTAATCTGACCCATCTCCAGGTTGCCAGCTGGCAGAGACTCAGCAGATTCCAAACCCCAGCTGGTGCCAGAGTGTTTACACGGGCCAGGGAAGCTTGGCAGACAACCTGCCCCCAAGCTACTCAGCTGTAGGAAAAGGTAGAAAGACTCCTGGAGATAAGTGGCCCGTTTGTTTGCAGACTTTCTCTCCTCCCTCATTCACCCTCCCCTGCATGCCCACCCTCACTCCAGTTGCTGCTCTATCCTGAAAACGTTAGAAAGAATCCCTTTGTGAAAGGGAGGTAAATGGCTAGGGACTAGCAGCGTAATCCCTACATCCAAGCAACCCTGTGTGGCACTCTGAGCACATAAAGGTAAAAGATCCTTTGCCTTCCGGGCTGAAACAGATCAGATATTAATTAGGAGACATTATTGGTTAGTGTAGAGCCAGTCCCCATTCATAACGGATATGTTTTTCCAAAATAATAAAGCTATGTGATCGAGTGTTCATGAAGCCAGGACTCATATTTGTCACTGCAGCCTGAGGCCAGTGGTGTCCTCAAAATCCTATATTCACCTCCTCCTGCCTCAGTAAAGGCCCCCTTGAAAAACTCAGGCAGGAAACTGTTCGTCCACCACAGTGGTTTATCTTGATCTGAGTTTGTGAGAAGCCAGTCCCAGGGTGTCATGCCTAAAGAAAACCATTTCTGAAGTGGGTTATCAACACTGTTGGTCCTTTGGAAATTAGATGGCCCATAAAGAGTGGCGATTTGTCTGCCTCCCATGCGTTTCATGAGGGGTAGTACCAGGATGTGTGTGGAGGATAATTTTGCTGGTTTAAAGTGTCCTATTCGGTTGGGCATGGTGGCACACTCCTGTAATCCCAGCACTTTGGGAGGCCAAGGCAGGTGGGAGGCCAAGGCAGGTGGATCTCTTGAGGCCAGGAGTTCAAGAACAGCCTGGCCAACATGATGAAACCCCATCTCTACTAAAAGTACAAAAATTAGCCGGGTGTGGTGGTGCATTCCTGTAATCCTAGCTATTCGGGAGGCTGAGGCAGGAGAATCACGTGAGCCTGGGAGGCAGAGGCTGCAGTGAACTAAGATCTTGCCACTGCACTCCAGTCTGGATGACGGGAGTGAAACCCTGTCGCAAAAAAAATAAAAATAAAAAATAAAAATAGTGTCCCATTGCCAGCAGTTACGTTGATGAGGTTAATTATTATCATATGGTGTTAGTATTCTTTTATTTGAGTAGCATATCTCCATCAGTCAGAGTCCCAACAGGAAACAGGTGGGGTAATTGAGGAATGGTTATGTAGGCACTATTAACAAGGGCGTGGACTGGCTCAGGGGAAACAGATAAGGAACAGTAAAGCATTCTAAGGCTTGCGAACGTGGGGAGCTATCCCTAAGCTTGAAGGGGCTGAGGATAGCATGGATCTAGAACTAAGAAGGAAGGGAGAGAGGAAATACCATTGAGAGCTGTGGTTGAAGGGGAGGGGCTGGAGTTTTGGTGGAGGGTTGCAGTGACTGCCAGAACTGTCCAGCAGGAAAGGAGCCAGGTGATGAATACCCCTTTCATGCTCTCTCATGTTCTGCAGATTCCATCGGAAGCCCACTGAAGTACTCCATAAAGGTGAAGCTGTCTGTTCTGGGACACAGGGTAGGATGGAGCATTGTGCAGCCCAGTAGAACTTACAGATGCTATTCTGCCTTCTGTTTGACTCCTACCTCATATATGACAACAGGCAATCAAAGGGTGGCAAAGCTAAACTGATGTCCCTGAAATACTACCATCTCTGAGAATAGGACTTTTGGACAGACGTTTCCTGATTGTAATAAGCCAAATAGTGCAACACATCTAACTTTAAGCTACTCTTGCCCTGATTTCTGGTGAGATTTAGAATCACCATTGCTTCTTAAAGTGATGGCGCATTAAATGCTTCCACTTCCATCTTTTGGCTGGTTCAGATAATACTCAAGCACCACTTAAACCCATTTCCTTCTCTTGCCCCAGTGATTTGCACCCTAGCCCTCAGGGACCAAGAGGAGTTTCTGGTGCAGCATAAATGGAATTCTAATCACCGTGTCTAATTACTACTAGTCTTTGAGTATCTGTATCCAACAGGAAATGGCTTTCTTGACTGTTTCACATGCAGGAGCTTGGACTCCCGTATTTGTTAGGTAACTGATGAAATTTAATTGTTTAATTATGAAATATGAGATGGTTTTTTAGAGTTTTGTGGCTGAAGAGACTTTCAAATTTTATGTTACGATGTTGCCTCCTTTATACTTTGAGGGAGACAATCATTTCTTTATCTTGGCTTGAATCATTGTGGGAAGCAAAGCTTTGAAATGCGCACCATGCTGGAATAGATGGTATCCCCACTGATGAACTCAGGAGACAGACAGTTGATTTTGGGCAGCTTTTGGAAGGAAGGGAGGGAGGGAGGGAAGGAGGGAAGGGAGGGAAGGAGGGAAGGAAGGGAAGGAAAGCTTTAAGGGGTCTGAGGGCCAGATATCGTTTCTTCCATTTTAGACTAGTTCATTTGAAACAAATGGGCACAGCTGAGATCTGAAGTTGGACCACACGGTGGACAGCCCCCGTAAAGCCGTTATGACTATCCTAAGCTAAACCATTGTATCTCTAGGCCTTCTCCAGTCCTTTCTCAGTGCCATCATGATTCTGTTCTAACCCTCACCTGCCCCCTTTTATCCACTTTCTGTACATGTTTCTGGCTCAAATCACCGCCTCGCAGAAATCTTCTCAGAGAAGGTCCAGAAATCTCCAAACCCAGGGCACTAACAGATGTTTTTTGGGTCTCTCCTTTGTGCCAAGAACACTGTGGGTATGGAGATAAATAAAGACATGGTCTTTGCCCTGGAGAAAGCAAAGGAGCTTCCACTTGCCCTTTGCCTAACGCTGTCCTGATCTATGACATCTCTTGTCTTAAAATGAACCCTTTATGCATCAAGGTCTCATTTTGATCATTAGATCTTAGGCACATCGTTCAGGTAGCATGGTGATTAACAGTCCAGATGTCACGGTCAGATGGATCTTGGATTCTAGTCCCGCTTCTGGGGCTTATTAACTGTGTGCCTTGGGGCGTGTTGCTTAAGCTTTTTGGGCCTCACTTTTCTGCACATTAGGGCCTCTGGGAGCATTAAGTGAGATCATTTCTGTAAGTGTTCAGAGCAGTTCCTGGCAGGTGATAGAAGTTCAGTGAATAGTAGTAATGTAGCAGTTCCTTATAGAGTTGGAGGTTAGATGAGGTAATCCTGTTTGGCGTTTAGCACAGTGCCTGGCATTTCATAAGATCTCACACGTTAGATGTCATTGTCGCTCCTTGCAGGGTTGCTGAGGATTATTTGATGTGATTGTGTAAAATGCCTTTACCTTGCCTGGCTTGCAGTAAATATTCAAAGAAGAGTGGTTGGTTTTATCGTCTTCGTGATAATGGAGTTGGAGTAGATAGATGTATAGCCTGACTCTGGATTCTGGTCCTGAGCCTTTGAGAGAAGGAAGCGGGTCTCGTAATTGCTTTCATCTCCAGTAGCATTGTGCCTTGCCCAGAGCATGTGCTCAATATTTTGTGATTGAAGAATTGATTTTTAAAAATGTTTATATTTTGTTTTGTAGGGACAGTGCTAAACAAAGACATATTACTAGGGTGTGAAAGTGCCTTACCAGCCAGCTTTGTGCACATGAACATAAGCACACAAACACACCATACTTCTAATGCTTTCCATGACATATCTGTTTAGAAAACCCTGTGTGGCCATTGTCAGATCTGGAATTGCCCCATGGTTATGGCAGCAGTCACTGTGGCTGTAGAGTGTGAATATGGATCCTGGCCCATGGCCAGGTGCTTATCTGCATATCTGTGGGTTCTGATTCTGAACTCTGTCAGTCCAGCCGACGCAATAAAGGCTGACAGGCTGAGAGGAGACCGGAGGCCTCCCGTGGCCCTCCACCCCTTTGGCACCCTGACAGTTCTCCCCCTGGGAACGTGCAGAACAGTCATCCCTTGTAAATCCATCTAGGTGGCCCTGCCTGTCCCTCTAGAGAAATGAATGAAAGTAAAGTCACAGCTGCTGAGAGTGGCAGTGTAGCATCGGTTCAAAAGAATTGATTAAATAGCAGAAAATTTCCCAGCCCCTTTGCGAATATAGTGGAGGAAGGATGTTCATTTTGTTTTTGCCTCTCTCCCCTCTAGCTCCTCTGAAAGTACATTAATTCATGGGGTGTTTATTGAGCGTCTTCTCCATAGCTGGTGTGTGTATCAAGACAAGGTGTCCGAACTGCACAAGCAGCAGGGGTCTTGGGGAACTGAGAAAGGGCGTGGTCTTAACAAAAGCTGCCCAGGCCCAGTGCACCCTCTTGGGCATCCCTCTCTGCAGCACTGGATCTCAGTTCCTGAAGAAATACCCGTTGGATTGGTGTAATTCCCAGGAGATCATCCTCTCTAGGCCCCCTTGTTTTTCTGCATGTCCAACCACATTTCTCTCCATGGTCCTTCTTGTCACCACACGTGGTCTAAGCTTCTCCCGCACCTCCCTGACTGTCCACTCCTCTCTAGCTCCCGAGCTCTTTGCTTTCCTTCAGAGTTGAGCTGCTAGACCGAGCAGTCCACACTTCTGTCTCCACACTCCCACTCCATGCTCACCCATACACACCAGCTCTGCCCCTCCTTTCCTCCAGCTTTGGCAGCATTTACCAGTGACCTCTGGTTTACAAATCTGATGGACACTTCACACATTCATTACATAAATATTTATTAATCCCCACTATGTGCCAAGCGCTGTTGTAGGCACTTGGGACCCATCAGAAAACAAAACAAAAACCTGGTCACGGGCTGCTCACATTTCAGTCCTGAGTTGACTGGTCCTCCCTGGGGCATCTGCAGGTGTGCAGCTGACTCCTTACAATGGTCTCCTGCCTGGGCTGCTGGGCTCCTTCTGGGTTTCCTCTGGCCCCTCTGACTGTGCCTTCTCAGCGCCCTTCTCCCCTCTCACACCCCCAGCCATCCACAACACCCTGTGAATATCTGTCATCACCCCTAGCACATTTTATTTAAATTGGACATTTGTGTGTCTGTTTCCTGAACAAGACCTGAGCACCACTTTTGGCCATTCCCTCACCTTAATTAATTGTGCCATCAAGTCTTTTGAAAATTGCCTAGCACCACCCCAGGTCTGTTGCCACTACCTAAGTCCAGGCCTGGATGATCTCTTCTTGCAGTAACCTAAGTCTCTGTGCTGCCTAGCTCACCTCCCGTCTCCAGCCCTTTCTCTACACTGTGAGAAGAATGAGATTTGTGCAATGGAAATCACCTTGGGTTGTCCCCTGCTTGAAAACCATCAGTGGCTACCTCTCATGTGTAGGATGAAGTTCTATTTTTATATCTGCTGCTGTAAAGGGTCCTTCATAGGACCTGCCTTCTGCCAACCTTCCAGCCTCACTACCATCCATACACAGGCCCCTCATTTTCCCAGGGAGTCACATTTCTCCCTTCTCTCTGCTTTAGTGCATGCAGTTCCCTCAGCCTGTAGCACCCTTCCTGCCTCCTGTTTGCCTCTTCAGCCCTTCAGAGTGCAGATCAGGTAGAACGTTGCTGGTGAAGTTTTCCCTGGGGTGGGGCAGCCTCAGTTCTCACAGTCAGGAGCCTCTCCATCCTGAACCGCCTGTACTTGCCCTGTGAGAATGATGATTCTGTTGTGTTGTAAATGACTTTTTTGCATACTGATTTATCTGTCTGGGCTGCACATTTGAGCGGTGGTACCATTCCTACCTGGGATGGTGGTGCTGGGTGTGGGGTTGGAGCAAAATTCCTGAGTGTGGGAGTGGGGGCAAAACATGAAAAGCAAGGTAGGGCCACCTTGGAGTTGGAATGTCAGCATAGGTCCTGATTCTCTCCTGAGCAATAGGGAGCCATGGAGGACTATGGAACAGGGCCTGTGGAATTTTAAGATGGATCTGTTGTCTTTTCCGGAGCTTGGTCAGAGGGAGATGGCAGAAACAGCACTTGGGGTTGGTTCTTCCAGCTGCCCTTGGCAAGGCCATGGCCTTGGTTCCTTGTGTGGCCTTGGGTATGTGTGCAATAGGTGGGGGTGGGGTTCATAGCAGTGACTAGGAGAATGAAGGAAGAGAACCATGCTCCCAATTCCTCCCCTACTCCTGCAAGGCCTTGGCAGGAGAGCTGCTTTCCTCTTTCCTTCTCTTTGTGTGTGTCCGCCCCTTCTTATGCTCTTACCCTGTGATTTTCTTACAGAGAGATTATCTGTGCTTCTTGGCAAAAGCTTAAGGTCATTCGTGTCCCAGGCAGTTCCTGTCCCTTCTTGTAGCCCCCTGAAAGAGACTTACTTAATGGGCCTCGGGTGGGGGACACCTGGCCTCCTGGACCTTGCTCCAAGGCCTGCATTCAGCCCCAAGTGGGGTTTTGCACATTGAGCCATGGCCGAGGGTGTCTGATGCCTCCTGTCAACCTCTGAGACCCAGCTGTGAGTTCAGATGGGGGTCCAGCCTCTCCGTCTAATTTTTGGTTTTCTTCCTGGGCCACCTTTGCCCTGCATGAAGTCACCATCAGATTCCTGGGATGCTAGAGCTTGGAATGGAGACTAGCCTAGCAGGACTGAGAAAAAATCCCCAAGTCTTTTTATATTTTAGTTAAAACCCACTTTCAAGTTAGTCTAATGAGATTTTATACGTATATAACTGTGTATGTGAGAGAGAAACCTTGGGATATGGTATTTAAATATTGACATTTGCCCAGGCTTTGTTTATTTGGCTTAGGGGTATGCGGAGACTGGTTTGTGGCAAAGTGTGGGGAGTGTTTACCTGAGGCCCTGCCTTTGGTGTTATATTTGTATCTCCTGTTCATCTGTAGCACATTTTCCTGGGAACTCTTGCCTTTTATGTTGTTATTTTCCTTCTCCACTTTGAAGATGATTCTGAATATCCCCTTGTGAATATTATTTGCTGACAAACAGAGACATTTGAGTGCTGGATGTTTTTCATTAATGTTCTTGGCCTTGGTTTAAGACGCTGGAATCAAATCATCATCATGAAGTTCTGCTTATCGGGTTCCCTCACGTAGGTGGTCATTGGCCGGTCTTTGTAGACTCGAGCAAGATGGACTCAAACGCCAGTGCCGAGTGTGTTAGGATGCATTTCCCACAGGAGGAGGATGCACTGCTGTAACAGAGAGTGACAGGAAACCAAGGTGATTCAGAAGTGAGACACACATAGCAGAGGTCCCCAGCCTGACCTTGACTTCTAAAGCTACTGGAATGGTACCATGGCCAACTCCTTGGGACCCCTCATTTAAGCTCTTTTACTGACACACTCCTCCATGGAGTAGGGGTAGTATGGAAACTAGGACACAGAGATCACACATCTAACATTTAAAAAACTCATATTTTCACTTTCCGGCCTCAGTTTGCTTAGTTTAATGATAGGCGGAGGTTGACATCCAGGGTCAAGGCCTGTCTTTATGTGCCCCTACACAAATACCCAGAGGAATTTGAAGGCTTCCTGTGAGAATTGGCCTGCAGCCCTGCTGACGGGCCTGGTTTATGGCCCCCGGAGATGGCTTCACCCTGCTCCATCGCTGTGTGAACTCATGGTTCATTTTCTTAGCAGGCTCTAATCCACGTGCCTAGCTCTTCAGTCAAAATGTGGGGGTCAACATGCTGATGTTTGAAACTTTCAAGGTGGTGGAGAATAATTTGAAATGGTTGCAGCAGGTCACTGTCTGCCAACTCTGGCTTTCTCTAAGAGCAAACAAGCAAATGAAGGCAAATATACCTGGGTCCTGCCTGGTCCAGCTACCCTGAGTATGTGGAGACCTTGAATAATCCTTTTATTTCCCTGAATACCAGGAAATGCCAGAAGTTCCTTGGGGATGATTCTCCCTGGCACCCACTCTTGTTGCTTGCTGAAGATTAGTGACAGACAGGATGTCGCAGACACATCTATACTGATTAGAATGACCCTCCTCTCTTTTTGCTTTCTGTCTTACGGAGCGAAAACATCTTTAAAAACTACAGCTGAAATGACACTGTGCTACACCGGTGAGGGGTTTCTTTTCTGTAGTCAAGTCTAAAATATTACCTAATCTGAACTCTCCAAAAATAACTCACAACCTAAAATTTTTCACTCCATAATCCTTTCTTTTTTATGTTATTATTTTTAATGTATCAATGATACTGCATCAGAACAGGTGGCTTTTGGCCAAAAGTAAAAACATTTTGTTCTGACCAATGTGTGTTTTACTCATATCCAAACACAACCAGTAATATGAACTCTGCCCCATGATGCAGGAGAAATAAATATTAAGAATGTCACTATTCTGGAAAATTATTTTGCCTGAGCATTTAAAATTTTTTATGTAGTTTTTAGCTTCCATAAGGAATGGTTTATGAGTATGCTATGCTATCCAGATAAGGGGAAAAGCTACTTGGTGGGGGCAGGTGGGTGTGAGTGAGAGTGAAGTATATAATCAAGTGGTAAGTATTAGAAATACCTAGTCAGTGCTTTTTTTTAGGGGAGGATGAGAATATATATATTAAGGCTCTCAAAGAAGTAATACATTTACTTCAGCAAATTCGTATGTTTTATATAAGGCTATCTATAAAGCACGTAGAAGGCCAAGTTCAAGCTATACCAGCATAAATTGCATAAATACACAGTCTTCTTAAAGTTATAATTAACTTGTGGATATAAAGGCAGTGGGGAAGGGCTTTCCCTAGGCCACCCTCTGTTTTTCAGTACCCGATTAATTTCCCAAATTGGGGATGTATATTATGGCAAGTTCAAGCTTTATTCTCTTTTTTAAAAAGCCCAACTTCAAAGATTTTTTAAACCCTTTATTGTGACTCTTTCTACATTCCTCTGTATCCCAATATAAAGTTTAGACTTTTAAATCAATGACTGTAACAAACCAAGTAATATAATTTTATTGTGGCTATTCAAATTTCGAGTTTTTTTCATAAATACACAATGTCACTTTTAATCTAAAACTGCTATCAAAACTGTTAATAGTGAGTCTATTCAACATCGTGATCACAGGCTTGTAGAGAATCTGTTGTGTGCGTGTTTGTTTAGCTTTGCCTGATTTTTGTATCAAGGCAGTTTTTCAGGTGAAAAACCAGAATCTCTAGGCGTTGCTAAAAGCCACACAGAAAGGTACTGTCATAACTCTGCCCCCTGTGATTCAGGCGCTCAGCCCTCACAGACAGCCTCTGGCCCTTCAAAACGGAGATTTTCAGAAAGCACAAGTGAAAAGCATCTTTGTTTCAGCTGTATCTGCCTTTTATCGAGCAGTGGAGGGGCTGCAAACCCACGTCCATCACACCCCGACCACATACCTGGCGCATGCAGGTGATCAGTGGGCTTGGGACATAAACACTCCAGGAAAAAAGGCTAAAAGACTATTTTTTTTAAAAAAAAAAAAAACCCAAAAATCTCTTCCCCACCAATTGGGCGTAACTTTCCAAGGTTTTCTTGTCTGCCTGAAATTTTCCTATTCACTTCCTCCGCAGAAAGATGCAAAATCAATCTGGGGAAAGCCTTAGTGAAGACCCTTTGGCTTCCAAAAACAGGCCGAGCTGGGAGAAGAAGGGAAGTTTTAGGTACCTAATTTCCCAGCCTCAGCAGGACCTGTCACTTGGCTTTACCCTGTGTTTCTCAGGAAGAAAAAATGAGGGTCCTCACTGTCAGTCGTGGGACATATGTGTCTCTGTGTTTTGTCCTTTAGGTGGGAGGTGTGGTGTCCGTGGGACAGAAGTCATTAAGAGCAGAGCTGCTCCTGTAAAATAAGGCCTTCTGTACCCTGTCTGCCCCCGGGGGCTGGTCTGCCCACACAGCCCCTTCCAAGTGCCAATGCATGGATGTGTCTGCCAAAAAAAAAAAAAACAGAATAAACTGAACCAAAGGATTTAATACTTTAAAAGAGAAGCCATGAAACTGCTTTCATCACAGTTCTTCTCTTTTATCTTTGGTGACCAGCTAACAACTTGCAGTGAAAGGAGAACCTATCTGGGCATCTGGAAGCCTAGGTGTACCCAGTGCCTGTGGCTGGCAGGTGGTGGATTAACCCGAGAGGCCTTATTTTCTTGCTCTGTCAGACATAGGTGATACCCAGACCTTATCTTCACAAAGTGAAGAAGCAACAATATATTTTAAACTTCTGGAAAGACCTCTTAGAAAGTTTGTCAGTGTAAGGTTGCGTTTTGGGCATTGGAAAGTAAGTAGAATCAGGTAAAGTTTACCTTTTCGAGCTGAGGGTGAGAAGGACCTTTAAGGACATTCGTTCTGAGCTGCTCCTTTGGCTTTATCCTTCCCGTGCTTATCTGTGAAATGGGGACATGATTAGTACCTATCTTGTAGGGTCATTGTGGGGATGACATGAGATAGATTTATGTGAAGCCCTTGGACTCATGCATGGCACCAAATAAGCACTCGATAACATTAACTGTTGTTGTCGTTATTAATAGATGAGTAAACTGGGGTCTAGAGAGGTGAAATGTCCTGCCCAAGGTCACCCAGCTGGCCCACAGCAGACTTGGGACTGGAATCCACATCCACTATGCTTAGCTGGAAGCAGCTATTTCACCAGCATCCTTGGTCTAGTTGCAGCCAAGAGCTCAGGTTCATGTGCCCCTAATACAGCATGGCATGTGAAACAGTTTTGGTTTGTTATGGCTACACAAGCATGCTCAAGGCCTTTGCCTTTGTGTTTGATGCCCTGTTTTAGTTAAAAATTTAATGAAACTTTCTCTCTTTCTCACTCTCTCTTTCTCTCTGTGTATATGTGTGTGTGTGATGTGACCCTTCCTACATAATTCAGTGTTCTCCTTTTACATTAGTGTATTAGCACGTTGTCACTTTTAACCTTTTACCCACTGAGCTTGGCATTTAAAATGCTATTAAACTCAATAATGTTTCCTATAAACAGCCTTAGAGGGATGAGAAATAATTGGAATGACATTTTTAATAGGCTCCTGGTTCTCAGCCCTGTGTGCTACAGGAACTCAGCTGGTGCTTGCGGAGAGGGACTTGTTAGTGGTTTCATCCCTAGTCTGAGGTCGGGAGAGGGTCATGGAGTGAAGACTTGGGGTGCTAAAGGACCTTTTAAGGCACAGAAGAAGGCTGAAGAAGTAAGTCTGCTCTTGACTAGTGCTTTTTGCTTTTTTAATGGATGGATGTGGTCAATCTAGAAGCTGATCACTCCTTCAGGTGGCTGCAGAAAAGCTTGGAGCCAAATTTCTGGCCACCTTTAGCCAATGAGTAGGACTTCCTGGAATGCATTTTTGTGGATCAGCCTCATTCCTTGCTTCTTTTCTTTGCCTAAAATGCATATTTTTTGTGTTCTTTCCTGCTTCCATTTTACATTACCATTCTATTCTATGTGCAGTATTGTGTGCCTCCTAAGTTTGTTTTTGGGACAAGGTTTTTAAAAAATCAAGTTGAATGTTGCCTTTTCTGCTTGTATAGTTGTGAGGTCTCGGGAGGCTACTTTATCTCTCTGTGCCCCAAATTTGGCTTTTTCATCTATAAACCAGGGAAACTGACACCATCTTGTTGAGATATGGTAATGTGGGAGCAAGCATGGCTGTTTACAGAGAAAGTTGCACTTTTTAGAATGGTTTCTGCTGCTACTACCAGGGGGGCTAGGGATGGAAAAATACTGGGATCTAGTATTTTTGTCATGATTATGGCCGTAGATCCTGTTCTCTCAGAATCATGTTCAGAAAACATGTTAAGCATTCATCTGTAGTCACTAAATATTATAGCTGCTTACAGTATGAGTTTGTCAAATAGGAATTTATGAGAAACCTACTATTCACCCAGCTCTGGGACAGACCGAGAGAGAGAAGACATACAGAGAAGAATAATCGTGGACAGATGACAGGATGAGGGTCAGATAGCTGAGCACAGCACCGACTCTCTCCTGCTTAGTCACTGTGTTCATTTAAGCATTTGCTGAGTGCCGCTCTGTTCTGGGGCAGTTTGAAGCCATCCATGGATGTGCACCTCAAACAAGGCAAGTCAGATCATCAAGGCAGGTCAGATCCCCACGCTCCTACAGCTTATGTTTCCCCAAGGAAGAGACAGTTTAAAAATAAAGATAAATGCTTTAGAGCTGTACACTTAAAATGGGTGATTTTTTTTTTTTGTTGTGTAAATTATACCTGAATACAGTTGTTAAAAAAGAAAAAAAATCTTGGCCCTCATGGTGCTGACGTTCAGGTTTTCCCTGATACGTTTGATCCTTATTATTTGTGGATTTTGTTTTTGCAAATTCGCTTACTTGCTGAGATTTATTTGTAACCCCCAAATCAGCTTCTTTGGTCATTCACAGAGATGTGCAGAGCTGCAAACACTTTTGGGTTGCCCAACACTCACATTCCCAGTTGAGGCCAAACAAGGCGACACTCTGCCTCCAGTTCCGGCTCTCATCCTGTAGACAGATGTCCTTTTCGTAGTCTCTTTAGTGCCACATTTTTTGCATTTTTCTGCTGCTTTTTGGTGATTTCACTATTTAAAAATGGCCCCCAACTGTCATGCAGAAGTGCTGTCTAGCATCCTAAGCGTAGGATGACTATGATGTGCCTCATGGAGATAGCATATGTGGTTAGACAAGCTTTATTCTGGCATGAGTTATGGCGCTGTTGGCCATGAATTCAATGTTAATGAATCAACAATATATGTTAAATTAGGTGTCTTTAAACAGAAACACACATAAAACAAGGTTATGAATTGATCTGTTGACAAAAATGGGACCAGAGGCTTGCAGGAACCTAACCCTGTATTTCTCCCAGGAACAAGGTTTCAGTGTTCACTAATTCAGTGTTTGCAGTGACTTGAGAGAACATAATTCATGTGAATGATGACAGTTAACTGTATATGTTGGGTGAGGGCAAGAATATATGTAGAGCCCACATACCAGATGTCTATCTTCCTTTAAAAAAAATGCAAAAGTTCTCAGACTTGGCAGCGCATTGGAATGCTCTGGGGAGTTTGACAAAATGCCCATGCCCCAAAGAGTCTGGTTTAATTGGCTGGGGTGTGGCTCAGGCACAGAGATTTTAGAAGCTCCCCCAGGGATTCTAATGTGCAGCCGGAGTTGAACACCAGTGCTCTTCCCATTGAATGATAATGTGTCCTAGAAGTGGACCCTGGCCAACTGAAGGAGGCTCTGTGGGGGCCAGCAGCACCTCCTCATACCCGCCCAAGACCCAGAGCCCAGGGCAGGGTGTCCGGTTGGCCCAGCTCCTGCCCTGAGGAGAGGGTCTATCCCCTCCATCCTCCCATCCCCCGTAGTGACCCCACACACATCCTATGCCCACACACAGCTGGAGAGAGGCTTCCCTCAGGAAACCCTGGTGCCATTAAGAGAGGAGAATGGATGGCAGACAACCCAAGCCCCACAGAGGTCTCCACCCTGTGCTCTAAAAGACATGTGCATTTCTTGAATGAAATCAAGTGGGAGATATGTGCCTAGGCAGGGTAGAGTGTTTGGTTTATGCCTGCCTGCTTTCTCCTGGCTCCTCCTTTCTCTCATTTCTTCCAACTCCTCTGATCTTCCTTCACAGGGATTTCAGGCTGAGAAGATGAGGTTTATTTTCAGAGGAGTCATGTCAGACAATATGAAGTGTTAGGTGGTTGGGCCAGGAATGACCTATATGAGTGGAGTTCAGAGAGGGAGAGCCAACATGGCTAGCGTGGGCAGGAGGGGCTCTGTGGCAGAGCTGGATTCAGGTGGCTTAGTGCCTGGAAAGGTCTCACAGAGAAGGCCGTTGATGGTAGAGGACAGCCTGGATGATGGCACTGGGGGCAGCTCCCACGACAGAGGGGGAATAAGTACAGCTGAGTGAAGCTGACTTGGCTTTTGATTTTTCATCTTAAGCAATGAGCCGTTACTGAGCACTTACTGTGTGCATCTGGGCTCCTTACGTAAGAGGGGCTGCGAGGATAAATGGGAACGGGACGGCACAGTCCCTGCCTGTGGGACTGTGAGGAGTCTGATGAGAACTGTGGAGGAGGTGAGAGCCTGATGAGAACTATGAACAAGGGTATGGAAATGATAAATACAGCAGAGCATGACACAGAGTGCATCCGGCAAGCAGAGATCATGCCCCTTGAACAGCTGGGAATGGCTTCACAGAGGTTACAATTGAGGTGGGTCATGAAGGGATGTGTGAGATTCTAATCAGGAGAGCTGTGTGTGTGTGGTGGTGGGTATAGGAAAGGTAGGACGCAAACTGAGAGTGGCTAAAACTCCCCAAAGGAAGTGGTGAGTAGAATATATTGGCTGAAACCCAGCACATCTGTTCTAAAGAAAATACAGGCAGTTGGACAGGAAGGTAGGTCGAGAACACTGAAAAAGGTCTTGACCAAAGGTAATAAGGTTTTAGGGTGGGGATTAGGAAGACCTGTATATTCGGATAGGGCTTGGTGTTTTCTATCACTCCTCTTAGCTAATCTCATTTGGGTTTTTCCCTGCAAGCCTGATAGGACATGTCTAAGGCTGCAGCACAAAGACACGAGAAGTCTTGTCCTGCATCTCTGTGTACAGAGTAAATGACACCCACTGAATGGGATGGGTCTTGTTGACCAGGGGAGTGGGGAGATTTGCTCTTTAAAGGAGAGGGTTGTCTCTAGAGGTAGCTGAGGATAGTGACCTCTCACTGGCATGTCTGGGCAACACAGGGCATCTGTGATGTATCATTCACTCATTTCCATGCTGCCTTTGCCACTGTCCAGTGTGTTTGTCCTCCACCCTATCCCTCACATGTGCATCCTTCAAACCTCTGTTAGAGAAGAACCAGCACCCCTTTATTGACGAGGTGTCTCCAGAGGGCCCTTGGGAAAGGCCTGGTCCTGGGCTGCCTCCTCACCTGGCCTTGCTGCAGGTTTCAGAACAGTGTGGATGGTGGTTCTCAGGCCCACCTGCACATCCGAAACCTCTGGGGAGCTTTGAACAACGCTAGCAGCTGGGCCAGCGCCACACCAGTCTGTAGTACCCAAACTAGCTGAGGTATTACAAGCACCCCTGATTTTATGGACAAGCAGACTGAGGCTCAGCGTATAAGATTACTTGCTGGTAGATACATAGCAAGAAAATGGCAGAGCTGGCATTTGAACCCAGGTAGTCGATTCTTGAGTCCAACCTTCAAACCCCCAGGTTTTGTCATCCCTCCCCTGCTGGCTAAACTGTCACAGTACTGATTTGGCCATTCATAACTAGGTGGCAACCACAGTTTTTTGTTTCACAGCACAACTAAGATTTTAAAGGCAGTTTTTGAAATAAACAAACCAGGAATGTGGGATGTTACTTCTGGCCCCATGCCTCCCAGTAAGGTAGATGTGAAATTAGCAGCTGGAATTCTCTGTTTCTGAAGCTCAGGTGTCGACTTTCAGGGCTGCTCTCCAATGCACAGGCAGCCAAAGTGCTGTGGAAACCTCAGCTAGGTCCTAACCTTCTTGAAGGTTGTGACTTTATTTATTAGTTTCTGTCTTCCACAATGCTGATGCACAGAACTAAACTGATAAATATCTGAATGAACGAATGGCTGACAAATTTGTACTATTCACTTGTGAGCTCCTGTCCTGCCATGCACAGCTTGTTTCATCTCATCTGCAGTGAGTACCAGTCTAGATACCATCTGAGTCCCAGGGTACAGGTATTGAGAGGTATGTCATTAAAGAAAAATAGAACAAAAACTAATGCTAACTCTGCATTAGGCAGAACCGTTCAGTCAAGAGGTTTGAGGGTCTAAGATGTAAAAGGGGCGGTTAGCAGCTTCCACTTGTTTCTTTTGATGTGGCCAAAAGCTAAACTGGAACTCTTTTCCTTTGTTTTACAGGTCACAGCCAAGACTGCCTTTCTATTTATTTTACCTCAGTATAACATTAGCGTGCCTACAGCAGGTAAGAATCACTGGTCTCCATCTTCTCCTGGCCCTGTTAACCCTGAAGGACCTGGAAAGCTTCCTTTTCCCCATCTGTGTACAATTTTTTTTTTTTCCCCCATGACGGAGTCTCTGCTCTGTCACCCAGACTGGAGTGCAGTGGCACAATCTTGGCTCACTGCAACCTCCACATCCCAGGTTCAAGCAGTTCTCCTGCCTCAGCCTCACAAGTAGCTGGGATTACAGGCGTGTGCCACCACGCCCTACTAATTTTTGTACTCTTAGTAGTGAAGGAATTTCACCATGTTGGCCAGGCTGGTCTCGAACTCGTGACCTCGTGATCTACCTGCCTTGGCCTCCCAAAGTGCTGGGATTACAGGCATGAGCCACCACGCCTAGCTGTGTACAATCTTTTTAGATATTTCAACCAGCCTCTGGCAGCCTCCACCACTGAGATTGCAGTGGTGCAGCATTAACCGCTAAGAACTTCCCTCTCTTCTGCTCTCTGTCTTCTTCATCAGAAGAGGACCTGCTGCACCACGTGGTGCTTTGTGCAGCTCCTACTCCTTTCTCCAAAGCATCTAACATTGAGTTCTGTTGGAGACAGGATGTGAGGCATCATGACCATTGATCTGTTCTCCAGAGCATGGCTTCCTTTTAACATTTTCAGAGGAGAATGGGCAGGATGTTGCGTTTTGATAGTGCATGGAAGCATGGTTGGGGCCCAGGGTGCTGCACTCTGACTGGGTTGGGGTAAGGACCAAACCTCAGGCCCAGCCACAAGTCTTGTCACAGGACTGTTGTTAAGGCTCACTGACTAGAGCTGCTGCATCACAAGCTTCCCCCATAGTGGCTGAGCATTTCCAAGCACTTACAGGGAGCCCAGCCAGCATCATGCCAGGTACCAGAGCGGCCTCACAGGCAGTTCCCAGTACAGTTGAGGGGCTACAGCTCAAGGAGCAGCAAGGCCAGGCAGGTAAATCGCTGAACTGGACAGGGGAGAGGGTCTATCTAAAGGAGTAGCTGCTGCTCACTTCCAGCCAATTGTCACATAGGAGTGTAAAACCTGTGAGCCTAAGAGCTTCCTTTTCCACCCCCTACAAAAGAATCCAAAGAAATCTCTTTTTAGGTAGAAATACTCTGATTTTTAAATGTTGCCAACTAATTTAGAAATTCTGCAAACACCATGCGGGTCAACATTGTGTAAACCAAACCAACACATCTGAAGGCTGAGTCCAGCCCTCGGGCACAGGTCTGCAACTTAGGGGTTCTCCGATCCCGCCACCAGCACCAGAGTATCGCTCCTTTCTCAGTGGCAAAGTCCTGGGCAGCCTCTTGATGAACAAAGGAAGGACTTTTGTTTGCTGAACCTAGTTCTTTCCTCTTTATTCTTTTTGTTGTTGTTGTTTGTTTGTTTGTTTGGATGGAGTTTCACTCTTGTTGCCCAGGCTGGAGTGCAATGGCCTGATCTCGACTCACTGCAACCTCCACCTCCCGGGTTGAAGCGATTCTTCCGCCTCAGCCTCCCAAGTAGCTGGGGTTACAGGCATGCGCCACCGTGCCAGTCTAATTTTATGTTTTTAGTAGAGACAGGGTTTCTCCATTTTGGTCAGGCTGGTCTCGAACTTCCGACCTCAGGTGATCTGCCCACCTTGGCCTCCCAAAGTGCTGGGATTACAGGCGTGAGCCACCGTGCCCAGCCTTTTTTTTTTTTTTTGGACGGAGTTTCCCTCTTGTTGCCCAGGCTAGAGTACAATGGCGCGATCTTGGCTCACTGTAACCTCCACCTCCCGGGTTCAAGTGATTCTCCTGCCTCAGCCTCCCAAGTAATTACAGATGTGCACCACCACGCCCGGCTAATTTTTTGTATTTAGTAGAGAAGGGGTTTCAGCATGTTAGTCAGGCTGGTCTTGTACTCCTGACCTCAGGTAATCTACCCGCCTCAGCCTCCCAAAGTGTTGGGATTACAGGCATGTGCCACTGCACCCGGCCTTTTCCTCTTTATAGTAGAGAGGTGACTTGTCTTGACTTTAAGGTGAGATTCTTTTCCTTGTCTGGCTCTGCCAGCTACTAGCTAAAGGACTTTGGGGGCAAATTCCTGAACCTGTGGCTCATGGAGGATATAGCCATGAATCTTTCCTGGGCCCACCATCCCCTGCAGTCACTGTGGCCAGGCTTGGAAGGAAGCCATGCTTTTCTGGGGCAACCAAGTCAGTTTCTTCATCTGAGAGTCAAACTGAGGGACATTGGCAAAAGAGGAAGAAAGCTCTATGCTACTAAAGAGACTGGAGAGCATCTCTGTCCTCAGTGGGCCAGGAAACATGTGGCCAGCACCAGTGGTCAGGAAGCAGACAGATGCCCGCTCATCCCAGGGCACACTCTAGTGCTGGGGGGCACGTGGATGATGTGGCTCAGGGCTATGTGTTCTAAGTCAAATCCGGGCTTATTTACTCTTGCCTCTTGAAAATCCTAATAACAGAGACTTGGCTGTACTCAAGATTTACTGATTTATTTTTTAGTTTAAAAAAATTGTAAAATCTATATAACATAAAATGTACTATCGTAACCATTTGTAAGTGTGTAACTTAGTGGCATTAGGTACATTCACATTGTTGTGCTACCATCACCACCATCTATCTCCAGAACTCTTTTCATCTTGCAGATTGAAACTCTGCCCACCAAACCCTAACTCCCCTTTCCCCACCCCCTCTAGCCCCCAACAGCCCCCATTCCATTTTCTGTCTCTGTGAATTTGACTACCTTAGGTACCTCATATAAGTGAAATCATATATAGTATTTGACCTTTTGTGACTAGTTAAAATTTATTCTTAAACACTTTTTCAAAATACATTTATATGAGTGATATATAACTCTTAGAGAAAAATTATAACACAGAAAACCATAAGAAGATAAAAGTTACACAGGACCCCATCACCCAGAAAAAAACTAAAGTTAGAACGTTTTGGAATATTGATTTATAACACAATTTTTTGTTTTTATAATATGATGAACCTTTTTGTGTGTCCTCGATTATCATTCCATTTAACCAGATATTCTGAAAAGCTGCAGGATGTTTCTTAATAGGGATTACCACAAATTATCCAATCAGCCCCATATGGATATTTAGGTTTCCTGTTTTTATTGTAAATAGTACTACAGTGAACATTCTTGTGGCTAAATTTTTACATTTATTTGTGATGACTTTCTTAGGATAACTTCCTATTACTGGAATTTCTGGGTTAAGTAGTATGTAAAGGTTTTATGTATGTATTGCCAAAATACCTTCTGTCATTTAATACTCATGACCCATAAACCCTAAATTTAAAGTTGTTTTGTAAATATAAAATGCACAGGATTAAAAAAAAATCAGAATACCAGTTTATAAATGTCTATAGAGATAGCCAGTCATCAAACATTGTGCTGGTGTTTTCATTACATTTCTCCCTGAAGTCAACTTACAGGGGATGCTGGATCATACCCCACATACCCAGAGCTGTCTTACTAATTTACCATGAGAAAGAATTATCCTGGAGACCAAAAAAGTTGAAGTGCATGTGATTGGGCATCCTTTTATTATAAGAAGGGCTTATTTGTGAAGCCAGATCATGATCAGAGGGTTGATTTTTGAGTTTGAAACCTTCCCAGAGACATTGGCAGACAAGTGATATCCTCAAGCATTCTTCTCACAACAGCATGAGAAGCATAGACAGCACACTCTAGAGCTGAACTCAGACCCTCTGGGCAGAAAAAGCTTCCTACAATGTTTGAGTAAGGCGGAGTGGGGGTAGTGGAGTGCCACTGTGGATCATGTCATGCCTTCATTTGCTTAATTAATTAATCAAGCTAGGCAAATATTTGTGTGCCTATTGTTAGCCAGGGTCTGGGTGTAAAATAATGTCCAGAACCCATCTGATCTCTGATGTCATGAAACATCATTTATTAGAGAGAGATAGGTAATAAACAAGTAAACAATGAATTAAATTGTAGTTGTAACAGGGTGATGAAGGAAATGTACAAGGTTATGTGGTAAGGAAAAGCAAAGGGGTGGCGACAGAAGATGTTTCTGAGTGTGGGGGTTGTGTTGTGTTGTGAGTAGAGTGAGAGGTCTGGGCAGAAGAAAGCACTCCGGGCACATGGACCAGCATGTGCAAAAGCCCTCAAGTGAGGGCGCAGACACCTCAGGGGGTTCTAGTAACTGTACATAGGCCAGCGTGACTGGAACCAGTGGGGTTTGGCATTTTCCCAGGGTGGCACTATTGAATTCTGCTCCTGGAATCCTCCTCCAGGCCCAGAACAGGCCTGGGTAGAGGAAAAGGTACAGTGAAGTACATGCTAAATGGAGGGGGTTTCAGTTACTTTAGCAAGAGAAGATAAAGTGTTTTAAGTAGCCTGTCTTTTATTTAAATCTTGCCATTTGGGGCTGTTGGAAATAAGACAAGCAAATAATCAAGAGAGACAATGAAATCAGGATAGCCTGCTTAATTTTGTTTTGAGCTTCTTAATCACTAACCCAATATGGTAATGTTTGGTTTGTAAGAACTGGAGGAAAGCAAACTTCTCATGGGAAAAAACACTTTACAATAACAAGTCTGTTAAGGTTGTGATTTTTAAAACCCTCCCCAAAATCTCCTTAGATCGTACTCTACTCTTGGAAATGTACCTTTTTTTTTTTTTTTTTTTTGCATAACCAGGGTAAATTCTGACTTCTAAGGTTTCTTCCTTAAGTAGTGTATAGCTTGCTCAACTCAACATTTAAAACTGAATTTTAGTAGAGCCAGTAACTGTTTTCATACAAGGGGGTCCATCATTTCCAACTCCCTGTGTCTTCCTCAGCGGATGTTTTCAAGTTCTAAGGAACAAAGCTAATAAGTAATGTGGATGAGGCTTTTTCTTGATGGTTTTGTTTTGCTGTAACTCCCTCTTCTTCTATACTCCTTTCTCGTCTTCCCAGCTCCCAGTATTAGTTTCCTAGGGCCGGTGTAACAAAAGTACCACAAACCTAGTGGCTGAAACAATAGAAATTTACCATCCCAGCGTTCTGGATTCTAGAATCCCGAGACCACGGGGCCAGCAGAGGGGCCGCGCTCCTTGGAAGGCTCTGGGAAGGATCTAGTCCAGGCTTCCCTCCTGGCTTCTGGTAGTTCCTTCGCGTGTGAAGTGTCAGTCTTCACACGGACTTCTCCCTGTGTGCGTGTCAGTCTGTGTGTCCAAATTTCTCTTTTTCATAAGGACACAGTCGTATTGGATTAGAGGCCCAACCTACTCCACGGTGACCTCATCTTAACTAACTACATCTGCAGAGACCCTGTTTCTAAATGAGGTCACATTCTGAGATGCTGGGAGTTAGGACATCAACAAGAGTTTTGGTGGAGGTGAGGGAGACACAAGTTTAGCTCACAACACCAGCTATAAATTTATGATTTTGTGCATTATAATCAGCTGGTTAAAAAGATTAAGCTTCATTCAGAGAGATGCACACAGTAGTGGCAGTGATGCATCTTATGCATCCTGGTGGAGCCCCTGCCACCCTGGCGTCCTTGAGGTTTTCTTTAAGGACAACAGTGATGAAGCAGGAAATATTCCTTTACTAACTTCTGCTCTCCTCATTCCTGCTTGCCTTTCTATTAGCGAATAAAAATTCAGGACTGCCAGTTAAATTTTCAGATAAACAATAAATATCTTTTTAAAAGTATAATTACGTCCCAAATTATGTATGAGATAGCATTATACTAGAAAATTAATCATCATTCATCTGAAATTCAAATTTAACTGGCCACAACCATCCACCCTGCTCGGTTCTGGCAAGGAATAAAATATGTGTTTTCTGGTCTTACCATTACACACTCTGAGTCTTCTTTCTAATTAAACTACCACAAAGTATCTAGTGTGTGATCAGAAATGTATAGACTATAAAGGCCAGAAAAGAAAAGTTTGATTCTTCCCACAGGCAGACTCCAGGCCTGCTGGCTTCCTTTCTGATCTAGAACAGGTGAGCCCAAATGGGCTAAGCATTTAGCCACAAGGTTGTCTTGGGTTGTGCTACTAATTTGCTGAATTGTCTTGGGTGAAACACTTAACGCTGAATGGTCTTGGGTGAAACACTTAACACCTGGATCTCCATCTTGCATCTGCAAAATCCAGAGTGATGACCACTCCCTCAGCCCCAGTGGTTCTTGTAGACAGGAAGCCCTGGGAGTCCTCTGAAGGGCTTGCTACTCAGATTTTCCGTAGACCAACACCATCGGCACCACCTGGGAACCTGTGAGAAAAACACACTCTCAGGCCCCACCGCAGACCTGCTGCATCAAAACCTACATTTTAACAAGAGCTCCGGAGATTCCTGTGCCCCGTAAAGCCCGAGAAGCACGGCTTTAAATGAGGTGGGCGAAAATCTCTAGGCTTTCAAATAATCCTACACTTCTAACCTCAAAGGTAGGATAGGGAAACCCCTAAACCCAGTAACTCATTTGCATCTTTCTGTCCTTTTCTAGTTTTTGTTTTTCTATAAATATTTGGTCTGGGAAAGCTGGGGGGAGGTGGGGAGTATCACTGGTGGAGTTGGTTTCCAGCTGGTGCTATACAGCTTCCTAAGAAGTCATGTACACATTTGTGGCTGGGCACGGTGGCTCACACCTGTAATCCCAGCACTTCGGGAGGCCGAGGCGGGCGGATCAAGAGGTCAGGAGATCGAGACCATCCTGGCTAACACGGTGAAACCCCATCTCTACTAAAAATACAAAAAAATTAGCCGGGCGTGGTGGTGGGCACTTGTAGTCCCAGCTGCTCGGGAGGCTTAGGCAGGAGAATCACTTGAACCCAGGAGGCGGAGGTTGCAGTGAGCTGAGACCACGCCACTGCACTCCAGCCTGGGTGACAGAGCGAGACTCGGTCTCAAAAAAAAAAAAAAAAAAAAAAGTCATGTACACGTTTGTAAGGCAGTGTGAGCAGAAGTTCTGGTAGCTTTGATGTTGCTCAGCCTGCCTGCTGCTGCACACCTAGAACACCAAGGCTAAGGTTGAGGGAACTCTTCCAGAGAAAGGTTTGTTTTACAGTGATCAAAGGTAACAAGAATCCATCCCAGAGCCCTGAGGATCCCAGTTGGCTTTATTACTACCATCTGCTCTGTTGCATTTTGCAGCCAGAGATGAAAGGCCTGAGAACCTCCTACACTATAGCTTGGCCATTGTTCTCGCAGCCTCTTCTAGGATGAGACTTGCTGCAGTCAAAACAACCTCAGACAGATGGTTTTAAAGCCTCATTCAGCCAAAGGCCTTTTTCCAGGGCTCAAAATGATTCTTGTTCCCTTTGCTGGTTGGCAGGAATTAGTGTTGTCTCCTGCTTGTATCATATACTTGAAAGATTGACATCACTTATCAAGCTGAGCCCCTCTTTGTAAGATGAGCTCATGGGGGTCAAGAAAGGAAAGAGACAGGTGGGCAGCGGTGGCTCTGGAGATGGAAGCCATACTTGATTACGGATGAAAGCTACCTAATCTGTGGCCCATACACCTGGAGGAGACTTGAGACTCATCTAGTCTGGCCTGCTCCTTTTATAGCCAAGGAAACTGAGGCTCAGAGAATTGATTGGTGCTCCCAAGGATGCACCAGCGAGAGCCAAGGAGGGGCTGGGGTGCTCACACCTGTACAGCACCAGGGTTCTGGAAAGCTTTAGAAAAGCTGGGTTTATCAAATGGGGCAGTGGGCATAGGCAGTCCCAACCAGGGAGGTAGAGACTTGGCTCTGTCCTGGCCCTGTTGAGCCAAACAGCCACAAAGCTCTCTGGCCCTGAGGTTCTGTTTGTATGAATAAGAGAAAAACCACGGCCCCCAGTGTCCCTGGCCTTATTGGTTGGCCATCTGAAAAAGAATGGGGAGCCTCTGACCCAGGTCTTATGGCCAGCCCTGGACTTGATTTTTTTTTCCAATAACTAAAACTTATTAAGTGTAACAATTGTGCAGAAAGGTGGACAAATCATGTGTTCAGCTCAATGAATTTTCACACACTGAACACCTCCGTGCAACCTAGAAGTGTCTTCTTCAGACGCAGCTTGATTTTTATGCAATTCCCTGTCGTAGCTCTGATAATTTATCCCATTCCATGTGGAGCTTGTGGCAGTTTAAATAAGCAGAACCACAGAGTGGCTGTGGCTGATTGTTAACCAGCCTGAAGCCTGCAGTCAGCGGGAACGGTGGCCAGCACCTGCTGACCCACATCTTTGAACTGCTGCACTGAGCCCCCAAATGTCTTCTCCTAGTGAATCATCTTGCTCTTCCTCCCACCCCACCCCACCCCGCACCCTTTCTGACCTGGACCCCACCCCACATCTTTACTTGAATTTCACTTTCCTATTTCTCCTGATCAAATCGTTTCTTCTACCTAGGTAGGATAATTTTTTTCTTTTCTTTTCTTTTCTTTTTTTTTTTTTGAGATAGAGTCTTGCTCTGTTGCCCAGGCTGGAGTACAGTGGCACAATCTCTTCCCACTGCATCCTCCACCTCCTGGGTTCAAGCTATTCTCCTGCCTCAGCCTCCCGAGTAGCAAGGACTGCAGGCGCCCGCCACCACGCCCGGCTAATTTTTGTATTGTTAGTAGGGATGGGTTTCACCATGTTGGCCAGGTTGGTCTGGAACCCCTGACCTCAAGTGATCCGCCACCTCGGCCTCTCAAAGTGCTGGGATTACAGGTGTGAGCCACCATGCCCAGCTGGATAATTTTTTTTTCTAATCAGTTGTTTTGACTGAAATAATTTTTGTCAATTTAACAGTGGGTTTGTTGAAATTGTTATTTTTTCTGTAAGTTTAAAAAAAAAGCCTTAATTAAAAAAAATTTTTTTGTATGTGATTCTTGAGAGATTATTTTTTCTTTATAGCTCTCAATGAATTTTAAAAAGTTCACACCTTCCCCTAGCTGTAAGCATTCTTCACGTGAGGCAGCCTATGGAATGCATGTGTCATGCCCAGGCGATGTTGTATGCAGAAGCCACAGAACTTTGAAGTACAGTGGAGTCTGTAGTATGTGCCTGGCACCTAGGAATCCTTGTATATTTCTTTCTGGAAAGCTACAGGGAGGGTTACAGCTTTATAAAAAGGAATGGTGCATCAAGAAAGCAATGCAGGCCGGGTGCAGTGGCTCATGCTTATAATCCCAGCACTTTGGGAGGCCGAGGTGAGCAGATCACTTGAGGTCAGGAGTTTGAGACCAGCCTGGCCAACATGGTGAAACCCAGTCTCTATTAAAAATGCAAAAAAATTAGCTGGGTGTGGTGGGGCACACCTGTAATTCCAGCTACTCAGGAGGCCGAGGCACAAGAATCGCTTGAGCCTGGGAGGCAGAGATTGCAGTGAGCTGAGATTGTGCCACTGTACTCCAGCCTGGGCCAAAAAAAACAAAAACAAAAAGCAATGCAGAAACCTGGGATCTTATCAACTTCTCTTCAGCCCTTCATTCATCTTTGCTACATTGTTTTATGTCATGGAAGTATCCTTTCTTTATCTTCCTTCCTTACTATAAAAATGGAGAAAATATATTACAAAGCATGCAATGTGGGGTTAAAATGGTAACTCTGAAGATCTGTCAGATCTTTAATTCTCTGGCGTGTGTGTGTGTGTGTGTGTGTGTGTGTGTGTGTGTGTGTGTGTGTGTGTGTGTGTCTGTCTGTGTGTATTTCCTAGGATGGCCATAACAAAGTACCACAAACTGAATGGCTTAAACAACAGAAATGTATTGTCTCACAGTTCTGGAGACCAGAAGTCTGAAATCAAGATGGTGGCAGGGTTGATTCCTTCTGAGGGCTGTGAGGGAAGGATCTGTTCTAGGTCTCTCTTGGCTTGTAAATGGTCGTCATCTCCCTGTCTCTTGTCATCACCCTCCCTCTGTTTGTGTCTGTCTCTGTGTCTAAATTTCTCCCTTTTTAGAAGACCACCAGTCATATTGAAACAGGTCCCACCCTAATGACCTCATTTTAATTTATCTCTGTAAAGACTCAATCTGAATTAGGACAGGAGTCTAGCTCTGTCACCCAGGCTGGAGTGCAGTGGCACAATCTCGGCTCACTGCAACCTCCACCTCCTGGGTTCAAGTTATTCTCCTGCTTCAGCCTCCTGAGTAGCTGGGATTACAGGCACCTGCCACCAAGCCCAGCTAATTTTTGTATTTTTAGTAGAGATGGGGTTTCACTGTGTTGGCCAGGCTGGTCTTGAACTCCTGATCTCGTGATCCACCCGCCTTGGCCTCCCAAAGTGCTGGGATTACAGGCCTAAGGCACTGCACCTGGCCCAAATATTTTTTAATGGAGGTACAATTCAACCCATAACAGCCTCTGTGTGTGTGTGTATCTGTGCTTATGTGTCTGAGAACTATGGTGATGCTTGTAGTTAAAACACCACTGGTCACATCTTCTAGGTTGGGAGGCCACAGAGGGAGTAGGCCAGCAGCCTGGAGAGTGGGGACAATGCTGCCCTTGGAGGCTGCTTGCCCCATGCCTGTCTTAAGCTCCTCTTTTTTCCCTGCCACCTGGGGGAGTGGGGCAGGCCTTCAGGGTTTAATGAGGGCACCTTCTGTGTGATTTGAAGGGGTATCAGGAGGCAGAGAGGCCTGATGGGGAGCTAATGGATTTGGCCCTGGCGTCAGTAGCACAGCTGAGTCCTGGCCCCACTGCTGCCTAGCTGCAGGTCCTGGGGGCACAGCGACTGCTCACCTCTATGCCTCAGCTGCCATGTCAGTAAATGGAGATAATCCCGGGATTACTCTGAAGAGTAAATGTTCCCATGAGAGGTGCTCAGTATCATGCATGGATAGAGCAAGTGACTCTTCTGTTCCTTTAGCGTCTGATTGTTTCTGTTGGAAGTAGGCATAATACTTTCATCTATTTGCATAGCACCTTACAGTGTGTAGCTCTGTGAGAAAAGGTAGATGGTTTTATCCCATTGTTCAGAAGGGTTAACTGAGACAGAGGGACCCTGGGTCATATGACAGACAACTGATGGCTCCAGAAGTGAGCTCCAGGTCTTTTCATGCCCATTCTCGCTCCCTATGGAAGAAAAAAAAAATAGAGCAACAAGGTAGAGAAGAAGACACCACTTTATCTGTACAAAGCAGGAAGAATTTGAAGACTTACTTAAAAATTGTTTTTTGAATAGAAATACATTCACACAGTTCAAGTATAAATCTGTATTAAAACACTTTCCTGTACAGCTCTAACCTAGGTCAAGGTTTTTTGTACCGATTGAACCTAGACCAAGATAGAGTATTTCCCACTTCCTAGCTTCCCTGTGCCCCATCCAGTCCATGACTACAGAGGGAGAGAGTCTTGTTCCCACCCTGCCCTCCGTCCCTTTCACACCCCTACTCCCTGTGGGCAGTCCCTGTTGTGTCTTGTGTACCCACCCCCCGCCCCAAGAATTTCTTAACTGGCAATCCAGAGTTGCTTTATGCAAATACAAATGCATATTTTTCTTTCCTGCCCTTTCTTACATAAAAGATGGAATACTATATGCTTCTTCTGTACCTGGCTTTTTTCTCCACCAAATAATGTATCCTAGATATCATTTCATATCAATATGCAGAGAGCGTCATCAACTTTCTAAAAATGTGTTTTGAGGTTTAATGCAGCTCTAGCCTAGATCAAGATACAGCACCCCAGCTTCCTTCTGCCCCTTCCAGTCAGCACCCCTCCTAAAGTAACTGGTATTCTGATTCATAAATCTCTCAGTTACAGTTTTACCTGCTCTTGATTTCATTTCTCTCTGATGTTTTTAAATCGCTCTATTGCTTACATAAATATTTTTTAAATTTTTGCTGGGTCAGCATCACCTGGAGGTGTAGTTAAATACAGATTTCTACTTTAAGTTTCTGAGCCAATAGGCCTGGGGTAGGGCCCAAGAATGCGTGTTTTTAAGCTCACAGGTGTTACTGATGCTATTGGCCCATGGCCACATGTTGAGTAACCCTGGTGTATTATAACTATATCTACCAGTTCCCTATAGATAAAACAACATGGGTTGTTTCCATTCATTTACCATTAAAAACAGTGCTGTGGTGTGTAACCTTGTACACACGTCATTTTGACTGTAGCAGGTACCAGCTGCAGGATAAATTTCCAGAAGTAGAATTGCTGCATCGAAGGATTGATGCGTTTGTAATCTCAACAGAAATTGCCAAATTGCCCTCCAAAGAGGTGGTACCGTTTTACATTCCTGCTGGCAGTGTGTAAGAAAGAGTCTGTTTCCCCACAGCCTTAGCAAGAATATATTGTCAAGCTTTGTATTTTTGCCAATCTGATAGGTATGAAATGGTATCTTAGTGTAGCTTTAATTTGCATATCTCTTCTGTGTAAGGCTGAGCATTTTTTTAAATGTATAACAGCCATCTTTTCTGTTTCTTTTTTCTGTGGCTTGTCTGTTTATATCCTTTGTTCATTTCTACTCGATTTTTAAAAATCCTTTTATTGTGAAATTATAGCAACTTACTACATATTAGCAAGATTAGCCCTTTGTCTCTGATCTGAATTGTAAATATTTTCCCCAGGTGATCATTTGCCTCCAGATTTTGTTTGTGGTGGTGTTTCCATATCTAATTCTGGATTTATATATAGTGTAAAAAATTCAAAATAATACGAAAACAGAGTTGGCTCTTGGCACAGCAACCAATAGAAGAAAATTTTACAAATCCAGATTTGCAGGGATTCGGAAAGAAACTAGGAGTACAGTGATGCTCTTTAAACAACTAGCTTTCAGACAAAAGAAGAAGCTTCTAGGGCAGATGCCTGCCCTGGCTCACATGAGTTCTCAGAAGCAGATGGGATGTCAGTAAGAAGTGGACACCAGCTCAGGTTGTGCAGAGGAGGTCAGAGACCGCACAGTGGGATCCAGACAGGACTGGGAAATGTAAAGGCAGGCAGGAGAAGCCGCTTGCAGGTGACCTCAGAAGGAAACAGGAAAATATCTATTAGTCATAGGAAACGGAGCAGGAGGTCAAGCAGAATGTGACTCCCCAAAAGGGACAGCTGCTCACAGAGGTTGTCAAAACAGCCAAGATTCTGATTATTTCAGGTCTCTCTTTAAACTGTAATCAAAGATAAGCAAAGTAAGTGTCATTTTTGATGGGAGGTGGGATAACCCACTACAGTAGGAAGGTCATTATTGAAGGTGCTTTTTCCCAAAGCTAGATTAATTCCTACACTAGAGCATATTGGCGTACTCCATAGGGTTATATAGGAAGAAGGCTCATAGAGTATTGGTGTTGGAAAGGTATCAGGGGTCATGAAGGTTGGAGGTTACAAATCTGTGGCCTGTAGTCAGAGTTGGCCTACAGATGTGTTTTCTTTGGCCAGTCTGGTGTTGGCCCATGCAGTGTTTTTAAAAATTTCGAATTAGTCACCAGCATTTTAAAATCAGATGATTTCACGTAAAGATTTTTCTTTGCTTTTGAAACATTGGGACTCCAGCCACTGGGTTGCGCCTCTCCTGCAGCCACAGTGGCTGAGATGCAGCTACGCCACTGCCTCCCTCACCCCTGTGGGACACAGTGTGGGGTGTGCCCCTCCTCTCTAGTGTGTTCCTGACATCGAGGCTGCCAGTTACTACTGTTTATCTCAGTTTTAACGTGTATTTATTTTAGTAAGGTTAAAAGGTCAGTGGATATCTCTTAAACTTGTTTCTCTCAAAGTGGAGATGTGAAAGATAGACCAGAGGGTGATATGTTTAAAGAAAAGCAGTGGAAAGCATATTTCTCTGTGGAAGTGAAGAATATGACCTGCTTAATGCAGTGGGCCTCTGTATTGAAAGCAGCTATCTTAAGACACCTGGACCACCTGGCTCATTTGTGCTCCCCCCGGTCCCTGTAGGCGTTTTGTTTTGATCCAAAATCAGAGTCACCTCTCTGGCCTCATAGGCCAGAGATGTGCTGGACTTATTCTTCTAAAAAAATAGAATAGATTATTGCCAAACGATTGCTGTTCTTTTTGAGAGCTCATGCACGACAGGGGCAGTCTATGAGAAGTGGGAGCTCTAACCTGGGTCGTGTGAGGATTTTTATTTATTTATTTTTATTTTATTTTATTTTATTTTGTTTTGTTTTATTTTATTTTATTTTATTTTATTTTTTTGAGATGGAGTCTCTCGCTCTGTCTCCCAGGCTAGAGTGCAGTGGCGCAATCTCGGCTCACTGCAAGCTTCCCCTCCCGGGTTCACGCCATTCTCCTGCCTCAGCCTCCCGAGTAGCTGGGACTACAGGTGCCCGCCACCACGCCCGGCTAATTTTTTTTTGTATTTTTAGTGGAGACGGGGGTTTCACCATGTTAGCCAGGATGGTCTCGAGCTCCTGATCTCTTGATCCGCCTGCCTCGGCCTCCCAAAGTGCTGGGATTACAGGTGTGAGCCACCGCGCCCAGCCTTGTGTGAGGATTTTTATAAGAATTAGTGGCAACCAAAATTTAAAAAGAAAAAAAAATCAAAAACATCAGTTTGTTTGTAGGCATCTGGAAGGGGACAAAGGTCCAACCTCTATAGTTCTATGAAAACAGGGCCAAACCAATTTATTACTACGTTTGCACCAACCTACTACTTTCCTCCTCTGATCAAAAGTAGGAAGATAGGGCTGGGTGCAGTGGCTCACACCTGTAATCCCAGCACTTTGGGAAGCCAAGGCAGGTGGATCATCTTAGGTCAAGAGTTCAAGACCAGCCTGGCCAACATGGCAAAAACACATCTCTACTAAAAATACAAAAAAAAAAAATTTGCCGGAACTGGTGGCCCGCGCCTGTAATCCCAGCTACTTGGGAGGCTGAGGCAAGAGAATTGCTTGAACCCGGGAGGTTGTGGTGAGCCAAGACTGCGCCATTACACTCCAGCCTGGGTGACTCTGTCTCAAAAAACAAAACAAAACAAAAAGTAGGAGGATAGCAGGTAAGGAGGGAAACCATGGAGATAATTTGTGCGAATCAGAATATAGCTTTTGATTATTTGTGTATGAAGCTGTTCCTTATGATTGTAGGAGTAAGAGGTCAGAGGAATGGTATATTACCAGAAATGGAGCTGTGATGGGGTGGGATGGGGGGCTGTGTTGACCTTGAGGTGGCATTTGGTGGCTGGGTTCTAGGAGTGAGGAAACCCAAGAAACGGACTGTGTCCCTTAACTCTGTGAACTCTTTCCTCATTCACTTTCCTTGCTTATCTCATGAGATAGTTAGGATGATCAGACGAGATAATGCATGTTGCAGAATTTTAAAACCATGAAAGAGGCTATAGAATATAGGTACTGTTCCAGAAGGAACTTGAGAATCCATCCGCGTAGCCAGCTGTTAGCTGGTTCTTTTGATTCCGTCACTGACTCTATCCGACGCCCATCTCTTCTCCGATTGCTCTGCCTGGAATTCCCACGGGCACCTTCTGACTGCTCTCCTGGCTTCCAGCCTTGCCACTCTAACCCATTCTCCCTGTGGCAGGAAGAGAGGTCTCTATGAACATGTGACGAAAATCCTCCAGTAGCTCTCATTCCTTTAGGGTACAGTCCGCATGTCTTGCCCTGACCTCTAAGGGGTGCTTCCTGATCTCCCACCTCTGCAGGTCCCCAACCTTCTGCTCCACACCCCCAGCCTTCAGTCCACTTCAGAGCATTGACACAGCTGGCTGTTGTTGTTTTTTAAATTGTAAAATACACATAACATAAAACTTACCATCTTAACCATTTCTAAATGTACAGTTCAGTATTGTTAAGTACATTCACGTTATTATACAACCAATTTTCAGAACACTTTTCATCTTGCAAAACAAACCCCGTACCCATTAAATAGCACCTTCCCATTCCTCTCACTCCCAGCCCTTGGTAACCACCATTTTGCTTTCTGTCTCTGAATTTGACTAGTCTAGGTAACTCATATATAAATCGAATCATACAGTATTTGTCCTTTTGTGACTGACTTATTCAACTTAGTCTAATGTCCTCGAGGTCCACCCATGTTGTAGCATGTGTCAGAATTTCCTTTTTTTTTTTTTAAGGCTGAATCATCTTCCACTGTATGTATACAGCACATGTTGTTTATTCATTCATCAATCCATGGACACCTGCGTCGCTTCCATCTTTTTGGCTGTTGTGAATAGTGCTGCTATGGACATGGATGTACAAATATTTTATTGAAATCTGGCCTTCAATTACCCCAACACTCAGAAGTGGAATTACTGAAATATGTGGTAATTGTATTGTTAACTTTCTGAAGAATCACTATACTGTTTTCTGCAGTGGCTGTACCATTTTACATTCCCACCAACAATGTACAAAGTTCCCAGTTTCTCCACATCCTCACCAATACTTGTTGTTTTTCTGTTTTTTGCTTGTTTGTTTTTTCCTCATTGTAACCGTCCTTATGGGTGTGAGGAGATAACCTTGTTGTGGTTTTGATTTGTAGTGCCCTAATGATGAGTGGTGTTGAGTATCTTTCATGTCTTTATTGGCCATTTGTATTTCTTCTTTGGAGAAATGTCTCTTCAAGAACTTTGTCCCTTTTAGAATCAGGTTGTTTGGTTTTTGTTGTTGAGTTACAGTTCTTTGGCTGCTGGTGTTTAAGTGTACAAGGATGTGGTGTGTACCCGCTAAGCTCCAAGAGGGCAGGGGCTGTGCCCACCTTGCTCACTGCCGTCTCCCAGTGCCCAGCATGGAGCCCTGTGCGTGGTTCGTCAGCCAATGAGGATGCATGTGCGCAGGTCTCAACAGCAGAGGAACACGAGTCTGTGTTTATTTCTACATTCATTCTAGTTTCAAGAAGGATTTCAGATTATAGTCATATTTCTTTGGAACCCTAGTATTTGGTATCAAGAATGGCAGGTGACCCTCGTAAAGGGCTTTAAAATGGATAATCTAAGGTCTTGTCAGGTACTGTTTCACTGATTTTTGGACTGTGCTTGTTTGGTTGAGTATAAATCCCATTATGCCTAGTAAGGATGATCTTGATGATGAAACTATGTTTAGTTATTTTATAATTTCAAAATATGCGGCCACCTAATTGGTCTCTTTATGAAGAAGGCAAGGAAAATGTAATCCTGGCGTCACATGTGGTAGAGTGGAGAGGCTGGGCCATGAGTCTCCTCTCCCTCATCTTCGTGTCTTCTCCTCGGGTGTTCAGTGCCTGACTCCCCATCCTGGATCCCAGCCCTTCGGTCCTCAGTGGCCAAGGCTCATCAGCTCTCTCTCACTGACAGCCCTCCTTCTCCCTTCCTCTCTCTTCTCCTGCCTTGATTCAGGCCCTGTGGCTTCTTACCTGGATCACAGGAACAGCTTTCTAACCGGTGTCCTTACCTCTGGGCATGTTCACTGCTGCCAGAGTAAATGTTCCAAAACGCAAATGTCATCATTTTCCTGTTTAATTTGAATTCTTCAATATTTCCACGTTGCCTTCAGGATAAAGTCCACACCCTTTTACATGGCACACAAGGCCACGCACAGCAGCCCGCCGCTCACCACGGTGACCTCCCCTCCGCCCCCAGCAGTCCAGCCTCAGTCCCTTCATTCTTTGTGGATGCTGCTTTCTCTGGCTAGGATGTCCCCAATACCGGCCTCTCCTGCTGGTCCCCGAGTTCCAATGCCGTTCTGTTCACCCTGACCAGTGAACAGTTTACCCACAACCTCCACCCTAGCCAGAGTGGGGCCCTCGCCTGCTGTGGCTCACTGTATGTGCTTCTCAGGAGCGCTGCCCGTCTGTAGTGTAATCGTACATCTGTCTGTTAGTCTCCCTGCTGCACTGTATGTTTTCCAACCGGGGGTGGTGTCTTTTATCTCCATGTTTCAACAGTTAGCCCAGTGCCTCTCACAGAATAGGTCTTTGTGGAAAGGAAGAGGGAGAGGAAAAAGGAAAGTTTGTCTGATTTCCAAGATCATGTTCTCTCTGTCCTCGCCACCTCCTCCCACCCCCTCACCACTGCCCACCGTTACATTCTCCCAGTCTAGGGTGGCTGAGATTAGGGTGGACTCCCAGAGTGACCCAATCAGCTTGACTTTGTTCCCTGGCCACCCTGAAACAAACTGAGCCTGGCTACCTTCTGGTAAATGCATCCCAGCAGTGAGATGACTCATGTGTGTGTGACTCAGAGCGAATGCAGCACAGCTGGAGAGCAGCCATTTGCCTGGTGGAGGTGGGGGTTGCAGAGAGCAGCCCAGACCCAGGCACACGGCCACCAGGCTCACAGCCCCGCAGCCTGCTGCCCACTGACTGGAGCAAGGATGCAGATTCTCCTCTGTCCACAGGCTGCAATGGCGGAGTTTCACAAGATTTCTATACCTGGGATGTTGTCTAATTTATTACTATTTAATTGTATTTTAATAAGCCACCATTTATTGCAGACTTACTGTAAATTGTTGGTACTGTTGTAAGCAAATTATCTCATTTGATCCTTGCACTAGCCCAACAACAAAAATAATAGCAAGTGCATATATAGCACTTAACTATGTGCCAGACACTGTTCTAAGCACTTCGCATTTATTCATTTAATTCTCATAATAAACTTACTATGCAGGAAATGTTGTCCTCATTTTTCAGATGAGAAAACTGAGGTACAGAAAAGTCACACATGGAGATACCCCTGGGTCACATAGGACAGAGCTGCAATACAAACTGAAGAGTCCAGCTTCTGAGTCCACATTTAGCCCTTACGCGGTGCTTTCTTGAGAAAGCATAACTATAGTCCCATTTTACAGGGGAGGAAACTGAGGCTCAAAGAGGTTAGTCCTTTATCCACAGTCACACAGTTAGGGAGTGATAGAGCCAGTGATGGGGATTGGTGGTCTCTAACCCTGGCTCTGTTATAACCACTGTGCTCTGCTGCACAGACTCAGGAGATACTGTTATGACAATACAGCCATGCACTTGGTTCTCCTTAGCCATCTCCATTGGTGCTTCCAAGTGCTAAGACCAGAGGGTGGGCAGGATTCTGGGGCAGAAACCTTCTTCTGAGTCTGAGGCTATAGCAAACGGGTAGCATTTGATGGCGCATTTCGCCTCCCATCTCATTTCAGTTTTGGGTCCCAGAGTATTTCCTTCCCCCAGGGATGCTGATGGGACTTTTATTACCTCCACAGACAGTGAGACCGTGCACTACCACTATGGCCCTAAGGACCTGGTCACAATCTTGTTCTACATCTTCATCACCATCATCTTGCATGCTGTGGTTCAGGAGTACATTTTAGATGTAAGTGACATGTCTGGATTCTGAGATCAGAAGCTGGGGAGGTGCCTTGGGGTGGAGGACCTGGCCTTGGAGGAAACTGCAGCTCTGCACCCATTCATCCTCCAACTTGCTTGCACTGGTTGGGTCTATTGCCTGGGCTTCCTTCACCACACTTTGGTTTCTGTTCACAGCCTCCTTTAATCAGCACATGGGACAGCAGTATTTATTACACAGAGAGAAAGCTGTCTGGAGATGGTGTCCTTATGGGTCTGGGGCACATTGAGTAATTGGGGTTATTTTCTTTACACATAGGCTAGAGACATTCATCTTGCCACTTTCTCAAAATGCTTGCCTTAGACCAAGCACTGTATGCACGCAGTAGGCTTACACCAAATGACTTGGATTATGGCCAGCTGCAAACTTCTAACGATGTTCAACCCTTCTGTGGGGAGAATACAAGAGTTTGAAACCTGCCCAATATGGATACATTTGTATATTAATATGAGGGGTTTTCTTTATTCTTTAGAAAATCAGCAAACGGCTTCATCTCTCCAAAGTCAAACACAGCAAGTTCAATGAATCTGGACAGCTGGTCGTCTTTCATTTCACCTCGGTGATTTGGTGCTTCTACGTGGTGGTGACGGTGAGCCATTCTCAGGACTGCTGAAGCGGGAGAGCTCAAACCAAGGGGCAATTCCAGCTCTGGGATTGCTAATCAAATGACTGCAAAGGACCCCTTGCTCTTTTTCTTTTTCTGTTAAGGGGAACAAGTTTCTTAGAACCTTCTTAGCTTCTTAGAACTGAAGCTATGTTTGCATCCTCATGGTATTACAGAGAGATGCCATTTTATAGCTGGAGAGAGTCATCTTGGCCAACAGTCACCACTTGTTATAATCATTATGCAATACTGCAGTAATGATACCATGTATCTACATAATACTGTATTGTTTTACAAGGCTCTTCTACAAACACTGTCCCATAAGATACATTTGATGTTCATTCTGATACCCATGTTACAGATTGAAGAGTTCCAAGCTCAAATTTTGCAGTATGCCTGTGGTTCTGTGGTTTTGAAACAGCAAAGGATAGTTTGGACTTGGAGATAGAGTTCCAAGCCCAGCTTACTCTCTGTTTTACTACCTTGGCCTTCTATAAACGAGGCCAGCCTCACTCTGTCAGCTCATCAAATCCTGTGAGAGTCAATGCCGTTTCAACAAATGCCTGCAGGACCAGACAATTTTCCCCTCCTTTCTATGTAAACAGACTCTTATTTCAAGCAGCCTTTGATACAGCAAAATTCCCTCATAGAAAGGAATGTGGATGGTCCTTTGGAGTTTCCTGTAACAAGACCTTGCCTGTCCTGCTAGGAAGTATTGAGTTAGTACCCACCACCACCTGGAGCTCTACCTTCCTGTAACCTGGCCCCCTGAGAAATCCATGCCTGGGTCTTGGAAAATTCAGCAACCCTGTGACCTCTTTAAGATTTCCTTCCCGGCCTTCCACAGATCCCTCACTTTCTTCCTCTTCTTTCAGTGACAGTGATGGGCGCTCCCATCACAAGGAACTCTGTCTCCAGAGTTGAATGTTGAATTCCTATTCTCAAAGCCAGAGTCAACGTGTCCTTTTGTACATTGTTTTTATTCCTATTATCATTTCATCATAGAGCAGCTTTCCTAAGCAGAATACTAGGAATTTTAAATGGGGGGCCCAAGACTTCTGTCCTCTCAGGCAAGGCTGTCACAGTCCCAGGGGCAGATTGACACTGTGTGAACAGTGCATCCCTGCTGTTGTGCCATGCACACAAGTCCCTAGACTTCCAGGTTTCAGACCACACCCAGTCCCTTGACGTTCAGTTCATGCCCACCCCCGGAGGCCTAAGCTGCTTTGAAGCAGAACAGCCTCAAGATACCAAAGACGCCGTTCAGGAGGATTGCCTCATCTCTGAATCACTTTTACCCTTTCAACTTCACCCCCAAACATTCCACCCCAGCTGTGACACGTGGCGACCAGATTTGGAGGCTAGAGCCAAGTTGCTTAACACGCCTTCCAGGGTGTGAAATGCTCAACAGCTCTGTCTTTGCCTCTCTCAGTTCTTCAAGGATTTGAACATGATGCTAATTAGTTTGAGAGCACATAGGCTTTTCTTGGGGAGGCACATAACAGTTTTTTATTCTGGGAAGAGCCAGTTCCCCACTCAACATATTCAATAGGCACAGAGACCAGGGGACCACGGAAAGCTCCAGTGACCCCCGACCCCCGCCAACTCTTCCTAACAACATTTGACTCCTTGCCCTCCTCCGTTGGAACTGTGCTTCCTGGAAGGAAAGTGATTGAAGAAGAAGAGATGTAGTTCTGTAAAAGGCATAAAAACAGCTTGTTTTTTTAAAAAAATAATATTTTTCTGTTATGATGCAAATTTTTTCATGACTCTTCTTTCTCTCACTCTCCACAGTCATTTCATCGGCAGGTCCTGCCAGCTCTGCCTCCCAAACACATTGAGACTGTCTGCTGCTTTCTGCCTGCACCACCAACCCTAGTCTAGTGACCTTTGACCAGGGGAGATTTGGGCCTGTAGGGGACATTTGGCAATATGCTACTGGTATCTAGTGGGTGGAGGCCAGGGATGCTACGATATGGCGTTTAATGCACAGGACAGCCTCCACAACAAAGAACTATCTGGCCATAGTGCCAAGATTGAGAAACCTCGATCTGTATAGTCCAAGCCACCATCATCTCTTGCCTAGACACTAAATATCTTTTTTCTAGAAGGAGACTGTTTCCACTCTTGTACCCTCCCACCCCAATCCATTTTCTGCTCAGCCAGATGGATCTTTTAAAACAGAAATAAAACCATACATTCCCGTGCTTAAAAGTCCCATCACACTTGCAGTGAAATCGTTTTTTCCTCCCCATTCATGTGATCTGGGCCCTGCTAATCTTGCTGGTCTCATCTCACTGGCCACACCCCCACTTTTGGCCTGGCTGTTCTGCATCCTGGGCTTTGTACTGGTGATTTCTCTGCTCAAGGGCTCCATCCCCTGCCATCCCATGGCCAACTCCTTCTTGCCATCCAAGTCTCTGCCTAAATACCATCTCCTCAGAGAACCCCCCACCAATTTGCATTTTCTGCACTGTGCCTGTTGCTGGTGCTTCTCTTGATTGTGTATTCTGTATTCTCTGTTTCTCCCACTAGATTCTGAGCTGCCTGCTAGCAGGCACGGTGCTCACTGCTGTATCCCTGGTATGGTGCCTGGCACATACTAAGTGCCCACTAAATGTTGGCTATGAGAATGAGTGAATAAACTGCAAATGCATCTTCTCTCTCCAGCCTTCAACATTTTTAAAGTAATGAATTGGTTGTTTTAATAAATATCATAAATGATCATTTTTTAAAAAGTGAACAATATAGAGAAGTTCAAAAAAGCAAATTCCTCCCACCAGAAATACCAGTATTATTCTGGTGTTTGATTGAAACATTTCTCTCTGCATATATAGAGGCAGAGCAGTGGGAGTGTGGCTGGACCGCCAATAATTTTATAGGAATGTCAGCCTCCAACTTTTAATCTACCTTTGATCGACTACTCATTGTTGAGGGAAAAAGAAAAAAAACACTCCACTGGAGAAAGCAGGATGGGTGGGCGTTTGGTCTTCCCTGTCTGACTTCCTTGCTATATTTGGCTTCATCTTTTAGAACCTAAAATCCACCGTAGATTTTAGAACCAAGTAGAGGGAATGTCCTTAATGCTGGTGCTTGTACCAGGACCGGTTTCTACTAACAGACTAGTTGCTTTAGGGCAGATTTTTAGTGCATGGTTGTTCTGATGGTCAAATAATATAAGGTATGTCTGAATTTATGTAGCACTTGCCTGTGCTATATCTGAATTATGCTGTTCTTCGTGGTTGTGTTTGTTCACACACCAAAAGGAAGGCTGCTGGGGAAACAGGAGGGATCTCTCCACCTTGTTGAGGCCTTGCTTAGCTCATGGGTGGATTTGTAGAATCGAGAGAACAAAGGATTTCAAAAGCCTCTCCAAACCATCTGCTGGGGCCTGTCAGTGGATGGGATTTGGGGTGGGTTTCAGGTGCTTGCTGGGTCACACTCAGCCCCCTGTGGACTCAGGTGCTTTGCGTGCCTGAGCTCAGAGGGTGCCCCAGCCTCAGTCCTCCTTCAGACAGCTGCCTGGACAGAGGTCTGGAAAAGGCTGTTCTCAGAGCAGTGAGTCATTTTTCCTCTGGCTCCCCCTGCTCTCCTCCCTCCACCCTTTTCCTCCTCCAGTCCCCGTGGACTGGACATTCACAAGCAGGCAACATTTTTCTGGGGAGTTTCTTTGCTTTTTGGCTTCAAAGTTCTGACCTCTTTGTCTCTAAGTAAGAGGCCAAGCCAAGGAGCGTTCCTGTTTAAAATCACGAGATTTTCTGGGCTTTACATTGCTCTCAGTGCTGCTTTTCTTGGCGAGTCTTGTTTGGGCAAAACTTTCTCTCCCACCTCAGTTTCAGAAGTACCATTTTTCCTGCTAAGTACATTCCTGCTTCCTCTAGGAAGAGACATTCTCACCTTTCTGATGTCCCTGGAATGAGGTAGCCTGGGGCAGGAGAGCTGATGAAGGCAGGCGTATGCCCGACAGAGTGGGTGGGTAGAGGTGATAGAAGCAGTGTATTTGAGAGAGCTCACAACTGTCACCGCCACCACACACGCCACCACCCGAGAGCCTCATCCACTTTTATTCCTCAATCGGCACGTGACCCAGGGAGGAGAGAGTGGTAGTGAGAAGAGATTAGAAATGAGGCCATGTAAGTTCGAAGTGAGATCATTTCCTTCTAATCCAGGTGACTGTGACTACAGTGGTATAGATGTATCCGATAAAAGGACTTATCAGTCAGGTTATTGTGCTCATGGAGGCCCAAGTTTGTGGGATTAGGGCCGTGGACTATACCCGAAAGGCATGCTGATAGGTCACAGGGCGTTTAGTGACTCAAAGGTGGGTGGATCAGCCCTCACTTGGAAATACAACTAAAGATCCTAATAGACAATAACCTAGAATGCTTCTTACTAAACCCTGTTGGCCTCATTCTGAGCACTGTAAAACCTCTGCCTTTAATCCCAGTGTGAACATCTGAGGTTCTCAGCCTTCTCATCAAAGCCACCAGCTCAGCTGATTTTCTGATTTACTGAAGCAACCTAGCCTGAAGTTATTGGACCAGAAGGCTTGTGGCCCAACTCGGATTTCAGCTGTGCTACTGAAAAACTATCTTGGCTGGGCGCAATGGTGCACGCCTGTAATCACAGCACTTTGGGAGGTCGAGGCAAGTGAGGTCAGGAGTTTGAGACCAGCCTGGTCAACATAGTGAAACCCCGTCTCTGCTAAAAGTACAAAAAATAGCCGGGTGTGGTGTTGCGTGCTTGTAATCCCAGCTACTCAGGAGGACTGAGGCGGGAGAATCGCTTGAACCTGCAAGGCAGAGGTTGCAGTGAGCTGAGATCGTGCCATTGCACTCCAGCCTGGGCAACAAGAGCAAAACTCCATATCAAAAAAACAAAACAAAACTATCTTATTTCAGGAGATCCTTCCTATCTGTTTTTTCATTTTCCCATTTCTAAAATGAAGTCATCCTAATCTAATCTGCTCTGCCTTCTCTGAGTGACAAATAAGAGCCCTTTCTTCAGAAGAGAGAAATTGCCCAAAGCATTCATCATTCATTCATTCAACCAACTGGTGTGTATTGCACTCCTGTAGTTTCAGCTGACTCTTGCTTGTGGTAGATTATTTCTTCCCATGCTTTGTACTCTTGGATTATAAATTCATCTTTAGCAAGGTTTTATCTGTGGAGCATCCTTGGATGAGGGTATGTCCCCAGGGTATCACTGGCCCACCACACTATTAATTCTAATTTCTTACCTTGGCGGCTTTTGGATCACACAGGTAGTATATTTCACCTCCAAACTCAGAGTGAACCTGAGGTTGCAGATTTTTAGAATAAATGATTTTGTTTTCACCTTGGGTATGGGCTGAGCAGACATCTTCATTTCCCTGTGTTGGTCAGCAAACACTTTCTAGTCTTTTCCTTTCTCTGAGATTGTGGCCTTTCAGAGGTCCTGGTCTTATACAAGGTCTTGGGTTCCACCTCCCAAGGCACCATCTTCTGTTCTCACATGGGCACAAAAACCCTGGCCCATAACTAGTGCCTTTTGGGCTGCTACAGTGTCACTTTACTGCTCTGCCTTTTAGCCTCCCTCTCCCTTTGGGTCCCAGGGGGTTTCCCTTTCTTACTGTGAGCTCAGCTCTTTGCATTTAAAAGAATATTCATTAGATTTCACCCAGCATTTCTAGATGTTTTGTGATGGAAGGATTTTCATGTTGCCATCCCCACCCCATATAAGGTGCTGGACTACATGTTAGAATTCTAAAGATAGGCAAGAAAAGGCCCTAGTGTGAAGGGACTTGCAAGAGTAATGGAAACAACTGACAGTAATGACACAGTGTGGTAGGTGTCAGAGTCCAGCTGCATGGTGAGGCCTATGGGGTCCTGCCATGTTTTTTATTCAGCAGGCTGTGAAAAGCCAAAGTAGGCTTTTCATTTTTCCAGCGAGTGGTGATTCTAGAGTTCATTTGCTTATTCATTATGGAGGCATTTCCTGAGCGCCTGCATGCCAGGCACAGGACTAGACACTGGCACATAAACTATCCCATTCATTTCCAACAATAACTCTGTGAGGGTGGGTATTTTTATTTTGTTTTGCAGATGAGCCAGCTGTGGCTTAGGGAAACTAATTAGCTTGCTCAGAGGAGCAAGACTAATTCGCTTGTCAGACTCATCTTCAGATATGGGTCGTTGGACCTCAGAGCGTGGCCCTTCCTACTCCAGCATGACTCTTCCACAGTAAAGAAACCAGCCAAGCGCCAGGGGTCCCACACAGAGAAGTTCTCTGTTTTCACATTTCCTGTTCCTTCCTCTTTCTGTCAGGTGGGGACTGGATGCATCCCTGACCCCTGGACCGGTCCCAGGGCCCCAGCAGGTCTCACGTCCACATCTCTAAATGGTCTCTCTTCTTGCCCACTGCAGGAAGGATACTTAACAAACCCAAGAAGCCTCTGGGAAGACTACCCGCATGTGCACCTCCCGTGAGTATTCTGTTGACTCAGCCCCAGGGAGGAGCGACCGGGCCCACTGCCTTCCTGTCCCAGCGGAGTGTGGCCAGAACACCACAGGCCCAGCTGGCCTGACGAGCAGATCATGCCCTGAGCCTATTGTGGATGGTAGACTTGTCTGGAAGCCACTTCTTCTCAGCATGCTTGACCAGAGAATCCCCAGATGAAATTCCATCTGTGCTGGCTCCCATCACAGAGGTCCCTCAACTGCATGAGACAGATTCAGAAGCAGAACATCTCTCTCCATAATGCCCTCTGGGTTTCTACCTTCTTGGCGACCCCCTGACATCCACAGAGTGTCTTCCCTTCTGGCCTGCCATGGCTGGTGGTCTGTCAGAGCCAGTGTCCTCTGCCTCATATAGTGCTGCCAAGAGGGCAGTGTACCCCAAGGGCAATACCTGGGGCCATCTCCCTCAGGAGGCCACCCTTTGCCTTTCCCGAGATCTTTGTTTTTTGTCTTTTTTCTGAGATGGAGATTTGCTCTTGTTGCCCAGGGTGGAGTGCAATGGCATGATTTCAGCTCACTGCAACCTCCACCTCCTGGGTTTAAGCGATTCTCCTGCCTCAGCCTCCCAAGTAGCTTGGATTACAGACATGTGCCACCACGCCCAGCTAATTTTTGTATTTTTAGTAGAGATGGGATTTCACCATGTTGGCCAGGCTGGTCTCAAACTCCTGACTTCAGGTGATCCACCTGCCTCAGCCTCCCAAAGTGCTGGGGTTACAGGCGTGAGCCACCACGCCTGGCTGCCTTTCCCGAGATCTTTAAGAGCAATAATAGCAAAGGATGTAGGGCTGAGTTAGAACCTTCCCTTGCTACTTAGAGCTGTTTGTTGTCTCAGTGTATCTGTTGGTCCCTATCTCCAACAGTGCTCTGTAATCAGCTCCCTCCTCAAGGCTGAAGGATTCCTCCTCCTCTGCACTATTTTAATCATGTTTGTTTCTTTCTGTGGACTTTCCGTGTCCTTTAAGTGGTTTTGTATGTGGAACAAGGGCACAGGCCAATGGAGAAGCCAGGGTCCCAGGCTCAGGGTGCGGCGGTCACTGGCCTAACTCCCTTGCTCCTGGACCAGCTCCTCACAGGCAGAGTCTCAGCCCATGCTTTTCCCTCCTGTGCTTGGCCAGCACCTGCAGGGACACTTTTCTCTATCCTGCCCGTGTGACTTGCCCCCTTGTCTCCAGCTTCCAGGTGAAGTTTTTCTACCTATGCCAGCTGGCCTACTGGCTGCACGCACTTCCTGAGCTATACTTCCAGAAGGTACGGAAGGTGAGTGCTCACTTCTCTCCCTTCTTGGAGGCCATTCATTGACCACTCCCCTCCTGCTATTCCCAGGGGTACCTCCCTTCCTTTTCTCCAGAAGCATGGAGTGTTGGGTGGTGATAGGAATATGTTGGGGATTGAGCAACATGCTGAGTCATCTCTTGGAGAAGTGTCATGTAGTTGACCACCAGTGTCAGTCTCTTGCCTGCCTCTTCCACCAGACCTGTGGCTTTGGAGGAAACCTAACTCTCATCTTATAGATGTCAAAGGAGAGGTCTTTGCCATTTCCATAGTCTTTTTTTATTTTTACTTTTTATAGTTTCCTTCTGAATTATTTCCAAGAGCCCTCTTCTCCAGTCCCTGTCTCTTATTTCTCAATCCAAACCTCACCCTCTGACACTAGACCCAAGGCTGCTGGAATTTGGGAATGGACCTGAATGCCCTTGAATTTCAGCAGCCTGGTGCAGTGGGACTGTGGGACTCGTGGGACATGGGACTGTGTGTTAAAGCAGCCCAGAGGAGCCTGGCCCTCTCTCATCCCCCTGCACTTTTCCCCCTTCCCTGAATCTTCAGTTAGGGAATTAGCAAATTTACCATCTGCTTCTCTTGTTTCCAGGAGGAAATTCCCCGCCAGCTCCAGTATATTTGCCTGTACCTGGTGCATATAGCTGGAGCATACCTCTTAAAGTGAGTGAGACCATGGAGCCAGCCAGATTTCCTTGCCCTTTTATGTCCATGCATCTGTCCACACACTCATATAATTATCAGGCATTTGTTGACATCCTCTGTGTGCCTAGCACTATGCTAAGACTTGGCAATACAAAGATGGTAATGGAAGATTCTTTATCTTCAGTGGTTCATTCTCATTCTGAAGAGACAGTTATAGACATAAGTAAGGACAGTTGAGAGTGATGAACACCATAACACAGTATGTATCATCTGCTCTGCAACCCAGAAGAAGACCCTCAACAGAGACAGCCAGGAAGACTTCCAGTGGATGTCGGCCTTTGAACCATGGCTTTGCAGCTTGAAGGCCTCCCAAAGCTGGGCTCTTACCTCACAGTGTCCAATGCAAACACTGCTAGAGCTCGTAGCCCTGGAATTCCCTTCCCTTTGGTTTATAATGACATGGAGAGTAGGTCTCTCTTGGTTGTTCTAGAGGCAGAAAGAATTGCTATAATATTAGTTCTCGAAGAGCCTCTTTTATGAAAAGAATCCTTTTGATGTTAATAAGCTGTGTCATTGATAATTTGGGCTTTTGCTGAGTGTTATCCATGCAGTAAAAGCACCCCACACTTTCTCTAGGCTGGCACTTACAGAGCTCACTGTGTGTAACTTTCTGCCGAGGTGCCTGGAAATCCCGAGGTGCGTTGGACTAGGTCCTTGCAGCAGGCATCCTGTGTGAATGACTGACTTGGATTAGTAAGACTGAGGCAGGGAAGGAGCTCTCAAACTCTGTCTCCTGTCTCTGGTGGCCTGTAGCAGCGTCAGTTCCCGGATGGGTCTTTGAGGGCTGAAGGCTGTGGGGTGATGCCAGCTCTGCCCTTGTGTTGGATGGTCATGTGTCACATGCATAACGGGTCTAAGAAGCCAGTCTGCACTGTCACCGTAGCAGTGGCGAGGACCGGGGAAGAACGTATAAGCAGGGCCACACAGAAGGAGCACTTGCTGCTTCTGCATGTACCTCGGAGCTGTGAAGACTTGGATAATGGAAAGTCAGACAACAGGAACATTTCATATTCCTATACTCAGAGCTCAGCAAATGTGTTCTGAGTACCTTTTATGTACTTGGTTCCAGCCTAGGTGATGAGTGCAAGGTGCTAAGTACTGTGAAGGGCCTATGCGAGGTTTGCTGTGGGAGCAGGCAAGGGCATCTGACTGAGACAGGACAGCTGAACGGCCAGCGGGTCGGTATTAGGAAAAATGTCTTAAAGGTGTGAGAGCTAAACTGAATCCAAAGGATGGAGCAGAGCCAGCCAGGGAAAGTGGGAGTGGAAAGCAGAGCCCAGCCAGGCACAGGGGACAGCCTGAGCCAAGATGCAATGGCTTCTGCTCCACGCAGCATCTTGGAGGGAATGTAAGTCTAGTCTTCCCCACCCCCAGCCTGAGCCGCCTGGGCCTGATCTTGCTGCTGCTGCAGTACTCAACTGAGTTCCTCTTCCACACGGCTAGACTCTTCTACTTTGCAGATGAAAACAACGAGAAACTGTAAGTGGGTCTGCTGCAGGCTGGCCCGCTTAGAGGCCTGGGCAGGGGTTCCCCCGAGGCCCGGATGGTTGGAGGGTCCCTCCCTGGTTGCACACTGCCCGCTTACCTGCAGGTGGTGCCCTCCCGTTATTTTTTTCTGGAACATCTGATTTTAGATATCTCGTCCCTCAAGCACTTTCCCCAGCCACCCTTGAATCCTCTTCCCACTCGGGGTCTCTTCTGGAGAAGTGGGTGAAGATTCCTTCAAGGGCGCTAAAGACTGACATCCCTCTTCTGCCTCTGTGAGCAGGTTCAGTGCCTGGGCTGCTGTTTTTGGGGTTACCCGCCTCTTCATCCTCACCCTTGCCGTGCTGGCCATTGGCTTTGGACTGGCTCGCATGGAAAACCAGGCATTTGATCCCGAGAAAGGGAACTTCAACACTTTGTTTTGCAGGTGAGTCGAGCAGAAGTCCAAGGTGATAAGCCAGGGAGCCTCCTGAACTTGGCACAGCCCTTGCAGAAGGTCTGGAGGCAGCAGACCCTTTAGTCTCCCACATATTGTTATTTTTTGGAAATCTCTGGATATCAGGCCTGAGGGGAGAAGAGATAGCAGCCTCTGGTTCCATCCAAACCATCTTCATCCCCTAGTCCTGGTTTGCTCAGACTGTAGTCCAAATAGGAATCCCTTACATTTGTCTGGCACTTTGTGGTGCACAGAGGCATCACACCCAGTCTCTCAGTTGATATCATTCTCCTCTTCTTGTGTGTGGGTGCTTTAAAACCATGTGCTTAATGGCTTGGCCAGTGGCCTCCTGTGGCAGTGAGGAAGCCACTATTTTCCGGAGCCCCTAGGCCCAGGAGAGTGATTTGTCCAGGGTTGCTCCACTTTTAAGTGACATGTTAAATGAGAAGCCACTCTTCCAGAAATTCAGTTCATTTGAATGCTACCAATATTTGTGGAGCTTACATTAGTCTTGTTCTGTGCAATGGGCGCAAAACAGACACAGCCATGGACCCCTCCCTCGTCATAGGAGTAGCGTGATTGTAGAGCTGGCCGTACGTCTGTCGCCACTTCCTTCCCGTCTCCCTGGCACATGTGATGTATGCTGGAGCAGAGACTGACTGAAGCACACATTCTTCCTGGTGATAGTGGTGGTATCGAAGAGGGCCAGTGGTGAAGGCGGACGTGATAAGCCATGGGAACTGCAGGGCCCCTGGCCCTTGTTCTCCCCTGCACAACCCAGCCCAAGGCTGTGAGCCCAAGCCCCAGCCTAAGCCCCTAACCCCCTGCTCTGCAGGCTCTGCGTGCTGCTGCTGGTGTGTGCCGCCCAGGCCTGGCTCATGTGGCGCTTCATCCACTCCCAGCTGCGGCACTGGCGGGAATACTGGAATGAGCAGAGTGCAAAGCGGAGAGTCCCAGCCACACCCAGACTACCAGCCAGGCTCATCAAGAGGGAATCTGGTGAGTGCCAGGGCCCTTGGCAGAGAGTGGAGCCAGGGAAGTCTGTCTGGGATGGGTGGGAGGAGCCAAGGCACCTGGCTTCTTGGGCGCTGCCCAGACCAATCCTGCCAGCTTCTCCTTCCTGACTCTTACCTCAGGGCTGGGGCTCCTAGCTCCCTGATTGGCACGTGGCTGGGTGTGGGCCAGGGACAGGCTGTGGGTGGGGCTGGCCCTAACTAGGCTGGGAGCCCTGGCCACCACGGGGCAGGGCAGTGGCTGGGTGGGGAACTCTGGCAGGAAGCGTGTCCTCAGGGTGGCTTCTGGACCCCAGCCAAGTGCTGCTACTGCCGCCGCCGCCCATTCTCAGTGCCGGACGGCGGCCTCTGTCCTCACCTGCCCTTTTGCTCCACATCTTAGCCTGCCCCTGCCTCCCAGCTTGCTGGCTCCTCCTCTGTCTCCAAGAATGACTCACAGTGACATAGTGCTAGGTGGGGGGTAGGGGTGGGACACTTATCCTTTGGCCCGTGCACGCACTCCAGTCATCACCCACCTTCAGCAGGTCCTCAGGCCCTGCCAGCCCTGCACGTTCTGCCCAGCCTGGGGGCCTGTCTGCACTGGGCGCTGCTTTCTGACTCACCTGCTTTTCTCTAGGTGGCCACCTGCTTGGCAAAGGCTTATGTGTGTTTGAACCAGACACGCGCGCAGCTGGGTGTGTCACAGAGTCAGGCCTGGCTGGCGGGGGAGGTATGGGGCATAAGACTGCAGCCAGTACCTCTGAATTTGAGCAAGCGCACGGAGGTATTTTGAACAATAGAGCACAATTTTTCTGCCAGAGGAGTGTCAGGCATCCTGCTTGAGGCCTTGTTCCTACAGCCTCTTGTCCCCCTCCCTTCTGTGGCCACTGCTCCTGGGAGTTCTTGCTGAACTGGAAGTGGGCTGATGCCTTGCAGGGGCCTGAGAAGAACTGAGGACAGTGAGCAGTGACAGCATCTAAGTGATTTCGGCGAGTATCTAGCCCCAGCCTCAGGCTTGGGCAGGCTGGCCTCTGTTGTTGCTGAGTTACTGTGTGTCATCCCAGGCCCCTCCTGCTAAAGTGCAGTCAGAGACCAAGCCTCTCAAACAGGGCCACTAGTCCAGGGCCCTGGGGAAGACAGGACCCTCCTGGGAGCCGTCTGCTGGCTTGCATTTGCTGTGCAAGGCTGCAGCCTGGCGCCCCTTTGGTGCATCCATGTATAGCAGCTGGGCTGCCCGGGCCCCTTCCTTGGCCTGGCCCCACCCTCCCCTCTTCTGCCTTAGCTCCAGCAGAAACACCATGTATGCTTGTCTCTCTCCACTTCCCAGGTTACCATGAAAATGGAGTGGTGAAGGCAGAGAACGGAACCTCCCCACGGACTAAGAAACTCAAGTCTCCCTAAGGCCAAAGTGCTAAGAACAGGAATCCTCTTGGTGGGGGCCGAGCAGGGGGCAAGGAGCCCAGGCCCCCTCCCTGCCTCCTCCTTCCTGCCTGTGATGCTCCGTCTCAAACAGCCGAAACCTGTCTTGCAATGGGGGGAGGGGGCGTTTCGCTTTCCTTCTTCTTGGCTTCCTCTTATTCTTCCACAAACCATTCTCAATAAAGCCAAAAATCTTTCTCTTTCTCCCCCTCAGGCCACCTCCTGTCCTCACTCCTGTCCTGTGCTGGCTTTTCTGGAACGCCAGGCGCCCATGGCTGGCACCTTTCTGCTTGCTCTGTCTCTTGCCTTATGGCTGCTGCTTTTCCTTTTTACTTCCTATTTTCACCTTATCTTGCAATTTTTCTGTCTGATTTTTACAATGGGAGGGGAGCTAAGATTGCAGTCCTGTCCTTCGGTCCCCCAGGGCCTGCCGGTCAGAAGCCTGGGGCTGGTAGGCCCTTGGTGGTCCTCATGTGGATGGGCAAGAAGAGAGCGGCCATCTCGGATCATAATCTCCTTGGTGCTGATTAACTGACGAGATATATGATTCCAGTTCTGCATGTACCATCTTGAGGCACAGCAGCCACTGCTCGTTGTAAATGCCAAGGCATTTGGCTTTGGGACGTGACAACTCAATCCAGAAGGATGGTGTGAACTCGGTTGGGTCCCGTGACTCGAGCTCCTACCAGTGGCTGGCCGCGGATTGGAAGCCAGCCTGCTGTCGCTCTGTGGGGGGGGACACGTCTTCCCACTGCTTAGAGCGAGAGCAGAGCAAACTGCGCAGCAGGCACCTCCAGAAAGGTAATGGTGGCAGAACCCACAGTGGAGTCGACCTAGGCCTTTCTCCAGCAGTCCCAGTCGCCATTGCTTTTTCAGCCATTCACAAGCATTCAAAACCAAACCAAACAGCAGTTCATATACCTGCCTGAGATAGGCTGGTCCTCACCTCCAGAGCCAGCCAGCCCCGTCAGGGGCCAAACTTACTACCTTGACTTCATCTCTAGCTGCAGAAACACTAAGTCTCAAGGGCTTCAGCCCCATGCTGGTCCCTTGGTGTTCAGGGAGGGTCACTTGGACCGCTGTTCATCTGGCCGCCCTTGTTGAGTGTTCTTTGGAATTGTCGTTTTTTGAGCACAACTACAGCATTTTAGACTGCATGAAACCATGACTGACTGAGAGTCACTCTCTGGGTAGATGATAGGCGCCTTTCTGGCCCCTTCCCTCACAGATTCTTTCCCCTCCCCTCCACCTGAAGAGAAGGCCTCCAAGTCCTTTTGGTGCCTTGTGAGGACTTTTAGAAGGGGCGTTCAGCTTTAAAAAGCCGGTCCTAATTACGGCCGGACGCAGTAGCTTACGCCTGTTATCCCAGCACTTTGGGAGGTCGAGGTGGGCAGATCACCTGAGGTTAGGAGTTCAAGACCAGCCTGGCCAACATGGTGAAACCCCATCTCTACTAAAAATACAAAAAATTAGGTGTAGTGGCAGGCACCTGTAATCCCAGCTACTCGGGAGGCTGAGGCAGGAGAATCGCTTGAACCTAGAAGGCGGAGGTTGCAGTGAGCGGAGATTGTACCATGGCACTCCAGCCTGGACAACAAGAGCGAAATTCTGTCTAAAAAAACAAAAGTCCCAATTAAGAACCTCCGAACTCTGTTTTGAGGCAAAGGGGAGTAGTTCTTGGTAGGTGCAGGAATAGTAGTGTCATTTGGAATACTGGTCATCTTTCTGACATCACAGTAGAAACCAAACCTTGGATTTAGATTCAAAAGGGGGGAAATGGGTCTTTTCATCAAGGCAACTCCCCTTCTCCAAGTCACTTACATCATAGATAAATTTTAGCTTCCCAGTAACTGAGGGATTTGTTTCCTAACGCCATTGGAGGCCTTCATCCCTCTCTACGATAAGGTTGCAGAAATGGGAAGAGCTACCCGTGGTTGCTTTTGATTACCCTTAGGAAGTGAGACAGTGTTTTTGAAAATATGTATTTCCCCCATTTCTCCCTCTCCTTCCCTGACACTTCTCTGGGCTGCACAGCAGAAACGTTGGTAAAAGGGCAGTTTGGTTTCAACACAGCAGACCTGATATGGGATCCCTTAGCCACTTTAGTCAAACAGCCCTGACAGAGTCTATAATTGAGTTCAGGCCCCCCACCTTGCCTAATAACTGCAAATCGCATGTTCAGCCAGCAGCCTCCTAAGCCCACCTTCCTCCCCCATTAGAGAACACCCATCCTAGGTGCTCTCCAGGCTGTGTCATTGGCAGGGCTTCACATGCAGGAGGCCTCTCTCAGGTGAGTCCAGGTTAAACTGTTGAGTTGTGGCTTCAACAGATATGTATGGCATGCTGGGATGTGCCAGGTGCCTGCGTTGTGCCAGTTGCTGGAGAGGTAGTGTGAGCAGAGCAGCTGAAATCTTGCCATCAAGCAACCCTCATTCTCATGCCTGTAGGTTTCCATTGCTCTGTCCCAGGACACTTGCGTGCCAGAGACGCCACAACTTCATGTCCCTGTCTCTTGCAAGCTCCCCGTGCTGCCAGTACTTCATGCCTTGGATGTGGTCCCACCAGCCCAGTGGCCGGGGTCAGCTTAGGCTCTGCTTCCCAGTGGACGGGTGTGCTAAGGGTTTATTTTATGTAAAAAAAAAAAAAAAAACAAAAAAAAACCCTGAGACCATGAGTGGGGCTGGCATCTTGCCAGCCTGGGCTTCAGGGATGTTTGGGGGGGGTGGTTAGAGGGTAGTTGTAGGGTACTTTGTCACCCCCCTCCCCCTGCCACCCTCCCTGGCACGTTTATTTCACAGCAGAGCCAAGTCTGTGGCAGGTTGACACAGACTGTGTTGCCAGAGCTGAAATAATTCCACTTCATCCTATGAGCGTGTTGGGCTAGCTTGTTCTAATTTTGGCCACTTTGGCTGTTTTCTTCAGTTTTATGCATTCTCTCCTGCCCCAAAGTGCCAAGCCATTTGTGAAGGCTCTGCCAGACACCTCCAAGCTTGAGAGCTCAGCACCATGCACCAAGAGCAGGAGAAAAGACGTAAACCTACCCCAGCAACTGTGGCCTCTCGACAGCCCTGGCTAACTAACTTACATTTGTGGGGAAGCCAACAGACACAGCAGGAGGAGAGGGAGGTGGCGCTGGTGGACCAAGGATCTGTGCTACCCGCTCCCCTCCTTGGAGGTGCAGTGATGATGGGAGTTATTTTTACCATCCGGGCGCTGATAGCTGCACTATTAATAAATTGCATGTGTTCCTTTTGAAGGTAGGGGATGGTTCTGGGTGAGAGGGGAGCAGGCTGAGCCGGCGGGGGATCTGCTGTCCTCCCTTTTGAGTCAGTTCTAATCCCATGTGTGTCTGGGCCACCAGACCGAAATGGTTGCTGAGAAACTTGTCTGTTCATGTCCCAAGGCATAACTTCCCAACATTTAAGAAACCCCAATAGACACCTCTGCCCTGGCCACGTTCACAGATCCTTCTCTTGACCGGAAACCCTGGGACCCTAAGAACCCCTGAAGCTTGGGGTGGGTGTGTGCTTCTGGGGTCTCTTTTGGGACCTCCTTTGTCAGTACCCCTTCTTTTTTCTAAGCAGCTAATAAGAGGTTGGGTGAAAGAGTGCATCTCCTCCCAGGATTCCACAACAAAATTCTTATCTTCCATGGATGCTTTAATTGGAAGTGGGTTGCCGACCCCCTTGTGCCTAGAAAAGGCCTTCGCTTGGGTTTCCTTTGTATGCTTCAGCCTTCCTAGTTGGTTTTTCTAGGCCTGGTGTGAGAGGTAGGGAAGTCTGCACATAACTAATTCTTTTGCTTAAGGGCCTATGGCACAAGTGCACAAACTTCAATTCTTGATGTTCTAAGCTCTCTCCTCTAACAGAGGGAGTGCTGAAAGCTTTTGAGTCAAGACAATGGAGTGCTCTTCCTCCCTCACTCTGCCTTCCGAGCTTATGGTTCCTTTTCTCAGGAGAGGATTTTCAGGATTATTGGAGGATTAGGTCATTGTCAGATGACTGGAAAACCTAAATAGGATCTCTCTCCAGCTCAAGGTTGTCCCAGTGAGGAAGACTTTACCAACTTCTCACTCTACCCCACTACTCACATGAGTGTTAGCTCCACCTTGCAAAGGCTGAAGACCAGTTCTCCCCAGTGAAAGCTGCCTCATTCTTTTATGGAGTTCCCTGGAGTGGCAGAGCTATAAAGACGAGCATTGGGATTTGCAGTCTCCATGTAGCCTTTCGTGCTTGGCAACCCCTGTAGACTTTTTGTCCCAAGCAGATTGCGTGCGTGCGCCTGTGTGTGAGAATAAGTGCCTTACTTTGCTGTGTGGTTTTCAACTTGTACTCCGTGGCCAGCCCCCAGTTGCCAGGGCTCGACGGCAGCCAAGGACACCATACCTCAGTATAGTTATATATAAAAGGGACACGGATTGTGACAGTTTCACCCCATTTGTTTCTAACCCCGCTGCCCAGGATTAGGGTCTGTGGTGTGTTCTGTTTTGTTTTTGGTTTCTCCCTTGTGTCAGTTCTCTTCTGGCCCAGCTGGGTGGCTGTGGAAGTCTGTGAGGTGGCCCAACCACAAGCATACCTATTAAGAGAAGCCCAGAGCTTCCAGCCCCCACTTCGAAAACTCTCCTCTGGCCCCACATAGCAAACTCCTTCTCCGTTATTTTCCCCACCCCCAGATTTTTTTTAAAAGGCCCACTTGCCGTAACCTCTTTTGGTCTATTTTGCTTCCCATTCAGCCCAAAGTTTATATGATAAAGGTGTTTACTTTTACTTCCCAGTCTCCAAGTGCTAACACATAAACACATACATGTCTGACTGTTGCAGAACTGTTCGAGCTCCTAATTCAGTGTTACCTTGTTTTAGTCGCAGCAACCCTCTCCCCTACCCCTTGCCCGCCCACGTTTTTCTCACTCTTCCGGGTTGTGCAATAACTCTCCCAGCCAGTGGTCCTTTCCACAGCCTTTCTGTCCCTTAAAACACCTGCAACTGGGGGAGAAATGGGACCCATGGGAGGGGGAGTCGTCATCCCTTACACAAGAAATAGCCACTTTCCTTTTGTTGTCATTCTTGTGATCCTGGGTGGGTTTCTGTGGCACTCTTTTAGAACATGTAGCATCATCTTAGAGGTCTATTTTTAAAAAATGTGTTGAAGAGGAAAAAACCATTCTCACGATGGGGCTTAAGTCATTGTCCAGGAATAAGATTGGCGTGGTGCCCATGACATCACCGTCACTCTGCCTAAAAGCACTCTAGAGCTACTTGTTCACGTGGAGAGGAAGGATATTTTGCGAAGCAACAGCCGCAGGTGGAGAGCCCTGTTCACCTGATAGGGTCTAGCTGTGACAGTAAATATAATACCGCTGTTTCCTTGGGTACAGATTTGAGTGTTCATGTGATGAGACTGTAAACCTCATTTTTCGGTTCCTCTGTTTAAAAAAACATCTGAAGGATGAACTAAGGCTGCTGGTGCCCTGAGCAACTGATAATGCAAATGTGGACAAAGTGTCTGTTTTCTACTCTAGCCTGTTCATATGGACCAAATTTCAACAAGGAACTCAAGGAAAATTTGTACCTGCCGTATTTATGCTTTCATGTAAAAAAGGGTTGGGGGGAGGGGTGTCTTTTTGCTTTTGGTGAACTTTTTTTCAAAATCATTTTTCCACTGTTTCTGTCTGGTTTTAAAACAAATTACAGTTTTGTATGGATTTTTTAAATGTACATTTTGGAACAAATGATCAAATATTTTCTGAAATAACAATAAAAGGCAGAAAATTATCAGAATTGTCTCATAATTATTTCCTTGACGTGCTTTTATACAGTGATGCTTTTAACGTGGATGTTTACGTTTGCTTAAAGGAGTTTGCAATGAATTTTAGCCCTCATGTCTATTATTTTTCACTATATTAGTCATTTCTTATATATTTTGACCCGTATTTGTCCATTGTGATATGAATTAGGGAATTAAGGATGGAGAGTCAGTTATGTCAAGTGCTGGATAGCAATAAGCATCATTTTTATTTGACTCTTTAATAGTAAAGTGGAAAAGAGGTTTTCTTAACATGGGGTTTGTGGGTAGGAAGCTCCAGAAACAAGCACATCATCCTTGATGCCTACTATACTATGATGTTATTTAGCTTGGAGGAAATGGGGTTTCGTTTGTGTAAAGGCCAACAAATATGTTGGTGCTGACTAGAAGACATCCAAGTATTAGTAATAGTGGGGATTGCTGGTGTCACTTACATGGCTGCTGTTGGCTGTAGCTGCTTGCTGTGTTTACCAGAACCATCTTTCTTTGGAAAAAGATCTCAAAAGATGAGTGCAGTTACAGGTGGCAGTTAGTCAAGGACACCCATGGGGTGTGAGAAAGAGGAAATGTTTGCTTGAGGTGAAGGTGAGTGGTTCTGATGCATGGCAAGCTTCATTGTAGAGTTGGGTCCTGCTCTGCCATGAGAAGCTAGGTGAACTCAAGCAGTTAACCCTTCCGAGTCTTTTTGTGCATCTGTGTCAAAAGGGTTTCATGTTTTGTGGGGAGTCATGGTGAGAGATTTAGAGATACTGAATGCTAAGTTCATGGTACATATAAAGCACTCATATTGGCTTTTTAAAATGAACTTATGTGCCAGCAGGATACTCAGGAGTCACTTAACCAAGTGGATTCTCTGGACAACATTTAGAGACGTCTTCTCTACCTATGTGTCCCAAATACCCTCAAAGCCTATAGATATGGATTTGATACACCTTAATTGGATGGTATTTTCAAGGCCCCCTGATGGTGCAGACAAGGTACAGGCCCAGGTTTCTGAGTAGTGGCTAACTCACAGCCCATCTTTACCCGCAAGGCAGATTTTTATTAGTCCCAAAGCCGTAAGCACTATAAGCAGTCTTAGTCAAATGCTTCAGTTAGACCTGATAGCTTCAGCTACCAGTGCTAATCTTAATAATTCTCATTCTCTCTTTGTGTGTGTGTGTGTGTGGGTGTGTGTGTGTATTAGAATCTTTCAACTCCCTGGTGGCCAGTTTGAAGTGATGATCATTTCTGCTTCCTACAATATTGCTTGCTACAGGGTAATGCTCAGCTCCCTTCCACCACCTGAACCTGACACTCCAGATGCATGCCAGCTATGACTGTAGCATAAGGTAATTAGTGACATCTAATGGCTGCACTGCCATTCAGGATTTTAGTAGAAAAAGTGATTTGCTCTGACGTTTGTGGCTCCTATACTTGCTGCTTTGTATAAACAGGTGAGCAGCGAGTGTTTGGACACCACAGAAATGGCCTGCTGGCTTTGGTCTTTCATGAAATCTCTTTTATACCTTGTGTTGGTGCTGTCAGATCTCAGCTTCTCAGTCTTAAGTAAACTTAAAAGGAGATGCAAGGCAAGAAGTGGACAGCAAACTTAAGGAGTGTATGTGGACAGTGCCAACTTTATTGAAGACAGTTCCCTCTGAGACTACAGGCCTAGCTACTCAGAAGGCTGAGGCAGGAGGATTGCATGAGCCCAGGAGTTTGAGGCTGCAGTGAGCTATGGTCACACCACCGCATTCCAGTCTGGCAACAGAGTAAGACCCTGTCTCTAAAAAACAAACACAAAAACAAAACAAAACAGCCAAAAGCAGGCTAGAGGATGCTAAATGAGACTTTCCTAAATCTCCATTTTGGCTGAGACCCAAAGCTGAGGACAAAAATTGGCAAATATATCCATATGTTGCAGATTTGCTGCCGATCCATGAATGATTTGTTAAGGAGTAGCCCAAAGCTCCTCTACCACAGGAGGCAAGAGTGATGGAGAAAATATCAGAAAGTGCAAGCTTCTTGAAAGGGGCTGGAGTGCCTTGGGTCTGCAAGCTAAGTGAGGGTATACTTTAAAAGACTCAGGGTTTGACATGTGTCTGTCCCCTGGAGTTTGGAGAGCATAAGATTTGGGGTACCTGGTTCTCCCCTGAAACAGTCTAAAGGAAAGGGATTGAGCTGCCTAATTACACAGCCAAGAGAGCCATCTGGGTGAGAACATGGCGAGAGTGCACACCCTGGAAGGTGTGTCAGCCTGAAAGGGCCTCCTGGGAAGATCAGAAGGAGCCTTGGAGACCATACCATTAGAGCCGGGGTGATCAGGTACAGACTGGGTCCCGTCCATCTGAGAGTGGTGCACTGGGCAGTTTCCGGTTGGAAAGAGTTCTAAGAACTCACCAAAACGGGGCTCTGAGCAAAGGACATGGAATCAACCTAGGTGCCAATCAATGGTGGATTAGATTTTTTAAATGAAGTATATCTACACCATGGAATACTACGCAGCCATAAAAAATGAAATCATGTATTCTGCAGCAACATGGATGCAGCTGGAGGCCATTATCCTAAAGTGAATTGATGCAGGAATAGGAAACCAAATATTGCATGTTCTTACTTCTAAGTGGGAGCTAAACATTGAATACACATAGACATAATGATGGGAACAATAGACACTGGGGACTACCAGAGTGGGAAGGGAAGGAGGGGGTATGTGTGGAAAAACTACTTACTGGGCACTATGCTCACTACCTGGGTGCAATATACTCATGTAACAAACCTGCACATGTACCCCCTGAATCCAAAAAGAGAGAAAAGGTGCTCTGGGAGAAAGAGTCAGCCTTTCGGCACATGTCACTCAGACCTGGCCCCACATTACGACATTACTAGCCACAGAAATAAGACTTTGCCCTTTTTCTCTGGTTTCTACCCGCTTAACCTTTCCCAGAGCCTACATGGGCTAGAAACAGCAGCATGGCTGAATAGGAACAAAGGGAGCAGAAGACAGAAAGAAGGGAGTAAGAAGAAACCACTATCATCACCCCAGTATACACACACTCTTTACCACAGGCTTCTAAGCCTGGGGGAAGGACTGAGCTGGGCCAAGTAGGATAGAGCTTGGTAATTTTTAAGCTGAAAAAACTTCTAAAATACAGATAGTCCCCAACTTTCAATGGTCCAACTTATTTGCCTACTTTACAATGGGCTTATCAGGGTTATTAAATGTGTTTTCAACTTGTGATATTTTTTACTTACGTGAGTTTATTGAGACATAGCCCCATAAGTAGAGGAGCATCTGTACTTGAAAGAGATACTGTTTTAAATAGTTATGAGCGACTGAGGGTAAAACAAAACAAAACATGGGTTATTCCCAAGATAATAACCTGGAACAGAAAAGGAATCAACATAATACATTCACAGCCCTTTCAATAAGCTGGTTACAAGTGGCTGAGCTCGTTAGGGAAGGAAACACCAAGGGAAGTTCCCTAGAAGTTCTGAGAGGGCAAAGCAGTCTGAATTCTGTGTAACTCTATCCTCATTCATACCACATTTTGGGTGGCTTCGGGGAATTTGAGATAGCATGTTTAAAGATGAACTTAGTGGCTGACTTCAACCAAAGAGAAGCCCTGTTTGTAAAAAGCCAGTCAGAGCTCACCAGAGAATAGTAACTGCAACTAGTCTTTCCTTCCTCTCTCAAGGCCAGGCTCTCTAAAAGCAGCATTTTTCTAACCTTTTTTTTTTTGAGATGGAGTCTTGCTCTGTCACCCAGGCTGGATGGAGTGCAGTGGCGTGGTCTTGGCTCACTGCAACCTCTGCCTCCAGGGTTCAAGTGATTCTCCCATTTAAGCCTCCCGAGTGGCTGGGACTACAGGCACACGCCACCACACCTGGCTAATTTTTCTATTTTTAGTAGAGATGTGTGCACATATATGTATATACATAATATATATACACATATACATACTATATGTATACATATAAGCGTGTGTGTGTATGAATGTGTACATATAAAATATATATATATATATATATGTAGAGAGAGAGAAAGAGAGAGTTATAAGAAATTGCTCACACAATTATGAAGGCTTACAAGTCCCAAGATCTGCAGGGTAAATTGGCAAGCTGGAGACCCAGGAGAGCTAAAGGTATAATTCCAGTCTGAATCCAAAGGCCTATGACTTAGGAGAGCTGATGGTTTAGGTCCAGTCTGAAGGTCAGCAGGCTCCAGACCAACAGCTGATGTTTCCATTTGTGTCTGAAGGCAAGAAAAGGCTGATGTTCCAATTTGAAGCCAGTCAGGCAGGAGGAATTCTCTTACCTGGGGAAAGGTCAGCCTTTTTATTCTACTCATGTCTTCAAATGATTGGAGGAGGCCCACCCACATTAGGGAGGACTATCTGTTTTACTTAGTCTTCTGATTCAAATGTTTATCTCATCGAAAAATACCTTCAGAGAAACCCCCAGAATAATGAAATATCTGAGGCTGGGCACAGTGGCTCATGCCTATAATCCCAGCACTTTTGGAGGCTGAGGTGGGAGAATTTCTGGAGCTCATGAGTTTGAGACAAGTTCAGGCAACCTAGCAAGACCTTGTCTCTACAAAATAATTTTAAAAATTAGCTGGGCATGGTGGCTTGAGCCTGTTGTCCCAGCTACTGGGGAGGTTGAAGTGGGAGGATCACTTGAGCCCAGGAGTCTGAGGCTTCATAGAACTAGGATAGTGCCACCACACTCCAGCCTGTATGACAGAGTGAGATCCCATCTCTAAAAAAATTTATTTTTTTAAAAAGAAAGAAAGGAAATATTTGGGCCCCCTGTGGCCAAGTCAATTTGACACACAAAATTAGACATTGCTATACCCCTATCACCCTAAATAAGGCACCAATCTTAGATCCTATTAGATCCAATTTAGTTTCGACTTCAGTAGGAGTGAAAGAAGAACCAAAACAGAAATAAAACTTCAGGAACCCTGTAAATGCCTCTATGAAGAGTGTAAGGTGTATTTCAAAGCATAGTTCCAGTATCAAAAATTGTCTTGCATTTTCTCATCAGCAGGTCAGTTTGAGAAAGCACGAACAAAGTTATAGTAGTTAATTTTGCCTTCTCCATGAGAGCACATCCTGATTAACTGCAGAGAGAGCAAAGAGAATAGGTGAGACAGATCTGCAGGGCTTCCGTCAGCTCAACTGCAGAGTGCGCTTATGCATAATGATCCCGAGCCTTTGTAAATCAGTTCAGAATTTTTGTATCCTCAAGTTGATTCTGAAATGATCCTGTGAACCTGGCAGGTAGGACAGACATTATCCCCATCTTACACTTAATGAAACCAAAGCTGGATGGAGTAAATGACCTTCCCTGTTGAAGGCCGAAAGAATGAGCGTCATGATCAACTCAGTATACCACTGGAGGCTCTATGAGTAAACAGTAAACTGTTTCTCATGAAAGCAGGATGTTGGCAAACTGACAAACTGCGTCTGCTGCCCAGAAGGAACGCTGAAGGCAGTCACGACCCAGGCACAAGTGTTTCTTGTGATTAGACACATCTGAAGCCTGTTAGCAATAATGTGAACCTGTGATCAATTAATCCCTGCTCTTTCTACCCAATAAATATGAAGGGCTGTAGCAGCTCGGGCGGTTGCCTTTGCTCACTAGAAGCAGGGAGCTCTCTTCTTTCCCTTCCTTTAAAATAGTTACTTTTGTTTTAAGTTTTCATTTCTGCTTTCATCTTCCTTCGTTAACTCTCGTAATGACGGTCTCAAGTAGTAACAGTAGTAATTGTCGTAGAGATGTCTCAAGTAACCGTGGCAGTCTGCCACATTTCCCAAGATTTCAGAACTAACATCCATATTTATAAAAGCACTTTTAGTTGTTTTTATATTCAAATAAAAGACTGTCCACTCAGCTCATGAGGAGTAAGACTTTTTAAATAGCAGGCTCTTGCTACCACAGCCTAACGGAAGGGTCTGGTTATGCCACTGCTCAACCTGTGTCCCTTAAAACTCGACTGTGACTGGTAACAGACTGATTTTCTGTGGTTATTTTTATAAGATGTGCAAATCTGTCCCACCCCCACTTCCCTGCTCCACTTGCCAATGACTGCCATCCCTCTCTCCCATGTCAGTTCCCACATCAGACAGTATGAAGAATTTGAAAATCAAAAGTTGGGCATGCTGTCAACCTAAAATTTGGGGAGCTAAATGTGTGTTTGGTCCACATGAACAAATACTCTTCTATCTGCCCTCCTACTCACTCCCTGCTAATGTTTCTGTCTATGAAAAATCCTCATCTCCAACCTAGTCACTAGCCCTAAACCAAACCCTTTCCTAAATGACTCTTAAATTCTGAACACCTGTTTTGGCTAAAAGATCTTTAAAAAGGCCTCAGAATCTCAATATTTTTAATCAGTAAGAATGTCTCAATGATCATAAGCCACAGTCCTTGGCATTTCTCAGGGGGACTTTGTTCTGACTTCCAAGGGAACCCTGGCTAAAGGGTTTATAATGAAGAAAAGGCATGAAAGTCCCCCTTCAACTCACTTATGAAAATTCAAGGAAGAAAACTTCCATGCCCTTCCTCCATCAGCTGCTGGCCATGCTACCACTACTGACAGATGCCACAGCCCTCCTGCAGTGGTCATGCCTTCTTTCATGCTAACCCTACTGATGGGCCAGTGTAGGTATCAGCTGTGAAGGGTATCAAAGGCTGCCAACCAGTCTGCTCTATCAACTTATCTTTGAGTCTCCCCTTGGTAGCCACCCCTCCTGGATCGTCTCTGTTGCCCTTCTTCAGTCCTGACATGTTGGTCTACTAACCACTCTGTGTTGTCCAGCCCCAGGCCCACTTAAAGAGATGCCCTGCAACAGCAATTAGAAAAGAATACCAATGCTAGAATCAACGGGCAATACCTAATCAGGACAGAATAGTAGATCTGATCTGAACATCCTAAATCTGGCCCAGTTGTAGTGAAATACACACACAATTGCCTTTAGAAAAGAATGATCAGTGCCTAGCCTCTGCAATGAACTCAGAAGAGTAATTCATACTGACCTCCTTAACCAAGGAGTCATCCACTGGGACGTTAAGCGATTCACAGATTTTAAAGAACATGTCTCTGTCCACATATCCTGAAGCTTCCTTGTCATAAATTTGAAATGCCTCACGAATGTTGTCTTTGCATGAGTGATCTTTCAGTTGCTTCTGAATTGTGTCTATTAATGCTTCCAATTCCTGCACGCCTGGATCCTTTTCAGTTTGCTTGCTGTAGAGAAAGGAAGGAAATGACTGCACATGGTATTTATTCTTGATCAGTCTCATCTCGGTGACCAAAGTTCTTACTTGATGAAATCAGGGAAGCTTCTAATCACAGCTTTGAGACTGAGCTGACCAATAACTGAACACTTGCCCACAGGCCGATAGCTGACCTCCACATCAGGAAGGCCCGACTGGGGGCAGTTTTTGAATTTCCTCCCTTCTTGCTCAGCCTCCTTTCCTGCCATCTGTTAATCACTGCATCACAAGGAGGCAAATCTAATACCACCACCATGCCAAATTTGGTATCTGTGAGAATCACATCATTGTCTCTTACTACTGTTGCAGATTAATGTTTCCTCATCTACAACTAAATGCCTGAGTGATATATATAAAGAGAGATGATAGATATAAATATATAGCTATAGATCTGTAGCCAAGAATCAACCTTTTATAGTTTTAATATTATTCCCTCTCCAATTCACACTGAATTTTGTGAAAGGTTATCTATGGAAGCTAAGAGATTGCTCTGTGAGGTAGAGTGAGAAGTTTGGGCTTAGCATTTACTGAAATTAAGAGAGAATAGTAACACAGGGTGTTGGGAAGAGAGAGGTCTAACCCTTCAAAAAACAACCACAATAAGTAGAGGCTCAATTTTTATTTCCTCTGAACATGAAGGTACAGTTATAAAATTAAAAATTTTAGAGCTGAAAGATTCCCTCATATTTCATCTTCATAAATCCTTTTAGAACAAAATGGGCCACATAAAGTCAGTAAGCATTCTTCCCTCTTTCAGTGATGAGAAAACACATTTGAAGACCCGAGTGACTGATCCCAGATCCCATGTCAGCGGCAAAACTAGCACTCACATCCCACTCCAGTTCCAACATATTCTCTCAATTATGCCCAGTCACCTCTCACTGAATTCCTCTCCTTCCGTAACTTGAAAACTATCAATCTACCATTGCTTTTCTGTATTTACTTTTCTTGCGTATAATATTTTTAAAGTTCACTGTTGCAAATAGCCTCTGTTTAACTTATTTCCCTCTTTTACCTGCTGGCAAGTCTTGCTGGGGAAGGTATAAAGTGGAATAACCTTTCAGGAAAAATTTGGAAACATGAAGCAAAAGTCCAGCAAATAATCTCAAATAATTTATCCTAAGGAAATAATCATGGGTTGTATGCAAAGATACATCTATAAGATTGTTTTGAGATAGTCTAAATGTCCAAAAATAGGGAATTAAATAATTTACACTACAATAAAGCAACAGAATAATACTGCAGCCATTGACAATGCTGCAGAAAGAGTATAAAGATATTTTTAGTGAGAAACTCAAGACATAAAAGTATGTATAGAGTGTTACCTTGTGTTATAAAAGTTGTGGGGGAATAAGAGTATATACTTAAAGTTGCTTATATTATTTAAAGAAACTCTGAAAAGATATTCAAAAAAATAAATGAAAGAGGTAGTTACCTATGGGGAGTGGAGGGTAAGAAGTGGGTACATGAAAGATGGGGTAGGAACAAAGCTTTTCCTTGGTCCCTTCATATCTGTGTCTTCAAATATTTCATTTCACAAGGGTTCATGATAGACTATCAAGTGAAAAAAGCAAAATAGTATTACAGAATTTTCCACTTTATATGCATCTTTAAAAACAAAATATTAGAAGCAGTTATCTCTGAGTTATAAGATTTTCAAAAATTTTTGTTTATTTCCATTTCTATTACCTAGATTTTTATTCCCTAAATTTTCAAATTCTGGTCATGTGTTACTTTTGTAGTAAGCCAAGAACAATAAAAATTGTTGTAATAATCCCCAATATCTAAATGCTCTCTGGCATTATTAATTATAGAAGCAGAATGTGTTTATCTGATGAATGTAATTCAAATCATATATACTAAATTATGAATGACCACCAGGGAGCTATTTTAGTGGCAGAAAGCAGTCAAACCTCAATCTTGCATGTGTTTCCAAGAACTAGAGCCATGAAACATATAAAGTTAAAATGTGATCATCCAATCATTTGGGGAAAGAGACAATAACTCTCCCTTTCCCAAAGAAGCCAGATTCCCATTCCCCTTTATACAGCAGGAAAAATACCCATGGCATCTGCTGCCTTTGAGCAAGATGGAGTAAATTCACAGATAGATGGCAATAGGTGGTACTGTTTAAGGAAGAGCTAGTTAAAGTTACAGCCCCTACTTTATTGCCAAAGCCCAAGTCAGGGCACACTCTGGAAAAGAGCTGCAAGTTACAGGGCAAGGTTTGCTCACATGGCTCAACAAGAAAACAGAGGGGCCAGCTGGTTATGTCCAACAGGGACTGCCAACTGAGAGGTGGCCGGAGGTCCTAACATGCTAGTTGAACTCTGTGCCAAGCCCTCCAATGACCTTCCATAACTTCCATAAAAGTGAACGTGTTTTATAGAGTGGCTAATCTTCCAGAGGTAAGAGGGATGTCACAGTTTTCTGTGTGCTCTTAGAATATTTTGCTATGAGCATCCTGGCAAAGTCCTCCACTTAGAAAATGAGACAGATAAGCAAAAAGAAGGAATAAGGAAGAGCAGGTGTGCTAGAAAGATGAAAATGACAATGGCTTCATTTTTAGTTGTACAAAGTGGGAGATGCTGGTGGCTCAGATGGACAAAGACATGTTGAAAATAGATTCAGCAGAATGGAGAGCAATTCAGATACTGCAATGTCTAGAAAGTTTAGAGAAGGCAAGCAAAAGGACCAAAAACAGGACCTTGAGAAATGCCAACCTAGTAGACGGAAGTAGGAAAGACACACACAATAGGCTTTAAGAGAGGTAGGACTACCAGAAACTTTGAATTTCCAGAACTCAAGAGAGGATTTCAAAAGAGGGGTAATAAAGAGTAATCAATATTATATGTAGATCAGAAAAACTAAAGACTATACCAAGGGGTCAGCAAACTATGACACCCAGGCCAAAGCCAACCTGCTGCCTATTTTTTATACATAAAATTTTATTGAAATATAGCCACTCCTATTCATTTATGTATTGTTTACGGCTGCTTTCACGCTGTAAGGGTAGAGTTGAGTAGTCATGCCAAAGAAGGTATGACCCACAAAGCCTAAACTACTTACTACCTGTCCCTTCACTTAAAAAAAAAAAAATTGCCAACCCTTGCTCTAGATTATGAGCTCCCTATTCTCTCATATAATTGCCTAAGCATTTAATATAAAGTTTGGTATATGGTATAAGCTCAAATATCTGTTGAATTAATGACTAAATGAGAAGAGTCCATTATACTTGGAAACAACCAATGACCTTCAAGAAAGCAATTTATGAAGCAGTCATTAAAAAAAGTCAAAAAGATTCTGGAGCAGTCAGGAGGAAAGTGGTTACAGACACAAAATAGAAGAATTAGATTTGAAGAAATAGGAGGAGTTACTTATCTCTGACAAAAGAAGGTAAAGAGAAGAAGAGTGATAGTAGAGAAACATTCTAAGATGAAGGGTGAGAAAACTGATGAAGCCCACATTGGATCATTTGATCTCATATTTGAAACCAATTACTTCTATCTCCTTAAAGAAAATGGAAAAGAAAATGAGAATATTTGGAAAATTCTCATGGGAAAAGTAGCTAGAAGTGAAAAAGAAAAGGATTAAAAAGATAATTGAGTAAGTGAGTAGGGTCCTCTTGAAGCTAAAGTGCACAAATAGGCATGTTAATGGAACAAGAATAATACATATGAACAAATGTGTGTATGTATCTATGCTATTCACACATGTGGATTTCCTGTGGAAGGTAGGTTAATAAGTGTGTGCATTTGCTGGCCTTAAGTCTTGAGTTCAAAATACTGCAGTGGAGGACCCCAAACCCAAAGAGAATTTAAGAACTTGAAGATGAAGTTAATACTCAGTTACCTATGCATTATTCTAATTTTCTGGCTCAGAGAAAGCAAATGGCCAACTCCAAATTTCATCATCTTAGAACTGACAATTGACATAAAAAGTACTGGTCTGACAAGTACTCATGATCCCCTTTCATGACTCTGCAATGAGTGGCAAAATATATTTGTAACTGCATTTCCTTAGATCGCGATTCTTTATCAGATGGGTGAGTCGGGAGCTAAACGCAGAATAGCTAAGAGGCACAGAAGATGCGACAGTGGATTTGTATCGTCTCCATGTGTTTTTCCTAACTCATCTCTCTGACCCATCACAAGAGAAGAAGGGCGGGGGTGAGGATCAAAATGAGGATGGCAATGGATCTCTTACCCCATGTCGTAGTCCATTTGTGTTGCTATGAAATAACTGAGGCTGGTAATTTATTTAAAAAAGAAAAGCAGGCTTATTTGGCTCAGAGTTCTGCAGACTGTATAAGGAACATGGTACCAACATTTGCTTCTAGTGAAAATGTCAGGCTGCTTCCCTTCATGGTGGAAGGGGAAGGGGAGCAGACATGTGCAGAGATCACATGATAAGAGAAGAGGCAAGAGAGAGAGAGTAGGTGGTGCCAGGCTCTTTTCAACAACAGTTCTCATGGGAACTACAAGTGAGAACTCATTCCTATGAGAATGGCACCAAGCTATTTATGATGGATCTGCCCTCAGGATCCAGACACCTTCCATGAGGCCCATCTCCAACAATGGGGATCAGATTTCAACATAAGGCTTCATGGGGCCAAACAAACCATATCTAAAACCATAGCTTGCTGGGGCCAAACAAACCATATCCATATGGCAACCTAAAATTTGAATTTCTCCTTATTTTTATTGATATCATATTCTAAGAGTCACAGTGGTATCTTTTCCTCATTACTACATTTTAAAAAACTTAAATTACTAAATTTAAAAAAATTTTAAAGATGATTTAATTAGTGGTATGCTGAAGCAAGAAGCTTTCCAGTGTCTGCTGGTATTTGCATAAACAAGTGACAATTACAGAAAAAAACTTTCGGGAAGTACTTGAATTAAATATATGACTATGAATATGAAGTGGGCCTTTAATGCTGTCCAACCACCAAACTACGCTTCTCTAGTCCGTTCAACCTCCCACTTTCCTGGAGAGCTATCATATTTGTTTAAGTCCTGAGGCATTTTTTTTTAAAGATGTGTCCATGAAATGAGACAATTTTTTTTTTTACATTTTAACATCTGTGGAATTAACATGCATTTTCAATTAATGATATGGATTATATTTGGCAATTTTTTCTTTCTTAGTAGTAGCTAAAATATGCTGTTTTAGATTTTATTTCATATTCATTTTATTGATATTTATATATTCAATAAAATAGAGCATTTCATAACTTCTCCTCTCTCTTGAAACCTCCAACATCTCCCTCTATCCTCACTGTTTCTACTGCACTACTATCACGAAACAATCACAAGGCCTCCCAATATCTACCCACCTACCAGAATCTGAACCCACATATGCTGCCTTTTGCCTGTTGCCCTAGATCAAGGTTTTAAAGAGTAATCCCAGGACTCTTGGAGGTTCCCAAGACCCTTCAGGGGTCTGTGAAGTCAAAATTATTCTTGTGATAATACTTAGTCATTATTTGTCTTTTTACTCTTGTTTTCCCATAAGTGCACAATGGAGTTTTCCAAAGGTCACACAACACAGGCTATCACCGCAGGCAGAATACAAAAGCACATGAAAATCCAGTCATCTTCTACTACTAAGTAAGTCAGACATTAAGAGGTTTGCAAAAATGTAAAGCAATATCACTCTTCTCACTAAATTTTTTTTGTTTGTAAAAACTGATTTTTCACAAAATTATGTTGTGTTGACATGAAATGGGTTTATCGTTTTCAAAATAAATTAATATTTGAAAATTTTTCAGATACAATTTCTAATATGCTAAATAGCAATAGATATAAACACATAAAAACTCTTTGGGGCCCTCAATAATTTTTAAGGGTATAAAGGTGTCTCAAGACCCGGAAGTTTGAGAAATACTGCCCTAGGTGAATAGTTGGTGCTTCTATCTGAAGCCAATTCCTCCACTCATACTAAACCCCATCCTCTCACAAACTCCAGAAATTGTCCCCGCTCTCTCACACACTTATCAATGTTTTCCTCTCTATGGAATCATTCCCATTAGCATACAAACATGCTATTTATTCTATGTAAAAACAAAAGCAAAAACAAAATAAAACAAAAACTTCTCCTGACTTCACTTTCTCTGCCAGCTGCTGCCCCATTTTTCTGTTGTCCCTTGCACCAAACCTCCCCAAAAGAGTAGTCTCCGCTCTGATCCAGAATTCCTCTCTCCCATTCTCTCTTAAATCTACTGCCATCAGGTTCTCCCCCTCTTCCCATTCCACTGAAACTCCTCATTAAGGTCTCCAAGGTCCCCAATTCCCTTAATATTGCTAAATCCCCATCTGACATAATGAATCATTCTGAGGTAGGAAGTGGGGCTCGACTCTGGAGGCTCGGCTCAGACACAGGGCCAAATTGAGGACTAGCTAAAATAGGTCTGGGGCAGAGGCAGCTTTCCATAAGACATGCCCACCAGTGCGCCATATCAGTTTACCATTGCCATGACAACATCCGGAAGTAACCACCCCTTTCCACAGCAACGACGCGAACACCTGGAAGTTACCACCCTTTTCCTGGAAATTTCTGCATAATATGAGTGCAGAACTGCCTTTGAGCTACAATTCTGGGCACAATGCCTATGGGGTATCCCTACTCTACAAGGAGCAGAACCTCAGCTGCTGCTGTACACTGTTGCTTAAAAACAGTTGCTGTTTAACAGCACCAGCTCTCCCTGGAATTCTTTCTTGGGAAAAGCCAATAACTCTCTCTGGCTGAGCCCTAATTTTGAAGCTCACCTGTCCTCCATCAAGTCTGTCTTCCTTGATATGATGGCATTTCTCAGTTTGCACAGTTACAAGATGCATGAATTTCGATTACCACCATTTAGTAAAATAACCCATTCCCCCAACAACATGGTTCAAATTTCAGTTAACACAGTTAATAACTATGAGTAATTGCATAAAGTACAAACTTATCTGTCAGGACTTTAGTCCACTAACCACAATGTAATTAAACAGATGCATATCACAATCAGTGACAATTACATCACTTCTTTCAAAGTCTGTTGGTGACTAGTCACTGTATATTTGTTTTATAGTTCACGCAGACAGTAAAGTGTGTAGCTATCTTGCCTCCTTGTCTCTCAGTGATACACAAACTTTATTTTACAAAAATGGAAAATCAAAAGAGAGAATTGGCCAATAAGGATGAAAGTACAGCAAAGATGCAAGAAGTGAATTCAAGTCAAATATAAATAGAGTTATAGAAGAGAAAGCTGACTGTAGGAATGTCGACACAGCTGCCTTTCAAGAGAATCTGGATGTGCAGCCAGTGGAAACTGGTGAAGGCAAACCTATCAACATAAATGAGAAAAGTGTTTGTAATAAAAAGAATGAAGATATCCCAGATGCCTATAAAATGCTTCACATTAAAAGAACTCTCAGAGATATTTCATTCTCATTAAAGGAAGTCTAAGACATATTTTATAACATTGAAAGCAAAAATCATAAAATGTTGGAAGTTGATCCAATCTTAAACAGGAATATGACAATTCACCAAGGCACAGAACAGACGTTCAGTCTGCATCATAAGTTATACAATGAGAAGTAGGCAAGTGCTGCTCAAACCACTTTTGATAAAGTTTTTATAAAGAAATAAAACACTTTAATTATTAATGTTATCAGTGTTTTAAATTACAATGTGCTAAGTAAAAATTAGTTTTACTATTTTTTCATGTCCTTATACATTTACAACCATAACATTTTTAATGCTGTGACAAATTTTTTTTTTTTTTGAGACGGAGACTTGCTCTGTCGCCCAGGCTGGAGTGCAGTGGCGCAATCTTGGCTCACTGCGACCTCCGCCTCCTGGGTTCAAGTGATTCTCCTGCCTCAGCCTCCTGAGTAGCTGGGATTATAGGTCTGCACCACCATGCCTAGCTAATTTTTTTGTATTTTTAGCAGAGACGGGGGTTCACCATGTTGGTCAGGCTGGTCTTGAACTCCTGACCTCATGATCCGCCCACCTCGGCCTCCCAAAGTGCTGGGATTACAGGCATGAGCCACCGCGCCTGGCAGTGACAAAAATTTTTAAAGGGCACAGAACAATTGTACATTTTCCCTTTGATTATTAAAATTGTTTTGCATGTTATTTTTTACAGTCCTATGCTACCCCTTCATTTGACATCCAGGATACCACATTTTCTTCCTGCTTTATTCGTTTTCCTTTTCAGTCTCCTTAACTGTAAGCGTTGGTGGACCCCAGAGCTTAGTTCTTAGAGCCATTCTTTTCTTTAGCTACATTAACTCCTTTAGAGATTTCACCCAGGCCAGGAGCAATGGCTCACGCCTGTAATCCTAGCACTTTGGGAGGCCAAGGAGGCAGAATCACTTGAGCCCAGGAGTTCTGGGCAACAAACTGAGACCCCTGTCTCTACTGAAAATTTAAAAATTAGCTAGGAATAGTGGTGTACACCTGTAGTTCCAGCTACTTGGGAAGCTGAACTCAAGGAGGATCTCAGGAGTTTGAGGCTGCAGTGAGCTATTATTCCACTATTGGCACTGCATGCCAGCCTGGGTACAGAGCGAGATCCTGTCGAGAGAGAGAGAGAGAGAGAGAGAGAGAGAGAGAGATCATGCAGTCTCACAGCCTAAAATATCACTATATGCCAACAACACCCACATTTACATCGCCAGCCCAGACCTCTCACTCAAACTCCAGATTTACATATCCAACAGACTATATGCTCTCTACTTGGCTGTCTTAAACCTAATATACGATATATCCAGAACTGAAATCCCCACCCCAACCAACAAAGAAGGCAACTGCTCTACCCACATCCCGCATCTTCCCCATCTCAGGTGATCACAATTTCTTCCTTCCTGTTCCTCAGGCCAAACATCTTGGAGTCATCCTTAATTATTCTTTTCCCCTCACATCCCCTAGAAAATCTATCTGAAGTCCAATTGGTGCTACCTTCAAAATACATCCAAATCAGACCACTTCTCCCCACCTCCACTGATACCACCATCCTGGGCCCAAACATCACCGTCTCTTGCCTGGAATACTGCAATAGTCTCTTAACTAATCTCTCTCCTAATCTACTTTCAACAAAACAGCCAGGATAGTTCTTTTAAAATATATGTCAAATCTTGCTACTCCTCTATTCAGATGCCCCTGCTCCCAATGGCTCATTTCATTCAGAGAAAAAAGCCAGCACCTTTCCAAAGACCTAGTAAGTCCTACACAATCTAGCCCATTGTTAATTTTCTAATTCCATCTCCTACTCCTCTTCCTCTCACTCACTCAATTTCAGCCACCCCCACTGGCCTACTTCTTCCCAATGTTCCTTGAGTACTTTAAGTAAAATATTGCTAGTATTTAGGGCCTTTGCATGCGCTATTTCCTCTTCCTGAAAAGCACTTCCTCCAGAAATCCACCCAGCTAACTCCCCTCAAGTGTTTGTTCATTGTCACCTCAAGGTACAACCACCTACCCTGACCTACCTTCACAACCTACTGCCACTCTCCAGAAACACTTATTACTCTTAATTTGCTCCAATTTTTACAGCATTCATCACCCAATATACTGTATAATTTATTTGTGTTATTGTCTATCTCCTGCTGCTTGGAAGGTCAACTCAATGTGGGCAGCAACTTCTTGTCTATTTTGTTTACTGATAAAAGTCCAAGGGCCTAGTGATAGTCTCTGACACATAATAGGCATTTAATAATTATAGCTGACTCTTGAACAACAAGAATTTGCATTGCACAGGCCCACTGAAACTTGGATTTTCTTCTGCTTTGCCACCCTTGAGACAGCAAAACCAACCCATCCTTCTCAGCCTACTCAACACGAAGATAAGGATGAAGACCTTTAAGATGATCCACTACCACTTAATGAATAGTAAATAATTTTCTCTTTCTTATTATTTTCTTAATTTTCTCTAGCTTACCGTATTGTAAGAATACAGGATGCAATACACATGACAGAAAATATGTGTTAATCAACTGTTTATGTTATCAGTAAGGCTTACAGTCAAGAGTAGGCTATTAGTAGTTAAGTTTTGGGGTGTCAAAAGTTATACATGAATTTTCAGCTGTGGAGGGAGGCTGGTACCCCTAACTCCCACATTGTTCAAGGGTCAACTGTATTTGCTAAACAAATGAAGTTGAAAAAGTTCTAAGTTACTAGCTATTACATTGACACAGGGAACCTTCTGTTTATATCTAATAATTCCCACCTGGTGAGAGAAATCAGAAAATCTAAAATGTGATTACTCATTTGTTTTCTCAAGAATTACTTCCTGAATATCTTGAGTGTGCCAAACCCTAGCAATCAAACACACACCTTTCTGCTTCTGGAGCAGGCGCTTCTCGCTTTCGGACATGGTTCTGAATTGACGCGAGTGCTTCTGGTGAATACTGGGCAGCGTTGCTCTCCATGTATTTCAAAACATACTCGTCTGTATCAAGGATGATGAACCGGTGACCAAACACTGGAGAGAAGGTAGCAACACACTTAGCTTGGTGATGTTCTCTCACGCAATCAGGAGTAAAATAGTATTAACCCTCCAATGATAAATTCACAGGTATGCATTTATGACAGAAACTAATGAGCTTTCTTTAAACGACATACTAATATGCAGTCGTTTGCTCAGTATTTACAAAACTTATTGTCGACATCTGTAGCCAACAAATGCAATCAACTTAAGAGTTTAATTGATTAGGAAGGCGATTAACACATTATACCATATATACAAGGATAGTAGCTTTATCTCAGTTGCAATACAATCTAATTGCCTCTTACAGGGTTAAATGAATTAAATTCCAATTAAGAACTCATTCAGGCAGCCAGTAGGAAATTCTGGACTGTGTTTAGACCTACCTTCAATCACAGCACCAATGAAGAAGTCACTGGGGCCATAGTAGACAGGGTTGTCCACTGTAGAGTATGGTTTAACAACTTTAGTCCTGCCAAGGTACTTGCCCCCAATGATACCAGAATTGCGAACAGGAGGCTCAAAGATACTGATCATGTCGGTAGCTAGAAAGTAAGAGAAGACAAATCTGCGGTCTTTGTCTTCTGGGATGGGGGATTCCTACAAAGGTGAAGAAAAGAGGATATTATGAAGGTTCATGGTCTATGCAGATGTGCCAACTTAAATGCCTATAGGGGCCAGGTATAGGATATAAATGAAGCAGTCTGGGTTTTTACAATATAAACAAACCATCTATGGGGAAACTCTGGTGTCTCTGGGAAGAACATGCCTCATCTAAGGGAAGCTTCCCAAGGGAGGCCGCACCAACTCAACTCAATTGTTGCCTTGTGAGAATGTAGGCCCAATGTTGCTAGATCTTTCAGTTTTTCAAAAGATAAAAATGTGGATTATTATTTTAAACCTCTGATTTTAAAGTACTGATTCCAACTCTTTTAAAGCACCATGAAGCCCAAACAAACACAGTATACTAGAACATATATGTGGGCTACATTCTGACCACAGGCTGCTAGTTGAGACCTGTTGGCTGACATTATGTTCAACTTCATGAACACTAAGATGATTATGCAAGGTTTCGTTTTTTAAGCAAATCAATTTATATACATAATGTAAAAAATAAAATTCAAAAAGAAGGGATAAGAGTAATATAAAATCAAAGAATTGAAAGTGATTCTGAGAAACTACCTTGTAGACAAGACTTTTTCTTTTTTTTTATTATAGTTTAAGTTTTAGGGTACATGTGCACATTGTGCAGGTTAGTTACATATGTATACATGTGCCATGCTGGTGCACTGCACCCACTAACTCGTCATCTAGCATTAGGTATATCTCCCAATGCTATCCCTCCCCCCTCCTCCCACCCCACCACAGTCCCCAGAGTGTGAAATTCCCCTTCCTGTGTCCATGTGATCTCATTGTTCAATTCCCACCTATGAGTGAGAATATGCGGTGTTTGGTTTTTTGTTCTTGCGATAGTTTACTGAGAATGATGATTTCCAATTTCATCCATGTCCCTACAAAGGACATGAACTCATCAATTTTATGGCTGCATAGTATTCCATGGTGTATATGTGCCACATTTTCTTAATCCAGTCTATCATTGTTGGACATTTGGGTTGGTTCCAAGTCTTTGCTATTGTGAATAATGCCGCAATAAACATACGTGTGCATGTGTCTTTATAGCAGCATGATTTATAGTCCTTTCGGTATATACCCAGTAATGGGATGGCTGGGTCAAATGGTATTTCCAGTTCTAGATCCCTGAGGAATCACCACACTGACTTCCACAATGGTTGAACTAGTCTACAGTCCCACCAACAGTGTAAAAGTGTTCCTATTTCTCCACATCCTCTCCAGCACCTGTTGTTTCCTGACCTTTTAATGACTGCCATTCTAACTGGTGTGAGATGGTATGTCTTTGTGGTTTTGATTTGCATTTCTCTGATGGCCAGTGATGATGAGCATTTTTTCATGTGTTTTTTGGCTGCATAAATGTCTTCTTTTGAGAAGTGTCTGTTCATGTCCTTTGCCCACTTTTTGATGGGGTTGTTTATTTTTTTCTTGTAAATCTGTTTGAGTTCATTGTAGATGCTGGATATTAGCCCTTTGTCAGATGAGACTTTTTCTAAATCAAATTGCAGAGTGATCACACAACCCCTAAGGAAGAAATTCCAGTTCCAACAAAACTTAATACAGATTTGTTTATTCCTGACTGAAATCCGCTCATATTGTAACTGTAGCACATCTTCTCATTAAGACCATGGGATTGTTTGTGTAATAATTCCTCATCTATTAAAAAAGTCATTAGATTTTTCTCTTAGTAAAATAATTTTCTCATATCATTCCTTCATCTAATAGTCTCCAAATCATTTGGATTGTACACCCATGTAATAAAAATATAAATGTTAAACAACTACAATATAGTTAAAATCAAATCATATCACTCCTCTGCTCTCAAACCTTCAAAGAATTTCTAGCACACTTAGAATAAAATACAAACTTCTAAGCAGGGGCATACCGGGGGGTTGGGGGGGACAATGGTAATGGTTTATTATGGCAGGAAAGAGTACTATAAAACTTTAAAAAAATTATTGTCTTTATTGGGAATGAGGTTTACATTTATAGAAAAGCATAAATATTACAGAGAATTATCACTCCCCTCACCAAGGTTCTCCTAATGTTAACATCCTATATAGCCATTAGTACAATTATCTGAACCAGGAAAATAACAATAGTACAATATTAGTAAATAAACTATGGTCCTTATTCAAATTTCACCCTGTTTCTCACAAATGCTCTTTTTGTTTCAGGATCCCATCCAGGATCCCACATTGCATTTAGTTATTATTTCTCTTTAGTCTCCTCCAATATGTGATAGATAGTTCCTCAATCTGCCCTTCTCTTTCATGACTTTGACGCTTTTGAAGACTACTCATCAATTATTTTCTTGAATGTTCCTCAGGCATCTCATTTTTGCATTTTTGGCAAAAGTAACCCAGAAAAGATACCATGTCTTTAGTGTATACCAGGGAGTTTATGATGTCAATATATCTTATTATGGATAACACTGACCTTGATCACTTGGTTAAGGTTTCTGCTGGATTTCTTCCCTTAAAGTTACCATATTTCCCTTTGCAATTACAAAACATCTTGGGGGAGATGTTTTGAGATTATGGGAATCCTGTTTCTCCTCAAAGGTTTTCCCACTAATTTTAGCAGCCATTGCTGGATCTTATCTGCAACCATGATTACAGCAGTGTGTGCCTAATGATAATTTTACTACTTCCCACTTTTCTTTTACATTAATTAACTGAAATTCTACTGTATGGAGGAGCCATCCCTTTGGGGATGAGTATCACTGATGTTGTTTAGAATTACAGGCACATGATAATAAGAAGAAACAGACCAACTTTTAGTTGGTTTTATTTTTAAATTCTCTGCAGCTTGTTATCTATACTTTCTTGTTACCTGGACTGCTCCCATCAGCCCATTCCTCTGGCCTTGTTATACCACTGGTTGCAGAGCCCTGGCTGGCCCCCGACCTGTCATTTCCACCTTTTTGCCCTCCATTCACTGCACACTGTCTCGGTCTTACATGAAGCTCTCTCAGGTATTCCCCTGGCTGGCTCCCTCAGCTATTCGTTTGGTTTCTGCTCTGCTATGACCTCCTCAGAGAGGCTTTCCCCATTCTGCTGATATAAATGAGCCCCTTCCCCATCATTCTCTGTCTCATTTTATTTTTTACAGCACATGTTACTACCTATCCTTATACAATGTATTTATTTGACTAGAATGTCAACTAGAATGTAAGCTCCATGAGAGCAAATATTTGTCTATCTTGTTCTCCACTGTACCTTTGGTATCTAGAACCATATCTAGCCCAGAGTAGTCCTTTAATATTTGTTGAATGAATTAATAATTAAACATATGTTCTTCTATATAAATATAGTTTGTGCATTAAAAGGCACATATAAAAATATCAGAGGCTATAAAATAAATGCACTCATAGTAAATAAAATAAACAGAGGCTGTAATATTTTCTTAACAAACACCACACATGGTACTGTCTTGCGTATCTCTTGGAAGACATTCAGCTGCTTTGAAGATTATGGTTCAAATCATGTTTCTGTTCTTCGAAAGCTTTGCCAAGTTTCTCAGCCAGCATTCCACTCTCAGTCCCAGAGAGTTTACCAGCATATTTTTACTTAGGCACCAATTGCCTACTAGGATTTAGTACATGTTATTTTCTCAGAACACATCCAGTGTCTTAGTCTGACCTCCATGGGATTTAATTAATTTGTCTCTGATCATTTCTATAGCATACTCCTTTCTTTTTGAATTTCCATATATTTTCTTTTGAAGTCCCCGCCTCACTCATAAACCTTTTCCCCTTATTGTCAAGCACCCTTTCTTCCTCAAGAACTTTTGTGATGAGTCTAATGAATACATTCTCTATTTCACCCAATAGGTCAGGGGAAAACATCTGAAAATTACCATGACCAGAATATCACCTCTTTTTTCCTGCCCACATAAAGATATCCACTATTTCTTTACTAATAGTTCTGTTGGCTTTCTTTTAATTTTTTTTACTGTGAGCAGTAACACAGAGAGAAAACTGCAAAAAAAAAAAACCCAAAACAACAATAAAAATATCAAAATGCACAGCCGAAAGAATTTTAATAAAGTAAACACCCATATAACCACCATCCAGGTTGAGAAACAGAACGCTGCCAGAACCTCCCAATCAATATTCTATCCTTCCCCCACCAAACAGGCCATTGCCTTGAATTGTATGGTTTTCTTTAGTTTTGCTACAAAGCAGACATCCATAAAGTTTTGTTTTGTCTGCTTTTTAATCTTCATATAAATGAATTACATAATATGTATGCATTCTTTTGTGTCTGGATTCTTACATTCAAAATTATGTTTATGTGATTTAGCCATGTTGTTATTAGTAGCTGTAGTTCCTTAATTTTCATTGAACAGAAATCAAATTATGACACAAATATACCACAACTTATCCAGTCTGTTGTAGGTAGACATTTAGGTCTATTTTTGCTATTATGAATTACGCTATTATAAACATTCTTATTTTTTGGTGAACATATATTGCACCCTTAGCACCATCTAGTAAATTTATTATGCCAAACTGTTTTACAAAGTGGGTATACTCTCTTAGTAAAGAGTATGAGAGTTCCTATGGTTACATATTCTCATCAACATATTAATGATTCTGATGGGTGGGTAGAGGCAACTCACTATGATTGTAATCTGCACTTCTTTAGTTACTAACGAAGCTAAGCAACTTCTCATATGTACATATTTTTAAAGACAGAGTCTCTGTTGCCCAGGTTGGAGTGCAGTGGCAGGATCATAGCTCACTACAGCTTCGAACTCCTGGGTTCAAGTGATCCTCCCGCCTTAGTGTCCCAGGTAACTGGGACTATAGGCACATGCCACCAAGCCCAATTAACTTATTTTTTTATCTTTGTAGCGATAGGGTCTCATTATGTTGCCCTATGACATAGGGTTCAAGTGATCTTCCTGCCTCCGCCTCCCAAAGTGCTGGGAAAACAGGTGTGAATCACTGCACCTGGCCCTTCTAATATGTTTAGTTGCCTCTTGGATATCCTCTTTTGTGAAATGCCTGTTCAAGTTTCTTGCTCATTTTTCTTAATGATTTCAGAGTGTTCTTTATATATTCTGAATATAAGATCTTGGTTGATTTCTGTATTAAACATCTGCTCCCACTTGAAGCTTGCCTTTTTTTACAATCTTAATGGTGTTTTTTGGAAGAACAGAAATTCTTTATCTTAATATAATCAAATTTATCCATTTTAATTAATTAATTAATTAAGGAGACAGAGCCTTTCTCTGCCACCCAGGCTGAAGTGAAGTGGCTCAGTCTCGGCTCACTGCAACCTCCGCCCCCCAGACTCAAGTGATTCTCCTGCCTCAGCCTCCCAAGTGGCTGGGACTACAGGCGTGCACTAACATGCCCAGCTAATTTTTTGTATTTTTAGTAGGGTCAGGGTTTCAACATGTTGGCCATACTGGTCTCAAACTCCTGAGCTGGGGCAGTCTGCCCACCTTGGTCTCCCAAAGTGCTGGGATTACAGGCATGAACCACCGTGCCCGGTCATTTATCCATTTTTAAAACATGACTGGTTTTTTGTATCCGACTAAATAAATCTTTCCCTACTATAATGTTAAGATTATTTATTGCTAAGAAGTTTTATTGTTTTACCTTTCACATTTAGATTTTCAATCTACCTAGACCTGATTTCCACTTTTGGAGTGAGATGGAGGTCAAATTTTCTTTTTTGTTACATGAATATCTGATTGTTTGATATCACTGATTAGAAACATCTTCCTTTCCCAGCCCCTCTGCAGTGCTGTATTTGTCATATGTCTTTTCCTGGGCTGTCTAATCTGTTCCATTGGTTTGTTTATCCTTGCACCAATAACATGTTATTTTAATTACTGTGACTTTTAATACACAGTGATATTTTTGTGAGCAAAATCCACTGATCTTGCTCTTCTCCAAGAGTATCTTGGCTATTCCTGGTGCTTTGCCTCTCCACTTAAATTATAGAATCAATTTGTCTGTAAAAATAAAAACATTTTTGGATTTTTTGACTTAATTTTAAACCATAGATCAATTTGGGGAAAATATTTTTATAATACTGAATTTTCTAGCCAATGAACATGGTATATCCCTTCATTTATTTAGGTCTTCTTAATTTTCTCTCAATAATATTTTAGGTGTTACATATTTTTGGTATGTAACATATCTTTTGTATGTAACACCTAAAAGATATGTAACACCTAAAGTGTTTTTGTATGTAACACCTAAAAGATATGTAACACCTAGGTGTTACATATCTCTTGTATGTAAAAGATATTACATATCTCTTGTATGTAAAAGATATTACATATCTCTTGTATGTAAAAGATATTACATATCTCTTGTATGTAAAAGATATTACATATCTCTTGTATGATAAAGATACATCTTTTAGGTGTTACATATCTTTTGTATGTAACACCTAAAATATTATACCAAGGAATTTAATTTATACCTAGGAATTTAATATTTTTGATGCTATAGTAAATGGTATTTTTTAACTTTATGTTTTCTTTGTTGCTATTTGTATATTGACTTCCCTAATGTAGAAGGTAGATTCTTTATTTTCTATATATACAATTGTTCATTTTGGATAATGACAATTTTATTTTTTCCTCTTCAATCCATATACTTGTTTATTCGCTTCCTGTTTCACTGTTCCAGCTAGGACTTCCAGAACAATGTGGACCAGAAGGGGTGATAGCAGTCTTGCCTTGTTCCTAATCTCAGAAAGTACCCTTTCGACATTTCATCACTAAGTAAGCTGTTTGCAGTAGACTTTTCATACATAACCTTTAACAGATAAAGGAAACCCCCTTTTATTCTTTTTTTTTATTAAAAGTTTTGTTTTCTTTCATTTTTACTTTTTTAAACTTTTATTTTAGGTTCAGGGGTATATGCGAGTTTTATTTTTAAATCATATTAGATTGATTTTAGCAAATGCTTTTCAAAATTTAATTTTTCTCTTTTATTCTGTTAATGTGATGATTTTTCAAAACTGAAATAGACTTTTTTGGCTTATTTCTCATCTTTTGCTGAAATTCTCAATCTTATTCTTTATCTCCTTAAACATGGTAAACAAAGGTTTTTAAAAATTTTTTTTTTAATTTTATTATTTAGTTATTTATTTATTTTATTTTATTTTTAGACGGAGTCTTGCTCTGTCGCCCAGGCTGGAGTACAGTGGCACAATCTTGGCTCACTGCAACTTCCACCTCCCAGGTTCAAGCGATTCTCATATCTCAGCCTCCTGAGTACCTGGGATTACAGGTGCATGCCACCATGCCTGGCTAATTTTTGTATTTTTTTAGTAGATGCAGGGTTTTAGCATGTTGGCCAGGCTGGTCTCAAATTCCTGACCTCAAGTGATCTGCCCTCCTTGGCCTCCCAAAGTGTTGGGATTACAGGTGTGAGCCACTGCTCCCGGCTTAAGTTTAAGTTTCATAGTGCCAGTATCTGAAATCCCTATAAGTATATTCTATTGTCTCTTATTTCTGGTCACTTTTCTTTATGTTATCTTGTCTTGTTTCTGAACATTGTATTATTAATATTGTTTTTGTGAGTGCCACACATTGTATTTTTAAAATTGTAGAAATAAATTGAAGCTGAAAATGATGTCATCTGCAGAGAATTTGTTTGCTTCTGACAGTCACCTGGGGTTATTATAATCCAGGATCACCTTAATCTGATTTGTAAAACTGAGACAATCAGGGACTATGATAATTCAAAGCCAGACAACAGTCCCTTCAAAGATTAGCTACAGACAGACTTAAGCACAGAGGGTTTCCCAGGAGCTTCTGCCTTTGACAGGCCCTAAATAGATTCCAATGTTTGTCCTCACAGGTGGGTCTTCTGGAATCAGCAAACACGCCTAGCGGAAAAATGAACCCAAATGTCAGGTTCACTTCTGCGGTTCTCATTGTTCCCCTGGTTCTTGCTCTGTGATTCTTCACATCTTGCTAGTTGTCCAGCACCTTCAAGTGCTAACACACATAAACATACACATACACACAAACATACACCTCAGCAAGAGGGCTGATCCAAATTATTTGGTCTATCATTGCTAGAAATAGAAGTTCTCTGTAAATGCTTTAACTTTTAGTGATATATCATGTTTGACCAGGTTGCTTGTGAGTACAGAAGGCTGCAATCAAAAGAAATTTATCTTTTCTCCTCATTTAGCAATATCTAACACTATTCATAGCCATTTTTGTAATCAACTTTGTATTAATTTTTCCAGGTTTTTCATTATCAAAGGTAAGCTTACAATTTTGCAGTTTACAGACTCATAGGAGTTCCTTTCCCTTTTCTAATCCTAAGTATTATACTGGTTCTTCATCAAAAGAATACTGGGTTGAAAGCCAGAAGGCTGAGTTCTAGTCCTACCCCTGTCTAAGCAGCACTGGACCTGGGACAAGACAATTAGCCTTTCTGTTTCTTAAGTTTTGAAACATAAAATGGGTACAATATTGTATTGCCTTACTCATGGATAATGTGTGCAGAAATAAATTCTTTTGCCTACTGAACGAACAGTTACTGAGTACCTACAAAGTCTAGAAGGACATGATTCCTGCCCTTAAGGAGTTATAGTTACCATATAATAATTCAACAAGCCGCTTGAATTTTAACAGTAACTGAAAGAATCTAGTACCACAAAACCTTTATTGGTCAGAATTCTTATGGAGAGTGTTCTAGTTGGCCTACATTTTGCTGTTTTGTTGTTTTCTTAAAAAATTTTGTTTTTAGCCAGAACTCTCTTTTTATTTAAAGCTTTGTGCAATCGTTTTCTAAAATCTATTATTCAGTTGTCTTCACCTTAGTTTTTATCTTTTCAAATACATGTATATAGTTTGAAAAGTCACCTGACACCTCCTACCCCCAGCTCCTAATTCCTATTCTGAGATATAACTTATTTCAACTTCTGCTATTTATGTTCATATTTCTAATAAAATGGTTAGGTTCCTATTCTACATTTTTTTTCCATTTTAAAGACCTTACACTTTGAATTTCTATCAGCAACTTCTCTCATACAATTCTGCTAATTAATGGGATATGCAGAATTTGAGTGTATGTCTATTTCCAACTCCATGCTCTTAACTATTAGTCACATAACCTCTCAAGATATCAGGCAAGATATCACAGATAAACGCAAAACTTACTAAGACATGGTCCCTAACCTCAAAGAAATCACAGTATACCAAAAAGCCACACAGATACACACATGGTTTGAATATTAAGCAATTTCATAGTTACTTAATAAAAGAGGCAAAAGATCTGTCAACATTTGAGGTGTAAGAGTGAGAGATTAATGATCTTAAGAAAGATTCTTGGGAGAGATAGGACTTGATCTAGGTCTTAGTTCAGGGGCACCATACTTAATACTATCCAACCTCCCTGAAGGCTGGGTACTAGATACAATGGTTGGTTGAGTCAACACATAACTCTGACAGCTGTTAATCTACAGCTTACAGATAAAATAAACAATTGTACACAGTACTGAGATAGAAGAGAATCTTTAGTATATAAAAATTAGCCTCACCAGTACAGCCAAATAACGAAGCACCTTGTTATCATTCACCAGCATTTTAATAACGTCTTTTTTTGGAGCTTTTGGAATGAGAGCAAAACAATTCTGAGCAGAATCTTCCACTAGTCCAAAACCGTTATAAGGAGGCAACTCCTGGAGATACATAGGAAGCAAGAAGTAAGGCAGATACTACTTGTGTTAAGATTACATTAAAGGTAACTATAAGTTTAAAGAAAAAACTCTAGAAAATACTTATGCAAATATATTTTCTACATAAACAAATATAGTCAGAAAATATAACATATCACTTATCCCCTTCCTCTGTGGATTTTGCATCATGTTCACTGATCACAGAAGTAACTGATGATGCTCTAAAGTAACTCTCAGGGCTACAGAGAAACTATTGCTGATGTCCACTGACCCCTTACTACAAAAGCAGGACCTAGTCCCACCCCAGTGAGGGTCCTGTGTAGCACACATTTTCTCTTGTATATACCTCCACAAAATCTTTTTATATATTATTTTCAGGCACTTTAACAAGTAAGTCCATATAGTCCCTAGTACCATCCATAACAGAGTATTTCTTCAACAACAAAGGACTATTAAATTTGTCTACGGCGTACTACTTGGAACACTGACCCCAAAATCACTTGCTGGGACTGTAGTTAATGTGGTAATCATGGCTAGAATATGACTAGTGGATTTAGCAGATGGAAAATGACCTAATTTGCTTCAATTGCAAAACCACTACTCAGTGAATTTACAGGTAACTATGGACAGAGGAACCCTGAGCTGACGGCCTACATGCTAAGCATCTGAGTTTTCTCTGGAGGCTAGGCAGAAACTGCAAAGTGGTGGTATCTGAACTTGCTTTGCACTTGTACCAACACCACACAATGAGAGCATCCTGGCTGGGGGGCCAATAGGGAGGTCACTGAGGGTTGAAGGATTTTGCAATAAGAAGGTAGCTATAAAGCCTCTGGGCCTTCTTCTCAAATTCCTATTGTATTTTAACAAACTTTACCTGTTTTTCCTGAATATACTCACTTCCCCTGCCTGGAATAAAGACCTTCCCTAAATATCAGTCCATATGTACGGTATCCTTGCACCTTGCTTCTCATACTTCAAGCTACTGCTTGGGTGGGTCCCGTTGTAAACTAGATGAACACTCATCTGACTATGGATATCATCACTCCTAGATACTCCTGCTCATATGATCCACTTACCAGAGTTTCTGTCTGGACATCTTCAACCAAGCTAGTAGTACCCTTAGAACCCCAGAGTACCATAACCTTCAGATACTGCTTTCAGGGGAAGTCTCCATAGCAGATTAGCTCTCCTAGTTCTGGTTTCTTTCTTTTCCCTACCAGCATGCCTCCAGATGGAGCCAGCCTGACAGAAAACACATCTGGCTATTGCATTTATGTTTACTTATTCCTGATCTAGCAGAGAAGCTTGACTTACAAGTGCCATACCTCTCGAATTGAATATATCCATTTCGTATCTACTTCTATCCCTGCATTGGCTTGGCTCTAGCTTTATTCCTCTAGACTCTGCTACAAATTCCTATCCCTGGTTTCCATTTATGTTATTTAGGGTTAAAATGACTGAGGTATAATGACTAAAAAGCGTTTGCTGATTGGTAATTGGCATTCTATTTATCTCTAACAAATTTCATGGACAGGTGGAATTTGTTTATTATAGAGCTATTTATTATAGAGAAAGTACGGGAAAGAAACTGACCAAACACTATAATTAATGTGCCATATGTATAGATGTTTTATTATATAAAATTAGTTTTATTATACAAAAGGGCTGGGATAGAGCAAAACAACCAACCAAAATCTACAGTAGATCTTCAGTTCCCCTCTGCTCTTTATCCAGGGCTTCCCTCTCTTTTCTTTACTTCAAGATAGGTTAGGAGAAAAAAAAGATGATAGTAATAAGGATGGGGAACAGAGGTATTCTAAGACTCAAAAAATTCCATTGGCTCAAAAGACAGATCAGGCCGGTGCGGTGGCTCATGCCTGTAATACTAGCACTTTGGGAGGCCAAGGTGGGTGGATCACCTGAGGTAGGGAGTTCCAGACCAGCCTGGCCAACATGGTGAAACCCCGTCTGTACTAAAAATACAAAAATTAGCTGGGTGTGGTGGCACGACCTGTAGTCCCAGCTACTGGGGAGGCTGAGGCACAAGAATCGCTTGAACCTGGGAGGTGGACGTTGCAGTGAGCCAAGACTGCACCACTGCACTCCAGCCTGGGACACAGAGCAAGACCCTGTCTTAAAAAAAAAAAAAAAAAAGTCAAAGTCCTTTCACCAAGAAAAGGGCATCACTATGTTGTAATCTCTCACTACTCTACCTCCTGGTTAGATAACCATCCTTATCTATTAACTGAAGTGGTAAAATAGTTTCCTTGATCAAAATCTAAATCTGTTCTCATGGTATTTTCCCCTGTGTACTGCATCAAATGCTGCCAAGAAACTTGGGGGCAGAGAGTTTATCATAATTCTTTTTCTTTTCACAATGCATTACACCAGGAGAGGGTTTATCATTGTTCTTAATCAATGAACACATCATTGATAAAGAAATCTATCAGAGAAAAAACTGACAGCAAGAGGTATTATCACCCACACTTCCTTCCAGAAATTGTATTGCCTCTGGGAACTCACAGCATACCAAAATCCAAATCCTTCTTTGTAATCGTTTCTATAAAACATTGTTTCTAAAAGTTTTGCCTAAGACATCACTTCCTTTTTGCAGAACACCTTCATAGCCAATTTTCTTCAGTCCAGTTCAAGAAACATATTATATACCTCCTATTTATTAGGCACTGTATTAGGTACTAGGAGAGAAAGATGAATAGGACATAGTCCTTGGCCTCAAGGGAGTTACAATCTAGTACAAAATATTCACTAGCAGATAATTTAATATAATAGAGAAGTGCTAGTAGAGGGAGGCAGAGAATACCCCAGGAATAGAGATGAAAGGCTTTTTGCCCTACCTGGAGCTTTAGAAAAGACTTCTTGGGGAAGAAGCCTACACTGGGTATTGGAGGATAAAAAAGAGCTGCATGTAAGAATAACAGAAAAGTGGTTCAAGGAGGAAGAGCACAAGCAAAAGTTCCTGGGAGTAAAACAAGATGCTGTACTGGTAGAACCAGAGAACTCAGTACGACTGGAGGCCAACTGCAAGCAAGAGGAGCAGCCGCTGGAAGGGAAGGCAGGGCCCTGGCTGGAGGTACTCAAACATTCCATAATTTTATTCATGCCTTTCTTTTGAGGAGAAAGGGCCCAGTGATACTTTACACACATAGTAGTCTTTTATGAATGGGTGTATTTTAACTGTCTTTTAATTGTATGAATGCATGTATTTTCATACATCCATTTCATGAGTGGATATCATTTATTTTGTCAATCTCCTCACACTTTATTTTTTTATAAATAATGCTACAATACACATTCTTCCATATACATTTTTAGAGTTCCCAAAGTATATTTCCAGGTAAAAGATATGAGATATATCTATATCTATATGTCATAATATAAACCATATTATGATGTGTCCTATCATATATATCCAATATCATATATTATAAACAATATGATTTATAATATATATATAGATAGATATTATATATATTATATAGATATATAATATATACATATTTTTTTGAGACAGACTTTCACTCATTCTGTTGCCCAGGCTGGAGTGCAATGGCATGATCTCGGCTCACTGCAACCTCCATCTCACAGGTTAAAGTGATCCTCATGCCTCAGCCTCCCGAGGAGCTGGGATTACAGGTGCGCACCACTACACTCGGCTAATTTTTGTATTTTTAGTAGAGACAAGGTTTCACTACGTTGGCCAGGCTGGTCTAGAACTCCTGACTTCAAGGGATCCACCTGCCCTGGCCTCCCAAAGTGCTGGATTACAGATATGAGCCACTGTGCCCAGCCAGAAAATATACATTTTATTTACTTATAAAAATAAAATGTCTATTTTATTTTTTTCAAAATAAAATAGACAACAAATTGCCTTTCAGAAAGTTTACTCTGACTGGCTTTCCTATAAACAGTATATGAAAATTCCCATTTCTTCATATAGGGCAAACACTGGATATCATGAATCTTTTAAAATTGAACAGATCCAAAAACATCATTATTTTCATTCTATTTCACTGATTATCAGTTAGATTGAGGGTCTTCTCATAATTTTTTTGTCATTTGTATTTCTTCTTTTGTGAACTACTGTGTTACATATACTTTGTCCATTATTTATCGAATATTTGCATAGAAGTCTTTTTTTCTTAAATTTCTACCTCAAAAAATTAGTTTTCTCACCACACTAAGAAGTACTATCTGATTACCTGTTTTACTGGAGGTGGTTCCCGCTTGCTCACATCAATACGTGGTAAATCAGTGATTCCAAACTTCTCTTTGTAATACCGTCGAGTAAATGGATCACAATCATAAATGAAGAAAGTTCTCCCAAGGATAGTGAGTGACTTCCCAACAATGAAGTCTTTAGCAGTATACCATTCCAACACTTCTTGGTCAGAGATTTCTAGCACACACTGAGGGAAGTTCTCTAATATAAGATGGTGTTAGAGAGAAAAAAAGAAGGAATGAGTGTGTCAAGAAAGACTTGACACACAACTGCCAGGCATTCTTGAGAACCTGAGGGAGTGCAGTCTTTTGCTCTGGTCAAGAGTCAGGGTCTCCCCAACATTCCCACTAGAACACTTGGCTGTGTATTTCCATCTGTTGATACGACACGTACATAATACGGTTTTTGTGAAGTCTCTCTCCCATATTCAGCTCAAACTATCACTATAAATCACTAATTTTAGCAAATTAATGCTTAAAATAAATCACTACAGGAGGAAAGAACAAATGTCCTTCTGTAAGTATAAAGTCCTAGGTCTAGGAAAGATCCAAGTCATTTAGCTCAAATTCCCACCCGTTTATCCATTCATCCAGCAATTACTAGTGACCATCTATATCATGTACTAGGTACACTGCTAAATACTGGGATTACGATAATTAACACTGTAGATACAATTCCTGACTTCATGGAGAAAATATTCTCTTTGGGGAGACAGACACTAAAAAATTATATAAATGATGGTTTCATTTCAGGTTGTAATCACTGCTATGAGGACAGTGTAAGCTAGTCCTGGAGACAGGGGGCAGGGACAGTCAATGAGATGATGACAATAATCCATTCATGTGGGAATAAATAATTTCCAAATGTAGAATCAATCTTGCATTTGTGGAATAATTCCATTCTTGTCTTACTGTTTCATGAGAACTAAGGATTAACTTGTTTAAGATTGATTACCTGCAGCCTGGCATCCAAGGAAATCTTAAGAGTCAATCAGTTCTAGTAGAGTGCCACATCTTATAGTTGTAACCACAAAGCTTTGGCACAGAACCCTGATCACAAGGGGGATGAAAAGTAGGCTGATGTTCTCCTAACTAGTAATTACTGAGATTGAAAAACTGGAATAAGGCTAAGTTTCTGCTATAACAGGCATAAAAGTTTGAACTCCAGCCCTTGATCATAGCAAAGGAGGGCCTGGTATTTCCCTAATAATGCATCTTATTAATAACAGCTCTATAGTCCAAGGGATCTGTCTCCCTATGTCTATTCTCAACCCTACTACCTCCCTTTGAGCTTCCCCAGGAAGTGATGGGCAATGAGGGACATAGCTTGTGATTATATTAACTTCCTTTAGTATACAATATTCCAGGAGATCTGGTATATGTGTGTGTGCTGTCCAGCCATCTGCCTTTGTTTGCTCAACAAATTATTTTTTCATATAATGCTGGATCAGGTTTACTGATATCTTGTTTAGGATTTTTGCACATATCTTCTTAAGTGAGAATGACTGTAGTTTTTCTTTCTCATGGTGACTTTGGTTTCACTGGCCTTTTTAAATGAAAGAATTAAGAAGTTCTTCTCTCTAAAAGGGTTTGTGTTAAGCTTAGAATTACCTGTTCTTTAAATGTTTGTCAAAAATCATCTGTAAGATTATCTGGATCTGCTGGATTTTTTGTGGGAAATGTTTAAACTAAATCTATTTCTTTAATGGCTGAAGATATTTGGTTTTCTATTTCTTCATAAACAAGTTATACTTTTTTAAAACTTTGCTCGTTTTGGCCGGGCACAGTGGCTCATGCCTATAATCTCAGCACTTTGGGAGGCCGAGGTGGGCGGATCAAAACCACGCTGGCTAACACGGTGAAACTCTGTCTCTACTAAAAATACAAAAAAAAAAAAAAAAATTAGCTGGGTGTGGTGGCGGGCACCTGTAGTCCCAGCTACTCGGGAGGCTGAGGCGGGAGAATGGTGTGAACCCGGGAGGCGGAGCTTGCAGTGAGCCGAGATCAGGCCACTGCACTCCAGCCTGGGCGACAGAGAGAGACTCCGTCTCAAAGACAAAAACAAACAAAACAAAACAAACAAAAACAAAACAAAAAAAACTTTACTCATTTTACCTAAGTTTTTAAATTTATTGGCATAAAGTTGTATTATTATTTTATTTTATGTTTAATGGCTATGGCACTTTAAAGAATGCTTTTTTTTTTTTTTTTGAGACAGTCTTGCCCTGTTGCCCAGCCTGGAGTGCACTGGCACAATCTCGGCTCACTGCAACCTCTGCCTTCCAGGTTCAAGCAATTCTCCTGCCTCAGCCTCCTAAGTAGCTAGGACTACAGGTGCGTGCCACCATGCTGGGCTAATTTTTGCATTTTTAGTAGAAATGGAGTTTCACACCACATTAGCCAGGCTGGTCTCGAACTCCTGACCTCAAGTGATCCGCCTGCCTTGGCCTCCCAAAGTGCTGGGATTACAGGTGTGAGCCACCATGCCCAGCCACTTCTTTCATTTTTAATATGGTGTATATGTGCCTTCTTTTGTTTATCCCTTCATAAATCTTGTCTATAGTTTGTCACTTTATTAGTCCTTTCAAGGAGATGACTTTTGACTTGACAAATCTTCTCTGTTACCTTTGTTTTCAATTTCTTTATTTTCAGCCTCTTATTTTATGATTTCCTTCTTTTAATTTCTTAATATTTTAATTTTTAAATTCTTTAGATTTCTAACTTTTTAAGAAATATGCCTAACTTATTGTCATCTTTCTTCTTTCTTAAGTAAGCATTTAAAGCTATATATTTTCCTCCAAGTACCTCTTTTTTTTAGAGTTTTAAGAGTTTTTGCTACCATTCAGTTCTAGGTATTTTCTGACAATATTTTTTTTTAACTCATGGGTTATCTGAAAATATGTTTTTCAATTTCCAAATACACGGTTTTTTTCATGTTATATTTCCAAAATTGACTTCTAACTTAATTTTGTTGAAAATTGGGTGTTGGGTAAGCATATATATATTAAATGAATAATAATATTATTCAAGTCTTATACCTGTTTATTGATTTGTCTTTTTGATCTAACAACTATTGAAAGAAATGTTTTAATGGCTCCCACTATTATGCTATATTTTTCCAGTCTCACTGAATAATGGTGCTACAGATTTTTCTTATATTTTGAATCCATGTTATTACTGCATTCAAGTTTAGAATTATTATATTTTCCTAGTAAATAAAATATTCTTGCAATAGGTAATGATCCTCTTCATCTCAATCAAAGCTTTTTGCCCAAATGTCTTTTTGTATTATACTAATATAGCTTCATCAGTTGTTTTATACCTCATCAGTTTCTTTTGCTATTTATTTTTCTTTTTAAAGATATTTGCCTATATCTTAAGTATGTTTTTAAAAACACTTTTATATATTGTTCATGGGAGGGTAAATGAGTTCAAACACCGTGGAAAGCAGTGTGGTGATTCCTCAAAGACCTAAAAACAGAACTACCCATTCGACCCAGCAATCACATTACTGGGTATATCTCCAAAGGAATATAAATCATCCTATCATAAAGAAACGCAAGTGTATGATCACTGCAGCACTATTCATAATAGCAAAGACATAGAATCAACCTAAATGCCCATCAATGACAGATTGAATAAAGAAAATGTGGTATATATACACCATGGAATACTATGCAGCCATAAAAAAGAATGAGATCATATCCTGTGCAGGAACATGGATGCAGCTGAAGGCCATTATCTTTAGCAAACTAATGCAGGAACAGAAAATCAAGTACCACGTTTCTCAATTATAAGTGGAAGCTAAATGATGAGAGCACATGGACACATAGGAGGGAACAATACACACTGGGGTCTATTGGAGGGTGAAGGGTGGGAGGAGGGAGAAGATCAGGAAAAATAACTGATGGGTGTTAGGCTTAATACCTGGGAGACAAAATGTACAACAAACCTGCATGACACAAGCTCACTCATAAAACAAACCTGCACATGTACCCCTGAACTTAAAAGTTAAAAAAAAATTTTCAAAACTTGTTATATATTTAATCCTATCACCCTTTCTTATGCTATTACTGTAATACATGTCAGTTCTACTTTGATATTTTTAACTCTCACAAATTCAATATTGTTCTTTTAATTTGTATAGTTAATGATTATTTAGATTTATCCTACTTTGCTATTTTCTTTATTCACGACTTTTTGTATCTTAGACTTTACTTCTGCATTCATTTTCTTTCCACTTGAAGTATACTCTAGAAGTTTCCCAGTAAAGGTCTGCTGTTAGTAAAATCTGTTTTGTTTGCCTGGAAATGTATTTCACTGTCTTCCTGAAAGACAGTTTCTCTAGGCATTAAACTCTTATTTTTTTCTCAGCACTCTGAAGATATTATTTTACTGTCTTCTGGTAATCACTGTTGCTACAGAAGTCAGCTGTCATTCTAACTTCCATCTGGTATGGGTTACCTTTTTCTTTGGAGCTGCTTTCATGATCTTTTCGAATCTAGTGTTCTTACATTTGACTATGACATATCTAGATAGGAATTTATATTTTTACAACTTTACTGAGGTGTAATTGACTACAATAAGCTGCACATTTTTGGAGTATACAATTTTGATGTTGCTTGACATATGTATTTACCCATGAAACCATCATTACAATCAAAATAATAAACATCCAATCACATCCAAAAGTCTCCTCATGACCTTTTATAATCTAACTCTCCTTCTCACCATCCTCACGCAATCACTGATCTATTTTGCTTATTTATATTGTATTTATATTAATTTTACACCAATGGAATTATATGGCATGTATTTTTGTCTGAATTCATTCTCTTAGCATAGTTACTTTGAGATTCATTCATGTTGTTTCATACATCAATAATTGTTTTGTTTTTTAGTAGTATTCCAAAGTACTGATATACAATAATTGTTTACTCACTAACTGTTAATAGACATTTGCATTCTTTCCAACTTTTGGCTATTATAAAAAAAGCTGCCATAAACATTCACATAAGTTTCTGTGTGGACATATGTTTTCCTTTCTCTTGGCAAATACCCAAGAAAAGAATGGCTGGTTTGTATGGTAGATATATGTGCAATTTTAAAAAACAAACTGTCAGCCGGGTACGGTGGCTCATGCCTGTAATCTCAGATTACTTTGGGAGGCCGAGGCGGGTGGATCACGAGGTCAGGAGATCGAGACCATCCTGGCTAACATGGTGAAACCCCATCTCTACTAAAAATACAAAAAATTAGCCGGGCGTAGTGGCAGGCGCCTGTAGTCCCAGCTACTCGGGAGGCTGAGGCAGGAGAATGGTGTGAACCTGGGAGGCGGAGCTTGCAGTGAGCCAAGACCATGCCACTGCACTCCAGCCTGGGCGACAAAGCGAGACTCCGTCTCAAAAAAACAAACAAACAAACAAACAAACAAAACAAAAAAACCTGTCACGCTATTTTTCAACGTGGTTGTTTCAGCTGACCTTCCACTAGCAGTGTGTGAAATTTTCAGCTGCTTCACATCCTTGTCAACACTTGGTATGGTCAGTCTTTTTAATTTTGGACATTCTAGTGGGTATACAGTAGTATCTTACATGGTTTTAATTTGCATTTCTCTAATAAGTAACTATGGCAAATATATTTTTGTGTGCTAACTTGTCATACATGCATGCTTTTGGTGAGGTATCTATTCTAATCCTTTACCTATTTTTTATTTGGGTTGTTTTCCTAAGTTTTAAGAGCCACTTTATATATCCTATGACAAGTACCTTCTCAAATATGTTTTACAAATATTTTTCCCAATCTTTAGCTTTTCCTTTCACTTTCCTAACAGTGTCTTTTGAAAAGCAAAACTTTTATTATTTATGTATTTATTTTTAAATTTTAGACTCAGGGTACATGTACAGGTTGGTTGCACAGGTATATTGCATGATGCTGAAGTTTGAGCTATTGATCCTGTCACCCAAATAGTGAACACAGTACCTGATAGGTAGTTCTTCAACCCTTGTCCCTCTCCCTTACTTCTTCCTTTTGGAGTCCCCAGTGTCTATTGTTCCTGTCTTTGTGTCCATGTGTATACCCAATGCTCTGTTTCTGTGTTAATTCACTTAGTATAATGGCCTCTACCTGCATCCACGTTGCTGCAAAGAATATGATTTTATTTTTTATGGCCATATAGTATTCCATGGTGTATATGTACCATTAACACATTTTCTTTATCCAATCCACCAGTGATGGGCACCTGGGTTGATTCCATGTCTTTGCTATTGTGAACAGTGCTGCAATAAACATGAATACAAGTATCTTTTGGATACAACAATTTATTTTCTTTTGGGTATATACCCAATAATGGGATTGGTGTAGTTCTACTTTTGGAGAAATCTCCAAACTGTTTTCCTCAGGGGCTGAACTAGTTCACATTCCCACCAACAGTGATAAGCATTCCCTTTTCTCTGCAAGCTTGCCAACATCTGTTATTTTTTGACTTAATAATAGCCATTCTGACTGGTATGATTGCATCCCTCTGATGATTAGTGATGTTGGGCATTTTTAAAATGTTTGTTGTCCATTTGTATGTTTTCTTTTGAGAAGTGTCTGTTCATGTCCTTTGCCTACTTTTCAATGGGGTTATTTGTTATTTTTCTTGTTGATTTAAGTTCCTTATAGATTCTGGATATTAGACATTTGTCAAATGCATTGTTTCAAATATTTTCTCCCATTCTGTAGGCTGTTTCCTCTGTTGATAGCTTCTTTTGCAATGCACAAGCTCTTTAGTTTAATTAGGTCCCAATTGTCAATTTTTGTTTTCATTACATTTGCTTTTTTTTTCCCCCTGCTCTGAGACAGGGTCTCACTCTGTCGCCCAGGTCTATGATCCATTTGGGGTTAACTTTTATGTATGGTGAGGTAAGGGTTGAAGTTTATTTATTTATTTACTTTTGCATAGGCTATTGAATTGTTCCAGCACCTTTTGTTAAAAAGACAATCATTTCTCCACCAAATTGCTTTTTTACCTTTGTCAAAAATCAAATGACCTCATATGTGTGCATCTATTTCTGGACAATTTGTTCTATTTCATTGATCTGTATGTTGATCTCATCAGATTGTAAAGTCTTTGAGATATGGGGCTTATAGTAGTTTCAGATCTCCATTGCCTAGCATGGTGTTTCCTTCATCTATATGGATGTTCGATTAATATTATTCGAATGACTGAGTGAGCCAACAAAGATGCACAGAAAGTGAGGAAATACATTCAACTTTCTGGAACACTAAAGGTCTAAGGGGTGTTCAAGATTCATCTAACAGGCAAGGGCAAGATCAAACTATGAAAGCCAGTCTGAAGGATAACTAACATATTTAGACTTTCAGAACCTGGTTCCTTGGGTTCAAGAGCTGAGTAGAAAGCTTTTGTTAAGTCAAAAGATGTCCTGTTTTGATATTACCTGCCACCTATTGGTAATATGCAATTGCCCTTGACGAAGAAATAACTTTCTGAATTTCTGATATTTTAACTCCATCCATTATAAATATATAATTTTGATTTATCTTAGCTACTTAAAAGGAGGCCCTGGTTGAGAGGACTTCTGAAAGTTACTCCCATAATTTCCTATTACTGTCTAATACAAACTCTCTGCCTAGCCACCATCTCTTGGGCGCCCCCAAACATGCCATACTTGTTCCTAATTCCCAACTTTTGCTCTTGTTCTTCTTTCTAGTGAGCTCTTTGTTCTCTGCCATTCTAAATCTGAGTCTAATCCCAGCTCTTCCACAAAGACTTCTTTAGTTTTTCAGGCCCACACCTTTGTCCTTCTGACCTCGGTCTGCATGACTTAACTAATTACATAATCAGATAATCTGGTATACTCATGTTATTACTTAACAGCTTTGTGTATTTTATATGCCTTGTCTTCTTAATGACACTAGAAATGACTGAAAGATAGGATTCTAGGAATGGGAGTTACATTTTGTCCTCCATAGCATTTAGCATGTGAAATGGTTCCCATAGCAGATTATTTACCTCTTGTTTAATTGAATTTAATAAAAATCACCCATTGGATAAATGCCTTTGAGAGTCAATTAGACATCATTCTTTTAACACTACCCTTCTAGTTAAAGGAATTATGTAGCTGATGGGAACATAGCCTTTTCTGTACCTCATGACTGATACCTTTTTTCTTTTTTTGAGATGGAGTCTTGCTCTGTTGCCCAGGCTGGAGTGAAGTGGCGCAATCTCCGCTCACTGCAGCCTCTGTCTCCTGGCTTCAAGCAATTCTCCTGCCTCAGCCTCCTAAGTAGCTGGGACTACAGGCACCTGCCACCATGCCCAGGTAATTTTTGTATTTTTTAGTAGAGAGGGGGTTTCACCATGTTGGCCAGACTGGTCTCGAACTCCTGACTTCAGGTGATCCTCCCACCTTGGCCTCCCAAAGTGACGGGATTATAGGCTTCGGCCACAGCGACCAGCCTGTTTCCTACTTTTTAAAAGAACCCTATATATGCCACCAGGCTGCCTCTCCATGCAACTTTGATAAAAAATTTTTAATTGGGAAATTATAGAAGAGGATAATTATATATTAAGTTTTCAATATAGGTCACATTGATAAAGCAGAGACAAACCTGGAATCTGTCATTTAAAGGGATTTAGTTTCAGTGAGACTTTTCATGCCACCCTGAATATATTCCTATCCATTTTCTTTATCTATTGTAAATCTAATGTTTGTTAGCTCCGAACTGCATGGATTTCAGGCTTGTTTAAGCATTCTGAAAGGCCAAAATTACTATATTAGTCCCATTGTCATTGAACTCTAAGACGGTTCTGTAGAGAACTGATTATAAGAATATGTATAGTAGGTAGAAGCCAAACTATGTTGAACTAGGGCACAGATCCAGTTGTTTCTATTTGAGAATACAAGCTGAATTAGCAGTATTTTCATTTTTTTAAAAAAATATATAACATAAACTTTCCTAATTCTAAAATGATGACAATTTTCACTCCCTTTTATCCTTTTCCCCAATCTCATTCTCCTCTCCTCACATGCAATCATTCTAATGCAGCTATGTGACTGAATGTGTCCTACGTGTACTATGTTTTGCATGTGTTATAGCATTATATATCTAATTTCATGTATTTTTTCCTACACAGCACTATGTTTTTAAGATCCATCCACTTGCTTTCTGTGTACATCTTGTTTACTGCTTCTAACTACTGTATATTAATCAAAATGTACCTTCACTACATTTTTGCTTATCCATTCTCTCAATGATGGAAACCTCCAACTCCTTGCCCACAAATAATACTGCATTTTTCATAAAAAAGCACTGTGCAAGTGAAGCAATATGTACAGACACGTTGAATTTAGCCTCAGACTACACATTTATTTATAACCTCTAATGTAGACAAACTTCTTGCTCAATACCTGAAATTTCTTTTTCTTTTTTTTTTTGAGATGGAGTCTCACTCTGTCACCCAGGCTGGAGTGCAGTGGCACGATCTTGGCTCGCCACAACCTCCACCTCCCGGGTTCAAACAATTCTCCTGCCTCAGCCTCCTGAGTAGCTGGGACTACAGGTGCACGCCACCACGCCCAGCTAATTTTTTGTATTTTTAGTAGAGATGGGGTTTCACCATGTTAGCTAGAATGGTCTCGATCTCCTGACTTCATGATCCACCTGCCTTGGCCTCCCAAAGTGCTGGGATTACAGGTGTGAGCCACCGTGCCCAGCCCCAATACCTGAAATTTCTTATATCCTAATTCCCAAAAAATATAGTAAAAAGAAAAAAAAATCAGTGAACACATTTACAGAATCCTGTCAGCCACCCAAACATAAGAGCTATCAGTCATTACATGTGACCAAGATGACATTATTCTAAGAGAAATGTAAAAACTACTAAGACAATAACTAAAGCAAGCCTACTCATCCCAGGAAACAGTGAACAGCAGGTATTTGCTGCCATTTTGTTGCACTGCCACTCTCAAATATGGTAGGTAACTTTTTTTCTTTTTCTGGAGATAGGATCTCACTGTTGCCCAGGCTGGAGTGCAGCACCACAATCACAGCTCACCGCAGCCTCGACCTCCCAGGCTCAGATGATCCTCCCACCTCAGCCTCCCAAGTAGCTGGGAATACAGGTGTGCGGCACCAAGCATGGCTAATTTTTGTATTTTTTGTAGAGAGGAGGTTTCATCACGTTGCCCAGGCTGGTCTCAAACTCTTGGGCTCAAGCAATCCACCCGCCTCAGTCTCCCAAAGTGCTGGGATTACAGGAGTGAGCCATCATGCCCAGCCCATGCTAGGTAATTTTAAACCAGTAAAGAATGAGCTGGGTTTGACACAATGGACCTCACCTCTATGAGTCACAGACATGCCTTTTCCAATCTCAAGTTAAACCACATAGAAACTTCCTGTTTAGGAAGTAGTTGAAGTGAGAAGCAAAGTCAGGAAAGCATATAAAGAAAAGCTAAGCTTTCATTCATATCCTTGAATGAAAACAAGCCTGTTTGAAAAATGCATTAAAAATCTAATATTAAATTGTTTCAGTTCAGAAACCTTGCTCTGCTGCACTTTAAATAAATCTCCCACTGTTGTTTTGGTTTTGTTTCCTTGACCTGGGTACCAGACTGTCTTGGGGGCACGCCTGGACCGAGGGGCAAGTAAAGGAGGAAAGCTGTGGGAAGCCATTTTCTGAGCATCTAAGCAAAAATAGCTAGAGGCTTCCAAGTATAAACGAATTTTGCATACTGATTAAGTAACTCCTTTAAGAACCTAAAAACATCCCAAGTAACAGAGAATAAACTGAATCAAACATACTTGCATTTTCCACCAAAACTTTGGGCACACGCTGGCGGTTCATTAGGAGTGGGAAAGGATCTCTCCCATCATTCCGTTCGTGGACCTCTCGAATTTCCACCGTATCATCCATAAGATAGTAATGAATGATGTAGGTCCGACATTCACCATACATGCTGTCTGTATCATCCCAGATTGCATAGAATCGAAGGACCTTTGAAGAATCCAAAGTAGTGACTCAAGAATCCTAAAAGTAGGGAGTTCAACTTGGCTACTTTGGCAATTATGTATCAACGATGGAAAGACTAGCTGGAAAGACTATGAAGTAATTTCAGATGGGGTAAATTGAAAAAAAAAGAAATATTCATCAAACATACTAAAACATCTGAAATTATGTACTATATGTCAGCAGCTGGAAAGAATTAAATAATAGGATTATAAGTTTGTGCCAAAAAAGAAGAGCTCACTTTGATCCAAAATATTAGTCAGTGAAAGAGAAGCTAAATTAAAAGAGCAATGAAGTTCTTTACATAGTGGTATATATATATTAATAAAGGTACATGTGAATATGGTTTATATATAATTAGTGTAGAAAAAATTTTTATTTATTAACCAGTCTTTTTTTGGTCCCATCAACACATATCTTCTAGCAATAATATAAACACAATCTTTTTTTTTTTTTTTTTGGCTAGGCTTCTTCAAATCGTGGGAATAAACACAATCTTTAAATACAAAATAATAACAGATATATGACTGATATGAACAAAATCCTTAAAAGACCATGCTAGTGCTAGTTTACATTTTCTGAACTAAAAGGGGTTAAATGTCTAAAGAAAAGGAGCAGCAAAGAAGCACTGAGGGTGATCTCTTCCTTTTCTTTCTCCCTTTAGTACAGAAAGGGAAGGATTTAAATCTGCTTATACACATCAGCTCACAAGGGAGAGGATTAGGAAGGTTGGAACAGAGTTGGAAAATGCTCAGAACATTCTGGACTCCAATATTAATATAACATTTAACAAGGAAGCATCTGTAGTGGGGCTTCTGTGAAATTAAACATTTTAACATTACAACCTACATGTATGCATATTTGTGAAATTTCCTAATAATCGATTTATGGTTTCACAAAGGAGTCTATGAAATTAGCTCATTTTAAGGGAAAGAAATTGTCAATTGGAAACGTAAGGTGGGAAGCAGATGTAGCTCAGGAATTGCTTTGAGATTTAAATGTTTGGTGAGGTTCACAAAACAACTCCGCAACTCCACGATCTTCTTTGGATCTCCATATGAAATGTAGGCATTCCTGTACCTGTAACCCTTGATGAAAGCAGAAAGACAGTACTGTGTCCAAACAGTTCAATTATAGCTGTAATGTTTCAAAATAGTTACCAATACAGCTACCCAAACCTTTTGCCAATAAATGTAGGTCACATTTGGAAATAAGTAAGCCTATTGTGGTTCCTATGTCACTTACCTGTTTGTCAAAGGTGAGAAATTGCTTGAGTTGATCAAAGTCTGATGGGGTGACATACTTACGAAGAGGCTGTTTTCGGAGTTCAGTGTAAGGATCAAGAGCCATCTTCTCTGGTGGATTTAACTCAATTCCTTGGCTTTCTAAAAATACCTAAATAATTGAAAGTTAACAATGATCATCTTTCTTGGAGCTTTTCAGAGTAAGTTATAAACTGATTATATAAAAATAAGTGTATGGGCCAGGCACTGTGGCTCAGGCCTACAATCTCAGCACTTTGGGAGGCTGAGGTAGGAGGACTCCTGAAACGCAGGAGTTCACAATCAGCCTGAGCAACATAGTGAGACCCTGTTTCTACAAAAACATTTAAAAGTTAGACTGGTTTGATGGCATTTGCCTGCAGTCCAGGCTACTCAGGAGGCTGAAGTGAGTAGACTGCTTGAGCTCAGGAGGTCAAGGCTGCAGTGAGCCATGATCATGACACTGCACTCCAGCCTGCGTCACAGCAAGACCCCGCCTCAAATAAAGAAAAAAAGAAAGAAAAAGTGTAATAATGATTTCTATGCCATTGCTTAAGTTAAACATTAGTTTGCTGCTTGAGCGCATGTAAGCTGTATTAAGTCTCCAACTGAGCCAACTCCATAATGCAGGTAATAATTGAGAGTTACCTGAAGTATTTTATATTGTTATATTGCTAGGTATTTGCTAAGCTAGTTGGGAGGCACAATGGCAAAATAACTGTTTTCAAATAATTTAAATCAATCAAATTTAGTTAGGTGCCTGTAACAGAGTAAGTCTTAGGATTGCTTACTTTCATATATCTGGAACCTAACCATGGTTTCAAACAATATGTAATTCCTATTAGGTCTGGAGGCAAGATGCACAATGGCCAAGTTAGGCTGAAATCATATTCCCAATTTTCTAATTCACTTAAAACAAATACTGTATATGATTAAGTCCCTTCCCCTCACCAAAAAAGAAAAAAAAGAAAGCATACCCACTGGTTATATTAGACCAGAAAACGTGTTAGCAAAATAGGAAAGACAAACCAAGTGCTCAAATTTCACCAGACATTCCTGAAAGGGACAGTGAGAAAGCAAACAACTTGGAAAACATATTTCAGGATATTGTCCACAAAAACCTCCTCAACCTCGCTAGAGAGGCCAACAATCAAATTAAGGAAATACAAAGAATCCCTGCAAGATTCTATGCAAGGAGATCATCCCCAAGCCACATAATCATCAGATTTTCCAAGGTCAAAATGAAAGAAAGAATGTTAAAAGCAGCTACAGAGAAAGGGCAGGTCACGTACAAAGGGAACCCCATCAGGCTAACACTGGACTTCTCAGCTGAAACCCTATAAGCCAGAAGAGATTGGGGGCCTATATTCAACATTCTTAAAGAAGAAAAATCTTCAACCAAGAATTTCATATCTAGCCAAACTAAGCTTCTTAGCAAAGGAGAAATAAGATCCTTTTCTGATAAGCAAATGCTGACAGAGTTCATTACCACCAGACCTGCCTTACAAGAGATCTTAAAAGGAGCACTAAATATGGAAAGAAAAGGCCATTACCAGCCAATACAAAACACACAAGTACACAGACCAGTGACACTATAAAGCAACCACACAAACAAACCAGCATAATAACCAGCTAACAACACAATGACAGGATCAAATCTACACATATCAACACTAATCTTAATTATAAATGGGCTAAAGGCCCCATTTAAAAGGCACAGAGGCCAGGCATGGTGGCTCATGCCTGTAATCCCAGTACTTTGGGAGGCAGAGGTGGGTGGATCACTTGAGGTCAGGAGTTTAGGACCAGCCTGGCCAACATGGTGAAACCCAGTCTCTGCTAAAAAATACAAAAATTAGCCAGGCATGGTGGTACACACCTGTAATCCCAGCTACTCGGGAGGCTGAGGCAGGAGAATCACTTGAGCCTGGGAGGCAGAGTTTGCAGTGAGCTGAGAGCACGCCACTGCACGCCAACCTGGGTGACAAAGTGAGATTCTGTCTCAAAAACAAACAAACAAAACAAACAAACAAACAAAAAAACCACAATGCAGAATAACAAGCTAGATAAAAAAGGAAGACCCAATGGTATGCTGTCTTCAAGAGACCTATCTCACACGCAATGACACCCAAAGGTTCAAAATAAAGGGATAGAAGAAAATCTACCAAGCAGATGGAAAATAGAAAAAAGCAGGGGTTGCAGTCCTAATTTCAGACAAAACAGACTTTAAACCACCAAAGATCAAAAAAGACAAAGAAGGGCACTGTATAATGGTAAAGGATCCAACTCAACAAAAAAAACTAACTATGCTAAATACATATGCACCCAATACAGGAACACCCAGATTCATAAAGCAAGTTCTTAGATATCTACAATGAGACTTGGACTCCCATACAACAGCAGTGGGAGACTTTAAAACTTCCCTGACAGTATTAAACAGATCATTGAGGCAGAAAATTAACAAAGATATTCAGGACCTAACTCAACATTGGACCAAATGGATGTGACCTACCTCTACAGAACCTTCCACCCAAAAACAACAGAGTATACGTTATTCTCATCACCACATGGCACATATTCTAAAATCGACCACATAATCAAACAGAAAACAATTCTCAGGAAATGCAAAAGAACCAAAATCATAGCAAACACACTCCCAGATGACAGCATAATAAAAATAGAAGTCAAAACTAAAAAAACCACTCAAAACCATGCAATTACATGGACATTAAACAACCTGCTCCTGAATGACTTTTGGGTAAATAATGAAATTAAGGCAGAAATCAAGAATTTCTTTGAAAGTAATGGAACAAAGATATGACATACCAGAATCTCTGGGACACAGCTAAGGCAGTATTAAGACGGAAATTTATAGCACTAAATGCCGATGTCAAAAAGTTACATCTCAAATTAACAACCTAATATCACAACTGAAAGAACTACAGAAGCAAGAGCAAATCAACCTCAAAGCTAGCAGAAGACAAGGAATAACCAAAATCAGAGCTGAACTGAAGGAAATCAAGACACAAAAAACCATTCAAAAGATCAATGAATCCAGGAGTTGGTTTTTATTAAAAAGATAGGCCACTAGCTAGACTAATGTAGAAGAGAGAAGATCTAAATAAACACAATTAGAAACAACAAAGGGGATGTTACCACTGACCCCACAGAATTATAAGCAACCATCAGAGAATATTATGAACACTTGTATGCACAACACTAGAAAACCTAGAAGAGATGGATAAATTCCTGGACACATACACTCACCCAAGACTGAACTAGGAAGAAACTGATTCCCTGAACAGACTGATAACAAGCTCTGAAAATGAATCAGTAATCAATAGCCTATGAACCAAAAAAGGCCCAGGGCCAGAGGGATTCACAGCTGAATTCTATCAGATATACAAAGAAGAGCTGGTACTATTTTTTTTTTTTTTTTTGAGATGGAGTCTTGCTCTGTCGCCCAGACTGGAGTGCAGTGGCACAATCTCGGCTCATTGCAAGCTCTGTCTCCTGGGTTCACGCCATTCTCCTGCCTCAGCCCCGAGTAGCTGGGACTACAGGCGCCTGCCACCACGCCTGGCTAATTTTTTGTATTTTTAGTAGAGATGGGGTTTCACTGTGTTAGCCAGGATGGTCTCGATCTCCCGACCTCATGATCCACCCGCCTCAGCCTCCCAAAGTGCTGGGATTACAGGCGTGAGCCACCGCACCCAGCCAAGAGCTGGTACTGTTCCTACAGAAAATATTCCAAAAAGTTGAGGAGGAGGGATTCCTCCCTAACTCATTCTATGAGGCCAGCATCATTCTGATACCAAAACCTGGCAGAGACACAACAGAAAAAGAAAACTTCAGGCCAATATATTTGATGAACATCAATGCAAATATCCTCAACAAAATATCTGCAAACTGAATCCAGAAGCACATCAAAAAGGTAATCCACCACAATCAAGTAGGCTTCATTTCCAGCATGCAAAGTTGGTTCAACATACACAAATCAATAAATGTGATTCATCACATAAACAAAACTAGAGACAGAAACCACATAATTATCTCAATAGCTATATAAAAGACTTTGGGTAAAATTCAATATCCCTTAATGAGAAAAACTCTCAATAAACTAGGTAGGAGAGGTTCCAGGATGGCCGAACAGGAACAGCTCCAGTCTGAAGCTCCCAGCATGAGCAACGCAGAAGACGGGTGATTTCTGCATTACCAACTGAGGTACTGGGTTCATCTCACTGGGGTTTGTCAGACAGTGGGTGCAGCCCACGGAGCAGGGCAGGGCATTGCCTCATCTGGGAAGCACAAGGGGTCGGGGAATTCCCTTTCCTAGCAAAGGGAAGCTGTGACAGACAGTATCTGGAAAAACAGGACACTCCCACCCTAATACTGCACTTTTCCAATGGCCTTAGCAAATGGCACACCAGGAGATTATATCCCGCACCTGGCTCAGAGGGTCCCACACCCACAGAGCCTCTCTCACTGCTAGCACAGCAGCGTGAGATTGAACTGCAAGGCGGCAGCGAGGCTGGTGGAGGGGCATCCGCCATTGCTGAGGCTTGAGCAGCTAAACAAAGCAGCTGGGAAGCTCGAACTGGGTGGAGCCCATGGCACCTCAAGGAGGCCTGCCTGCCTCTGTAGACTCCACCTCTGAGGGCAGGGCATAGCTGAACAAAAGGCAGCAGAAACTTCTGCAGACTTAAACGTCCCTGTCTGACAGCTTTGAAGAGAGTAGTGGTTCTCCCAGCACGAAGTTTGAGATCTGAGAACGGACAGACTGCCTCCTCAAGTGGGTCCCTGACCCCCAAGTAGCCTAACTGGGAGACACCTCCCAGTAGGGGCCAACTGACACCTCATACAGCCAGGTGCCCCTCTGAGACGAAGCTTCCAGAGGAAGGATCAGGCAGCAACATCTGCTGTTCAGCAATATTCACTGTTCTGCAGCCTCCACTGGTGATACCCAGGCAAACAGGGTCTGAAGTGGACCTCCAGCAGACTCCAACAGACCTGCAGCTGAGGGTCCTGACTGTTAGAAGGAAAACTAACAAACAGAAAGGACATCCACACCAAAAACCTATCTGTACGTCACCATCATCAAAGACCAAAGGTAGATAAAACCACAAACATGGGGAGAAACCAGAGCAGAAAAGCTAAAAATTCTAAAAATCAGAGTGCCTCTTCTCCTCCAAAGGAACGCAGCTCCTCGCCAGCAATGGAACAAAGCTGGATGCAGAATGACTTTGATGAATTGAGAGAAAAAGGCTTCAGACAATCAGTAATAACAAACTTCTCCGAGCTAAAGGAGGATGTTCGAACCCATCGCAAAGAAGCTAAAAACCTTGAAAAAAAGATTAGACGAATGGCTAACTAGAATAAACAGTGTAGAAAAGTCCTTACATGACCTGATGGAGCTGAAAACCATGGCATGAGAACTATGTGATGCATGCATAAGCTTCAGTAGCCGATTAGATCAAGTGGAAGAAAGGGTATCAGTGATTGAAGATCAAATGAATGAAATGAAGTGAGAAGAGAAGTTTAGAGAAAAAAGAGTAAAAAGAAATGAACAAAGCCTCCAAGAAATATGGAACTATGTGAAAAGACCAAATCTACGTCTGACTGGTGTACCTGAAAGTGATGGGGAGAATGTAACCAAGTTGGAAAACATTCTGCAGGATATTATCCAAGAGAACTTCCCCAAACTAGTGAGGCAGGCTAACATTCAAATTCAGGAAATACAGAGAATGCCACAAAGATACTCCTTGAGAAGAGCAACTCCAAGGCACATAATTGTCAGATTCACCAAAGTTGAAATGAAGGAAAAAAATGTTAAGGGCAGCCAGAGAGAAAGTTCGGGTTACCCACAAAGTGAAGCCATTCAGACCAACAGCGGATCTCTCGGCAGAAACTCTACAAGCCAGAAGAGAGTGGGGGCCAATAATCAACATTCTTAAAGAAAAGAATTTTCAATCCAGAATTTCATATCCAGCCAAACTAAGCTTCATAAGTGAAGGAGAAATAAAATCCTTTATAGACAAACAAATGCTGACAGATTTTGTCACCACCAGGCCTGCCCTAAAAGAACTCCTGAAGGAAGCACTAAACATGGAAAGGAACAACCGGTACCAGCCACTGCAAAAACATGCCAAATTGTAAAAACCATCAATGCTAGGAAGAAACTGCATCAACTAATGAGCAAAATAACCATCTAACATCATAATGACAGGATCAAATTCACACTTAACAATATTAACCTTAAATGTAAATGAACTAAATGCTCCAATTAAAAGACACAGACTGGCAAATTGGATAAAGACTCAAGACCCATCAGTGTGCTGTATTCAGGAGACCCATCTGACGTGCAGAGACACACACAGGCTCAAAATAAAGGGATGGCAGAAGATCTACCAAGCAAATGGAAAACAAAAAAAAGCAGGGGTTGCAATCCTAGTCTCTGATAAAACAGACTTTAAACCAAGAAAGATCAAAAGAGACAAAGAATGTCGTTACATAATGGTAAAGGGATCAATTCAACAAGAAGAACTAACTATCCTAAATATATATGCACCCAATACAGGAGCACCCAGATTCATAAAGCAAGTCCTTAGTGACATACAAAGAGACTTAGACTCCCATACAATAATAATGGGAGACTTTAACACCCCACTGTCAACATTAGACAGATCAACAAGACAGAAAGTTAATAAGGATAACCAGGAATTTAACTCAGCTCTGCCCCAAGCAGACCTAATAGACATCTACAGAACTCTCCACCCCAAATCAACAGAATATACATTCTTCTCAGCACCACATCGCACTTATTCCAAAATTGACCACATAGTTGGAAGTAAAGCACTCCTCAGCAAATGTAAAAGAACAGAAATTATATAAAACTGTCTCTCAGACCACAGTGCAATCAAACTAGAACTCAGGATTAAGAAACTCACTCAAAACCACTCAACTACATGGAAATTGAACAACCTGCTCCTGAATGACTACTGGGTACATGACAAAATGAAGGCAGAAATAAAGATGTTCTTTGAAACCAATGAGAACAAAGACACAACATACCAGAATCTCTGGGACACATTTAAAGCAGTGTGTAGAAGGAAATTTATAGCACTAAATGCCCACAAGAGAAAGCAGGTAAGATCTAAAATTGACACCCTAACATCACAATTAAAAGAACCAGAGAAGCAAGAGCAAACACATTCAAAAGCTAGCAGAAGGCAAGAAATAACTAAGAACAGAGCAGAACTGAAGGAGATAGAGACACAAAAAACCCTTCAAAAAATCAATGAATCCCAATGAGATCACATGGACACAGGAAGGGGAACATCACACTCTGGGGACTGCTGCGGGGTAGGGGGAGGGGGGAGGGACAGCATTGGGAGATATACCTAATGCTAGACGACAAGTTAGTGGGTGCAGCACACTAGCATGGCACATGTATACGTATGTAACTAACCTGCACAATGTGCACATGTACCCTAAAACTTAAAGTATAATAATAAAAAAATAAATAAATTAATTAATTAAAAAACCAAAAAAAAAAATCAATGAATCCAGGAGCTGGTTTTTTGAAAAGATCAACAAAACTGATAGACCGCTAGCAAGACTAATAAAGAAGAAAAGAGAGAAGAATCAAATAGATGCAATAAAAAATGATAAAGGGGATATCACCATCGATCCCACAGAAATACAACCTACCATCAGAAAATACTATAAACACCTCTACACCAAAAAAAAAAAAAACTGGAAAATCTAGAGGAAATGGATAAATTCCTGGACACACACACCCTCCCAACACTAAACTGGGAAGAAGTTGAATCCCTGAATAGACCAATAACAGGTTCTGAAATTGAGGCAATAATTAATAGCCTACCAACCAAAAACAGTCCAGGACCAGACAGATTCACACCCGAATTCTACCAGAGGTACAAAGAGGAGCTAGTACCATTCTTTCTGAAACTATTCCAATCAATAGAAAAAGAGGGAATCCTCCCTAATTCATTTTATGAGGCCAACATCATCCTGATACCAAAACCTGGCAGAGACACAACAAAAAAAGAGAATTTTAGACCAATATCCCTGATAAACATCGATGCAAAAATCCTCCATAAAATACTGGCAAACCGAATCCAGCAGCACATCAAAAAGCCTATCCACCACGATCAAGTTGGCTTCCTCCCTTGGATGCAAGGCTGGTTCAACATACACGAATCAATAAATGGAATCCATCATATAAACGGAACCAAAGACAAAAACCACGTGATTATCTCAATAGATGCAGAAAAGGCCTTTGACAAAATTCAACAGTCCTTCATGCTAAAACCTCTCAATAAACTAGGTATTGATGGGACATATCTCAAAATAATAAGAGCTATTTATGACAAACCCACAGCCAATATCATACTGAATGGGCAAAAACTGGAAGCATTCCCTTTGAAAACTGGCACAAGACAGGGATGCCCTCTCTCACCACTCCTATTCAACAGAGTGTTGGAAGTTCTGGCCAGGGCAATCAGGCAAGAGAAAGAAATAAAGGGTATTCAATTAGGAAAAGAGGAAGTCAAATTGTTCCTGTTTGCAGATGACATGATTGTATATTTAGAAAACCCTATCCTCTCAGCCCAAAATCTCCTTAAGCTGATAAGCAACTTCAGCAAAGTCTCAGGATACAAAATCAATGTGCGAAAATCACAAGCATTCTTATACACCAATAACAGACAAACAGAGAGCCAAATCATGAGTGAACTCCCATTCACAATTGCTTCAAAGAGAATAAAATGCCTAGGAATCCAACTTACAAGGGACATGAAGGACCTCTTCAAGGAGAACTACAAACCACTGCTCAATGAAATAAAAGAGGACACAAACAAATGGAAGAACATTCCATACTCATGGGTAGGAAGAATCAATATTGTGAAAATGGCCATACTGCACAAGGTAATTTATAGACTCAATGCCATCCCCATCAAGCTACCAATGACTTTCTTCACAGAATTGGAAAAAATTACTTTAAAGTTCATATGGAACCAAAAAAGAGTCTGCATTGCCAAGACAATCCTAAGCCAAAAGAACAAAGCTGGAGGCATCACGCTACCTGACTTCAAACTATAGTACAAGGCTACAGTAACCAAAACAACATGGTACTGGTACCAAAACAGAGATATAGACCAATGGAACAGAACAGAGCCCTCGGAAATAATACCACACATCTACAACCATCTGATCTTTGACAAACCTGAGAAAAACAAGCAATGGGGAAAGGATTCCCTATTTAATAAATGGTGCTGGGAAAACTGGCTAGCCATATGTAGAAAGCTGAAACTGGATCCCTTCCTTACACCTTATACAAAAATTAATTCAAGATGGATTAAAGACTTAAATGTTAGACCTAAAACCATAAACACCCTAGAAGAAAACCTAGGTAATACCATTCAGGACATAGGCATGGGCAAGGACTTCATGACTAAAACACCAAAAGCAATGGCAACAAAAGCCAAAATTGACCAATGGGATGTAATTAAACTAAAGAGCTTCTGCACAGCAAAATAAACTACCATCTGAGTGAACAGGCAACCTACAGAATGGGAGAAAATTTTTACAATCTACCCATCTGACAAAGGGCTAATATCCAGAATCTACAAAGAACTTAAACAAATTTACAAGAAAAAATAAAACAACCCCATCAAAAAGTGGGCGAAGGATATGAACAGACACTTCTCAAAAGAAGACATTTATGCAGCCAACAGATACGTGAAAAAATGCTCATCATCACTGGCCATCAGAGAAATGCAAATCAAAACCACACATCTCATGCCAGTTAGCATGGAGATCATTAAAAAGTCAGGAAACAACAGGTGCTGGAGAGGATGTGGAGAAATAGGAATGCTTTTACACTGTTGGTGGGAATGTAAACTAATTCAACCATTGTGGAAGACAGTGTGGTGATTCCTCAAGGATCCAGAACAAGAAATACCATATGACCCAGCCATCCCATTACTGGGCATATACCCAAAGGATTATAAATCATGCTGCTATAAAGTCACATGCACACATATGTTTATTGCGGCACTATTCACAATAGCAAAGACTTGGAACCAACCCAAATGTCCAACAATGATAGACTGGATTAAGAAAATGTGGCACATATACACCATGGAATACTATGCAGCCATAAAAAATGATGAGCTCATGTCCTTTGTAGGGACATGGATGAAGCTGGAAACCATCATTCTGAGCAAACTATCGCAAGGACAGAAAACCAAACACTGCATATTCTCACTCATAGGTGGGAATTGAACAATGAGAACACTTGGACACAGGGTGGGGAACATCACATACTGGGGCCTGTCATAGGGTGGGGGGTGTGGGGAGGGATACCACTAGGAGATATACCTAATTGAATGACAAATTAATGGGTACAGCACACCAACATGGCACATGTATACATATGCAACAAACCTGCACGTTGTGCGCATGTACCCCATAACTTAAAGTATAATAATAAAATAAATAAATAAATAAACTAGGTATTAAAGGAACACACCTCAAAATAATCAGAGCCATCTATGAAAAACCCACAGCCAACATTATATTGAACAGGGAAAAGCTGGAAGCATTCCTCTTGAAAACTGACACAAGAAAAGGATGCCCTCTTCCACAACTTCTATCCAAGACAATATTGGAAGTCTTGGCCAGAACAATCAGTCAAGAGAAAGAAATGAAGGACATCCAAGTAGGAAGAGAGAAAGTCAAACTATCCCTGTTTGGAGAAAACATGATTCTATATCTAGAAAACTCCAGAGCCTCATCCCAAAAACTCCTTAAGTTAATAAACAACTTCGGCAAAATTTTAGGACACAAAATCAACATACAAAAATCACTAGCACTCCTATACACCAACAACAGCCAAGCTGAGAGTAAAATCAGGAACACAATCCCATTTACAACTGTCACAAAAAGAATAAGATACCTAGGAATACAGCTAACCAGGGAGATGAAAGATCTCTACAATGAGAATTACAAAACACTGCTTAAGGAAATCAGAGATAACACAAGCAAATGAAAAAACATTACATGCTCATGGATACGAAAAATCAATATCTTTACAGTCACCATACTGCCCAAAGCAATGTACAGATTCAATGCTATTCCTATCAAATTGCCAGTGACACTCTTCACAGAACTAGAAAAAAATACTTTAAAATTCAATGGTACCCAAAAAGAGCCTGAATAGTCAAGGCAATTCTAAGCAAAAGAACAAAGCTGGAGGCATCATGTTACCTGCCTTCAAACTATACTACAGGGCTACAGTAACCAAAACAGTACAGTACTGGTACAAAAACAGACACATAGACCAATGGAATAGAATAGGGAGCTCAGAAATAAGGCTACACACCTATAATTATGTGATCTTCAACAAAGTTGACAAAAATAAGCAATGGGGAAAGGTGCTGGGATAACCTGCTAGCCATATGCTAGCCATATATCTTACACCAGATATAAAAATCAACTCAAGATAGATAAAAGACTTAAATGTAAAACCCAAAACTATAAACACCCTGGAAGACAACCAAGGCAACACTATTCTAAACATAGGAATGGGCAAAGATTTCATGACAAAGACACCAAAAGCAATCACAACAAAAGCAAAAATTGACAAATGGTATCTAATTAAACGTAAGAGCTTCCGCAGAGCAAAAGAAAGCATCAACAGAGTAAAAAGACTATCTAAAGAATGGGAAAGAAATATTTGCAAACTATGCATCTGACAAAGGTCCAATATGCACCATCTATAAGAAACTTTAATTTACAAGAAAAAAAGCAAAGAACCCCATTAAAAAGTGGGCAAAGGACATGAACAGACACTTCTCAAAAGAAGACATACACATGGCCAATAACCATATGAAAAAAAAGCTCAACATCACTATCATTAGAGAAATGCAAATCAAAACCACAATGAAATATCATCTCACACCAGTCAGAATGGCTATTATTAAAAAGTAAAAAAATAACAGGTGCTGTCAAGGTTGTGGAGAAAAAGAAATGTTTATACACTGGTGATGAGAGTATAAATTAGTTCAACCATTGTAGAAAGCAGTGTAGTGATTCCTAAAAGACCTGAAAACAGAACTACCATTTGACCTAGGAATCTCATTATTGGGTATATACCCAAAGGAATATAAATCATTCTGCCATAAAGACATACCCGCAAGTATGTTCATCGCAGCACTATTCATAATAGCAAAGACATGGAATCAACCTGAATGCCCATCAATGGTAAACTGGAAAAAGAAAATGTGATACATATACACATACATATACATATACATGAAGGTGCCAGATTTTTTGCATTTTTGTGTTTTTTGTTGGTGATTTTGCTGTTTAAAGGGTCCCAGTGCCTAGTGATGAAGTGCTATTTAGTGTTCCTAAGCACAAGAAGGCTGTAACACACCTCATGGAGAAAATGCATGTCTTAGATAAGCTTTGTTCAGACGTGAGTTATAGTGCTGTTGGGTGTGAGTTTAATGTTAATGAATCAACCGTATATATTAAATAAGGTGTCTTTAAACAGAAACATACATGAATCAAACTTATGTATTGATCAGTTGACAAAAATGTGGCCAGAGATTAGTGGGAACCTAACCCTGTATTTCCTCTAAGACTAGTGGTTCAGTATTCACTAATTCAGTGTTTGTGGTGACTTTATAGTCCTAATTACTGTCAATAATGAGAACCGACTATAAATAGATTAGGTCAAACGCTCAGTGATTAACTTGCAAATGTTCAAATTGCCCATAAAAACACAACTGTAAAAATAATTGTTATGAAAACACAACTGTAAAAATAATTGTTAATACATTTATGTTTAGATAACATTTTATCATTTCTCACTGTTGGTACAATTGTGAAACTGCCTATGATATATAAGACCTCAGACACCTAAAAAGCAAAGAGATAAAAATATGTTGGAACGGGAGAATATCTCAAAGATGGTCTAGCACCTCTACTTTTGAAGCTATTTTTCTCTATTGCTTTGGAATGGCACTGATGCCATGGCTCCTTTCTTTACTTCCTTCAGGCCTCTATTCATATGTCATCTTATCACTGAGGCATTCTCTGATCCGCCTCTATAAAGAGCCCCTCAACTTCCATTCCCTTTACTCAGCTTTATTTTCCTCCATTGCTGTTATCATCATCTGACATATAACCAATCTATTTATTTGCTATTGCTTATCTCCTCCAACAAGATTGGAACCTCTATAGGGGCAAGTACCTATAACATGCAAGGAAAGGAGAAATGGTGCACTATTAGCTTGTCATAGTCATCTGAAAAATATCAAGTACCTTCCTGAAAACATCTGGCACCTAGAACAGTGCATGGAACAAAGCAGGCATGCAAATAAATATCTGTTAAACAAACTACTAAATGAAAACAATAATGGATTCATAGGAGCTCAGTGCATGGTAAAAATTAGTCACATATGGCACTAGGTATCCTGGAATAGGGACATAAAATACTTCAGAAACTATATCTTTGCTGCTAGAAATATTTTTTTAACTAAGACAAATTTGGAATTGACTTCCTAATTCCTACACTTTGTAGTAAAGAAAGGCCACCTATATCCTCTATGCATGTAACTTTAATAAAAGTTTCCTTTGTATTAAAAAATCCAAACTTACGAAATAGAGGACTTTTTACATATAGAAGAGGTTTTTTCATTTAAAAATGGTTTCATTTCAGAAATTCTTTAGATGGTAAGCTTTCCTAGAATATAGCAAGTATCATTTACCAAAAATATATGAGCTACACAAAAAATTTTAGGCTCATATCTGCTAATAGAAGTAGTGCTATTTTTGTAAACTCACACTTAAGATAAAACGTTTAATCCCTCTTCCATACTTACATCCCAGCAGGGATGCTATTCCCCTACTCCCTGTTTGAACTGCCATTTTAACCTGGTTTCTTACCAAATTATTCAGCTATGATGAGAGTTTGATTTTGAGTGAATAAGTATTAATATCATTCTGAAAAAATTATGTTACTATTAGTGTTGGCACATATTAGCACATACACACATGCAAATACCTAGCCATTCATAATAATTCATGCAGGACAGATTACCAATGTCCTCCCCTTACCCTAATAAATGAAATGTATCCTTCTATAAATTAGAATGATGCCTCAGACCCCACAACTTTCAAAAATATATGCTATACCTGTGTGAATTGGTCACAGTCAACAACGCGGAAAGTTTTGCCATAAATTGTGATGTTTATTCCTCGATTTAGGTCTTTCCAATGGTAATGGTCACCCCGGTCATTCTTGGCTAGCCGCTGGCGTTTTATTAACTTGCCTTGAAGGATTCCAGAATTTTCTACAACAGGCTCTATGACAGACATGCTGTCATCTTCTAGATAATAGTAAATGTTCACCTGACGGATCCTATACTGTTCCTCAGTTGACATAGGAACATCTTCTTGGAAATAGGCATCAAATTTCAGTACCTATAACATACAAGGAAAGGAGAAATGGTGTACTATTAGCTTGTCATAGTCATCTGAAAAATATCAAGTACCTTCCTGAAAACAGAACCACACAGGGAGATTTTAACACTCATCACTTCTATCCTGTAAATCTTGATACTCTAAAACTACAGATACTGCAAACTATAGTCCATGGGACAAATCTAACCTGCCACCTGTTTTTTTTATGACCTGCAAGCTAAGAGTGGGTTTTACATATTTAAATGGTTTAAAAAATTTTAAAAAATGTTTCATAACACATGGAAATTATAAAAATTTAAATTTTCAATCCACAAATAATTATGTAAATAATTTACGCTTTTTTGTTAACAGCTGCTCTCCCATTACAAGGGAAGAGTTGAATAGTTGTGACAGAGATACACAGACTAAATTGTGTCCCCCTCATCCCCAAAATTCATATGTTGAACCCCTAACCCTCAATGTGACTATATTTGGAGACAGGATCCTTAGGAGGTAATTAAGGTTAAACCAGATCTTAAGGATAGAGGTATGCCACCTTTAAGTCTAATCCCATAGAACTGGTTGCCTTAGAAGAGAAGAAGAGAAAGAGAGTTACTTCCCTCCCCTAACTCCCACATGTACACACCAAGGTAAGGCCACATGAAGACATAGCAAGAAGACCGCTGTATGCAAGCCAGGAAGAGAGCCCTCACCAGAATTCAAACCAGCTGGCACCTTGATCTTGGACCTCCAACCTCCAGAACTGTGAGAAAATAAATTCTATTATTTAAACCACTCAATCTGTGGTATTTTGTTGTGGCAGACTACGCAGGCTAAAACCACTGCAATGGCCAAAATATACGCTAACTGCCCTTTACAGAAAAAGTTTGCTGACATCTGCTTTAAATACTCACAATGTGTATAAACTATTTATTGCATATGTTCCTTGGTGAGAATACATCTTAAAGGACTTAACTCTACTAGCTTCACCTCCATGTCAAAAGTCCCTCCCAGAACTTCTGGGAAGAGTAAAAAATCTTGGATAAGATTGCGATTTTTGGTTTCAAACTGAAAATGAAGGGTTAATTGCACTTCTTTAGAAGTGTAGTCCTTTGTAAATGTATATTAATTACGTTCATTATTATAAACTTTATATGAATGACTTTCACATCATCAATCCACTACAGAATCTTTGAAGGGTGTGTACATACCCTCATCATCAATCCGCTATACAATCTCTAAAACGTGTGTAAATACCCTCCTTGTGCTCAGGAACATATATATTACATTGAGCAAACCATTGGTCCTCTGGGGAGCATCATCATCAATGTGAAGTCAACATGGTATCAATATATAGATTACACATTTAAAAAACATAAACTATGCCAGGCGTGGTGGCTTACGCCTGTAATCCCAGCACACCGGGAGGCCAAGGCAGGCAGATCACCTGAGTTAAGGTGTTTGAGACCAGTCTGGCCAACATGGTGAAACCCCGTCTGTACTAAAAATACAAAAATTAGCCAGGCTTGGTGGTGGGCAACTGTAATTCCACCTACTTGGGAGGCTATGGTAGGAGAATCATTTGAACCCAGGAGGTGGAGGCTGCAGTGAGCTGAGTTAGCGCCACTGCACTCCAGCGTGGGTGACAGAGTGAAACTCCATCTCAAAAAAATAAAAAATAAAAAGCATAAAACAATATTATAAAAAGAATATGTTAACATGCTTTGGGATTTTTAAATTTCTGTTATTTTGTCTCTGTTTTTAATGTGTCTTTTCAAGGAGAGAAAGTATTAGAATGGGATTCTAAGCAGGCAAGATAGTTTACCCAAGCCTCTACTAGAATAAGAGGAACAAATCAAGAAGATCCTAAATGAAACAGAAATATGGCTTGATAAATGGAAAGATGAAATAATTCTATACACGGACACTGTTGCTAAAAAAAAAAATGGGTAGCGTAACTACTGTGGAAAAACAAGATAAAAACCAAGAGAACTGGCAAGTGCATACAAGTGCATAGGAGAAATGTGAATATAATGAAGGCCTTAAAACTCATAATAAAAAGATAAAATGGATAAGTGCAGTGGAATGTTTGAAGGAGAAAAATAACATGGTAAAAGCAAAGGACAGATAATGTTGAAGTAACATTTTAGATCAACTGCAAAGAACTGAAAGGGGGGACATGATCATAGTAATTCATATATAAAATGGCCTGTATCTGAGCCATATATTTATAAATACATAAAATGTTAAAGCTGAACTGATCAGCTAGCCCAACCCCACTTATTTTATAAAGGAGGAAACTGAGACCCAGGGTGGTAAGGTGGCGTGCCTGAGGCCATGTAAGGGGTTAGGGCCAGAACTGGAACTGAAATTCAGACTATTAACTCACAACCCAATATTCTCTCCACACATCTTGCTACTTCTCAGGTAACAAATGCTATCGTGGTTCCAAGAAGGAATCTGTGTGGACTAAAGTGGTCAGAGAAAGCTTAACTAGGAGGAAACAAAAGATGTATTAGACTTGAAGAGTGAAAGATTTTAGATCAGCAGAGGATACAAGGGGGGCTTCTAAGCAGTGGTAATAACAGAAGCAGAGGAAGGAAACCCAGCAGCAGTATGCAGGCTATGATGGAGGAGGAAGTACTAGGCATGGCAATCAGACTGGAAGCCCCTTCAATAGTCCAGGTCTGCAGTAATTAATTACCAGCAATGGAAAAGCAGAAGTCTGACTGGATTGATAGTAAGGAAGTGGGAAGGTGGAAGCAGATGAGGTGTTGAGGAAAACCCAGTGCTGGCGATATAGTGGTGATCTCATAGAAATGTAAACATAAGGAGAAGATAATTTGGGTATGGCAGATGGTGAGTTTGATTTTAGACTTACTGAATTTAAGTGACAGCACAAGTTGTATACTGCAGGGGGTAATTTATACTGCAGGACTGGGTTTAGGGGAAGAAGTAAATATTACAGAACATTCAAGGATAATGCAAACATTTTTGGCCAAGCAACTGAAAGCATAGAATTACTATCAAATTGATATGAAGAAGATTGCTGCAGAACAGATTTTGGGGGTAAGAAGACAAAATTGGGAGTTCAGTTTTAGATATGCTTAATTTGAGATATTTATTAGACATTCAAGATGAGATGGCAAATAGGCATTTATGTATACATATGTTTAGAGGACAACTTATCATCATAAAGAGGACATTTCAAGCCATGAACCTGGACAACTCACCAAAGGAGTGAGAAGAGAATCACAGAGAAGATAACCAAAGATCAAGTCTGTGGCCACAGCCATGCTCCCAAACCATCTGTTTTCTAAGATTGGTGGGCATGAAAATGCCTATGGCAACAGGAAGTTGGCCTGAGAATGGGAGGCAAGGAGATACACATATATATATGGTCTTGTTATATGTGTGTATGTATATATATATATATATATGGTCTCAGGTAAAGAATATGCTAACCGAAAAGAATTACTTAATTGTTAATTTTTAAAAGGCACTTATCTATTTATTAAGAACAGAATTAAGAGTTCTGTGCTCCTCCCACAAAGAATGAATGGGATAGAAGAGTTAATGTAGAAAAGCTCTTTGGAAAGTTTCCCTGGAATCATGGCAGATGGAAGGTAGGACTAGATTGCAGCTCCCACTCAGACGGGCAGAGCAGCGTGTGAAGGCTTGCACTGTGAGCTTTTTTGCTCCAGGATGACTGCAGGAATAAATTAGGTAAGCAGAGAGAATCCACAGACCCTCTGAAGGAAGCAAATTGCTCTTGTAGGACCCGGGAGACACCCCAAATACTGTGAGTGCCCAAACTATGGAAGTGGGAAAGGGAGATCATCTGTCCCCGAACACACACCCCCACTGAGGAACCTGAAGGTCTAGATTACAGGAGAAGATTCTGACCTTACCTGGAGCTGGGTCAATTCAGAGAGGCGAGTGAAATACGGGGGTAGAGGAAGCAGCGGGAAAAGTCCTATGGTCTCCCTGGGGTCCCCTACCAAGCCATTTCTGCCTTGCTTCACAGGGGTACTTGGGGAGGGCAGCCAGAGGCACTGGGAAAAGGCCACAGGAAGAAGGGAACCTCCAGCTGAACTGTGTAATGATTTGAACCAATTGAGAAGTCTCCTGGCCAGAACTCGGGAGAAGGTGTGAATCCAGTGTACAGATTCCACAGGTGGGGGAAGAAGGAAAGCCCCACTTGCTTTCAAAGCTGGGAGGCAGGTAGCCTGGGGCAAGTTCTCAGCCTTGCTCACCCACTGCCTGGAAACAGACTTGGTGCTGTTGGAGAGGGGCGGGACAGTGGGAGTGAGATTGGACCTTTGGGTTGCATGGGAGCTGGGTGAGGTCTATGACTGCTGGCTTTCCCCCACTTCCCTGACAACCTGAAGTATACAGTAGAGGCAGCCATAATCTTCCTAGGAACACAACTCCATTGACCTCAGACCCTCACCCCCATCCTCCACAGCAGCCACAGCAAGACCTGCCCAAGGAGAGTCTGAGCTCAAACACATCTTGCCCTGCCCCAACCTAACGGTCCTTCCCTACCCACCCTGGTAACTGAAGACAAAGGGCATATACTCTTGGGAGTTCTAGGGGCCCACCCACTGCCTGTTCCCCCCATACTACCACAGCTAATGCTATCTTGAAAACACCACCTCCTGGCAGGAGACCAACCAGCACAAAAATAGTACATTAAACAACCAAGGCTAAGGACCCTCACAGAGTCCGTTTCACCCCCCTGCCACCTCCACTGGAGCAGGTGCTGGTATCTATGGCTGAGAGACCCACAGACGGCTCACAGCACAGGACTCTGTGCAGACAACCCCCAGTACCAGCCTGGAGCCTGGCAGACTTGCTGGATGGCTAGATCCAGAAGAGAGATAACAATCACTACAGCTCGGCTCTCAGAAAGCCACATCCATAGGAAAAGGGAGAGAATGCTACATCAAGGGAACACCCCGTGGGACAAAAGAATCTGAACAACAGCCTTGAGCCCTATACCTTCCCTCTGATAGAGTCTACCCAAATGAGAAGGAACCAGAAAACCAACTCTGGTAATATGACAAAACAAGGTTCTTTAATGCCCCCAAAAATCACACTAGCTCACCAGCAATAGATTGAAACCAAGAAGAAATCCCTAATTTACCTAATAATTTAGAAGGTTAGTTATTAAGCTGATCAGGAAGGCACCAGAGAAAGGCAAAGCCCAATTTAAGGAAATAAAAAAGATACAAGAAGTGAAGGGAAATTTTTTTCAATGAAATAGCATAAATAAAAAACAATAAAAACTTCAGGAAACAATGGATGTGCTTATAGAAATGCAAACTGCTCTGGAAAGTCTCAGCAATAGAATCAAACAAGCAGAAGAAAGAACTTCAGAGCTCAAAGACAAGGTTTTCTAATTAACCCAATCCAACAAAGACAAAGAAAAAAGAATAAGAAAATATGAACAAAGCCTCTAAAAAGTTTGGGATTATGTTAAATAACCAAACCTAAGAATAATCAGCATTCCTGAAGAAGAAAAATCTAAAAGTCTGGAAAACATATTTGGGGGAATAATCAAGGAAAACTTCTCTAGACATCCAAACACAAGAAGCTCAAAGAATACCTGGGAAATTCACTACAAAAAGATCATCACCTAGGCACACTTTCCTCAGGTTATTTAAAGTTAAGATGAAGGAAAGAATCTTAAGAGCTGTGAGGCAAATGCACCAGGTAACCTATAAAGGAAAACCTATCAGATTAATAGCAGTTTCTCAGCAGAAACCCTACAAGCTAGAAGGGATTGGGGCCCTATCTTCAGCCTCCTTAAACAAAAGAATTATCAGCCAAGAATTTTGTATTCAGTGAAACTAAGCTTCATAAATGAAGGAAAGATACAGTCTTTTTCAGAAAAACAAATTCTGAGAGAATTTGCCACTACCAAGCTAGCACTACAAGAACTGCTAAAAAGAGCTCTGAATCTTGAAACAAATCAAAACACATCAAAACAGAACCTCTTTAAAGCATAAATCTCACAGGACCTATAAAACAAAAATACAATTAAAAACAAAAAACAAAAAATCCAGGTATACAGACAACAAATACCACGATGAACAGAATGGTATCTCACATCTTAATACTAATGTTGAATGTAAATAGCCTAAATGCTCCAATTAAAAGATACAGAATCGCAGAATGGATAAGAATTCACCAACCATCTGCTGCCTTCAAGAGACTCACCTAATACATAAGGACTCATGTAAATTTAAGGTAAAGGGGTGGATAAAGAAACTCCATGCAAATGGACACCAAAAGTGAGCAGGAGTGGCTATTCTTGTATCAGACAAAACAAACTTTAAAGCAACAGCAATTAAAAAAGACAAAGAGGGACATTATATAATGATAAAAGACCTGTCCAACAGGAAAATGTCATAATCCTAAATATATATGCACCTAACACTGGAGCACCCAATTTATAAAACAATTACTAATAGACCTAAGAAATGAGATAGACAGCAACATAATAATAGGGGGGGACTTCAATACTCCACTGATAGCACTAGCCAGGCCAAGACAGAAAGTCAACAAAGAAACAATGGATTTAAACTATACCCTGGAACAAATGGACTTAATATATTTACAAAACATTCTACCCAACAACCGCAGAATATACATTCTATTCAACAGCGCATAGAACTTTCTCCAAGACAGACCATATGATAGGCCACAAAATTAGCCTCAATAAATTTAAGAAAATTGAAATTATATCAAGCACTCTCTCAGACCATAGTGGAATAAAATTGGACGTCAACTCCAAAAGGAACCTTCAAAACCATGCAAATACATGGAAATTAAATAACCTGCTCCTAAGTGAGCTTTGGGTCAAAAATAAAATCAAGATGGAAATTAAACAATCATTCGAACTGAATGACAATAATGACACAACCTATCAAAGCCTCTGGGATACAGCAAAGGCAGTGCTAAGAGAAAAGTTCAAACCCCAAAACGCCTACATCAAAAAGTCTGAAAGAGCACTAACAGACAATCTAAGGCCACACCTCAAGGAACTAGAAAAACAAGAACAAACCAAACCCAAACCCAGCAGAAGAAAGAAAATAACCAAGATCAAAGCAGAAACAAATGAAATTGAAATAAACAAACAAAAAAAACAAAAGATAAATGAAACAAAAAGCTGGTTCTTTGAAAAGCTACATAAAATTGATAGACCATTAGCAAGATTAACCAAGAAAAGAAGAGAGAAAATCCAATAAGCTCAATTAGAAACAAAATGGAAGATATTACAACTGACACCACAGAAATACAAAAGGTCATTCAAGGCTACTATGAACACCTTTACGCACATAAACTAGAAAACTAGAGTAGATAGATAAATTCCTGAAAGATAAAACCCTGCTAGCTTAATTCAGGTAGAATTAGATACCCTGAACAGACCAACAACAAGCAGCAAGACTGAAATAATTAAAAAACTACCAGCAGGAAAAAGTCCAGGACCAGACAGATTCACAGAAGAATTCTACCAGATATTCAAAGAAAAACTGGTACTATTGGCACTATTCTACAAGATAGAGAAAGAGGGAATCCTCCATAAATCATTCTATGAAGGCAGTATCACCCTAATACCAAAACCAGGAAAGGACATAACCAAAAAATAAAACTATAGACTGATATCCCTGATGAACATAGATGCTAAAATCCTTAACAAAATACTAGCTAACCGAATTCAACAACATATGAAAAAGATAATCCACCACGATTAAGTGGTTTTCATACCAGGGATGCAGGGATGATTTAACATACGCAAGTCAATAAATGTGATACACCACATAAACAGAATTAAAAACAAAAATCACACGATCATCTCAATAGATGCAGAAAAAGCAATCAACAAAATCTAGTACCCCTTTCTGATTAAAATTCTCAGCAAAATTGATACAAGGGACATACCTCAATGTAATAAAAGCCATCTATGACAGACCCACAGCCAACATAATGCTGAATGGGGAAAAGTTGAAAGCATTCCCTCTGAGAACTGGGACAACATAAGGATGCCCACTCTCTCCACTCCTCTTCAGCACAGTACTAGAAGAAGTCCTAGGCAGAGCAATCAGACAACAGAAAGAAATAAAGGTCATCCAAATAGGTAAAGAAGTCAAACTGTCACTGTTCACTGATGATATGATTGTTTACCTGGAAAATCCTAAAGACTCCTCCAGAAAGCTCCTAGAACTGATAAAAGAATTCAGCGAAGTTTCTGGATACAAAATTAATATACACATATCAGTAGCTCTTCTTTACACCAACAGCGACCAAGCTGAGAATCAAATCAAGAACTCAACCCCTTTTACAATAGCTGAAAAACAAACAAACAAACAAAAACTTAGAAATATACATAACCAAGGAGGTGAAAGACCTCTACAAGGAAAACTACAAAACACTGCTGAAAGAAATAACAGATGACACAAATAATGAAACAAATAATGGAAACACATTCCATGCTGATAGGGTGGGAATCAACATTGTGAAAATGACCATACTGCCAAAAGCAATCTAAAAATTCAATGCAATTCCCATCAAAATACCACTATCATTCTTCACAGAATTAGAAAAAACAATCCTAAACTTCATATAGAACCTAAAAAGAGCCCGCATAGCCAAAGCAAGAATAAGCAAAAAGAATAAACCTGGAGGCATCACACTACCTGATTTCAAACTATACTATAAGACCATAGTTACCAAAACAGCATGGTACTGGTATAAAAATAGGCACATAGACCAATGGAATAGAACAGAGAGCCCAGAAATAAAGCCAAATACTTACAGCCAACTGATCTTTGACAAAGCAAACAAAAACATAAAGTGAGGAAAGGACACCCTATTCAACAAATTGTGCTGGGATAATTGGCAAGCCACAAGTAGGAGAATAAAACTGGATCCTCATCTCTCACCTTATATAAAAATCAACTCAAGATGGATCAAGGACTTAAATCTAAGACCTGAAACTATAAAAATTCTAGAAAATAACATTGGAAAACCTCTTCTAGACATTGGCTTAGGCAAGGGTTTCATGACCAAGAACCCAAAAGCAAATGCAATAAAAACAAAGATATATAGCTGGGACTTAATTAACCTAAAGAGCTTTTTCACGGCAAAAGGAACAGTCAACAGAGTAAACAGACAACCCACAGAGTGGGAAAAAATCTTCATAATCTATACATCTGACAAAAGATTAATATCCAGAATTTACAATGAACTCAAACAAATTAGCAAGGAAAAACAAAGAAGCCCATCAAAAAGTGGGCTAAGGACATGAATAGACAATTCTCAAAAGAAGATATACAAATGGCCAACAAACATATGAAAAAATGTTCAACATCACTAATGATCAGGGAAATGTAAATCAAAACCACAATGTGATATCATCTTAGTCCTGCAAGAATGGCCATAATCAAAACATCATAAAATATTAGATGTTGGTGTGGATGCAATGAACTGGGAACTGCTGGTGGGAATGTAAACTAGTACAACCACTATGGAAGATTCCTTAAAGAACTAAAAGTGTGAAGATTCCTCAAAGAACTAAAAGTAGAACCACCATTTGATCCAGCAATCCCACTACTGGGTATCTACCCATTGGAAAAGAACTCATCATACAAAAAAGATACTTGTACATGCATGTTTATAGCAGCACAATTTGCAACTGCAAAAATATGGAACCAACCCAAATACCCATCAATCAATAAGTGGACAAAGAAAATGTGATATATATGATGGAATACTATTTAGCCATAAAAAGGAATGAATTAATAGCATTCACAGTGACTTGGATGAGACTGGAGACTATTATTCTAAGTGAAGTAACTCAGGAATAGAAAACCAAACATTGTATGTTCTCACTCATAAGTGGTAGCTAAGGTATGAGGATGCAAAGGCATAAGAATGACACAATGAACTTTGGGGACTCAGGGGGAAAGGGTGGGAAGGGGGTGAGGGATAAAAGACTACAAATTGGGGGCACTGTATACTGCCTGGGTGATGGGTGCACCAAAATCTCACAAATCACCACTATAGAACTTACTCATGTAACCAAACACGACCTGTTCCCCAGTAACCTATGGAAATAAAAAAAATTGTTTTTAAAGTAGTGGGATAACATCAGCTTTCCCAGGTAGAATAAGAACTTGATTGTTACGTAGAAAGAAAAGAAAAATTATATTTAAATACTGTGTTTAAAAATATACTTTTCATGGAATTTTATAGCAGGCTGGGCTCCTGATTATCATGTATTCTAACCTTCTGAGTTTATAGACGAGGAAATTAGAGATTGTGACTACAAGGTCACAATGTTAGCTGGTAGGAGACCCAGAATTAGAATCCAGGTCTTCTAACTCCCAGGAAGTGCTCAGAATGCCACAATAAACATAAAAATATTTGTATTTACTTCAAGATGAAGGGGGGAAATGCTGCATAAATATTTTCATATCACACACAATTATAAAAAGCCAAGTCACATTTTTAATTTTACATTATTATAAGCATATATGGTACGTGTTTGACTTGCCAATTTTCAGCAGTGACACAGACAAGAAATAAATTTTGTTAATTATTCATGTCATTTTAGAACTGATATTTATTGAGCACTAAATATATAATAAACTATATAAGTCCTTACCTTCATGAAGTATACACTCAGGTGGGACAGATAAACACTAAACAAATCAGCAACACAAATTATAATATAGTGCTGCAAAGGGGAAAAAAAAAAAAGAGAGGGAAGTGATATAGAAAAATGAGGAGGAACTGCCATAGCAGAGTGGCCAGGAAAAGCCTCACTGAAAGGAAAGATGGAGTCAGCCACTTAAGGATGGTGGGGAAGCTATTTCAGATAGGAGAAATGCCATGTACAAAAAGGCCCTGAATTGGAATTTTCAAATGCTGCCATTTCAAGGAAATCAGTAAAAATAAATCCAATGTATTGAAACATGATAGGTGAGAAAAAGGACCCAAGATGAGGCTGGGGAGAGAGCAGGGAGGGCCAGCTCCAGTAGGGCTGTGAGGAACCTGTAGAGTTGGATCTTTATAGATGATAGGGAAGCCATGGAAGTGTTTCAGTCAGTATGTGACATAATCTGATTTTCAAAAAATAAGCCTGGCTGCTCTGTGGAAAATAAATTTATGGTAATAGTGAGGATGAAAATAAGTAAATGAATTAGTTACATATTTTAGAAGCAGAAACAATAGAACTTGCTAATAGATTAGATGTGGATTGTGAGGGGAAAGAAGAATGAAAGATGACTTTCATGTCACAGTGAGGTGAATGGTGGTAATGTTTACTGTATTGGTTAAGAAAGCCTGATGGCATTTTCCCAGAAAAATGACATAATCAGAGCTGAACTCTAGAGAATAAACAAGGCAGCATACCTGTTATAAGCATAAGGACTAGGAATGAGACTAAAACAACAGTTAGGTAGTCATTTGGCTTGTCTGAACTATGATAGTGGCAGAGGAAATGAAAGTGAGAGATATTTGACTTGGCAACTCATTAAGTGTGGAGGATAAAGGAGAGAAAAAGCCAAAGATGGCTCAGGTTTCAAGCTTGGATTACCTAGTGGAACCACACAGGGAAAGCAGATCTATGGGAAAAGGTGAGGGATAGAGATAAGTTAGAGACATACAGAACTTGAGGTACCAACAGTTCATCCAGGTGAAGATATCCCATGGGCCAGGGGGATACAGATCTGGAGTCTCAATGATGTCAGAGTTGGAACTAAATAGTGACATTCTCTACGGTGAGGTGACGGTTGAAATCACGAAAGTGGGTGAGATCTCAAGAAAATTATATAAAGAATGAGATAGAGCCTTGAAAATACTTGTAAGTTAAGAATTGAAAAGAGGAAGGGAGGCTAAAGAATAAGCAACCACATAGAAAGAAGGAGGAAAATGAGAGTCATGGAGGCAAAAGAAGAGCACAGTTTCAAGAAGGGAGGAAGGGTCAACAGTGTCAGATGGCATAAACAAGCCAAAGACAATGCTGGCAAAGTAAACCTCTCTAGATCTGGTAAAAGGACAGCACTGGCTACCTAGGAGAAAGTATTCTGGGGCTGTGGGTAGGGAGAAGTCAGATTGTAAGTGATTTGACAGTCAAGTGAGAAACAAAGTTATCTTGCTTAAAGGCATCACAAGGTATTATAGAAAGAGGACAGGATGATATGACTCTAGCTAGAGAAGCAGTCACTAGAGTGTCTGAAATAGAAATAATATGAAACTTGAAGATGAAAAAGATGAAAGAAGAACATCAGAAATAAAGAGCTGGAAGTCAGTCTGGGAAACACAATATAGTAGGTGATGCTGGAATTATACAGGAGCAAGGGGAAAAGATGAGGGCACTTGGAATAGATGTCCTGGTCTTTATTACCTAAGTAAGAAATGAAGTTATATTCTGTCTATGAGGAACAGTCCTAAGAATTTCCAAAATATAGACAAATATGTTGGCTATTATGTGGACCTCTGGGTATTAGAGGTCCTTCATTTAAAATTAGAACCTTCATTTAATTCAGAGAAACCATAATTCCCTTATTATAAACAAACAAACTTAGTTTCAAAGTCATGCATTTAGCTTCTCTCTACCCCATTATCTATGCTAAGGCTCATTTATCTAGAAATTGTGATGATCCAAGTAAAATGAATTGGAAAATAAAAATAATATTTTTATGTGCACTATCCTTAAAGAAATGAATTATGAATATTAAATAAGTACAAATTAAGTAACAACAATTAGTGTAAAATAACATAGAAAACAAAAAATAGGAAGCCTATTTCCTACTCAAGCGCAATTTCTCCTCTGAATTTTACTAATACTTTCTTACGACATATATCACTTTATCACCTTCTACTTTATAACAGTTACTTACTATTCTTTTCAGTAAAAATTAAACATACCAGGATTCATATCTTGGTAATTATTTAGTGCCTATCCCACTTCTCTCTTGTATTTTCAGCCCTCTCCCTTCTCTGCTGATTTTGCAATGTCTGTCAAAGCCACAAATAAACAAAAGAAACAAGCAAAAGGAAAAGATACATCCAATTATATAAATCATACTGTTTAGTGGATGTTTAGGTTCGGCCTATGAATGCATATGTGAATGTGTCCCTATAAATGAGTTAAGTGGGGAAGAGGAAATGATACAGATTCTAGTTGAGAGACTGAAATTGTTTAAAAATAAGTGACTATCATGTAAATGGCATAGCTCCTCCCCAGCCTCTAGCTTACAACAGGTACTCAATAAAAGTTGGCTGGCTGGATGAAAATGTTATAGACATTTAACAGGAATAATAAAATAAAAATTAAGACAAGAAAAGAAACAGACTAAGAGTAAATTAAGAAAGCTAACTTATCAAAACTGATCAGTACTTCTCAGAACCAGTTACACATAAAGCTCATCTGGAAATTAGAACTGATGAGGGTTGGAATAACGTAACTTTCTTAAAAATCTCGCCAGTGATTCTGCTACATGGTCAGGGCTAGGGCTACTTCACTTTAGTGAAAAGAGGAGGCTCATTGACAAGGAAAAACAAGAATGATGTGGTAATGTCAATAGATGGAAATGAGGAAACTCACATTGCAAAAACATAAAGATAAATGAGAAACAAACAAAAATGTTATACCACCCATTGGTTATGTAATATCAAACATGAAATGTTCCCTGAAAACCAAAAACTTATGGAGACTGCCTTGCAGAAAACTGACAATAGATGGAGTCATTGTTTTCATAATGATATTCTGCATCTCATGAAGATTAGATATGTCACCATTACAGAATACAGTTACCTTTAAAAAGTGGAGAACACACGGCTGATAAACATAGAATATAAATTCAAGAATTCAGAATTATAGCCAACTTTTCTTTAACTGCATTTGGAAAATAGTCTGGTGAAGTCTACAGGGAACTACTTTACTCCCTGTAATCAGCTTCCTGACTAAAGAAAGCCTCTTTTTAGCCTGAGTTCAGCTGTCCATGACTAAGGGTTAAGGCATCTGAACAATTTTCTCCTCAGAGCCCTTTGGAAATTCTGTGGTTTACTGTTTTAACTTTTTTGCAAGCAGTTGGCTCTCAGACCCTAATTCAAGGGGTACCCTAAAATTCCAGATGATACCTTTTTGTCAAAGGCCACATGCGCAGGAATAAAATCCGCAGGTGGGGCTTGTTTAGGTTGGCCATAAGTTAAGACTGGTGCCTTACTGGCCAACTCATCCAGCTCAGCCTGGGACAGCTGGTTGAACTGGAGCCGGTCTCCGCCTATCCCAACTGTTGGACGTCGAACAATTGCATAGCCGTTCCTGTAGCTCAGCGTCTGACTTCTGTGGAAGGCTGTTTTCTGAAGAAGAAAAGAATGTGTCATTAATAACATTAGACAAATATTTGTTAGGTAAAAAAAAAACTAACTTTTAAAAATATAACTTGAATCTTTGCTTATAAGCATCACAAAACTTACATCAAGAAGCTTACCAACATTAAGGCTGGGCATGGTGGCTCGTGCCTATAATCCCAGAACTCTGGGAGGCTGAAGAGGGAGAATCACTTCAGCCCCAGAGTTCGAGACCAGCCTGGGCAACAAGATGCTGTCTCTACAAAAACTAAAAAAAAAAAAAAAAAAAAAAAAAAATTAGCTGGGTGTGGTGGCTTGTGCCTATTATAGTCGGCTGAGGTGGAAGGATCACTTGAGCCTGGGAGGTCCAAGCTGCAATAAGCTATGATTGAACCACTGCACTCCAGCCTGGGCAACAGTGAGACTCTGTCTCAAAAAAACAAAACAAAACAAAAGCTTACCTACATTAAAAGATTCTGTATTTTAAGTTAAAACACTTGAACAAGAACAAGGAGCGAAGTAGCCACCTAAGCTTAAAGTAAAATTTAAAGCTGTGCTCTGTAATGCCCAATTTAACTACCAATTCACCTTGCATGAGAGATTAAAAGAGTATCTCATCTATACTCTTAAGTTTTTCACTAGTCTTCTCATGTTTTTCATCTGATATCTGGGGCCGTAAAAACTGTAGAACCTAGAAGATACGGTTCTGTGAATTTTATTTTTACATGGAATGAATTTATTTTTACCTGTCCCTCTTGTCACAATGACAGTGATACATTCTTACAACTCTTTGGAAAGCAACTGGATGGTATATATTTAAAGTCTTGAACTCAATAATTCTACCCCGACCATTTATTTACGAATATGATTCAGAATTATGAGAAAGAACTATATGCCTGAAGCTGCCCATTACAATGGTAAATGTTGAAGACAATCTAAAAGACAGTCATATGAAGACATGAGTAAATGATCGAAAACTCACTCAATGGATTATGGTGCTGTCATTAAAATATTGATTTTAGAGATCACGTGGCAACCTGGTGAAAATATTTATGATTTAATAAGCCTGAAAAAGCAACATATAAAATTATATGTGTACTGCAATTATAAGCATGGAAATATGTGCATGAAGAGACTGGTTTGGTCCTCTGTATTATACATTTCTAAATTATGTTGATTTTTTACAATGAACACATTTTTATTTAAAAGATTAAATAAAAAAGAGTAGAAAGGCAAATTAGAGGTTATGTTAATGGTTTCCTTTTTCTGTTGTGAGGATACTTTCACAATTACTTATCTATAATATTCAAATATATACATAGATACAATTTAAGATTAATCATAAAAAATATTTTTATGAAAAAAACTTTCTACATCCTAATTGCTTTAGAGCCCAGCCTACCATCTTTCAAGATCTGTACTAACATGAAAGGTACAACAGAATAAACTTCTTTTGCTAAAAGGGTTATAAACTGTATATAACCCATAAAAACAAATGTATGACATTTGTTTTTAAAGGTCATGTATTCAGAGTCACAAGTCAGTTGACAGGGACTGCTCCAGGTATATAGTAAACATGACATAGAACAAAATGCGCTGAGTTGACATCCTCATTGGGTAATTTATGGAACTTCAAGCTCTTCTTCCACCACCAAAGACAGAAGCAACATCAGTGACTTCAGTTTATTTCTTTGTTTTAGACAAATGTCTCTACCATCATTCAGCCATAACTCACAGACACCCCAGGCAAGGCAACCTCGGCCCTTTCCACCCCTCTTGTCCATTATGGTTCACCTTCTGTGTGTCTTTTTTTAAAATCGTTTTCCCACTCCCCTTTAAAAATTTTTTAACTTCTTATCTGCATGTCTTTAGAATTACATTAATACATATTCAGTCCTTCACTGCTGAAGATATACTGACGATGCTTTTCAAATTTCAAATAGGGCAAATTGGTTGACACTTGGCCAGTGTATTTAAAATCTGAAATATGTCCAATGCACAGTTCTTCTTACTTGTAATACAGCAATATGTTTTTAGAGCTTTGCACTTCCATCCACACCTCTGTAATTCCCTGTATCAACTCAGCCCTGTCTATACTCACCAACACCAAAAGCTTAAGCTCATCCTGTATAGGGCAGGCAAGTGCCTACAACATTTTCTAAATTACATAAAACTGAAAAGTCCACTGAAACTAAAAATCTATGATGTTGTGTCTTAATGCAGGGATAATTACAGAGATTCAGAATACAAATTCTCTCACCAAACTTTCGATTTCATTCTAAATTGATTCTTCCAAAGAAAATAAATTGACAAAATATTTTAACTTTGTGAAGCTGGAGAGGAAGGCAAGAGTTTAAAGTATTAAACTATATAAACATAAACTACTGTTAGCTCATCTATGATGATCAGTCTACTGAATCTCATTATTGATTTTTCAGCACATACATTTCAGTAGCCCTGTCAGAATTAAAACAAACCAAATAATTTTAAGAGCTAAACTGTGGCAAGAGTTTAAAAAAAAAAAAGAATCCAAGCTGCTGCTACTTTTTAAAAAATTTTGTCTAGAAAATGCAAATAAAAACACAAGGTTGGGGAAGGAGCAAAACAAAATCTAAACAGGAATCTTTTTACAAAAACGTTAGAATAAAAAGAACAGGGCCGGGGAAGAATAAACAGCAACTAATCAATTCTTGAGGGAACTGGAAAGGAATATCTCTTACAAAGCAGGGAAAGATGCTTTGGGAGGAAGGTGAGCAAGTTTTGGGGAAAACCCGCAACGGAGAAAGAAAGGAATGGGGAGAGGATGGGACTAAATTGTGGAAAATGTAGAAGATGGAGAAAAAAGAATGGGGTTGGATGCAAGCATAAAGAAGAAAGGAAAAAGACCTGGCGGAAAGAAGAGGAGCGGAATCGATATACATACAAAACAGGAAATGGAGCTGGGAGTGGGAGATACTACCGGGTACAGGATTCAGAAGAGGAAGAGGTGGGGCGGGAATGACGGACCTGTGGGAATGAGGTTGAAGGTGCATAGTGGCGGGGGGTTTTAAGGGCGGCGATGGACGGAGACAGGTTATGATGTGAGAGAACGAGCTAGGGAGAGGGCCCAGAGATAGGTTGGGAGTAGGGTGGGGGAAACAGTGATCTAAAGGGACAAGAGGCAGGGGCTTGGAGGAGCAGGGCCGTAAGAAAGAACGCGGCTAACGGGATGAGAATGAAGGCGCCAACACACTGCCAAGATGGAGTGGGAAAAAACTAGAGAGGGATGAGGCGGAGGGCAAAGGATCGGAGAGAGGGGATGAGGATGGCTAGGGAAGAACGGCAGAAGTTCGGCCCAGAATAAAGAACAGGGTCAGGACAGAAGACGTGTTTGGAGAGAAGACAGACTTGAGTGGAGGGGAATGGAGGTGCACTGAGCGGGGAAACCTCCTGGGCTGCTGGAAGGTGGGGACAGGTGGGAGTCTGGCAGATAACTGCTCACCGTAGAGTCCTTAAAGGACGTGCCCGGAAGAAAGGGCAAGCCATGCACGGGATTGGACACCATTGCAGCCGGTACCACCGCCGCCACCTAGGTCCTGCTTCGTCCTCTCCGGTTGCCCAGGCGACAAGCAGTGTTCGCGGGCACCTCCAGGATCCATGGTAACGCTAAACATCCGGAACTCCCACGAGCGGAAGGCGGGGCCAGGAGGCGCAGGCATCACAGGAGGTTTGCGCGTGCGCCATCCGCAGGACTCCGCGTTCTCGCGGTAAGTGGGCCGCGGCCTTGGAGCGCGGCTAGTGGGCGTGGTTGTGTCGGCCCCTCCTCTTCCGCTTCGCCCCGCCCCGCTCCCGGAGGATGAGACGTGGGAGCTGTTGGGTGGCGCGGGGAAAGGCGGGTGTAGCGAGGCGGTAGTTCTCGCTGTGAGATCCGGGGTCCGAGCAGGCCCTTAGATGAGTTGCAGAGAGGGACGTTCCTTCTCTCCTTCCACCTAGTCCTGGCGGACCTCACTGCGCCCCGCCAACGCTGTGAGCTCAGGCACTCTTTTCTCCCCCCTCTGCCCCATTTCACACAGAAGTGTAAATGGTCGGTCCAGTTGGCAGTGCTACTAAACTAGACCCATGCTTCTTGTAGGCAGGGGCCGAGGATTACCCATGATTGTGTTTCTGTTGCTCAGGGATGGTCAATGAACTAATGCAATCATCTCATCCTTAATTCTCCCACTGCCACATTGTATTTTTCCCCTTTTAACTCTTTTTTAAAATCAATCTTTCTCTTTCTTTCTTTCCTTTCTTTCTTTCCTTTCTTTTCTTTTTCCTTCCTTCCTTCCCTCCTTCCCTCCGTCCCTCCTTCCCTCCTTGCTTCCTTCCTTCCTTCCCTACTTCCCTCCTTCCGTAGAGATAGTGTCCCACTATGTTGCCCAAGCTGGTCTCGAATTCCTGGGGTCAAGCGATCCGCCCACCTCGCCTCCCAAAGTGCTGGGATTACAGGCATGAGCCACCGCGCCCAGCTCTCTTTATTCTACCATCAATCCCTTCGGTTAAACACCTTTGTTTTTGTAGGGAAAGCCTTGAATATGTGCTGCAGGGCAGGGTGCACTCTGATAGGTACTTGATTTTTGTTGACTGAAGAGCTGCAGGTTGAAGGGTGGTCACCTCAATCCCTCGTTTGTACCTGCAGCTGCAATGAAAAAGATCAGAACCACTAGGAGGAACACAGCTCCTTCAAAGAGAAAGACTAAGTCTTGGGAAAGAAGCAGATAAGTGAGGTGAAATATTGTCAGCATCATAGGTATAGCCTTTGATGCTTTTTACAAAACTTGCTTAAATTATTTTTTCTTAAAAGAAACATAATCCTATTCCTGAAACATTTTTTTTGGGGGGGGGGGGAGAAAGCTATCCATCATTGCTGAGGAGCTTAAAAATAAAAAGTAATCAAAACCCACGTGCCGAGAGATTTGGATTCATTAGGTCTGACATGGAGGCCAGGAATCTGATTTTTGTAACAGGCGTTTGTGACAAGCCAGTTTAGGAACATGATAGAGTAATAAGCCAGACACAGAAGGCATATCTCAGTGTCACAGGTAGTTTACTGCCAATACAGACAGCAGCTTTACTTTTATTGCTGCTTGTCAGAGCAAATCCCCCTGTTGGGTTTCACTAATTTGTGTGACGCTCAGGAGGCCCAGGACATGAATGCATTAAGTGGCACCTGAGGCAGTTATTGATGCCTGCTTACCATACCCTGCCCAGAGAGTTTCCTTTCTAACTCTTCTCCCCTTACTACATCTGTTTCCTGTTCTTGTCCTTTTTTAAACCTCTTTTTCTTTTTCTGTAAGTACATTACCTTAATGCAGCAGTTTAATACATTTTTTAAAAACTTCAATGAAGTTTTTTTGCCTTTGGTGCTTTTTACAAAACTTGCTTATTTTTTAAAAAAATAAATGTAATCATATTCCTCAAACATTGGTTAGCATTGTGGAAGTTACTGAAAACTTTTAAAGTACCTGTCCGTTGTATTATACCTTAGACACCAACTGAGGATGGATGCCAGTCACTGGAGGAATATGTCAAGATGGCAAGTTTGCTGGGTGCGGTGGCTCACGCCTGTAATCCCAGCACTTTGGGAGGCCGAGGCGGGTGGATCGCCTGAGGTCAGAGTTTGAGACCAGCCTGGACAACATAGTGAAACCCCACCTCTACTAAAAATACAAAATTAGCTGGGCATGGGGGCGCATGCCTGTAATCCCAGCTACTTGGGAGGCTGAGGCACGAGAATCGCTTGAACCCGGGAGGTAGAGGTTGCAGTGAGCCGAGATCGCGCCATTGCACTCCAGCCTGGGCAACAAGAGCAAAACTCCGTCTCAAAAAAAGGAAAAAAAAAAAAAAAGATGGCAAGTTTAACCTTTCAAAGATAAGGCACCTCTCCCACTTCTCTCCACCTCATTGACGCTGATTACCCAGAATCACTGGTTACTGTAATTTTTGCTGACTCTTCATGATAACCTTAAACTGTTAGAAGTTCCATGATCCCTCCCTACCCACTCTCTTATTAAAAGTAAATTTCATGGCATTAGGACACACTTTGAAGAGCTCTTCTTGACTAAGTGCATGGTTGCACTTGGATCTATATTCCTGGGTTGGGTAGGGAAGGAGCGTGTGGAGCTGGAAAGGCTGAGTCATGCCTAAGCCTATTGTCCATTATCGCATCTGTTTCTATTTGAGGAGTGCCCTCTGCTCATGCCTTTCTTTCCAGAAAAGCACGCCAGTTAAATGGCTAAGGGGTGTGTTTTAACTACTTTCGGACCCCAGAAATGCATGAAGACAACTTCTGTTGGTCTATGGCCTCCTAAAAATGCTATCATCTCTGAGGAGGGGAAGTCAGACGTACTGCATTAGTGTTAAAAGGCACAGGGACAAGTCTGTAAAGAAGTGGGGCGGGAGGAAAGGCAGGGCTTCAGAAAGGTACCTGGATCCTCAGAAGGTCTGCTGTGATTAAGAGTTTGTATCCCAGTCGGGTGCAGTGGCTCATGCCCGTAACCCCAGCACTTTGGGAGGCCAAGGTGGGCAAATCACTTGAGGCCAAGATTTTGAGACCAGCCTGGCGAAACCCCATCTCTACTAAAAATACAAAAATTAGCTGGACGTGGTGGCACATGCCTGTAGTCCCAGCTACTCAGGAGGCTGAGGCAGGAGAATCGCTTGAACCGGGGAGGCAGAGGTTGCAGTGAACAGAGATCATGCCACTGCACTCCAGTCTACATGACCACTTAGCATGCATTGCACTTCAGTTTGTACCCACCATTTCCCACTTAGTGGAATATATAAAAGAGGGCAGGAAACTGACCATTCCTGGCAGCTAAAGTAGGAAATGCCATGATTGAAAGGCCATTGCATAAAGCCTGACTCAGAAGACCACAGAAATATTGCATGATTTTAGCAGGTGTTCCAAAACTTGGGGAATGGAAAAAAATTGAAAGGTCAGACTGCCAGGAGCCAAGCCTGAAAGAGGGCCTTGTGGGCTGGGTAATGTCTTCCAGGCAATCCTGATGGGACAGGCCATAAGCAGTCAGCTAAAATAAACCTCTCCTCTTTCAGCATTTTGCCCAGAGCTGACTTTACCCAGAATTTGTTTTCAAAACTGTGACATTCTCATTCTATAATACCTAAATTCACAGGACAAAAAATACCAAAGGGCTGTGTGTGCATGTGTCCTGGATTACTTCTGCAGTGATTTGGTGTTCTGCTTCCCTCTGCTGGGTAAAAATGGTACAGCAAAATTTCTGGAAAAGAAAACAACCAATTACATACCTGCAGGTTTTGCAGGTACTTGGGGGTGTGGTGAGCACGTGAATATGGCCAGGGGGTGTCCCTCAGTCAGAGTGCTCTCTAGCATTCCTTTCCATCACTCCATGGCCTCTGAAATATTTTATCTAAAAAGAGGGCCCAGTCATCCACTTCGATCTTTGCAAAGTATGGGAAAAGGAGAAACATCCAGTGATTAGATTTAGGATCCACAGGAGATCTTCATTTGACACAAAAATTACATCATTTGGGTCTAGACTATTTTAGTCTTGATGTGGGCTCCTGCCTGGGGTTTGGAAAAACCTGTATTTCTGCTGCTTTTTCCTCCCTTAAGTCAAACCTATTCAATAGCTTTAGCTGATTCCGTTGGAATTCTCTTTCCTTGTCAAAGCTGATGGAACATACTTCACAGGATATAAGCGTCATAAGAAGATGGTCTTCATTTTTTCATTGCCATTTTCCTAACTCTCATCACAGTGCCTAGCACTACATAGATGTCCATTAAATAGTTGGAAAATTACTGACCTACTACAGTTAATGAATGAATGACTCAGCGGTCACGTGGGAAAGTATTTTTCAAACTGCTGCAGATTTCCTTTAGCAGTTCTTCAAATCAACTTAATAGGTTGTGACCACAACGAGAATTATTTTTAAAAAAGAATAGAATAGAAACTATCCAGATGCATTCCATTTTGTTTGTAAGAATAATTCAGTGAAAGTTTTTTCAAGATATATACATACATATACATTCATAGTGAGAGTATATCATGATCACAGTCAAAATGCTTGAAAAGTAATTGACACAGTCCGGTTAGCTCATTTTACTAATGAGAAATCTCCAGACCAAAAGAGATCAAGGAACTATCAATTAATGACTGGTTCCCAATTGAGTATTTCTTACACTCCACCTCAATCCTCTGACATCTAGGAAAGACAGTCCTCATTTAGCTCAGGACAGATCATTGATCTTGGCATCCTGCTTGTGAGACATCTCTGGCATAATAAAGCTCTCAATAGTACGGAGAAAGAGAAGTGTGAGAATGTTGTGGTAGTAACATTGACTAGAGTTTTAGATTCCAAATGTGGACAAGAAGTGAATTCATTAATTCAGGTAAATGGCAACTTTGAAACAATAGGGAAATTGACACCTTCTATTGAGCATCTCAAACCACTTTCCTTTTCCCCTTTCACATATGCAGCATGAAACAGAAAGTAGAACAGGTTAGGTCCTGAGAGCCACATTCCTGTCCTGTTAAGAATATTTGTGTGAGTTTGGACAATTTACCTATCCAAGTCTCCTGCTTTTCATCTCTAAAATGAAAAGCCAGGACCAGAGCTAATGACCATTAATTGTTTGAGGGTCATGGGATCATTTTTAAAATCTTGTAAAAGCTTTAGACTTTGGTTCCCTAAAATGCACACATTCACATGTACTTATAATTTCATGTAGTTCATGAAAGCTCCAGTGAGTCTAGAAATCACTTCATTGAGTTTTCCCCTCTTTAAAATCTATGGAATGAAAAGTCTACAATATAGTACCCCAAAGGCAGAATGATGTAGCGGTAAAGTGAGTGGACTGTAGGAAACTCTCCAGGACAAATGATTGTTTGGCCAACAACTGAATTGGAAAGGAGTAAAAAGACTGGGGTAGAAGGGAAACCTATAAATTAGAAAGAGATTTAAGTAAAAAGTCAACCAATTGCAATGTGTGGGTCCTATTGGGATCCTGATTTAAACTAAATACTTTGAAATAATTATCACATTTGTGAGACCATTGGGAATTCAAACACAGGATATTTGATGGTAAGGAATTGTTCTTCAGTTTTTTAGACATGATAATGATATTGTATTCTTGTGTAAAGAGTCTTCATCTTTTAAGGATACATAAAAAGCATGTATTGTAGGAAAAATTATATAACATCTATAAAATTATAGATATTATATAATATCTTATATAATATATGAGATAGTATATATTATATAATTATATAATGTCCAAAATAATATGGACAGAAGCAAGTGAGTAGGGATGTAGATGAAACTAGATTCCCCATGATTTGATAATTGTGTATGTGATTACATGGGAATTCATCATACAATTCTATCTACTTTTGTATATGCTCAAGGTTTTTCGTAATAAAAAAATAAAAATAAAATATTATGGACTGCAGAGTCAGACTGCAGAGTTGCAAATCCTACCACTTACCAGCTCTGTGACCCTGCAGAAGTTTCTTAACCTTTTAATAGCCATAAACAGGAATAATAATTGTTATTCCCAATTCACAAGGTTGTTGTGAGCATTAAATGAGTTCATATATGTTAGCACTTACTGTAGTGCCTGGCACATAGTAAGCGCTCACTGACTGTTTGCTATTACCATTGTCTGGGGGAGCATGGTGAATGGACAGTTTGGTCAGTGACTGGGAATTGGAAAAACTATGGAAAATTAAAGACAGATTAAGGTAAAAAGAAAGGAGAAAAGGGGGGTAGGGAAATATGTTGGGCACTTTAGAGAATGCAACATGTAGAAGGGTTTGGTTTGTGTGAGTTAAGTCTTTCTTTCCTTTTTACCCACCCCCCACCTACCAACTCTGAATAAATATCACACACACACACACACACACACATACACATACACACACACACACACACACACACACACCCAGATCCTTTTAGACACACACACACACACACCCAGATCCTTTTAGAGGGTAGGAGGGCATCTAATCTCTTTTCAACGTAGAGTTTATGAAAAGAGCACAACAGCTTTCTGGTGGGCCACAGAGGAGGCTAGATGGCTGGAGCTTTCCGTGGAGCCATGGTCTTTTCCCTATTTGTTTGGTTTACTATTTTTTTTATCACCACTAGAATGCGAGGCAGACGGTGAATATAAAACCTTTGCACCCAAAGATGAAGGTGCTTGCAGGTAGATGAGTTGGTTGTGAGTACCAAGAGTAGAGGCAAAGACCCAGGTGGGAAGTTGCCAAGGTGCAACCCAGGAGCACCTGCTTACACAGGGTAGACTCAGATGGGAAACACAGCCACACTGAAACTGGCTGTTCACAACATTTTCTCTGTACTTAACTCCCTACCACAGAGGTTCTATTGTATTCACACACATGATAAGCTTCCCATCTGTATCTCTGCTGAGATCTGCAAATCCCATTTCTCCCTTTAATAGGGTATAGATGGGGGGGAAGGGAGGGGTCTTCGTGTCCCATTCTCTACCTGTGCTTGCTGAGTTGAGAGACCAAGAGCCACTGGTTAGAAAAAACTGTCAATTTCATAGGGAGGTTAAAACTGAGGTTGGCCCTGCGATGCTGTATTAAGTTTTCTAGGGTCATCGTAACAAAGTACCACAAGCTGGGTGGCTTAAAAAGAATTTTTTTTCTGTCACAGTTCTGAAGGCTAGAAGTCTGAAATCAGGGTGCTGGCAAGGCCATTCTCTCTCTCTGCCTGCCCCGCCACCCTAACCCACACACCCCATCCCCCAGTTTCTGCTTATTACCAGAAATCCTTGGCACTCTTTAGCTTGCAGATACATAACTCCCATCTCTGCCTACATTGTCACATGATGCTGTCCCCTGTGTGTGTCTATGTGTCTTCACATGGCTGTCTTTCCTCTGTGTCTTCTCCTCTTCTTATATGGACACCAGTCATATTGAATTAAGAGATTGTCCAGTATGACCTCATCTTAACTGCTTACATGTACAACTACCCTGTCTCCAAATAAGGTCACTAATTGAGGCAGCGGGGTTTAGGACTTCAATATATCTAAGGGACACAAACACATAATAGATGGGAATCAAAAGGTAGAAAAAATGAGTATGTGGACCAGTAGGGTTTCTTCTGTAGTCTGAGAACACTTGGGGACCATAGTGAGAAAGGGCGGTGCTGCCAGAATGTCTGGGTGGTGTGTGTGTGTACCAATGGAAGGTTCTTCCTGATGCCTGAGAGAGTCTTTGATCATGCAGACTGAATGTCAGGGAAGGAATGTGGAGGAAAGCAAGAAATCCCCCATTTCCCAGGGAAGATGAACTACATCTTATTCCGTTGTGGGTGGAGAAAAATCCCTCCCAAGGACAGAGAGCTCCTGTTCTGGTGAGAGACGTCTGGGAGCCCTTGGAGAGTGTGGATGAATTTGTGCAGAACTCACAACACCCTGCTCAGCGTGAAGTGATAGAAATAATGACTGTGGGCCAGGTGCGGTGGCTCACACCTGTAATCTCGGCACTTTGAGAGGCTGAGGCGGGCGAATCACCTGAGGGTGGGAGTTCGAGACCAGCCTGACCAACATGGAGAAACCTGGTCTCTACTAAAAATACAAAATTAGCGGGGCGTGGTGGCACATGCCTGTAATCCCAGCTACTAGGGAGGCTGAGGCAGAATCGCCTGAACCTGGGAGCTAAAGGTTGTGGTGAGCTGAGATTGCGCCACTGGACTCCACCCTGGGCAACAAGAGCAAAACTCCATCTCAAAAAAAAAAAATAGAAAAAGAAATAATGACTGTGTGATTACCACTAGCACTTTCCGAACACAAACTTTGTGCCGGGTACTGTGTGCAAAGGTATTTTTCCTGGAGCAAAATTAGTCAGATTCCAAGATAATTTGTTCTTGTTTAGAAAAGAGAAAACACTAGATGGAGATATTTTGCATGTTGCCATTGCTGTCTTTAAGAAATTTGTTTAGCCTGGAATCATGCTCAAATTTATTTTAATGAGGAATAAGATATATTAAAAGGTCCTAAAGATGAGAAAGTATTCACTAGAGTCATTTTATAAACATTAGAGAAGCATGCAAAAATAATTTGAAGTCAGTGGTTCTTAAAGTGAGTTTCTGTCCTTCAGATCCTTCAGGTCATTACAGAGGGCTTCTGAGATTGTAATGTGAGTAGCGCCATGTTGTATTCTAGCACAAAATACACTTAGGAATCTCAGCCTTGGTACCATTCGACAATAACAGTATAAGGACTTTTGCTTGGCTAAAGTGTCTAGAAATAAAATGAGAACTGCATCCTTAGGTTTACTTCATTTATCAGGGGTGGGGAGATGGAAATCTACATTACACTTCCCTCTTAATTTTAAACTTTTTATGGTTCACACAAGTGACAATGTGAGAAGTTAGAGGAAAGAATCTTCTACATTCACTTAATTTTAGTGGCTAAGAATATAGACTCTGGATTCAAAGGCCTGAGTGTCTGTGAGATTCCATTACTTAAGAGCCAGGTAGTTGTGGGCAAATTTACTTTATGCCTCAGTTTCCTCATTTGCAAAATGGAGGCAGTATTAGTGCCTACCTCACAGGGCTACTATGAGGGTTAAATGAAGGAATCTAGGAAAACAGCTCAGCTCAGTTCTTGGCAAGTGGTGAGTACTAGATAATGTAAACTGTTATTATCCCCAATTTATAGGCTCTGCCTTAGACATGTCATGTCATTTCTGCCCAGAGGATTATCCAGAGTACAAACTAGTGTCCAAAGAATGAGAAAACATTCAAAGCCTATGTCAGAAGCAGAGGTCAACATTCTGGGCACTTTAAAAATGCTCTGGGAGGAATCTGGGAAGAATTCTGCAAGCATGAGAGTGTGGCCACAGGAACACAGAGTTTGCTGGCCTACACATGGAATAACTTGATGTCAGTCTGGTTTTGTGCATATTGCAGGAAACAGAATTTGCTCTATTTCCTAAAGGCAAAGTAATGTGCAATTAGTAATTAATCCATATCGATAGATAGCTACCCTGAATTTCCTTGGACAGAATTCTTCCTCACATACCCCATTCCCAAAGTCACAGTAAAAGCAATTCTTCACAAGACCTATACAACTTGTCCTCATCTTCTGCTGTATTTTCCCTCTCTGCATTTTCCCTCCTGGCCATTCCTGGCATGCCCTAGGCTCAGAGCCCTTGCACTTCTTCCCTTTGCCTGGGTGAGAAACAGAGCTGGCTCCATCACCTTTTTTGGTATTCTTCCCTGATCCTGTTTAAAATGGCACACTTACCAATTTCTCCAGTCTATCTCTCTTCCTTGCTCTCTGTTTCTCCTTGGCACTGTTATCTTCTAATATATAATTTATTGATTTGGTTCATTGTTTCTCCATAAGGGCAGGAATTTGTGTGTTTTATTCATTCCTGTATCCCAGGTGCCTAGAACAGAGCCTGGTATCCAGCAGTGGTCACTGTGGAAGGACTGACAATGAATCCACATACTCACAGGTTCAGCAGGCCAGTCCTTACCTCCAGTAAAGGTATTTCTAGCACAGTCCTCTCTGAGAGCTTGATTCAGGAGAAACATTCCATGCAATTCTTTCAACATGAGAGACAATGTATCATTGGCTTGGATTAATGAGCCAGTATCAGCCACAACAACATCAAATTACCTACATAATATAATGTCAGAAGGGAGTGTAATGTCATTCTCGGTACTCCTGTAAACTGAGCCAGACGGTTGATTTTGTAACTTAAAGAATAAAATACTAGGCTGCTTAAAATTTCTAGTTTACAATATCTGTTTTTTCAGGAATCTTTACATGACACTGCTACACCTTTTATCATTGACAATATTTTGACATAAGCCTTATTTTTCCCTAACAGGGATTTTATTTTACTGATGGATCCAAGGATTATCTTTTCTTACTACTTTTCTAGTTTCTTTAATAAGCATATATTGCTTTAAGAAATAATCAAAGACTTTTTTGTGCTTTCTAGTAAGTCTGCAAAACTCTTTCATATGGCAGAGAAACATTTTTTAAATCCCATGTTCAAGTTCATATCTCTTGTCAAAATCCCGGGGAAAGGTGATTGTTTAAAGAACTGACAATCCCATCAAAAGATAAAAGGGAGGATTTGAGATTTGGCAGGACTTTCTCATCCAAGGATCCAAACATATTTTCAGGAAACTGACTGGAGAGTAGGACTTGACTTTATAATCCAGTCCCCAAGGGCCCATGGACAATGAACTTTGGGGTTCTGAGAAGCCTCTGTGATGCAATGAATGCTTTATTCTGCATCCAAGGATGTGGGTGGAGTGAAGTCACTTTAACTCAAAAAAGAAATGATGCAACCCTGGCTATGCATGAGATATTAGGATCAAAAGTTAAAAGATTATGTCAAAGTGTACATAATGCATAAAAGTGCTTCATTTGCTGTAAAAAGCTCTGCAAGTATTTGGTGCTGATGTTTCTGATTAGCTGGACCGTGAATTTTTCTGAAGGAAAAATGAGTTTAAACATTATAACTAGTTGTGTGGCTTCAAACCAGTCACTTGACCTTTCTAGTGTTTCCTAGTTCAATGGAGACCTGTTTGGCCTTACTTACCTCATACAGTTTAGAAGCTCATATTGATGTGGAAATGTTTTAGAAATCATAATGCACAATAAAATTTGAGCTGTTATTCTGTAGCCTTCCATATGGTCCAGGCCTCTTGGAATCTTAAAATATAGTGAATACCTCTTCCAGTGAGAATCCTGTTATGTAAGAAAAGCCCTTACCATAGATAGATATGCTCCCAAAGTTAATATTTAAATGAATTATCTTTTTAATGCAATGATTTTCCTTCCATGTTAAATTACTTCTATAATAATTCCACAAAGGATATGGTTATTGTTTTAAGGAGGTAGCCAGAGTGCAGCATGCTGTTTTCAACTTACCAAGTTAGGAACCTGTATTCAGGTTGGAACCACACATCCTCTTCCTTGAAGGATGGGACTTTATGTACCTGGGAAGTCGCTACTGCTTGTGGAAATTTAGGCCTTCTCTCTCTCTCTGTCTGGATGTGTCAAGGATCCCCATGACTGAGTTAAAACAACTAGAGGGTAGTGAGAAGGGTCGGAGAAGTAGCAGGAGTAACGGGAAGTAGAGGCAGCTTTAAGGTGACTGCCTTGCTACAGGGGAAGATGTTTCCAACCTCTGGAGGTAAAGGGGAGAGAGGGCTTAATCCTTATGAAGAAGTTCTGGCCCAAACCAGGTCCCAGCCTCCTGGCCCTCAGGCTGTGATTGGAACCACGATCCGGGGAGAGGGACCCTCATGGCCCAAGGAAAAGATACTGGTCCTCATTTAGCAGACGGCAGACTCTCTGCCCACAGAGTGTGTTTTTCCACACTGTGGTGTCTCCAGAGCCAAGGTGGTACCTTTCACCAATAGGTGCTCAATAAATTCTTGCTAAATTAATAACTGAAGAGTGGTTAAACTAGTAACAGTAACAACAGAAGGATTTTCAAACTGCCTGGGGCCCCTGCTGGTGAAAAAAAAAGGGTTTGGGCAAGAGTGACAACCATAATTCGACCAGTGGAGCCTCTAGCCATAGAAATGCTGTTTTCTTAGTGATTATGATAGTACTATAGCCTGAAGCTGCAGTTGCAGCTTCAGCAGTGCCTAGAGAATCACCTTTTACACAGCTCTTTTAATCTAACTTTGAAGGCTACATAATTAGTTGGTTAATAGATGCCACATTTCACAACACGTACATTGTAGTACCTGCTATAGTTAAATCATAGTATAATTCATAATTTTTACATTTATAAAATTGTAGCCAATGAATTAAAAATGTTGAAATCTTTTACACTATCATCTATGAAACTAGGAATATTTATTTAATTACATTGAAATCTTCAGAGAAATCAACTTCATAGCATTTTGTGGGGAAGCAATTTGTTCTACTCACAAGTAGGTATTAGGGTGTGTGTATGGGGGATATGTGTATGGGGGATAAGGCATGGAGATTTTTTAAAAGTTTTTATACTTTCCTGCTTCTTGGTAGAGATAGTGTCCTGACCTCCTTTTCCTGACAATGTTTGTATAAATAAAACCTTTCAGAGGGGGCCTCTTCAGGGTAGTCCTTGTTAAGACCTTGTCAAAGAAACAAAGTAGCTGTTTCTTTAAACTGCTGACACTACAACAATGCATATACAAAATCACTTTAATGGTTATTCATATAAGTAGATTTATATAGACAGAAAATAGCTCCATTTTTTTTTTTTTTTTTTTTTTTTTTTTTTTTGCCAAGCAAGCAAAACACAAGACCAATAGAATTAGTAGACAGAAGCCTTGGGGACAATGGCAGTGCCCTTTCTGAGTAAGACATGAATGCCATCTGGAGGATCCATTTGAAACTACAGTGCAGTAACCAAAGAACCTAATGTTTTCAAGCATAAAGGTACTTTTTGTGAACAGGTGGGCAACACAGGCAGGAATAACTACCTTCATTCTATGGACTTAAATTCCTATTTCTTTCTAGCTTCCAGTAGAAGACTCTTGAGAATATTGTTGTTGAGTGAAGTACTTTCCGCTGAAATGGGAAATGAACCCCTAGAGTCTTACAAGTATTATTAAGCATCAGTAAATACAGGTCAGGAAGAATTAGGCAAGAGAGAAGCAGGCAAATGTGTCCTGTTTGCTGTGTCCTGCCATCTCCTCTCCCTACACTGCATTTCATTCATGAGAGGATGTAAATGACTGATAGTTTAGTTTTTTCAAAGGTATTTACATTTTCATAGGTTGAAAGTCTAAATTAAGAGAGAGAGAGATAAAGTTAACCAGCAGAATTTCCAGTAGATATGTTGGAGGGGCTATGGTTGAATAAGCCATCTCCTTTATAAAATTGTTGATTATTCCTTTTAAACTAGGTCTGTTTCTTACTGATACACTAACTTTAACAAAAATGTTTTAAAAGGATTAATTCCTCAAAAGTCTGAGTAGTTAAAAACATCTGCATTTCCTAGTTTATTTCTAAGAAGATTCTGATATTCTGAGGGCATGTCATAGAGTCTCCTACCTCAATGCCTCTCAAATATCTCCTATTAAAAAACTGTTTCTAGGGCAGGCGTGATGGCTAATGTCTGTAATCCCAACACTTTGGGAGGCTGAGGTGGGCGGATCACTTGAGTTCAGGAGTTCAAGACCAGCCTAAGCAACGTGGCAAAACCCTGTCTCTACAAAAAATGCAAAAATTAGCCAGGTGTGGTGGCACGCGCCTGTAGTACCAGGTACTTAGGAGGCTGAGGTGGGAGGATTGCTTGAGCTGGGGAGGTCGAGGCTGCAGTGAGCCGTGATTGCATCACTGCACTCCAGCCTGGGCGACAGAGTAAGACCCTGTCTCAGAAAAAGAGATTAAAAAAAAAATTTCCAACCACTTGAGGGGCCAATACTTGTATAAATTAAAATTGTATGGCAATATCTTCATGCCTGTTCCTGTGCTCATCATGTCACAGGCCATTAACAATGTTCAGATTGGCACTGGTCTGTGCACCCATCTGATCATTGCTCTACCTCCGGTTCTCTCTTTTAAAAAATACGTGGATTTGAACTAAAGATCTCTGCCCACAATACCACCAGTTATATTCAAGAGCTTGACTTACACCTTCTTCCCTTCTGCTCTCTTCCCTCCCTTCTCCTTCCAACTTTCAAAATAAGTCTTTGAATCCGTAATAAAGAAAACTTCAAATAATTTCTAGTCCCTATTTTAAATTGACCTTCTACTAACAACGTATTTGCACAATTCCCCCATCCTCTTGTTCAGTTCAACCCAGTTCAGTTTTGCTAATTTTATTTGCCATAAATTTGTCCTAGACACCAGAAGCTTGTATAAGACACTTGGGTAACACAGAAGTTCAGATATTTGAGGATTAACAGGAGAAATCCATCTAAGAAAACAATGTAGCTGACAAGACGCATGCTTTCTTGATATAAAGATTATTGGAAAGCTTCAGTTGAATATGTTTGTTTGTGGCCAAAATAGATTGAGAAAGTCTTTTGATTGATAAGCAATTCTAGCTTTCTGAAGTTTCTTTCATTCACTAGTTGAAGAGCAATATATATTTTTTCTTATCCCAATAACCCAGAACAGAAAATTCTACATGAGCATATATTGTGTTCATACATTTCCATTTATAAGGCACAAAACCCACAAATCTCACAAAAAGGAAGAAAACAAAAGATTTGAAGACAATAAAGTAAACTCGGAGGAGGTTCATCAAACTGGAGTTAAATCATGTCCCTTTTTAGTAACTAAGGGACCTCATACTGACAGGAATCATTGCCTCTGAAAAGAGGGCTTCTGAGCCCTTCTTTTGACACAGCCTCCTTCACTGGATTAGTGCAGAAGTCAATCCTCAGGGAGGGCTGCATGGCCACAACACATCAATCCCAAGCACCACCTATCCCATAGAAGCTTCTGGGCAGCAATGCTCCAAACAAACCAGGGTGCCTGGTTCACATGTTCTCACCCAAAGGAGCCTTCAGGGACCAATCCACAGTAAACACACATGCTTGCCTATCCCAGTACTTGAGTATTTTATGGGTTCTGCTCTAAGCTGAAGCAGAACTGCCTGCCTGAGAACCCTGAACTAGGTTAGTTTTGTGGGTCCTTCGTGGGGCAGCATCTATGTAGGAGGCTGGACTTTGGGTTCCTCTTGAAATAATGAGGTCCCTAGAGGGATCCTTAGAACCAACTAATCCTACCAAGAGCTTTTAAAACATGCTGGTCAAATATGGCGATTCCCTGGTGCAACCCCCAGATCTCCTGGTCTGTTAGGCAGCCCTGATAACTCTCAAGTAATCCTGTAGTCCACTGGTAAAAAATAGATGGGTCCCATGATACCATATAGTATCTATGCTTATTGGCTGGGCCTCCTGGTGGCTCTTGGCACTGTAATTTCTAGTACTGTTTAGATTAGTATTATATGAGAATAAGCTTCCTGAATGTCCACATGAATCCAAGCATTTCCTGGAAGTATGACTGCTTCCTAGTCCTTTATATTACCATGCAAGGTAGGGATGTGAGTGAACAGCACGTCAGAGAAAACTGCCAGGTGTAGACAGTTATCCTGAGAAAAGGGTTAGTATTATAGTTGTCGAGAAAGGAGGGACCAGAAATCAGATGAACTGAGTAATTCATCATGTCATCTTGAAGGCTTTTCCACTCTGGACAATTTGAAATCCAAATGAAATTCGGTCCTTGGGTCAATTTATTCCATTACCAAAGAACAGCATAGTAGGATAGCCATTCCAACAGGGTGAGGACCAGCCACCTACTTACTTTCCAGTCCAATTTTATTATCCATTCAGCTTTTAGGAATTGCCCCTGGAGGCCATAGTCGGAATTTTGCTAAATTTTCAGGCATGAAGATGATTCTCCTTAATTCAATGTCTCATGAATCTTAGTCAAGATCCCTTCCCTTCCTGTGCCTTGTTAAGCTATGATCCAAAAGGAAAAGGAGTATTCCTTTTATTAACAACAACAAAACTCTTAAATCCTTTGGCTTTCAAACACTGCAGCTATAACATATCCTTGGATATATGTATTAATTTAAAAGCCAATGCCTTAAAAGTCAGCTTCTATTGTATCAAGTTTTCTCCAAATTATGAGGGGCTTCCTCCACACGTTGCCCCACTTGCCAGCCTCAGGAATCTTTCTTGGTCAGTCTGGCCTTGACTTTGTGCCTCAGAAGGGCTGCGGTGGCAGCACTGCAGGCAGCCAGGAAGAAGAAGGAGAGGCAGGCCATGTGGACAGATAGGGGTCCATGGCGCTGCAGGAAGATCTCCTGCCGCCCCTGGTAGTCCAGGAGGATGGCCTCCAGCTGGGAGAGCGTACAGATGGACAGAAATGCATGGAAGATCTGATGCCCATGGCCCACGATGTCACAGGAACCCGGGAAGTACTTCTCAGGCACGGGGCAGGAGAAGAAATAAGCGCTAACCAGGAAGAAGAGGATCTGGAGGGTGTGGTACCAGGCTGCTTGCTCCTGGCAGCCAGCCAGGTGACAGAGCGCCACACGGTGTGCCACAGGGCTGATGTCTAGGATAAAAGCCAGACCTGCTGGCACCACTTGACAGATCTTCCTCATGACTGGATAAGGCCTCCGGTAACGATATTTGGCATAGCAACAGCCAGCACAAGATAACCAGCCACAGAAGGCAGCTGCTGGCAAGAAGAAAAGCCAGAACCGGTCATACCAGGCCTGGTCAGAGCTGTAGAAGAAATGAGCCAAAGCACTGCCATATTGGTAAACGCTCACGCCAACATAGTCCACAAAGTAGAAGGTGTAGTGGGAGAGCTCTGACTTGGACTGCAGCAGGTGGGCCAGAAGGCTGCAGGTGAGGTAAGTGATTGACGACAGGATGAAGAGGAGCAGAGGCAGGGAGTGGGTAGACGCCCATGGCAAGGCCTCAGCCTCGGCAAAGGCCCAGAATCGCAAGAGGACGGCCAGGGCTGCCAGTAAATGGGTCCAGACGTTGACCACCTCGTTGTGTTTCTGAAAGAGGCTGAAGAAGTAGTAGCGCCACTCGTGCCCCGTGGGGCGGTAGCCGGTGCGGATGTAAGGCTCCCGGAAGAGCTGGGGCACATCCGTTTCTGGGACAGTGCAAGGCATCTTGGGAAGCCCATCCTCCAGGATCTTGGGCAGGCGGCGCAGCTGCTGCCCGCTGACCGACAGGGTGCTCAGGCGCTCCAAGATGGCGGTCGTCATGGCAGCGGCCCGCATGCACTCCGTGCCGCGCCCTCAGGACAGGGTATGCAACCTGCAGAAAAGAAAGGAAAATTGGCAAAGCCGCAGTGAGACACGAATGCAGCTAAGACGGACAAGGAACTATGGCTATTTTCTTTTCTTTTGAGACGGGGTATCACTCTGTCGCCCAGGCTAGAGTGCAGTGGCACGATCACAGCTCATTGCAACCTCTAATTCCTGGGCTCAGGTGATCCTCCAGAGTAGCTAGGACCATAGATGCACGCCAACACGCCCGGATAATTTTTTGTTGCTGCTGTTGTTGTAGAGACAGGGGTGTCGCTATGTACAGCAGGCTGGGCCCAAACTCCTGGGCTCAAGCACTCCTCCCTCCTCAGCCTCCCCAAGTGTTGAGATTACAGGCGTGAGCCACCAGGCCGGCTAGGATCCGTGGTTATTTTAATGCAACGTGGCTTTCTGGTACAGTAGAGGAAGCAAGGAGCTGCAGACAGCTTCTTTGAGCCTCCTTTAATTCATCTGTAGAATAATGGAGTTGGACCAAGATCCCTTACTGTCCCAATATTCTTTTTTTTCTTTCTTTCTTTTTTTTTTTTTTTTTTGAGACAGAGTTTCACTCTTGTTGCCCAGGCTGGAATGCAATGGTACCATCTCGGCTCACCACAACCTCCGCCTCCCGGGTTCAAGCAATTCTCCTGCCTCAGCCTCCCAAGTAGCTGGGATTACAGGCATGTGCCACCACGCCTGGCTAATTTTGTATTTTCAGTAGAGATGGGGTTTCTCCATGTTGGTCAGGCTGGTCTGGAACGCCCGACCTCAGGTGATCCGCCCACCTCAGCCTCCCGAAGATTTTTTTTGAAACAGGGTCTTGCTCTGTCGCCCAGCTGGGATGCAGTGGCGCAATCTTGGTTCACTGCAACTTCCGTCTCCCGGGTTCAAGCAATTCTCCTGCCTCAGCCTCCCAAGTAGCTGGTATTACAGGCATGCACCACCACACCCAGCTAATTTTTATATTTTTAGTAGAGATGGGGTTTCACCATGTTGGCCAGGCTGGTCTCGAACTTCTAACCTCAAATGATCTTCCCACCTCATCCTCCAAAAGTGCTGGAATTACAGGCGTTAAGCCACCATGCCTGGCCTGTCCCAATATTCTATGTTTACTACACTCAGTGTGAGGCAAAGTTACATCTTGTAAAATGGAAATGTTAGCTACCCTAACATAATTTAGTGATACCAATGACTTAATGATTATCAAGATTTAATTATAAGTAAGGTAACCTTTAAAGGATATGGGCTTTTCTCGATATTAAAATGTAATAAACAGGCTTTAATAGCATGAAATATCATATTGAAGTATAAGAATTACAAATATTGATATAGCTAATGATAGACTGTATTTCTTTAGCACCTACCTAATCTTAAACTATCCACTAATTTCACTGGTACTTTGAAAATATGAGGTGAGCAACTGACTAAGCCTCATATTTAAGACAGGCAAATTGACTCGTCAGTTAGGTTGGTAAAGAACAATGCACATTCTAGGATATCCTAACAGTTAAAATTAACATGTGACCTAAATTTAACATAAAATCTCATTGCAAAGACTGTTGTTCATTTTTTAAATTATGCTCTGAAAAGCAAGTAGTTTTAGATTTGCTTCTCTTGGGTAATTAAAACTGCACTCGGTGAATTTCAGGCTTCAGAAATGCTTAACTTACACTTGTATTTCTCAGTGACAGACGAATACAGCAATTATTTCATAAAATATTTCATGAAACTGCTGCAAAATTTCATCTGAAGTTGCTAGGTAAAGAAATAGATTTTGATCATTTCTAGTTACCTTATGTAATTATGTTTCCCAAGCTTTTTTCTTCAGAAAAATTTAATATCTGATTTATCTAAATGGAGCACATACAGCAAGCACATACAGCAAGTACTGGAGCACATACAGCAAGTACTGTTCAAGGTGCTTACTAATTTTAGCAAAGAAAATGTAATTCCTACTCATACGTCTCAATCAATATTGGAAGAGAAAAAATACCTAATCAGGTAAAAAAGTGTAGGGCATGAAAATTAATAAAATGTAAAGAAGTTCAGGGAGACCTGGAGTCAAGCTCCAGTTTTGCCACTTACTGGGGTGACCTTGGGCAAGTTATAGAATTCTCTCAGCCTCAGTTTCTTCATAATTCTATATATTATATGGGTTGTGTGATAGTTAAATGAGAGGGTCTAAAAAATGAAGTGCTTAGCACTCTGCCCAGCCCAAGGTAAGTGCGTAGTAAATGTGAAATATTGCTGTCATTTTTATTGCTATGAGCTGGGCTCTGTGCTAGGTACTAGGTACTAGGGATACAAAGACTGGTAAGATACACTTCCTGCCTTCAAAGAGATCAAAGTTTACTGGGGAGACAGACATGTAGGGGAATCAACACAAAAATGTGCAATAAGTGCTCCATTAGAGACAAACACTGGTTCACAGAGGTCTCAGCAAACAACCAAAACAGGGAAAGGATGGGGGTATAGCCCTCTTGAAGTGACCCTGAACTGAATCTTGAAGGAAAAATCAGAATTCCTGAGAAAAGATAAAGGCGGAAGAGACTTCTAGGCAGAGAGCAAGGTCAAAGAACTTCTGCCAAGATATGGGCTTGGAAAGCCTGGAGTATCTGAAGTCATTGTAGTTTGCAGTTATGACATTGGTGCCAGAGAGACCTGAACTCACATCCTGAGCCCCACCATCAACAAGCTGCATGAATCCAGCCTGAGCTTTGTTATCTGTGGAGTAAATGACAGAGAAGCTGCCTTACAGGGCTGAAAAAGAACTATATGACATAATGGCTGTAAAGTGTTTAACAAAGTGCTTGGTTCCAAGTCTGCATAACTACTTGCCATTATTATGACCATCACTGATATGAGATGCAGGAATCATTCATGAGTTCAGGGCCTAATGTCCCCTCCATACCTTGAACCTATTTCTATGGCAGCCCCTGTAACCCTGTATTGAGGCATTCATTTAGCCAGCACCCATCAGACAGTGGTCTTCTACCAGGAATGGGCTATGAACTCAAGCTCAATGTAGGAATTAAAGACACCAAGAGAAGTGTATTAAGGATTACAGTCAGCCAGAAAGAGAAACACAGAAAGAGGGAGTGTGGGAGAGAGAAAGAAAATGCTAATTAGAATACCTGAATTCATTTGAAAACAAAAAGAAAAGAAAAAGCTAAGTGGTGCTTCTGCTATCAGCCAGCAGAGGGATCCGAGTGCCTTAGAGTTCAGTTCTGGATGGAAGTTTCTCCAACTGACCTTGGTGGACGAACTACAGGAATGGGCCTGGGATGTGGGATAACTTCTCAAGTTGCCCTGTTGCTGTTAGCAACATATAATCTGGGGGTGCTGGGCTTGTTGGAGTTCTGGGGAATTAAAGTGCTCTATTCTTTAGATATAGTCTTCTACTACCTCTTGTGAAGTAGAGAGCAAACCAGATGAAATTACCAGTCTGATTTTATGGCTGGGAGAAATCAAGGTGAGTCACTGGGTATAACCCCAGTGACTATAGAAGAAGGAATCCCCAAAGATGCTCCCAGTATCCCTGTCTGCATGCTGTCTAAAATCAAGGCTATTTCTCTCATCTTTGGGAACCCAAACCAATCAGACGATTCCTGCATCCAGAGTTAAATAATATATAACCACACAATTCCTACTAATCTTCATATCCTTAAAATAGCGTATCCATCACATAGCAGGTTCTTATAAACTGACAACTCAACTGAATTTCTAAAGACTAAAACTTTGGGTTTTAGTAGTTTAGCGATTGGAAGAGAGCACAATTCAGACCTGGGAACTAACTGGCATCTGTCTGTTCTGAGGGAGAAAGGACGGAACATGATACTGCCTTATTATTGGTCTGCAGAAGACCATGACTGCAGAGCTCTGACAGTTCCTTCTATTTCTCATATCACCAGCCTCCCTCATGACTTTATGTTGACAAGTTATTTTCTGGAAATTATTTCTACTTCACTCTTTCAGAAAATAAACTAGGAAGAGATTTATAGAACTAAGAAGCAGAGAGGTACAAGTCCAAAGGGATATTAACTTTAACTTCAAAAGAAAAGGTGCACAAGGGGAGAGAAATTGGCAGAATCATCATTTCCCTTACAAATGAGATCTTTAAAATGCAGCCACAGAGATCTCAGGGTCTTCTTAATAACTCCACCCCCTGGAGTGTGTAACCCAATAGCCACAAAGGAACCTGAGAGTCCAGGGATACAACCACCATAGGCTCTAACTCAGAATATGATTCCTTACCTCTCAGGAATGAGAGGGTTGCAAAGATCTGTCCTCTGAGGGTAAAAAGGGCTTAAATTTCCCAGCCAGGGACAGTGGCTCACGCCTGTAAATCCCAGCACTTTGGGAGGCTGAGGTGGGTGGACTGCTTGAGGTCAGGAGTTCGGGACCACCCTGACCAACATGCTGAAACACCATCTCTACTAAAAATACAAAAATTAGCTGGGCATGGTGGCCGGTGCCTGTAATCCCAGCTACTAGGGAGGCTGAGGCAGGAGAATCACTTGAACCCAGGAGGAGGAGGTTGCAGTGAGCCGAGATCGTGCCACTGCACTCCAGCCTGGGTGACAAAGCGAGACTTCATCTCAAAAACAACAACAAGAAAGGACTTAAATTTCCCTTTGGTAGTGCAAGGTCATGAAAAATTCTAAGGTCACGCATGGTGGCTCACACCTGTAATCCCAGCACTTTGGGAGGCTGAGGTGGGCAGATCACCTGAGGTCAGAAGTTCAAGACCAGCCTGGCCAATATAGTGAAACCCCGTCACTACTAAAAATACAAAAAATTAGCTGGGTGTGTTAGCAGGCTCCTGTAATCCCAACTACTCAGAAGGCTGAGGCAGGAGAATCACTTGAACCAGAGAGGTGGAGGTTGCAGTGAGCCAAGATCACGCCATTGCACTCCAGCGTGGGCAACAAGAGTGAAACTCTGCCTCAAAAAAAAAAAAAAAAAAAGAAAAAAGAAAAGAAAAATTCTAAACTTGTGGTCAGAAAGAGGGTTTGGGTTGTTTTCTTTTTTTCTGTCATTTCCTTAGCAACCACCTCTTCCTCTGCCATGAAATTCTCCCTTTGAGAGCAGCTAACACAGCTACAAAAATGGTACCATGAGTTATAATTCTTTTATCATCATTAACTTCAGAAACCACTGTCAAGTGGGGTCTGCCCCCCTCCCTCTTAGGCCTCACTTTCACCAAGCAGGTATGGGCAATGCTTCCATGATTCAAAGGACCAGCTGTAAAATTTGAGCCCGTTTTGGAGGAAACCACATATTGTCATCATGATGTTGAAGCCTCCCAGCCTTCCCAGGTGGCTGCACTGAGTAAGAGAGCCCCTCCCTCACTTCTGGCCTCTGTTCCCACACCCTCCTACCTAACCTGATGTGACTATCAGCTGACCAAGATTCTACCTTAGAACAATCTCCTTTGCACAGGGTTCACTCCAGCTCCTGGACAGCTGAAATTTAAATCTTCCTCAAGAATTTTTATTAACTGGATAATCTCAAGTCTTGTAATTTTGATCAACCAGAAATCTTTTTCAGAGCAAGGATTATCTATTCAACACTATTCCAGGCTACAAAGGCCGCAGAGGAAGAATACAATAAGACCCTTTACCTCAAGAAGCTTAGAAGAGTCAAACTTCATGAATCAACAGCCAACAACACCAGATGACACACATAAACAAGTGTAAACTAGAGCGAAATACAAATAGATCTATAGAAGAGAACAAACTCGGAGTATCCTGGGGCAGCGTTGGGGGGAAGTGGGCTTGTGTTAGCCCTAGAAGGCTGGATAGAGCTCAGACAAGTGAGAATTGGGGCATTCTAGCAAAGAGGCAAAATAAGAGCATAGGAATGGTATGACTTCCTGGTAGGTCTGTGAGCAGAGGGGCTACTGGGGAGTAATGAGGAAGGGAGTGGGCTAGGTGCAGTGGAATTAGTGAAAGTTTAGGTTTGATGTTACAGAGGAAATGAGAGTCATTTCTCTCCCGTGAAACTATTACCCTGTTTTAATGCTTATCTCTCCTGAGCTCTGCAAGGATTCCCAATGCTAACCAATGCCTCCTCTCTTGGCTTAAGTGACAATGACACTACCCTCTCTGGCCCCACCTTGGCTTTCTTCTCCCACCATCCCTGTCAATTGTGGTATCTGCCCCCTTTTCACCATCCACAGTGCCTCTCAGACAGGTACTTCTCCCAGGCCCTTAGCTTCAGCTACACCTGTATCCGCTGATTTCCAAATTTGCCTCCAACCAGATCTTTTCTGAGGTTTGAATTAAAATATCCAACTTCTCTAGATGTGTCCAAAAGAATGTCCCCCATGGGCACTTCAGACTCATCTCCAGACATTTCCTTCAACCCAGACTTGACTCGTCCCCTACATCTAATCAGAATCGAGGTTTGCTGATTTTATCTCAACATTTCTGGAAGCCATTTGCCCTTTCCATTTCTACTGCTCTCCCTTAATTTAGGTCTTCAAAATTAACTTATGTTAATGATGACAATAGCAGTCTCATAACTGACCTTTCATCATCAATAATGGCTCTCCTAACTCACATCCCCAACCCTCACTTCATTCTCCAAATCACTTCAGGGCAACAGTTTAAAAATGGAAATCTGATTATCATTCCCTCCTCAAAATTCTTCAACAGCTCACCATTGTTTGTTTACAATACAAATTCTAAGCCCTAATTATTCAAACAGATCCTTTCTCTGTTTTCCTTCCTATTCCAGCCTCCTCTCCCAGAGCCCATACCTCTAAGGCCAATTTGTTGGCCCAGATCTTAATACTCTTAATACTGGGAGTTCTTGACACTCTATCTCCCATGCATGCAAACTCAGTACCCTCTAGCCCAGCAACTCTGGGTCATTTTCAACACTCTAACTAGAAGTCGGCTCCACCAGGAAGCTTTTCTTAACTCCCAGACTGGCTTAGGGCTCTCTCCAGCCTTCATTAGACTCTGGCCTTGCCTCTCCCAGTTTTCTTCATTCATGGAGCTGGGTTCGTTTGTTTACTCCACTTACTTTCCCATTAGCCACCAGCTCCTTTAAAGGCAGGGACTGTTAGGTGCAGAAGTCCCCATGTTGAAAATAATATCTGGCATATAGAAGACACCTTATAATTATTTACTGAATGAACAGTTCTTTAGGCCCAGGCTCATGGCACCAATTTCTTTCTCTTCTGCAAAGGTGAAGGAAAAAAGAAGTAATGGTTTGGGAGTCAGGAAGTCTGGCTATTAGTATTTGCTCTACTCAGGTGTGTGGCTATGCCTAAGACAATCAATTACTCAGTGTCATTGTCCTCATAAAAAAGGGTGGGTGGGTGAGAGGAGGTGATTTCCTGTCTATCCACTTTTTAGGAAGAAAACAGAATGAATAATAACAAAATGGTCAGTAATGGAATAGTACTTTCAAGAGGCAAAACATGTACATAAAGTCCTAGTAATATTTCAAATAAAGAGCCCACTGAAGGATATAACTTAGTAAAAATAAATCTATCCACACGTATTTTCTACCTTATAATTGATTTTAATGCAATTTTTTAAAATCAAAAAGGAATATTATTTGTTTTGTAACACTCCTGGGAATCATCATAATACTGCCTCCCTGGGTCAGGTCTGGGCTGAAAGACATGTTTGAAAATGTTGAGTTTGAAGTGCCCATGGAGGACATTCATTTGGACACATCTAGAGCAGTGGGATATTTGAACTCCCCTATCTCCTTTAAGGATTTTTAATTAGAGTCAGATTATAATGGAATTGGAATTAAAAGTTCTATTTACTGAGTATATGTACCATGAATTCACTTAATGTTTATAAGAAAGTGTTAAAAAATGTTGAATAATGCCTTGCATTATGTAGGGATCTAATCTTTTTTTTTTTTTTTTTTTTTGAGACGAAGTCTCGCTGTGTCGCCCAGGCTGGAGTGCAATGGCGCAATCTTGGCTCACTGCAACCTCCGCCTCCCGGGTTCAAGCAATTCTCCTGTCTCAGCCTCCCAAGTAGCTGGGACTAAACTGCAGGTGCATGCCACTATGCCCAGCTAATTTTTTGAATTTTTAGTAGAGACAGAGTTTTACCATATTAGTCAGGCTGGTCTCAAACTCCTGACCTCAGGTGATCTACCCACCTCAGCCTCCCAAAGTGTTGGGATTACAGGCGTCAGTCACTGTGCCCGGCCGGGATCTAATCTTAAAAATTTATCTTAGAAGCGCCTTTCAAATTTTTTTTTTAATGGAAAGAGAAAAATGGGGTAAAAATCCCAAGTTCATGGTTAAAAATCTGACATTTTAGCCAAAAATTGTGCATTTAGGTGTTCTTTTTAAAAGTAAATCACAGAACTAAGCTAAATACAGATGTTCCTTGACATATGATGGGTTATAGCCCAGTAAACCCATTGTTAAGTTGAAAACGTCTTAAGTTGAAAATGCATTTAATGCACCTAATCTACTGAACGTAACCACTCTTAGCCTACACTACCTTAAATGTGCTCAGAACACACACTTAGCCTACAGGTGGGGAAAGTCATCTGGCAACAGAGGACACCGTAGGGTACTGGTTGTTTTGAGATCACATGGCTGACTGGGAGCTGCAGGTTACTGCTGCTGCCCAGAATTGCTAGAGTATTTCACCACCTATCACTAGCCTTGGAAAAAATCAAAACCCCAAATGCAAAGTATGGTTTCTATTGAATGTGTATCACTTTCACACCATCCTAAGTTGGGGATCATCTGTATTCTTAAGGTTTGGTTTTGTTTTCGTAGTTCTGACTGATGGAAACTACCTAAAATGCATTTCCTTTTCAGTAACTTTCAATAAAACAATGAAATGACACGTTTTTGGTGATAGTTGTTATCCCCTGAAAACACAGTAAAAATACGTGAAGTACCCATAAAAGACCATTTAACTTTCAGAGAGGAACTATATCGATAAGCAGAGCAGCACCTGGGCACGTCTCCTATCACCTGAGAAACAGGTGTAACCGTGTCACTGCACTCACTGCTCCTGGCCAACTCCTCCATCTGCTGGGTTCCCTCTCATTGGCCCCTGTCTGAATTTGAGTCCTTATTATCTCTCACAGGAACCTCTGTAGGATACAGGAGGCCTTCCTGGTCCCCTACCTGTGCGTCTCTTTAACTGTCCCCAAAGCATCTCCCACTCTGACACTTTGTGTTCCAGTTATTCTGCCATCCTCTCAGGACTTTGTGCTTCTATGCATGCCTGGAATGCCCACACCACTGATGTCCACTGGCCAACTCCTACTCATGCTTCATGTCCCATCTCAAATGGTCCCTGTGAAGGCTTCCCCTCAGGTGCTCCTTCACCTAACTGCCACTGCACTTAAAGTCCTTCATTATAGGACTTTCCTTACTGTATGCCTACATGGTTTGCATTATATGTCTCTCTGACCACTAAACTGCAAGATCCTTTGAGGGCTGAGAATATTTTTATCATTAGCATTGTGCCTATCACATTGATATTCCAAGAAATCACTGAATGAACGAATGAATGAATGAATGGAAAGTGTCCAAATCGACCAGGTACAGTGGCTCACACCTGTAATCCCAGCACTTTGGGAAGCCGAACGGGGAGGATAGCTTGAGCCCAGGAGTTCAAGACCAGCCTTGGCAACACAGCAAGACTCTATCTCTAAATTTAAAAATTAGCCAGGCATGGTGGCGCACACCTGTAGTCCCAATTACTCAGGATGCTGAGGTGGGAGGATCACTTGAGCCCAGGAGATTGAGGCTACAGTGAGCCATGGTTATGCCACTGCACTCCAGCCTGGACAACAGAGCAAGACGCCGTCTCAAAAAAAAAAAAAAAAAAAAGAGAGAGAAAGTGTCAGAATAATAGTATCAAACACTTATATGATGTTTAGCACATACCAGACAGTGTTTTGGGTGCTTTGAAAATATTAACTTATTTAAACTTCCCAACAATACCTGACACCAGTACTATTATCATTCCCATTTCACAGATAAGGAAACAGTTACAGAGAGATTACATAACTTGTCCAAGGCTGCACAGTATGTGATAGATCCAGGAGGTGACTAAGCAGTTGACTCTAAAGTCTGCGTTCTTAACCACTATGCCTCAAAAAATGCCCTCTATGACTAAACCCCAATATTTTTTGATATACAACTTCAAATATGCTGCTGCAATACTGCTTTGCTTCATTAACAAAAATAACTTGCAGTTGGCCTTACAAAAACAATCAGTACTGCAAAGTTTCTCAGATCTTTGACACTGAGTTTACTTGTAAATCAGATTCCAATACTCCCTAAGAGAATAAAATGTGACTTCCACAAAATCTGAGTGGAATCTATCAAATAATCCAAATAGGTCTATTAGCCCAGATAAATATGATCATAAATCTGATGGGCTTCTTTCATATTAAAGAGACACATGGTTTGTTGTGGCTAGCTTTACAGAACTGGTGTAGTGAGACATTCCAATCATAAACCTGAGGTCATTTATCAGCCTACTAATGGAAAGCACAATGACAATGAGATCACTAAATCTGCTATGCATATAGCAAGCTACCTAAAAAGCCTTTCCCAAATTAACAAAGTGGGGAATTAAAGAAAAGCTCCATATTTGGGAAACTGGCATTGTTTGGTACTGAAGACATTTTATCTGGATGACAAATAGAAGCACTCCAAAGCAATAGTGTTTCCTGACCTATTACAAGGATGCTATGTGAATCTACCACAAACTTGGAATAGCTGATTCCCTGGAAAGAACACTGGGCAAGAAATTAGAAGTCCCAATGTTTAGTTCTAGCTCTATCACTATGTGACACTTTTTTTTTTTTTTTTGAGATGGAGTCTCGCTCTGTCACCCAGGCTGGAATGCAGTGGCGCGATCTTGCCTCATTGTAACCTCCGCCTCCTGGGTTCAAGCAATTCTCCCGCCTCAGCCTCCCGAGTAGTTGGGACTAAGGGCGCACACTGCCACACCCAGCTAGTTTTTTTTGCATTTTAGTAGAGACGGGGTTTCACCGTGTTGCCCAGGCTGGTCTCGAACTCCTGAGCTCAGGCAATCTGCCCGCCTAGGCCTCCCAAAGTGCTCTAAGTGATTTTTAAGCAAATTATTCAACCTCTCTATGCCTTGGTGCCCTTGTCCTTAAGATGGGGGTGTAATCTATATAAGCTCTAATACTGTAAAATTCTGTAATTCATCTGGGCTATGTTTTGCTTTGTACTGAACATCAAGCAGCATGCTGGAATCACCAACAAACAGATCCTGTGACATCACTTCATGTCACTGTGTGTGGGACTCACACAGATGGTAGGAAAGTGACCTGCTGGTTGTTGGATAGAGGACAAATGAGCAGCAATTCCTATCAAAGGCAAAAGAAATGCTTCCAGAATTCACAGAAGCCCAGCTTCACACATCACTGCATAATTATAAATGGCTGCAAAGGAATAGCAGCCAAAATGACAACTTGGTGTCCATTTATAAGGACTGGAACTGTGCTTTAAGCAGCCTTTGAGCCAGAGGTGGAGTTGGAAACAGTCTCACATGCCTCAGGATCTCCATAGTCGTTAAGTGAGAGAACTCTGGGCTCATACTGATCTTTATAGCTACATCTTCCAAGGAGCATATCACTATTTGTAAAGTCATATTTGAAAGAATGGCACTACCAGTGCAATCCTGTTATTAGCAGAGATCATTTGAACATCGATTCAGATTCACCAATGGTCAGTGCATATTTCCTCCCTATATTTAACAAAACCTAACAAACAGAATTTCGACATCCAAAAATGGAGTATTTGATTGTGTAAATTAAGATAAATCTATAAAATAGAATACTATGCACTTATTAAAATAACTAGCATATTTACATTTATTGTTATACAAAGATACACATGATATGTGAGCTCCATTGGTTTTTCACTGTAGTCTCCACTGCACTTAGAAAAGTGATGGACTAGCACATTGTACATTCTCAAAAAAGATTTCTTGAATGAATAAATGAGTCAAAGACATGTAAAGGAAAAAACAAATTTAAAGTATGTGTTCCGCCCAGCCCTATTTTTGTAATCATACAAACATGGTACAGATGAAGTATGGAAGTGCATATAATCAAAACAATATAGCTATTGCCATGAAGGGATTGTGGGGAATTTTACTTTTCTTCTGGAAATACTATCATTATCGTACTTTTTAACAACAAACATTTACTACTTTTGTAATTGGAAAGCAAAAGTTAGTACTACTCTGCAAATAGGAATATTTGACATAAATATGCAAAAATTGGTAAAACCTAAGTTGGTAAAATATTAAGACCCTCCCCAAGAAACACCCCAGCATTATAAAGGAATACACCCATACTTGCATTTTTCTGTGAGCTCAACTAGTTAGCATACCAAATTAATTATTACGAGTAACCTAACTATACTTGCCATAGGGTAAGCTATTGGTCATGGGGGGTTTAAAGGGAAAAAAATATGTAACATCTACTGTTAATGCAGCAAAGATGTTCTCTTAGATTGGAAAAGCCAGTATACACAATATTGTCAAAAGACCTTCCCCACAGCACACAAACTCAAACGGCATTAATACGTGAGTCACTTCCTGACCATGTGGGTTTGTGGTACGGCTGAACCGTGCCTATAAAAAAAAAGTAAGGTACACCTTTTTGCCACAGATCTGGCAGCAAGATGTGTCCTTCTGGGCTCAGTGAGCTCTCCACTTATGAATCTTTTCCTCTGTGGTGCCCTATAATATTCCTAAGAGGAGAAAGAAAAGACAGCCTTAATTTGTTGCTGTGCCCTGGGAAAGATGAGCAGAGCAAATTTCCTCTGAGTGCCTTTTTCTCTTTATCTAACTAGAACCCTCTAGCTAGAATTTCTGTCTGTTCTGTCACTTCCTATACTTTCCACATCTCAGCTAATCTCACTTGAGAAAGTACTGGTTTCAAAATGCATCATTACAGACAGAGAATGCATCTGCCACATGGAATAAATAGTATCTGTGTTTAATCTGTCGAGTGGGAGAAGTCAGAGGAGCTGGGAACAATTTACTGGGAGAACACACTGAGCAGTCTCCAGGCAATCAACAGTTCAGGTGTGAAGATCATGTTCTTCTGAGGCTTCTTGTTTGAGTAAAGGTAAACTTTGCTGTCTGAAACTCCCACTAATTAAAGCCTAGGGACAGGTGTCTCCCTGGACTTTCTACATGAGTGTAACTATCGGCTTCGTTAGGTGTGGTTTGGCTTCAGTCAGGCAACCTCTCAACTAGATCTAGCTTCTCACCGGCAGGAAGCTTCATCACTGATCTGCAAACCAGCTGGGACCCGGGCCAACCCGGGTGAACGTGAAGAGAGCTGCTCATTTCCACTGGCAGGAAATCAATCTTGGAAATGCCCTTTCCACAGCAGAAAATCAGATAACAAATCGAGCTAGAGTTTGGAGCACCATATAAAGAAAGCTGTGTTCCCTAGCAATTAAACATTAACTCTTCTGCAGTGACAACAGTACACTCTCCTGGTGGTTCTAAGACCCAGCAATTTTATTTGCTATAAAGAGTCAAGCAAGTCACTTTATTCTTCATTTCTCCTTAGATATCTCCAAGGCCTTAGTTCAATTCCAAATCACCACAAAGCCTTCTCCAGGCCATCTTGATTCCTCCCCCGCCCCCAACCCTTATCTATCTATTCCACATATTTTGGTAAGGAGAACATCAGGCTTGCCCATTACTTCACTACTGTGTGTGTAGAGAGCCTTCTCTCTTCTGCTTATTGAATTGCAAGCCTCTGGAGACAGGAACACTGGCTTACCTATGCTTTATTTCTATCAGCAAACAGTCAGAGGAAAGATGTCCCCAGAATGTGTCAATAGATCATTGTTCAAAAACAAAGTGAATGACTATCCTTTGCCTGCTTCTAAAGGTAAAAACCAGTGAGATCTAAGAAAACGAAAATGTGGGTTTTCAAAAGAAAACACCATTTGAGTTGGATCTTATTTATTTGTGTGGTTCATCCACTTGCTAGGTATCCGCACCAATATTTAAATTGCTGGCTGAATTTCTAACCATCAGCTTGTTTTTGGTCTATCATCTCCTACCATTTGTCATTTTTATGACCAAGAATGCCTAAGCAAAGACTTAGGAAAAGGAGGGGCCAGGCAGAGAAACATAATGTAAAATAACACTGGAGCACTGTTAGAACTCGTTTTTATTCTTGTTGCATACAAAAGGCAGAACAGACTGTCCTGATTGCCTGAACAAGCCACACACTTGACATCGCCAATGTTATTGTAGCCTGCTGTGCCTGGCAAAACCCACTTCTCTCTCAAATTCAGGCTCAGATATAACCCCTCCCCTGTGAAGCTTAGCGACAGCCTGAAGTAGAACTCATCATGTCTTATTAAGCCCTCTGTCTTTGTCCATTCAGGGTGCTGTAAGGAAATATCAAAGACTAGGTGGCTTATAAACAACAGAAATCTATTTTTCACAGTTTCTAGAGGCTGCAAAAGTCCAAGATGAAGGCACCAGCAGATTTGGTGTCCAGTGAGGGCCCACTTCTGGTTCAAACATGACTGTCTTCTTGTTATGTCCTCACATGGCAGAAGAGGCAAGGGAGCTCTCCTGAGTTTCTTTTATAAAGGCAGTAATACCATTCATCTAGGCATTCATCTAGGTCAGTGGTCCCCAACCTTTTCAGCACCAGGGACCAATTTCATGGAAGACAATTTTTCCACGTATGGGGGCTGGGGGTTGAGGAGTATGGTTTCATGATGATTCAAACCCATTACATTTATTGCTTTTTTTTTTTTTTCCTGACACAGGGTCTTGCTCTGTTGCCCAGGCTGGAGTGCAGTGATGCCAACTCAGCTCACTGCAACCTCCACCTCCCAGGCTCAAGCCATTCTTGTGCCTCAGCCACCCAAGTAGCTGGGATTACAGGCATGCACCACCACACCTAGCTGATTTTTGTATTTTTAGTAGAGATGGGGTTTCGCCATGTTGGCCAGGCTGGTCTCAAACTCCTGACCTCAAGTGACCCGCCCACCTTGGCTTCCCAAGGCGCTGGGATTACAGGCATGAGCTACCGGATCCAGCCTATTTCTATTATTTTTACATTATAATATATAAGGAAATAATTATACAACTCACCATAATGTAGAATCACTGGGAGCCCTCAGCTTGTTTTACTGCAACTAGACGGTCCCATCTGGGGTGATGGCAGACAGTAACAGATCATCAGGCATTAGATTTTCATAAGGAGAGTACAACCTAGATCCTTTGCATGTGCAGTTCACAATAGGATTGGCACGCCTATGAAAATCTAATGCTGCTGCTGATCTGACAGGAACTCAGGCAGTAAAGCCAGCAAAGCAGAGCGGCTGTAAATACTGATGAAGCTTTGCTTACTCGCCCACTGATCACCTCCTGCTGTGCAGCTCAGTTCCTAACAGGCCACAGACAGGTACTGGGGGTTGGGGGATCCCTGATCTAGGTGATCACCTCCTAACGGCCCCACCCCCTAATATCCTTACATTAGGGGTTAGGATTTCAACATATTAATTTGGGGAGACACTTCAGTTTATAGCATCCTCTTAGCATTATGCTATAACTGGCTATACATGTGTCTTCCTTTATATTAAATTGTGAAATTCATTGGGTTGCATAAGGAAGTTATTCAAAATATTTTTTCAAAGATTTTAGCTTGTGTTACTTGATTGTGAGAATAACTGAGGTACACTGAATTTAAGTGACCTATTCAAAGCCCTAAACCAAATCAACAATAAGGTATGGGCAGACCCCAATAATTCTGACCCGTGTCCCAAGAGTCCAGCCAACTGACTGCGTCTTTGTGAAAGAACATCTATCAGCTGTGAATGAAAAGGAAGTATTAGATGAGAAGATAGTGCTTGTCCATCTCTGAGCTGCTGATGGACTAGGAATCCTGGCTCACTGTAGTGACCCAGGAGCACTATCCAGAGCCTTCTCTCCCAAGACATCCCATCAGGGCTCTTTCCTAAGGGCACCCCTGAAGACCCTGCTCCACTTCCCAGTGTGGCCTTTTCTGTAATTAGAAGTAGTAATTAATAATCAGTTGCAGAGAAGTGAGCCAAGATTGTGCCACTGCACTGCAGCCTGGGTGACAGAGTGAGACTCCGTCTCAAAAAAAAAAATCATTAGTTATTCCATAGAAGAGCTTCATTTGAAAAGTCAATCTACTCAGTTCAGATCAGTAATTGTAAACTATCACAAAGCTACAGCTTTCATCTCCATGATATTACAATTACCTACCTGCCTAACCTGTAGTATCTACAAAGGTTGTGATTGTTTATCACTCAGAATTACTTCATTTTAAAAATTTTTCAACTTTTCTTTTCTATTCAGGAGGTATATGTGCAGGTTTGTTACAAGAGTATATTGCATGATGCTGAGGTTTGCGGTATGACTGAGTCCATCATCCAGGTAGTGAGCATAGTACCCAACAGGTAGTTTTTCAACCTTGCCCCGGTCCCTCCTTCTCCCTTCTTGTAGTCCTGTGTCTATTTTTCCCTTCTCTATGTCCATGTATACCCAATGTTTAGCTCTTACTTATAAGTAAAAACATGTGGTATTTGGTTTTCTGTTTCTGCATTAATTCACTTAAGATAATGTTGCTGCAAATTCTGTTTTACAGCTCCACAGTATTCCATTATGTGTACATACCACAATTTCTTTATTCAATTCACTGTTGATGGGCACTGAGGTTCATTCCTAGGTTGATCTTTGCTATTTTTGAATAGTGCTGTGATGAACATATGAGTACATGTGTCTTTTTGGTAGAACAATTTGTTTTCCTTTGAGTACATACCCAGTAATGTGGTTGCTAGGTCAAATGGTAGTTGTGTTTGGTTCTCTGAGAAATCTCCAAACTGCTTTCTTCAGTGGCTGAAATTAATTTACATTCTCACCAACACTGTATAAACGTTCCCTAACCTCTGCAGCCTCACCAACACCTGTTATTTTTTTTTAATTTAAATAATAGCCATTCTGACTGGTGTGAGATAGTATCTGGTTGTAGTTTTGATTTGCATTTCTCTAATGATTAGTGATGTTGAGCATTTTTTCATATGTTTTTGGCCACTTGTCTGTCTTCTTTTGAGAAGTGTCTGCTCATTTCCTTTGCCCACTTTTTAATTGAGTTGTTTTTTGCTTGGTGATTTAAAGTTCCTTATAGATGCTGGATATTAGACCCCTGCATAATGTATGAATATTTTCTCCCATTCTGTAGGTTGTCTGTTTCCTCTGTTGAAAGTTTCTTTTTTGTTTTGAGACAGGGTCTCACTCTGTCACCTAGACTGGAGAGCAGTGGTGTGATCATGGCTCACTGTAGCCTCAACCTTTCCAGGCTCAGGTGATCCTCCCACTTCAGCCTCTCAAGTAGCTGGGACTACCTGCGCACACCAGATGCCCAGCTAATTTTTTGTATTTTTTTGTAGAGAGTGGGGTTTCACCATGTTGCCCAGGCTGGTCTCAAACTCCTGGGCTCAGGCAATCTACCCACCTTGCCCCCCAAAGTGCTAGAATTCCAGACATACGCCATGGTGCATGGCCAATAGTTTTCCTTTTGCTTTGCAGAAGCTCTTTAGTTTAATTAGGTCTCACTTGTCAATTTTTTGTTTTTGTTGCAGATGCTTTTGAGGACTTAGTTATAAATCTTCCCCAAGGCCTATGTCGAGAAGGGTACTTCCTAGATTTTCTTGAAGGATGTTTATAGTTTGAGGTCTTACATTGTATTAGTCTATTTTCATGCTGCTGACAAAGACATACCTGAGACTAGGTAATTTATAAAGTAAAGAGGTTTAACTGACTCACAGTTCCACATGGCTGGAGAGGCCTCACAATCATGGCAGAAGACGATGGAAGAGAAAAGGGATGTCTTATATGGCAGCCAGTAGAGAGAGAATGAGAGGGGTTTCCCCCTCTCAAGTGAAAGGGGTTTCCCCTAATAAAACCATGAGATCTTGTGAGACTTATTCACTACCACGAGAACAGTATGGGGGACACTGCCCCCATGATCCAATTATCTCCCAACGGGTCCCTCCCACAACACGTAGGCATTATAGGAGCTACAATTCAAGATGAGATTGGGTGGGGACACAGCCAAACCATATCATACATTTAAGTCTTTAATCCATTGTGAGTTAATTTTTGTATATGGTGATAGGTAGGAGACCAGTTTCATTCTTCTGCATATGGTTGGCCAGTTTTCCCAGCACCATTTATTGAATAGGATATCCTTTCCCCATTGTTTATTTTTGTCAACTTTATCAAAGATCAGTTGATTGTAGGCGTGCAGCTTTATTTCTGGGTTCTCTATTCCATTGGTCTGTGTGTCTTTTTTTGTACCAGTACCATGCTACTGTAGCCTTTTGGTTACTATAGCCTTGTAGTATTTTGAAGTTGGGTAATGTGATGCCTCTGGCTTTGTTCCTTTTGCTTAGGATTGCTTTCACTATTTAGGCTCTTTGTTTCCATATGAATTTCAGAATAGTATTCTTTTTCTAACTTAGAATTATTTTAGCTCCAAGATTTCAGGTTTGAAATTCCTCCTCCTTGATTACAACACTCCTAACTTCCACCTGTAATATTTCATCACACCTGCTAAAGATACTTTTTGGGTGTCTCATAACCTCTAGTCTCTCAACTCTTCTTCTCTCAGTGACCCATTGCATTTGGACTCACTGCCATCCCAATACAAACCCAACCCAGTGCTAGCCATTTCACTCTGCCCTAACCAGCACTCCTCACCCTCCACCCGCCACACCTTTGCTAGGTCTGCCTGCCTGGCCCCACCTTGATTACACCTTTCATTTTTTCCCTCACCAGGTACTGTGTACTGCTATAGAAAGCCATAGTACATTGTGAAACCATTATGCATTCCTTTTAACCTCAGCCATGGCTTCACTACGTATGTGTAGATGTCCCCATCAGCACCTTAAACATAGTGTTTAAAACCAAATTTCTCCTGATATACATAGTTGTTATTGATGTAACCAATCTCTCAGGCATCAAGCCTTGAAATCAAGAGTGAAATTTGTCTCATTTCCCTCCCGCTTCCCTGAAACCCCAGTCATCAAATCCATATTATCTGTATTATTTTTAATCACAGCAAATGCAAAACCTGTCCCTTTTTTTCACTTCCCCTGCAGACCCATACCCTGTTCCAGTTACACTAATGGTGATAACCTCCTGACTGATTTTGGATCATCCAATCTCTGGCCTCAGTTCCACCTTTTTTGATTTAGCTAAAGTTTAGCTCACATAACATGCCCCAAAGCCACCAGTGGGCCTTTCCTCTTTGCCAACTAAAGCTTACATTCCTGAGCCTGACCGTCAAAGCCTTCCAGGACCTAGCCTTTATCTGCATCTGTAAGCATCAACCACTGCTTGATATCATGCAGAATAAAAGAGCAAATATTAACATGTTAGAGTACATCCAGTATATTAAGGATAAGTACTGTCATGGAATTCCTGGTTTTTTTTTTTTTTTTTGAGACGGACTCTCGCTCTGTCGCCCAGGCTGGAGTGCAGTGGCGGGATCTCGGCTCACTGCAAGCTCCGCCTCCCGGATTCACGCCATTCTCCTGCCTCAGCCTCCCAAGTAGCTGGGACTACAGGCGCCCGCCACCACGCCCGGCTAATTTTTTGTATTTTTAGTAGAGACGGGGTTTCACCGTTTTAGCCGGGATGGTCTCGATCTCCTGACCTCGTGATCCGCCCGCCTCGGCCTCCCAAAGTGCTGGGATTACAGGCGTGAGCCACCGCGCCCGGCCGAATTCCTGGTTTCTAAAATAAAATGTATTTCTTGCCAAGGGTCATGTTAAGGTTTGAGAATCACTGTTCTATACCATTTGCTATTCCTAAACCTGAACTGTGACTTTCTCCTTCATTTTTATATTATGAAATATTTCAAGTATGTAGAAGAGTGTAGAGAATAACGTAACATTTATCACGTTAACGTGATGTCTACTTTAGATCTTAAAATAGATATGTACATAGTATATGTGTTTATATGTGTCTATAAATATATTAGTGTATCTATCTGTTTGTCCTCTTCTCTCTAAAGCAGATACAATTACCTGGGCATAGTGGCTCACACCAATAATCCCAACACTTTGGGAGGCTGATCACTTGAACCCAGGAGTTTGAGACCAGCCTGGGCAACATAGGGAGATCCTGTTTCTACAAAATAACTTTTAGAAAATTAGCTGAGCATGGTAGTATGTGCCTGTGGCCCCAGCTAAGGGGGAGGACTGCTTGCTCCTGGGAGATTGAGGCTGCAGTGAGCCATGATAGTGACACCGCATTCTAGTCTGGGTGACAGAGTGAGACCCTGTCTTAAAAAAAAATGGATTCAACTGAAACGTAGCTTCCTATGTCTACCCATTCCCTTCCCACCCTCCCCACTGGCAGTCTCTATGCATTGTGGGTGGTTTTCATTCCCACTGTTTTCACATGAAAACATTTTGAAATTATAGTTATATCTACATATAATGATACAATAAAACCACATGAAATTTATAAATAAGATTTTTTTGGATATTTTTAACCTTGATACAAATTTTGTACCTAACATTCTTCTTTCATTTAATCTACGTTTGTGTTTTTCCACATTAGTTGCTATTCTCTAGTTGACTCATTTTCTTTGCTGACTACTTCCACTGTATGAATATACCACAATTCTTTAGTTCATCCTCCTGTGGATGGACATGGAGGTTGTTTCTAGTGATTTGCTCCGACACCCTAGGCTGCAGTCTAGTCTTGCCCATGTCTTATTGGATATGTATATGACTAGAAGGGGATTCCTTTATAGACTTTTGCCCAGGTTGTTGCCTTTACCTGGAATAGCTTCCTGTCAGAAAACCTTATCTGTCCCTGAAGGCACTTCTCACATGCCAATTCTTCCATGACTTCCAACTCACCTGGTCAAAGCAATATCTTCTTCCATCCATTCTCCTGCATCCTCCAGTTTGTATCACTTAAATGATGCTACCATATACAACCTTGTTCTGTAGTTACCTGAGTATTCCCAAGTAGGCCATAAGTTTCTTATGGGCAAGTATTGTGTTGTATGGTACCTCCCTGCTTAGACCCTAGCACAGATTTTTGCCAGAGTGGCCCCTCAACAAACATCTGTTGAATCCACTAAACTCTCCTTTTGCTACCAAGTACTGCTATCATTATCTAATGATATATATCTTATGACAATAATATACACCTAATGGCTGCTACATTCTCATGTGTTATTATTTATGTATTTTCATGGGGCTCTCTAATGTATGTGGGAGAAACTAAATGTTTAGGGTATACCCTGAGCTCAACAACCAGCTGAGGCTAAATGCCCATAGAGAGCTGTGTATGCATAAAGATAAAGGAAAATATTTCTCCTCCTTTCTTGTTAAATCACCCAAAATATTACATTTATGCCAGTAATTTTATAAGAATTGTGTTCAGAACTAAAAGAAATCAAACATTGGGTGGATAAGAATGTTAACAAAAATTGGAGTAGGGGGCAATTTCTGAGATTGGTGCTGTGCTTTTTTTCTTTTCTTTTGAGATAAGATCTCACCCAGGCTGGAGTGCAGTGGCACAGTCATAGCTCACTGCAGCCTCAACCTCTGGGCTCAAGCTATTCTCCCACCTCAGCCTCCTGAGTAGTTGAGACTACAGGCACTTACCACCACACCTGACTAATTTTTATACTTTTTGTAGAGCTGGGGTTTCACCATGTTGACCAGGCTGATCTTGAACTCCTGGGCTCAATCATTCCACCCGCCTTGGCCTCCCAAAGTATAGGGCCTACAGGCCCGAGCCACCGCACCCAGCCATTGCTGTGCTTTTTGAATCCACCAATGCTTGTTGCCATTAGTGTAGAAAGGACTTAGAGAGAGAATCCGTTTCCTCTTCCCCCACCTAGTTCCTGTCACCTTAGCAATTATTCTATAAATGTGGCCTGGCAAGAGAGTTACAAACAGCCATGTGTGTTCTGAGTTGCTGCTAGTGTTGTAGCTTTAGAATTCTTGACCAGAAGACAGGATTGGGGAAAAGCAAAGGTGCCTGTCCATCCATAGATATTAATTTCCCCACAAAGTTCAGTGGGAGGAGGAGGGTGGGGGAGATTTTTTCCTGTTCCAAAGTAGAGATTTATGCTCAGTATACTTCTTTTTATTAGACCTAGAAAAATGAGGTTAAGAAATTATATGTGGAAAAATCAGTTCAAGTATCCAAGGATGCAAACCTCTTTCAGTTTGTTCGTGAGTACAAAGTATTGGCTTAAATGATAGCAAGTTGATACCTGTTTATACCAGCCTCATAAATTTGTAATAAAACATGTCCAGGTCACAGGATTTTTATAAGCAGCTCACCATTCCATGCCATATGATCCATCAAATAAAGAATACATGAAGTAAGGATTTTTAAGCTGCCCTCTTTAAGTTGACAGGAAGGTCAGTTGAAGCCTGGAAAATCCTAGTCTTAATGAAGGCGTTTAAAACTCATATTGAAAAATGTACGTTTTCTCAGCTCCCAAGGCACCACAACTTCTCAGGACAAACAACAACATGCAAATTTTGGAATAACTAAAGAAATCAAACCCTTGGTGTTTGTTTCTAGGTTATAGGTTGATTTTAGAAAAGGCCACATATAAGAATAACCATTTGTCCTTACTGTAACATAACCTCAAGTCTCAGATGATATCTGATTATAATCTGTGAAGTGCTACCTGACTGCCTGGATTGTTTTTCCAAATGAGTTGAAATGTCCACGTCCACAGCTGCCCACGAATATGTACTTTAAAAGATATACACAGCTTGATTATTGACTGAGCATTGCCATACCACGGGTGGACCCTGGCAGATTTAGACACAGATTTTAATAGTAGCCAAGAGACAAACAACTCCTTCCAGTCTTTGCTCAAATCTCACCTCTTCAAGGAGGCTTCCCAACCACCCTATTGATTTAATACCGCATTTCTACTCTCCCTGGCATTCCACAACACCTAACTCTGCTCTACTTTTTCTTTGTTTTCCATAGTACTACTTATCACCTTGTGACTTAACATGTTATTTTCTGCTCACACTTTAAAAAAATCCAGGCCGGGTCGGGTGGCTCACGCCTGTAATCCCAGCACTTTGGGAGGCCAAGGCAGGTGGATCTCATGAGGTCAGGAGTTGAAGACCAGCCTGGCCAACATGGTGAAACCCCATCTCTTAAAAATACAAAATAGCGGCCAGGTGCGGTGGCTCACGCCTGTAATCCCAGCACTTTGGGAGGCCGAGACAGGCGGATCACGAGGTCAGCAGATCGAGACCATCCTGGCTAACACGGTGAAACCCCATCTGTACTAAAAATACAAAAAAATTAGCCGGGCGCGGTAGCAGGCGCCTATAGTCCCAGCTACTTCGGAGGCTGAAGCAGGAGAATGGCGTGAACCCGGGAGGCGGAGCTCGCAGTGAGCCGAGATCGCAGCACTGCACTCCAGCCTGGGGGACAGAGCGAGACTCCATCTCAAAAAAAAAAAAAAAAAAAAAAAAAGAAAGCTGGGTGTGGCGGTACGCACCTGTAATCCCAGCTACTCGGGAGGCTGAGGCAGGAAAATCACTTGAACCCAGGAGGCGGAGGTTGCAGTGAGTCGAGATCGCGACACTGCACTCCAGCCTAGGCAACAGAGCGAGACTCTGTCTCAAAAAATAAAAATAAAGTAAAATACCTAACATAAAATTTACCATCTTACCATTTTAAGTGTACAGTTCAGTAGTGTTAAATCAATTCACAGTGTTGTGCAACCGATCTCCAGAACTCTTTTCATCTTGCAAAACTGAAACTCTGTATCCATTAAACAACTCCCCATGGCTCCCTCTTCCCAATCCCCTGGCAACCGCCATTCTACTTTCCGTCTCTATGAATTCAGAGAACACTACTCTAGGTCCGTTATATAAGTGGAATCATACAGTGCTTTCCTTTTGTGACTGGCTTATTTTGCTTAGCATAATATCCCCAAGGGTCATCCATGTCATAGCATGTGCCAGAATTTCCTTTTTTTTTTTTTTTTTTTTTTGATAAAGAGTATTGCTTTGTCACTCAGGCTGGAGTGCAGTGGCACGATCTTGGCTCACTGCAATCTCTGCCTCCCACGTGCAAGCAATTCTCCTGTCTCAGCTTCCCGAGTAGCTGGGACTACAGGCGCCCACCACCATGCCTGGCTAATTTTTGTATTTTTAGTAGAGAAGGGGTTTCACCATATCAGTTAGGCTGGTCTCGAACTCCTGACCTCAGGTGATCCACCCACCTCAGCCTCCCAAAGTGCTGGGATTACAGGTTTAAGCCACCATGCCTGGTCAATTTTCTTCCCCCCCTTTTTTTTTAGACAGAATCTTGCTCTGTCGCCCAGGCTGGAGTGCAGAGGCCCAATCTCAGCTCACTGCAACCTCCACCTCCCAGGTTCAAGTGATTCTCCTGCCTCAGCCTCCCAAGTAGCTGGGATTTCAGGCATACACCACCACGCCCAGCTAATTTTTGTATTTTTAGTAGAGACAGGGTTTCATCATGTTGGTCAGGCTGGTCTTGAACTCCTGACCTCGTGATCCGCCCGCCTCGGCCTCCCAAAGTGCTGGGATTACATGCCTCAGCCACCGCGCCTGGCCAATTTTCTTCCTTTTTAAGGTTGAATAATATTCCACAAAATTTTGTTATATCTGGAATGGGGTATATTTGATGCCCACTTGATAACTCTGCTTAGCTGTAACAAAGATACCTCAAATGAACACTACCAAAAGAGAATCAAGCTTCTTCCACTAACCCTACTTCTGTCCTGTGCTTCTTGTTCCTATCTCAGTAAATGGCTGCACCCAGGTGCTCAAGCCAGAAACCAGAGATATAGCATTTCTTCTTCACTGTTACTGTTCTTTATCCAGTTGCCAGTGATAATTACTAAAATGACTTACATATATTGAGCACTTACTCTCTACTACACATGGTTCTAAGGTCATTGCATGTGACTTAAATAAATAAAACATTTACTCCTCTCAACTCTATGAAATGGAATCTACTATTTTTAGCTATTGTACAGATGAGGAAACAGGTGAAGTCCCTTGCCCAAAATCCAGACAGGAAGTGGTGGAGCCAGAATCTGTGCCCAGGTAGTCTGGCTCCAGAGCCCACACCCTAAACTTTTATGCTATTCAGGAAATGCTTTCTGTTTCAACCTCGTTTATTGGAAATCATTCTACCAATGTATTAGTCCACTTTCCTAAATGTGTAAGTGAACATAATTTTGTCCAGGTCCTTTATCTCTTTCCATATAAAGTTTGGCTAATAGAGATACCAATGCGAAGAAGATAGGACTGTGTCTATGGTAAGCCTAGGAAGTTTTGGTTAAGAGCAAAACTTAAAGGGGAAGTTAAGTTTCCCCTTTAAGTTTTGCTCTTAACCAAAACTAAGTTTCCCCTTTAAGTTTTGCTCTTAAACAAAACTTCCTAGGCTTTTGGGAAGTTGCTTCTTAAACAAGTCCCAAGGATGTTCTCCCTGCGAAATTGCTCTTAAACAAAAGTCCTAATAGCATTTGATTTTCCTGTGTTTTGATATTTTTTTCTCTAAAGTGGAATATGTCAGCAAGTCAGTTTACTTGAAGACTGTGATTAATCAAAGCTATAATGTAGCAGATACAGTTATTAATATCAACAAGGTACATCAATCATAAACACCATTAAAAAACTTAAAACTTTCCTTCTTTGAGGTTGCATTGATCTTGGAGGCAAAGTGGGCTGGAAAGCAGACAGTCCAAGCCTGAGTCCCATCAGATTAAATGAATCATATACTTAAAATAAACCACAATCCTTCTGGTACCAATAATGCCGTAAACTGAAAATAATAATAAAGGCCAACTACTTAAGATTTCTGAATTAAAGTTGAAAAAAAATGAATGCAATTACAAGGAGTAAGATGAATGCAGGTCGAGAAAGTGTCACTTTTCCATTTTAAGCTTATTCAGTGTCTAACAGCCAATATTATATAAGTTTACCATCGAGTTAACATTAAAATACGATGCATTTTAAAGCAAAAGTGTGCCTTTTGAAGTCCCTAAGGTGCCTTTAGAAAACAGAGGATACAGTACCAGCAAGAAGCTATTTGGGCAAGTCCATAGATCACATGGGCTGGGAAGAGACAAGCACTCAATGTTACCAGAAATTCAAGGTCAGCACTTGCAGTTTCATTTCCATCACCCCAGCACTCCCTTTGACAAAGGATTATAGTATCTACTGAAAAGTTGCATTCATTCCCAACTTGCTATTTCAGCCTCAACCACCACTCATCCCTCCAGAGAATTCAATTACTTTCGCATTCCCAAATAACAAGCAAATGATGATTTGGGGGGCCTCTTTTTATATGACATCCAAAAAGATGCAGAAAATAAAGAACAACAGTAAGCCAGAAGTGATTTCAGCTTAAGTATGATTTTTACATACGCATCACTAGACAAAAGTATACAATTAATGGGGTGGGGGTAAGCTCTAAATCTTATCTAATTTTTAGAAAATACTTTAAAAATACTTGGCTAATCTAATATTTTGTCTAACCTATATGGGTTTTTCTTCCTGCTTTTCCTCACCCCATATCCAATATTCAGTTGAGACTTCCAAAATGGAAAAGTATCTCTGCCTGTCCTTGCTCTGAAATCAGAGCATTCCAAAATGAGCCTCAGTTTGTCTTTTCCTTGCAAAAGAATGTACTGTTGATTAAAACAAGAGAAAACCACACCAGTGCATACACAGTCTGATCTTAACCACCCAGAAAGCAGCCTGGCATCCTCTGTCAAGCCTCTTAGAGACAGGCAGGCCTGGAGCAGCCCACACAGCTTCTGCCTGCATAGCCTACCAGCTCACAATGATTTTGGTGACTACGGACTGGCCTAAGCCATTACTGCTGTCCAATACATTGTCTAAAATATGGTCATGAACACTTAAAACCTCACCAAGGAAGTCTTGATGCTTCATACGCATTATCTTAATACTCTCCAAATTTCTTCAAAAGAGAACTACTATGTGACAGCAAGTTAGTTATAACCAGGCACTAAGTTTTTTGCTTTCCCATCTCATTAAACTACACATAATCTAGATTCAGTTTAATACAACTGCTATACCAGAGTAGGAACAGGACAGGCTCTGGGTTTCAATTCCTTTTCTTCCCCTTCAGCACTGCATTAGCATTTTTCTTCCTTAAGAATGATTTGATTTAGTCTTACTGACAAACCACTGAAGGACCTACTATAAGTTGCAAAGGGAGAGTTGCAACTTCCAAATCTTCCATGAACCATCAGTGTTTAAAGCATCCCAGCCAGGCATGGTGGCTCATACCTGTAATCCTAGTGCTTTGGAAGGCCAAGGCAGTAGGATCACTTGAGCCCAGGAGCTCAAGACCAGCTTGGGCAACACAGACCCTGTCTCTACAAAAGAATAAATAAATAAACACATAAAAATTAGCCAGGAGTGGTGCCATGCACCTGTAGTCCCAAGTACTTGGGAGGCTGAGGAGGGAGGATCACTTGAGCCCAGGAGGGGAGGCTGTAGTAAGCTATGATCAGATCACACCATTGCACTCCAACCTAGGTGACAGAGTGAGACCCTGCATCTTAAAAAAAAATTAATCAAAAAAATTTTGCTTTCTCTTCTGTTTTCCAGAGAGGGTTTGGCATCTATGTGGTAATGTCAATGAATGAGGAGATCTGCTCCCTAGCTGTTAGGGACCTAATATGACCACAGGCTAAAGAGCTCACTGAATTTTAGTGCAGGAAGGGCTTTATAGACTACTTATTTAGGAGATGGCAAATAGATTTCACTTGTCATGCCAACCTCTATTGCTTGGTAATGGCTTCCTGAAATCACGTGTTGAGCAGCATTCCAGGCCTGGACTGGAGTTTAGAGGGCAAGGTGTTATGGATTTACAATGTCTGCCACAAGCTCTTGAGGGAGGTGGGGCTCAGGAGGGAACAGTGGCACAGAGCCATATATTTGCCACCCCCGAGCTGACTCTACTATAGACAACTAAGTGACTTGTCGTCTACTGTTTTTCCCACTAAACGTTTTTAAAAAGTAGTGATCATATCAATAATAAAAAACTATTTCAAAATATTTGCAATAACATATCTTTAAATAAAATACATTGTCCCTGAAAATGTATTTCCCTCATTATCTCTAATATTATTATATTAATATAATATTATATTAATTATTATCTCTAATAATAATGAGGTCCTCCTTGGCATGTCCCATAGAGAGCCAAAGGTGGAATTTCTAGGCTTTTCTTCAATTGCATCCTGACAACTACCATCTTCTAGAACTCTATGAGTAAGATGGTTAAAAAAAGAGCTAGGAAGTTCTCCAGCAGTTATATGGCTTCTGTGATGGGACAGGACAGGTAAGGGGGAAGAAAAGGAAACAGAGGTTTAGGAATCAAGCAAATACCTATAGGCTCATACCTATAATCCCAGCACTTTATGAGGCCAAGGCAGGAGAATGGCTTGAGCCCAGGAGTTCAAGACCAACCTGGGCACCAACATAGCAAGACCCTGCAAAAAATTAGCTGGGCATCGTGGTATGTGACTGTAATCCTACCTAATAACAAGGCTGAAACAAGAGGATCACTTGAGCCCAGGTGCTCAAGGTCACAGTGAGCTATGATTACACCACTGTACTTACAGCCTGGGCAACAGAGTAAGACCCTGTCAAAAGAAGAAATGAAAGAAACGAAACAAAACGAAAAGAGGGAGGGGAGGAGGAGGAAAGAAGCGAGTAAATATCAGTGCAGTGATCCCAATGACAAAGGAAACTATTAAGCAGGAAAGTCAATGTGATGTTTTGATAGGAAAAATGGAGAACCAAAGTTTCTTGAACTTGACTAGTGTATTAGCCCATTCTCTCATTGTTATAAAGAAATACTGGACACTGGGTAATTTACAAAGCAAAGAGGTTTAATTGGCCACGGTTCTGCAGGCTGTACAGGAAGCATGATGCTGGCATCTGCCCACTTTCTGGGGAGGCCTCAGGAAGGTTACAATCATGGCAGAAGGCAAAGGGGGAGCAAGTACTTCACAATGCTGGAACAGGAGTAAGAGAGGGAGTGGGGAGGTGTCACATACTTTTAGACAACCAGATCTCATGAGAACCATCAGGATGACAACTTCAATGGGGATGATGTGAAGCCATGAGAAACTGCCCCCATGATCTAGTCACCATGCCCCACTTCCAACACTGGGGATTATAACTGAACATGAGATTTGGGTGGAGACACAGATCTAAACCGTATCAACTAGCAAAGCTATCTTGATCAATTAGTCAATACGATTTATTTACTTGCTGTCTGCTCTGTTCTTAATGCTGTTATGGACCAAGTGGACACATCTGAGGAAAAAAAAAAAAAACAGATCCTTTTGTAGCCAGCTTATCCAATCTCTCCCTCTACCCTAAGGCAATCTTGGACACCCAGGCCAGGTCAGATCTCTGGAGAGGCAGAATCAGCCTCCCAGTACCTACTCAGTGTTGGCAGCCAACTGGCTCCCAGGTGAGGAGAACATTTCTGGCAGTAAAAGCAGTACACAGCAGGCAAGAGACCCTAAGAAAAAGCAAGGGAGAGGAGAGAGGCATGTGATTCCGGAGACAAATAAACACAATTAGCTGTGCTAGAAACAAACTGAAAAGACTCAGTGGGACGGCTGATTCCTTCCGCCAAGAGAAAACCAAAGGAGAATTCATTTAAAAGAAACCTTTTAGTTCCCTTGGCAGCTATGGCCCAATGACAGTCGTATTTTCTATTAAGTCCTTTTCATTGTGGATTTCTCCAAGATTTAAAACACTATCACAAGAAGGGTTTGACTGCTTTATCAGTTTTGCTGCCCTAATAGAATCCATTAATATTTCAGGCTGGTCCTTTCTTTCTTTCAGACGGGCCTTTCACAGCTATTCTGTCCCTGTGTACCTAAATGAACCCAATTTGCAGCAATGGGAAAATGGTTGAATTCATAGAAATCAACAGTCATGTCCGTGGGAGTTTGTTAATCCCAGGATCCAATTCTGTAATGCAAGGATTAGCTACAACAGTGGGGTCTGGTAGCAACCATGTAGCATGGCAGTAAACAAGATGGGCTTTGGAGTTAGGCAACTTGGATTTGAATCCTGACTCCGTCAGTTACAAGTTGGGTGACCAGGGGCAAGTAATTTAAACTCCTTGTGTCTCAGAGCCTTCATCTGTCAAATAGGGATATAGTGATATCTAACAGTGTTATTGTGAAGTTTAAAGAATTATAATAAAAGGGTCCTTACCTTTTGGAAACACATTTTAGAATGTTCACAAATAATATGATGTCTGGGATTTGCTTTAAAATAATCTGAAGATATATATATATATATCCATATATATATATATATATGGAGTTGGCCATGAGCTAATAATTACTGAAATTGGTTGATGGGCACATGGGGATTTATTATACCATATTGTCTACCTCTGCCTGTTTGAAATTTCAATAACAGAAAGTTTAAGAGAGAGAGAGAAAGAAAGAGAGAGAGAAATACATGTAAAACTCTTAGCACACATGTGCTCATTAAATGTAATCTGTTGTAGATCAGAGGTTTTGAGGGCATTGTTTCCAGGTCACAGAGGTGCCAAGAGACCAGCCTGCCTCTCTAGAAACATGGGTGGGTTCTGGGGCCAACATGAGGGAGTTAAACACATGGAGAACTTCACTGTCACTCTAGATCATCCACTACTGCCCAACCTTTTCACTATCAGTAACAATAAGTTGATCATTATTGGTTCTCTATGCTTTGGAAGTTTACTAAATCTCACATCCTTCCAATATTCATTACCTAGATCTTTTACAGATATACAGAATCAGAGTTCCGAGTCAGCTTTAGTTGAGCTGGTAGTGGCTCCAAACTGAGCTACTGTCATTTCCAGCCAAAAGCTAAGCATTTCCAAGTTTTAATGGCTCGTGCAGCTGCCTGACAGACATGTATGTGGTTTCACAGGCATACAAAATAGTGAAAAAATGTTCAATGCACTCCATGCCTCCAGTGGGTTCAGGAAACCACTTACATCAATTCAGAGCCAGCCCCAGAAATTCCCAGCTTCTAGGATTTCTTAGATAGAGTGCTGAGCTGGACAGACAGGGAACTCCACCCTGGAGTAATGCCAAGCTAGATATGCACTCCAAGGAATCCCTTAATTAAACCAGCATTTCCAAACACGATTTCATGCCCCCACACAAACAAGGCATCTGCCATCTTTGCTCTGACACTAACTTTAAGAGCCCTTGCACTAGCCACTTCATCTCTGTTTCATTTGTACTGGGATATCTCCCTCCTAAGGTTGTTGCAGGGACCAAAGGTAATGCAAGTAAAGTACATTGCACAATGCCTGGCACACAGTGATTGCTCAATACATGGTAGCTATTTTATGTCTTTGTATGCTTTTACATATGCATGGATATATTATTACCTCCTTTGGAATTTGGTTAATATTTAGACCCAATGGTTCTCTAGGCCATGAGATGTATCACAGCCACATAATTATAAAGAGTTTAATATTTTCTTTTACATTTTGATGCAGCTGTGTTCAATCTTCTTTTCCACAGAGATGGATGTATGGATCACTGTGTTATTGTCAACAGTACCTGTGTGTCCTCTCCTATGCAATTCATGCTTCTTCTGTAATAGAAGAATTCTTCTATTCATGCTTCTTTTATAGACAGTAAAAAGGAGAAAAAAAGTGCTCCAATTCAAGTCTAGCAAGACCATTGTTATTACTATTATGAAATACTTGCTGAATGTCCACTGTACATATATTGTTGAGAGGGTCACTGGACAAGATGAGCATATAATAAAGCTGGAACTCCATTAGCAAAGACTTCAGTGGTCTTTGGCTTCTCTAGGGAAGCTAAAAGCGAGCTAATCTAAAATTTTACCCTTACCTTACCCTTACCTAAAACTGGCACTCTCTTTCCCCTTATCCTGATTTATTTTTCCTCATAGCATTTTTCACTACCTAAAATCATACATTTCCTGATTTACTTGTTTATTGTTTGTCTCCCCCAAGAGAATATATGTTGCATGAAGGCAGGGACCTTGTTCATCTCTGTTATCTCCTGTACCTAGAAATCTGCCAACCAAGCATATAGTAAAGTAGACCCTTGAAAAATATTTTTCAATGAGTGATTTAATTTTTTCCTTTCTGCAAACACCCAATTGCAAAAGGGAATCTAGATCTGAGGTCCTGCTCTATGTATTCCTTATGTAGCTGACCACTGCAATCCAATGCAGAAGATAGGGAGTAAACACACACACACATACATGTGAAGTGGTGCCAAGTGATACGAAGAAAAATGAAGCCAAATAAAGTGATTTCCTCAGGGCCTTACATACCATATACTATTCTGATTTTTGCCTCTGTGCCATTGCAGAAGCTATGTCTCCCATCATAAATGTCCCCCTCTTTGGATATTCTTCTTCTTTCAAGATCTCACTCAGGTTGTTTCTCCTGAATTACACTCAAACTGTAAGAGCTCCCACTGACTTTACCCTGTCTCACACTGAGGGGTACTGCACCTACTACCAGTGCCTCAGAGTCCTACACACAATTATAAACGTTCTAAAGTTTTCTCCTTCATGGAAAAAAAAAGCAGACACTCCAAATGTATTAGGCTCCTTAAGCACAAAAAGACGTGCTTTACGCTTCTCTTACATCTCTCAAGGAATCTAGCAGTGTTGGGTACTTATTAAGTGGCCAAAAATATCCCTGTAAATGAACTGACAAATATCCTATTTGAACCCCACCTCTGCCGCTCTGGCCTTATTTCATTTATGCCCCAACAACATCTATTGCCTTTTTCTCCCTCTCCCTCCCAAGTGTCCGAGTTAGACTGATTCTTGAGACCTACAAAAATCTAAGATATTTACATCCCAGATGAGACAAAGACATTGTCTGAGACCCTCAGACCAGCAGCTTCTCAGAAGGTGGCAATAGTTCCAGAGATATAAGTCATAAACAAGTCATTATTCAGTATATTTTAAAGAGGGGAAAAAAAAAAACCCATGCAATCCAAGAAATACCTTTAGCACTTCATGAATTAACATGAACCTCTTCATCAAACCAAGATTTGCGGAATCAGTTTCTACTTTCTTGAAATGCCACCTGGTTTCAGTGACATTCTTGAACCTATCTGGGTAACATTTTAGCACTGCAGGCAATTGAGTATTAGCCCATGAAACTAATTCCACTTTCTAAAGTACTCAGGGTCTCTGACAACTCAAGGGAATAATAGTAATGACTTTATCTTGCTTAAGTGCAGGAATAAAAAAGCTAAGATGGGATTTCTGGAATGAATTCACCATGGAAAATATAAATTTTCTAATTTGAGAGCCATTAAACTCCATCACTGACTATATACTATCTGCTCTTCCATATTTTATACAGATTTACCAAATTCTCTTTATAGTTTTCACCAACAGTCATTTCTCCCAAAATTATGATCCATAGACATTATTCAGCAGAGTATGTATATTTTATGTCCATCTTCGCCTGGTTTTGTAGCTCACCTCCAGTTTCCTGACTACGGATTTATTTTGAACCTTTTGGTATTCTCTTGGAGTCAAAAGAGCAGGTGTTAAGGACAGGGCAAATACAGAGTTTCACAATATTGTTGGAAAGTACTCAATTCTCTATTCTTTGAGAATAGAGATTTTTTTCTTCTTCTTTGCTCCTTTTAATCTTGGACCTGAAAAGGATAAATGTCACCACCTCTACTGTTAGCTGTGTCTCAAAATCAACAAAAAGCTCTTAAATCAATAACCCTAGCTCTGGTCTTTCTCAAATTCTTACAGCCCTAGGAACTGAGGGTTGATTAAAGTCAGGAACCAGGTCACCCTGGAAAGAGAGGTGAACCAGCCTTGGGTCTTCCCTAGGTGTACTTGTCTTGAAATTTTGAAGTCACCTATTACCTCCATTGTATATTAACATTTATCATAATTATTATTTGCTCATTCAAAAAATATTGCTCTGATATGGTATTGAATATTCCTCACATAGGAAAATATGAACAGTTTATTTGCCACCCAGATGGTTTGGAAGCCTATACCCTCCAAGACATTGAGAAAAGAAAAATCTTTCTCTCAGGAGAGAGAATGAGTGCCAAGCAATGGGAGAAGCCCCTTAAAAAACCATCAGATCTCGAGAGAACTCACTCACTATCATGAGAACAGCATGGGGAAAACTGCCCCCATGATTTAATTATTTCCACCTGGTCCCGCCCTTGACACGTGGGGATTATACAATTCAAGGTGAGATTTGGGTGGGAGACACAGAGCTAAACCATATCACTCTTCATCTGTTAAAAAAAAATCAGTATATTTGCTCTTTATGCCTCATGGGATGGTAGCAAAAGTCATATTTGAGAAGATATATAAAACTACTTTGAAAACTGTCCAGCAGATGTGCACACAGAAATATTGAATGAGGTAAATTTATCAGTATTAATTAAACACCTCTAAGGTTCTAAAACAATGTTTTTCAAACTTTGACCACAACCAATTAGAAGCCAACATATACCCAAGACTAAACAAAAGTTTAACAACACTTACGTTACTTAGATATTTTTAATTCCCTTTTCTTCTTTTTTTTTAAATACAAGTCATGCATTTCACACGGCAGTGGTCCTTGACCCTCAACTCACACCCAAAAATTAAAAAAATCTGATACCCAGGTGCTACTCACCTTGACTCGCAAACAATGGTCTGGGGTGGGGCTAGGGCATCAATATTCTTGGACAACCCCAGGTGATTCTATCCTATAGCCAGGACTGAGAACCACAGTACCAATGGTTTCTAGATCACAGCTAAGAAAACACTGTTACTTATTTACATCCTTATCTGCTAAACATTCTCTGTGCCCAGAATTTGCTCCACTTGCCCGTTTGCTGAAGATCTGCTTGTTACTGAGTTGATTACTCACTCATGTGGCTCGTGTGTGTGTGTGTGCACGTCCCAAGTAGTTGGGACTACAGGCACGTGCCACCACACCTGGCTATTTTTTGTATATTTTGTAGAGATGGGGTCTTGCCATGTTGCCCAGGCTGGTCTTGAACTCCTGGGGCTCAAGCGATCTTCCCATCTCAGCTTCCCAAAGTGCTGGGATTACAGGCATGAATCACCATACCTGGCTAAAGAAAAGCAAAGGGGAGGGAAATGGCCAGACCTCCTCACCTGCTCACACAGCAAAGGAAACTCTCTGGTCATGTCTAGACAAGGGTCTGAGAAGAGCCTTCAGAAGCCTGGGAGATAATAAGTTCAATCAGAAGGAGCTTCCTGGCCTGGCTATCTCCCCCTTCCAAGTGTAGCCCACATGGAACAGAAAGCTCCTCCATCCTCATCTTTCCTCTACACAAGTCTGGGGGACTGTCCTGTTTGCGTGGTTGATCTGCAGAGTACACTTAGCTGTCTGGCAGAACCTAGGACAAAATGCAGAAGGTACCAGAGACGCTGGAGGCCCTACATCTGTGCCCCTGCCCTATCCTTGGGCACACAAATGAAAACAAGAAACCTGAATTCTTTCTGTACATAATAGGTTAAGAAACAAAAGCTGTGTCTGTTTAAAGCACAGTCTTTGGATTTTGACCTAGATCTACCAGTCATGATACTAAGAGTTGACACTTATTGCGATCCTTCTGTGTGTTAAGCATTTCATACACACTCTAACTCACATCTCTTCAGATATGCATCCTATGGATACTCAGATTAAGTAACACACCCAGGGTGGCACAGTTAAGAAATGGTGGTGTCAGGGTGCTAATGCAGGTTTATTTTTACTCCAAATCCCACGCTCTAGCCAAGGGCTTCTCAGCACTACTGATGTTTTGAACCAGATAACTGTTTGTTGTGCGGGGCTGTCCTGTGCATTTTAGGATGGTTAGCAGCATCTCTGGACTCCACTCATTAGATGCCAGTAACATCCCTCCCCCTCCAGGTATGACAATCAAAAATGTCTCCAGACACCACCAAATTTCATCCTCTGGGGGAAAGGGGCAAATTCACCACCCACTTCTCCCCATTAAGAATCACAGCTCCAGGCTGGGCACAGTGGTTTACGCCTGTAATCCCAGCACTTTGGGAGGCCAAGATGGGCAGATCACGAGGTCAGGAGTTCGAGACCAGCCTGACCAACATGGTGGTCAAAAATTACAAAAATACAAAAATTAGCTGGGTGTGGTGGTGCGCGCCTGCAATCCCAGCTACTCAGGAGGCTGAGGCAGGATAATTGCTTGAACCCAGGAGATGGAGGTTGCAGTGAGCCGAGATTGCGCCATTGCACTCCAGCCTGGGTGACAGAGGGAGACTTCATCTCAAAAAAAAAAGAATCATGGCTCCAGTCTAAGCCACAATGTATATTGTTTCCTGGTCCTTTACAAGTACATAAACCGCTACTCAGAAGACAGAGCAAAAACCAAACACAACATTCCAGGAAAGTTTCGTATAGCAATAATACCACCCCATCCTGCAGATATACTTTGTAATTCACTAATTATAGCTATTTTCTCCTTTTATGGCCTCTGAGTACATATTGGGATCTAATTTTGAAAGAGTTAATCCACCTCAAAAATATGAACACTATTGAGAGATCCACCTATTTACCCTTCTTTGAGAAATTGAAGGAAAATATCATGTAGTAAAATCCATATGAATTCTTAGCTCCACAGGCCATTAGGAGAAGAAGCTTTTGTTCCTGCATCATTGTAAGAGAGCACATGATGTGAATGAACTTCTGAAGGGCAAAGCCTGTGTCTCAAGCCTCTCCATCTCCAGCACTTGCTTGCCTAGAACAGAGAATTCTCACTAAATGGTCAACATTTCATGAAACATTAACTATTTCATAGCAGCCCCTAATCATCTGATTAAAATTAAGATGAAACTTTCCCATCTTTCTAATATATGTACATATATATATAAAATAAAATTTATAAACTTGAAAAAAAACTAGTGTTGACATTTACAGAAGAGCTGAGATTTCAGTGCCAGGCTATTCTTCCCTATTGTTTAAAAAACACAGCAGAGCAAAACTCACATTTGGAATGAAGGGAATGTTTACCAGAATCGTCTCTTTCAATACGTGCCAAGAGAACTGTAGCTGTTTCGTTAGAATAATATTTTCATTGGATGAAGGGAAAAAAATTAGAGAAGAGGCTTTTAAACTTTTTTCTTTCAGATTTGCCTTACCACACCAAACTGTTATACATAATATACAATCATAACAGGAATGCTCATTTAAAAAAAAAATCTGAATTCAAAAGAAAGTAACTGGGAGCACTGACTCCACTTATTTGGAGTCTGTATTTCCTCGTTTCTGAATAAATAAAAAATAACTAATTGTCGTTGCTTTTCAGGTTACCCTTTAAAAACTCTTAAAAGACCAGGAGGGCAAAAACCAAAATGTTCTATTTGTAGTTAGTTGCAAAACCTAACTGAAGGGAATATCATTACCTGGGAAATGATAAATTTCCACATGGCTTCAAAGGAATTTTAACATAAGACTATCAATAAATAATATTCCTAACAAGAATAAGTAGACTCTGTTGAGCACTCATGATGTGTCCGGCACCGAACTCAAGTGTTCTACACGCATCAATGTTATTTCATCTTCATCACAGCCCCATGAGGTACATACTCATTAATATCTTCATTTTAAGAAAACTGAGGCCAAAAGAGATGAAACAACTTGCCCCAAACCACAGCTAGATCAAGATTCAAGCTGTGGCTGTATGAAGCTTTATGCAACACAACCTGAAAAAAAAAATGCGAATTTTAAAAAGGGATATGTTCAGTACATTTTTTACTGTGTGCCATGAAATCCCAAAGTTGAAATGAATGTTCAGAAATCATTCTCTTCCCTTTACTTCTGTGGATCCTTTCACATCAAAAATCAAGCACCAGGCATTACCTACAGCTGGGGCAAATGGCTTTCTGGGTACCTTTTTTTTTTTGGTGAGACAACAAGTCTTTTGTATTTTTGTTTTGCTTTCTGTAAAAATCCACAATGACAGAGACTGCCTAGTAACAAGTATCAGGAGGGGCAAAGAAAGGCTTACTTTTTCTAGCCCAATAAGCCATAAGCTATAACAATAAAGTGACAGGACCAATTACTTTACATACATACCAGAGCATAAACACCAAAATGAAGGTTGTGCTTCAAAGTAGTTAAGTTTTTGAGGAGTTAAATGTTGTACTCAAAATTTCCACTGTGGAGATGATGGGAGCCCCTAACCCCGGTGTTATTCAGGGACCAACTGTAATTCCTTCCAATCCTAAATACATACTCCATGCCATTACTAAATGCCCCTTTTAGAACTGCCAGTCTTTCAAGAGAATTTTCATTACTTTAATGAGCATACTTATTGACAACCTCGATTCCCCACCTCGGAAGCCCAAGTTGGCCCCGCACAGTGCCTGGCTGTTTCCCAGCTGAGGAAGGTTTGCCACCACTGAGGCAATCAGGAAATGTGTTGCAAACTCGGAAGGCAACTCCAAAGCAGGAGCTCCAAAATTATTCTCAGTAGTGACAGCATCACTAGAATTAGTACACAGCTTGCCAAGAGCAGGCTTTTGAAGGGGAGAAATACTGATTTGAATGTATAAATACTGGCATATTTATTTTAACATTTGGATAAAGAATTGGAAGCATCAGCAAGTGTTACGTCCAAGTGAATAAGTACACTGCTGCAGGAATGATAGTGCAGATTTTGATGCAAGGTCCTGACCACTCAATAAGGTATACACACACCCTTAATGGAAATATGCTTATCCTGAAATGATTCTTGTAAAATGAATAAATCGCTTTCTATCCTGTTAACTTGCATAATTATTAAAGATTTCCTTTTCATGAATTAAAAACAGACCCAACAAATGCTAGTTGCCAAAATAATCCTTGTTTATCCAATGAAGCTCAAATCTCAGTGTGTGTCAGAAGATGGACCTATATGCACCAGAAGGAAATCTGGTGCATACACACACCCGCAAAAAAAAAAAAAAAAAAAACATATCTTTCAATGGATATATCCACTTAATAAGATTCCTCTACTCTGGGTCTTCCAGAATTGGTTGTTACGCCAAATAACTGAAATAATTACCATACATAATTAACAATACAAGATGGGTTAATGTAAGATAGTCAACATTTAACTAATAATTGAAGGACACGCACCCAAGGACAAACAGCAGAAATAAAAAACAAAAACAAAAACAAAGCCATGCCTTGGTCCTTTGTTTTTAGATACACACTTGGATACTCATCCACTGAGGTCCTAAGCAGTCTGGCTCCCTTCCAGTTGACCTGGTCAAGGGTGCAGCAGCTCAGGGCTGGGTACACGTTGTGGATAACCTTAACAGGGCAGTCAAGGGCAGTCTACCTTCCATGCAGGCAACTCCTATTAACTTCAGTAACAGGAGTCTTCACTGACAAGCAAATACTCCCAAACTGTACAATACTCTCATGTTTAACTCGACTGGAATGCAGTGCGTTTGTGGACATTGTTTGGTGTGTGTATTTGTTGTGGATTTTCCTCGTTTTTACCCAGAAACAGCTTCTCAGAGTACTGGAACAAGTAGTACACACGTGGGTCTAAAAATCACACATACAGTGTATTGTATGAGTTATCCCTAAGGCGCGCACACACACGGGTAGGTATTACCTGTACATTTGAAATCTCACTCCATAACTAATTTTTTTAGCCCAGGCTCTTCTCATTGGGTTCCTGGACAAAATCATTTCTAACCCAGCTAAGAAATATGGAATGCAACTTAGGTCAAGACAATGAGCCTGCCAAGGCTCCTGGACTTCCCACTAGTCTGCCAGTGCCTGGAGCACCCACAGCTGCACAGGAAGCTGCTGTGCCCGGCTACCTCCAGGTCCCCGCACCGGGTCGGCAAGGTGCAGCAGCCCCCAAACCCAGGCTCCGAATATTCCCCAAGCGCGCTGAGTGCGAGGTCCCCACCCGCCTCCGTCTGGGGATGCCCGGTCTTGCTCCCTAGACTAGATTCCCTCTCGAGTTATCTACGACCCTGTTCCACCGAGGGCGCTGCGTTCTCATAGCCTAGACAGACGTTCCCAGCGTTCCAGCCCCACCAGCCACCTCCGACACCCCACCGCGGCGTTCCCATCCAGCCAAGCCCCAGCATCCGCCCATTAGCCAGCTGCCGGCGGTTCCCATCACAACTCCGCTCCTCGCGCCCACCCTCTCAGAGAAGCCCCCTCCATCTTTCCCCGGCGAAAGCACATGCCTAGACCCACCCTACTCTTTCCGGGGTTCCCCTACCTCGGGCTGCCCTTCCTCGGGCTCTCCCTACCGCCCCGGGCTTCCTCTCCTCCGCACTCCCCTCCCAGGTTCCGTTCCCCTCCGCCCTGCGGAGGGCGCCCCACAAATGCGGACAGGACGCCCCTCGTTCTGCCCTGTCGGACTCCCCCACGTCTTGGTCCTGAATCTCCCGCCCTCCGGGCTCAGCCTTCCCAACATCGCGGTCCCCACACCCCCGCCAGCTCTCCAGGCTCAGGCTCCATGACTCCCCAGCATCGCAGTCCTGGCCACCCCACTACAGCCGTTCAGAGCTCCAGGGCTCCCCAGCATCCTAACCCGTCGTCCCCCCTTCCGGGCTTGGATTCGGAGACTCAACATCGGGGCCCTAAACTCCGGCCCCTGGCCTCAGGTTCCCAACGCTGCGACTCTGGACCTCCCCTCTGAGCTCGGGGTGCGAGGACTCCCCAACGCCGCGATCCTGACGTCCCCGCCTCCCGAGCTCGGGCCCCGGGGCTCCCCGACCTCGCGGTCCCAATACCCAACTCGACCCGTTCCGCGCCTCCCGCGGCGGGACTCACCGGCAGGGGCGGCGGCCGAGCCCGTGCGCGTAGCCCAGCCCGGCCCAGCCCGCGCTCCCGCCTCGGGGTCCCGGCCACGAGCTTCCCGCGGGTGGCTGTGACCGCGGCGGGCTCGGCTCGGGGGAGCGGCCGGGAGGAGGAGACCGCCGGGGGCGGGTGACGCCCAGCTCCGCCCCTTCCCGACCCGGGGGCGGGATGCGCAGACCCGCGCGCTCCGCTGCAGCCCGCGCCGCTGCCGCCGCTGCGAGGAAGTTGACTGACGCCGCTTCCTTCCACCCAGGACGCAGACCCTCGCAGTCCCTGGTAGCTGCAAAAAATCCGGAGAGTTTGAGACAGAGACGCCTTAACCGCCCTCATATTCTTTCCAAGAATTCACCTCTCAGGGGGCCATTTCCGAAGTCCCTCGGGAAGGGCGGAAAACAATAACAAACTTCATCTGCGCTGTCAAGACTGATTTAAATCCTGGCCTTTCTCTCACCACTCTCGGGTGAACGTTCAGGGTCATGCCCATGATATAAATAATGTGATGACATACCACGGAGGCCCTTGCAGACACTTCCACACCCCTAAGATACACCCGCCCAAGACTCGCGCCTCTCCCATGACTACATCACACAGACACATCTGACACTGACCTGCAGAAGATCCCACTTCTACCCTGTGTCCTCAATCCACAGCCTTCGTGGGTCCCAGCAATAGCGACCCACACATACAATCTATTGGAGGCAGGGTGCGGGGGTGGGTTCCACCTCCCGACTTGCTCCTCACCCACAATGTTCTCGGTATTTTACCATGAGAAAAAGACAGTTAAGAAGTTGGATGATCAATTAACAAATCAAGTTGGCTTTGCTTTTAAAAAGCCTTCTTCATTATCTGGAGAAAAGAGAAGGCCTGGGAAGATGGCCTGCTTACTGTAAGATTTTGTCAGACAGGCCTAATTCTGGTCTGCTTACTGTAAGATTTTCTCAGACGGCCTAATTCTGGTCTGCTTACTGTAAGATTTTCTCAGGCCTAATTCTGGTCTGCTGGTTCCCAAAACTTCTCTTATACCACCGTGTTTCAGTGACATGTTGCACAACATCTCACATTTGTACAATGTTTCCATTTTTCAAAACATTTTAGCCGAGTGTGATGGTTCACACCTGTAATCCCAGAACTTTGGGAAGCCAAAGTGGGCAGATTGCTTAAGCCCAGGAGTTCGAGACCAGCCTGGGTAACAAGGTGAGACCCTGTCTCTGCAAAAAATACAAAAATTAGATGGGCGTGGTGGCACACGCCTGTAGTCCCAGCTACTTATTCTCAGGCAAACATCACGAAGCAAAGAAAGTAATCTTAGCAGGATTATTTCAGTTCCATAAATGAAGACATTTAGACTCTGAGCAGTTGCACGGCAGGTTTGAAGCTGAGTCAGAGCCAGGAAAGAGCCCAGGGGCCTGTCTTTAGAGCCACTGATCTCCCCAGGGAATCATAGTCCAGCACTTACTTATAGGTGGATACTAGTGGAAATGTCACAGGAGGTCTTTGGCAGCTTTGCTCCCTCCATCTCTTCTTCACCCCAAAGATGTCAGGGAACTCTCCCTTAACCTCAAAAACCCGGGCTCTCCTTTATCGTCAAAAACCTATGATAGGCCAGAGGTCACAACCGTACAAGAGGGCTTATTGAGAGGGAGTGAAAACTCCTTCCACTTTGGGCCACTCTAGAAACAAAATTACAGGTTAGCACATCTAAAAGCCTATCCACAGCCTTCATCCAACTAACGTGAGCTGTCAGCCGGGAGCTGATGAGCCTCCGAAATGCATTGCTGATTATTTTTGCAGTGTTTTTCTCCCTAACAGTTAATCCATGTGGAATGTGAAGAAGTCTTAAAAGGAGACTAACAAGGCTTCTAATTCTTTCTCAATGGTAAATGTTCCTTTCTTCTTGCCCTTTATCCAAAAGGCAGATGTGAACGTGCATGTAAAGTGTAATGGGTGTCAGGCATTGTTATCTGTGCATGAGGCAGTTCTGTTTCCAAGTGACGCTGTCCAGAGCCACTAAATAAGAATGGTGGTTCTCATCCTTCATGCCTTTTAAAACTACCTTGGTCTCAAGCTAGCTTCTTTTATTTTCTACTGTGAGGTAATGGCCTACTTCCGTTTGGGCAGTAAAAGTGATGTTTTGGTAACACTGGAAAAAGTCCTAGGGTGACCTGGCTATTTTTGAATTATAATAAAAGCCTGTTGGGTCCTTCATAAAAGACAGTTAGGATGGCCTTTGGTATATGGAAATTCACAGCCAACTTTCCTCTATGTAATAATCCCATCTGGCAACACAATTTTGACCTGAGATTTTTCCAAAACCTGGAAACAGCCAAGATCTTGGGTACTGCAGTATTTCCTCAATAAGGAGAATGCTAAACTGCGAATCCAATCAACACGTATCAGACCTAGTTCCCTTTCAGATTGCCCTTGAAAGCCACAGACACAGGCAGTATGCAAAATGATGAAAAAATAGATAAGATTAAAGAGTTATTTTTGTCCGAATCTCTAATAAAATAATTTGATCTATTTTACATTGGATACATACCACATTGACACTGTTTTTATAAACACTCTACTTTGTGTTTACATATCACTTTTCCAAGAAGCTCAAAGTATGTTTGATGACATCATATTACTCAACTTCATACACTTATATGAAGTAGGAAAGGGGTAAAAACTGGTAGTCTTATTGTAACATGGAGAAATGGAAGTGTGAAATAGTTAAAACCACTTGCCTGGAACATTCTGGTATATATACTGGTTTATACTAAAAGTAGACCTGTTTGTGAAAACTGCTACAGTGAAGAGTTATTTAAAAGCTGTACTATTTTTGTTTTCTTTTTATATCTTATGAAAGGACTGAGGACTATTAATTTCTTCACTATCTTGTCAGAGAAAAGGAGAGGCACTTTGCATAGTGGTTAAAAGTGTGGCCTTGGGAGTAAGAGCCTTCAGTAGGTAACTTAACTTTTCTTCTTCCTTTTTTTTTTTTTTTTTGGAGACAGTCTCACTCTGTCGCCCAGGCTGGAGTGCAGTGGCATGATCTCGGCTCACTGCAACCTTGGCCTCTCGGGGTTTTTTTTAAGTAATTCTTGTGCCTCAGCCTCTCAGGTATCGGGAATTACAGGCACACACCACCACGCCCAGCTAATTTTTTGTATTTTTAGTAGAGATGCCGTTTTGCCATGTTGGTCCCAAAGTGCTGGGATTACAGGCATGAGGCACCATGCCTGGCCAGTAACTTAACTTTTCTATACTTCAGAATCCTTATCTCTAACACAAAAATAATAATTGTACCCACATATCTTATAATGAAGGCCTGATTAAATGGGTGAAAAGACAATGACTTCATTTAAGTGGGTTTTTTTTTTTGAGACGGAGTTTCGCTCTTGTCGCCCAGGTTGGAGTGTGATGGCGCAATCTCGGCTCACTACAACCTCCACCTCCCGGGTTCAAGCAATTCTCCTGCCTCAGCCTCCTGAGTAGCTGGGATTACAGGTGCCCACCACCACACCCTGCTATTTTTTTGTATTTTTAGTAGAGACAGGGGTTTCGCCATGTTGGGCAGGCTGGTCTCGAACTCCTGACCTCAGGTGATCTGCCCTCTTCAGCCTCCCAAAGTGCTGGGATTACAGGCGTGAGCCACCGTGCCCAGCTTAGGTGGTTGTTTATGGGATCTTTGTTTCAATGCTTTCTACTTGCAGAAAAGATATACTATCCCAGTGGACTACATAGGAAGAATTTGGGGAAACTTGAATGTCTGTATTTTTTTACCGTGAAGTCAAATCCATCATTCCTTGACATTCCATGATCAGATAGCCATCCATACTTAGTTTTTCTATTTAGATCCCCTGCCAAATGGCCAACTGGGAAAAGTAACCATGATACTAATTTCACATACAGGATGCTAAAGAACTGTGGTTAGTCAGATTAAAAATAAAAATCATGATTTTCTTGTACTGTCTGTCTATTTTATCCATTTAATGGTGGAATGGTAGGGGCTCACTAAAGCTAATTTGATTTTCATTAGGAATTGCTCATGCCATTTTTTCCTTTTTGTTTACTTTTAATAATAACAATTCAGGGAGCAAATAAATTAACCCATGTAGACAAAAAAGAGATGTAGAAATTGCTCCTGGGCCCTCCGTAAGCCCTGGGCACATGTGAGGTTTTGAGGCCTTATATCTGATCTCTCATTCTCTAATGTAACTAGTTCCTAGTTGAAGAGTTTCAGATGGCAAACTATAAGAATAAATGATAAAAGGACTTAGCATTATTTTAAAAGTCTTATCTAATTTATTTATTTTAAAATTTTTAATCGATGCTAATAATGGTACATATTTATGAGGTACATGTAAATGTTGACATATGCATACAATATGTAATGATCAAATCAGGGTATTTAGAGTACCCATCACCTCAAACATCTATCTTTTTAAAAACATTTTTAAATTAATTTTTTTATTTCAATTTACTTTTTATTTTTTTGAGACAGGGTCTCACTCTGTCACCCAGGCAGGAGTGCAGTGGCACAATCACAGCTCACTGCAGCCTCAACCTTCTGGGCTCGGGTGATCCCCCCACCTCAGCCTCTCAAGTAGCTGAGACTACAGGTGCACACCACCATGCCTGACTAATTTTTTGTATTTTTTTTGTAGAGACCAGGTTTCACGATGTTGCCTAGGCTTGTCTCAAACTCCCAGGCTCAAGCGATCCTCCTGCCGTGGCCTCCCACAATGCTGGGATTATGGGCGTGAGCCACCATTATCACTTATTGGTGTTGGGAACACTTCAAATATTCTCTTCCAGCTGTTTTGAAATATATAATATATTGTTGTTAATTATAGTCACCCTACTGTACTGTTGAACACTGGAACTCACTCCTTCTACCTAACTGTGTGTTTGTACTTATTAACCAACCTCTCTTCACTTCCCCCTCCCTTTCCAGCCCCTGGTAACCATCATTCTACTCCATACCTCCATGAAATCAACTTTTTAAGTTCCCACACATGAATGAGATCATATGGTATTTGTCTGTCTGTGCCTGGTTTATTTTACTTAACATAATGACCTCCAGTTCCATCCCTTTTGGTGCAAAGGATTTCATTTTTTATGGCTGAATAGTATTAATAAAATAATATGAATTCCTACAGTCCAACAACATTTGATGTGTGTAAGTGTTCATTTTAACACCTGTTCCTAAACAAAACCCAGATTTAGGAAATACAGTGTGTAATTGGATCATGGTAATTTAACAGCAAATAAAAGTGTAGATATCAAAACACAAGGCCTTTCCTTATTCTCCAGCAGAAATTTGCAACTAAAAAGCCTTAGGGTAAATGGACTTGGTTTCCCTCCTCTTTAAAAGGTCTGACAATTTTGTTTCTTCTATCCACTTTGCTCCTGATTCTCAGTCATTTTATCCTGGGGGAGAGAGGGAGGTGGGCAATTCCTGAGCACTGGGAAAATCAGAAAGATTGAACTTCAGACTGATACCAAAAGCTTCGAGAAGTTAACATTTCTTTTCTTTTCTTTTCTTTTCTTTTTTTTTTTTGAGACAGGGTCTCACTCTCTCACCAGGCTGATGTGCAGTGGTGCGATCTCAGCTCACTACAACCTCCGCCTCCTAGGCTCAAGCAATTCTCCTCCTTTGGCCTCCCAGGCAGCTGGGATTACAGACGCCCGTCACCACACCCAGCTATTTTTTGTATTTTTAGTAGAGACGGGGTTTCACCATGTTGGCCAGGCTGGTCTTGAACTCCTGACCTCAAATGATCTACCCACCTCAGCCTCTCATAGTGCTGGGATTACAAGTGTGAGCCACTGTGCCCAACCAGAAGTAAACATTTTTTACTCTGCCCAACTTCAGTTCAATCTGGACTGTGTTCTAAAAGAAGATTTTGGAGAGAAATTTCTCAGGCTTAGGACTAGAAAAGGAAAGCCATATGAACTCACCCAGGATGAAAAACCGAGGCTTGAACCTCTGGACTTTGCCACACCCCAGCTGGTATACTGATAGCAGCCTGGAAGTGGACAACTCCCTATAGCTCACTTCAGTTTGTCACCTATCATCTAAGTTAGGCTAATGAGCGAAGGCACAGACCCTCCTCTGTTGGACAGCTGGGGGTCAAAATCCCAGGAAGTGACAGAGTGTCCCTGTCCATAGCTCTTTAGTTGAAGCCTTTCTCAGGGATACTTATCTCAGTTCTCTCTTTCTTTAAATAGGATGGGACGGTGAAAATGGCAATCTTGGACAAGATGAGTAGCAATTGCATTATTCATGCTTGACTCTGCCTTGGTTTCAGGGTTTTAATTATCTAAAAAGAAAAAAAAAATCAATGCAACAATTGGCCAGTTTAATTCAGCTTGTGTTTACTGAGTCTGTTTTCACTACAGAGGAGTAAGTCAGGGGGCCAGAACTGGCTGTCCATGTGTCCATCTGGAAGGCCCCTCAGGATAGATGAGACCTGGGCTATATCCCAGCCCAGACCTCAGGGCAGGGCAGATAAATTGGGGTCCTTTCCAGTCCATATTTGCACCCCTGGGGACAAGGCACTGGATGTTGGGCCAAGTTTAAAGTTGTGGTTTTAGTCAAGGGTGACTTCTGTTCTGATGGGAAATAGCATCTTGAGTTGACCTCTCTTGTGATACTTTCATTTTGCAGATCTCTTTTTACTTCTTTGGCTCCTCCGCTGGACTGTAAGCTCCTACGGAGAGAGGTTTGTATACATGATAATCATTGTCCTACCCATATGACATAGCAAATAGTATGTGTTCAAAATATATTTGTTAAATGTGTGAACCAAATAATGTAAATTCTTGGCACATTGAGAATCCACTTAGTCCAGGAGTCCATCATCATTTACTATTGAACCCTTAGAGAAGGCTAGAATGACCTACAAATGTTCCAGAAGAAAACATGCCCCGGGGTGGAAACAAGGAGGACAAGAAGAAGCAGTTAAAGAGAAGCATGTCTTCCAATCTGAGAGGAAGGGAGAGAGAAGGGAAAAGAATGAGCAGGGGTTAATTCTGGTCCCAGCAAGCAGTGCTATGGTAATGAACCGCTCAATTTTTTAAATTGTCAAATTGAATTAAACTGAAGTAAATTGGCCAGGCGTGGTGGCTCACGCCTGTAATCCCAGCGCTTTGGGAGGCCGAGACGGGTGGAGCACGAGGTCAGGAGTTCGAGACCAGCCTGACCAACATGGTGAAACCCCGTCTCTACTAAAAATACAAAAAATTAGCCTGGCATGGTGGGGCATGCCTGTAATTCCAGCTCCTCAGGAGGCTGAGGCAGGAGAATCACTTGAACCCAGGAGGCAGATGTTGCAGCGAGCCGAGACTGCGCCACTGCACTCCAGCCTGGGCGACAGAGTAAGACTCTGTCTTAAAAAGCAAACAAAAAACTGAAGTAAACTGAGTTGCAAGAATTTGACATACTGAAGAAGTATCCTGAATAGTTCAAACTAAAGTAAAATTCTCCTTTGTTCTCCCTCTCAATTAAATTAAAATTCTCTGATTATCCTTCCCACTAGCCTGGGATCCTCCAGCCCTGAGGACATCCAGGAAGAACCCTGGAAGCTACTCTGAGTGTGAAAGCCAGGTTTATCGGGTCTTTCTCCCTAAACGTTCCAGGTAACCTCCAAAAATCATCTGACAGCCTGGGGGTTTTGACAAGAGCCTTCAAATCCTGGCAATGTCAAGGGGAAGTTCCAGCAGGAGGCTTACAAAGCAAGTATTCCCTGCAATAAGGTATGATGACTGAGGACTGACTAAATTAACTAGGGTCTATGCATGATGTGAAATACTGTGCAGTCTTCAAAAATCACATAGACTGTATGGCACAGAGAAATATGCAGTCTGTGGTTCTATGGTTTAGTAAAACAGAGCAGGTTATAGTGCAGTGTGATCCAATTTTTTTTTTCTTTGAGACAGAGTCTCACTCTGTCGCACAGGCTAGAGTGCAGTGGCACGATCTCGGCTCACTGCAGTCTCCACCTCTTGGGTTCAAGCGATTCTCCTGCCTCAGCCTCCTAAGCAGCTAGAATTACGGGAGTGTGCCATGCCTGGCTAATTTTTGTATTTTTAGTAGAAACGGGGTTTCACCATGTTAGCCAGGGTGTTCTTGAACTCATGACCTCAGGTGATCTGCCTGCCTTGACCTCCCATAGTGCTGGGATTACAGGTGTGAGCCACCATGCCCAGCCAAGTGATCCTTTTTTTTTTCAAAGAAGATACGCTGTACATGCACTGCAAAAAAAAAAATAAATAAAGAGAAAGAAGCTGTACATTTATAATGACATTTCCAGGATAACATTTAAAAAATTATTTCCAATATTTTCCAAATATTCTTTATAAAATAAATACATACGTAAATGGCTGTCGCTAATTTCTCGGTATGTACATACAACTCTAATGGGCTATAATTAGCTATAGATTATTATACAACAAAAATACAGTAAAGTTAATTATAGCAATTGTGATGGTGATGTGTGGGGTGCTTTGTGAACATCCTGTGCTTCTGAGCTCATAACAACAACAAATATTTATTCTCTTTTAAATTAGATGTTAAAAGAGGTAACTTGCTACAGGCAACCAAAAACTGTCAGAGTCAGTTCATCATCTGTGGTACAGCAGGTGTGGGTGGCAGGGAGGTCAGTCTTGGCGTGCTCAGACTTCCAGGAACCTGAGATTCATAGGCAATGAGCCCCCTTCTAACGGCCACTAATGGGTACATCTGGTCCTTTGACTAGCAGCATTGGATCTGAGCAGTCTGCCTTCTACCTATGCTTCTCTTTAATGGTGCATTTGACATCTCTTGTCCCCTCTATTAAATCAGGACTGGAAAAGAATTGTGCCAGTGGATGCAATTCTATTGAGATTGAGTCCAGCAAACGCTGCAGCAGGATGAGGCCTGACTGCTTTAAATCTCTCTCTTTTTCTCTTTGGACAAATCCAATTAGCCCTGATCCCTCCACATTTCTGACAAGGGGTCAGCAAATTGTTTAGGTCAGAAGGGAAGTACCTTATTACAATGCCATGAAGACACTAAATAAAATTTAGTCTGGGGACAAAGGGGACACATGGCTATTGCTCAGTATGCAATATTCTATTATTAATTATTTCATCCATTCAGAATATATTTATTGAAAACCACCTAGGTGCTAAAAGCACTTTGCTAAGATCTCAGGACAAAGAAATGAACATGGTGCAATCTTCACTCTCTGATCTAGTGGAGAAAACATATTTAAAGAAATGATGACAATGCAGTGTTACAAGGGCTACAAGAAAGGTACACTAGACACTATGAAAAAAACAGAAGAGGCATTCCTAGCTCTCTAGTTACCAAGCTTTTTAGTGTTGGGAGGGTCAGCAAAAGCTTAGGGTGAGTCATGAAGGCTGAGACTAATAAGCAGACAAGAGGGGAGGAAAGCATTCAGGGCTGAGGAATAGCAGGTGCAAAAGCACAGAGGCACACAGCAGTATGACACTTACAGGAAAAAAATCATGGGTGCAACTCCTGCTTATACCCCTCAGCATGGAAGAGAGAGCTATACAGTCCGTGACCAAATAGTTTGACCGTTAGTCACCTCATCACACACATGGAGTATAAAAGAAAGTAAACACAGTCCTTTACTTTGGGTTCCCATGACATGCTCTGACTCATATAAAATCCTCAGGGGAACAGATATTCAGGAGCAGCTCCTCTTCCTGTTTCACTCAACCTACCAGTTCCTCTAACTAGCACCAAGATTTAGTATCGACTTTCGCAGTGGCTGTGTGGTCAGCACCTTGTGTAAGCAAGGGCAGGAGAGTCATCTCTCCTCTGGGCTCTCTGCTTGCTTTCTCCTTCCCCATTTCTTTGGCCCATTTAAATGTTTGCATTCCCTCCACTCCCAGCTCTGCCCAGTGTCATCGTTGTCCTCCTCCTCCTCCTCCTCATTCTTCTTTCTTCCTCTTCCTCCTCTTGCCCTTCCCTTTCCCCTTCCTTCCCTTCTCTTCTCTCTCTCTCTCTTTTTTTTTGTTTTGTTTAGAGATAGGGTCTCTTTCTGTTGCCCAGGCTGGGGTGCAGTAGCACAATCATAGCTCACTACAGCCTTGAACTCCTGGGCTCAAGCAGTCCTCCTGCCTCAGCCTCCTGAGTAGCTAGGACTACAGGCACATACCAGCACATCTGGTTAACTTTTTGTTCAAATGGGGTCACCATATGTTGCCCTGTCTGGGCTCAAACTCCTGGCCTCAAACAACCCTCTCGCCTCAGCCTCCTAAAGTGCTGGGATTACAAGTGTGAACCACTGCACCTGGCCTCTTCTTATGTTCAGTCTTAGGTACATTTTAAGTCACTCAATTTCATCCACTGCTGCTACTGGACTGGGTCAGGAGCTTCAAATCAAGTAGGTGGGGGGATAGAGCCCATGAACTGGCCTTAGGCTCAAATATCTGAAAAAGATCATCAGGCCTTTCATGTGGTCTAGTTTAGCCACCTGATAACTTATGATATTAAAAGAAAATCTGTCAACTTCTCTGCCTTAGAGAGCATTCTCAGCTTGGTGATGTGCAAACCATGAAGCCTGGGGAAGGTTAAAGAGAAAGAAAATCTATCCTACCAAATGGGAGGAACCATCGCAAGATATGAGACTGGAGAAGTAAGCCGGGCTCACATTTTGAAGGACTTTGCATATCCTGAGAAGGAACTTGAACTACACAATGATTTTCCACCAGAGCTGGGGAAGAAGGATAAACCCCCTTCATGTCCTCAAGCTCTATTGATGTGGACCTCTGCTCTGATGGGAGCAAGTTATAGCCCTCAGGTGCTGGGTTGCTTGCTATTGGAGATAAAAAATTATAAGCAGGGAATTCACACGAAGAGATATTTTGTTTTTGAAAAATCTTGCTGGCAGCAGTGTGGGAGAAGGATCTGAGACTTAGCAAGGCTCCAGGCATGAGACACTGGGACAAGGACACTGGTTAGAAAGCAGTTGTAGGTGCGAGATGCTAAGAGCTTGAAGGAAGGCAAGGTTACTGTGGCTGAAGAGCAAACACCAGATCCAAGAGGTATTCATAATTAAAGGCAAAGTCAGTAGCATTTGGTGGCTAATTATAGGTAGGAAGCTGGATCCTATGCTGTGCATTCATATAGATTTCCGTATTTTCCATGTCGTAGTTTTTTATCTCACTATGTTGGAATTTCTTATTAAAGCCTTCTCCATGACAGCTAAAATCATGTGAATCTTGTTCACGGCTATGCTCCCAGGACAAAGCACACTGCCTGATAGATACAAGTCTTTTAAAAAGTTAGCTAAATGTATAAACAAACAAATAAATGAGATGAAGAATTACCTGCACATAGAAGGCCTAAGTGACTGGTGGTTAGGGAAATTACCAACTAACAGAGGAAGTAGAGGAGGAAAAGGAGATTTGATTCAAAAATTGCAGTTTCATTTTGGTCATGTTTTATTTGAGGTATCTATGGGGTCACCAGGGAAAATACTCAGCTGCAATTGAAGACTGGGGCGAGTTCTGGTCTGGTATGATAGATGAGGAGGTTGTTAGTGGACATTCATAGCACAGGTATAAGTAGGACAAGTACAGGTTGAGAGGGTAAAAAAAGAAGACAAATGACAAAGAAGTTACTTCTTTTTTTTTTTTTTTTGAGACAGAGTCTCGCTCTGTCGACCAGGCTAGAGTGCAGTGGCGCGATCTCGGCTCACTGTAACCTCCGCCTCCCAGGTTCAAACGATTCTCCTGCCTCAGCCCCCCAAGTGGGTGGGACTATAGGCATGTGCAGCCATGCCAGGCTAATTTTTTGTAGTTTTAATAAAGATGGGGTTTCATCGTGTTAGCCAAGATGGTCTCGATCTTCTGACCTTGTGATCCGCCTACCTCGGCCTCCCAAAGTGCTGAGATTACAGGTGTGAGCCACTGCGCCCAGCCCAAATAAGTTATTTCTTTTTTTTTTGAGATAGAGTTTCGCTCTTGTTGCCCAGGCTGGAGTGCAATGGCATGATCTTGGCTCACTGCAGCCTCTGCCTCCTGGGTACAAGTGATTCTCCTGTCTCAGCCACCATGCCCAGCTATTTTTTTTTTTTTTTTTTGGAAACAGAATTTCACTCTTGTTGCCCAGGCTGGAGTGCAATGGCACGATCTTGGCTCACTGCAACCTCCGCCTCCCAGGTTCAAGCGATTCTACCACCTCAGCCTCCCGAGTAGCTGTGATTACAGGCATGTGCCACCACACCCGGCTAATTTTGTATTTTTAGTAGAGATGGAGTTTCCCATGTTGGTCAGGCTGGTCTCGAACTCCTGACCTCAGGTAATCTGCCCGCCTTGGCCTCCCAAAATCCTGGGATTACAGGCATGAGCCACCGCACCCGGCCTATTTTTATTTTTTTATTTTTTTGTATTTAGTAGAGACGAGGTTCCACCATGTTAGTCAGGCTGATCACAAACTCCTCACCTTAGGTGATCCACCTGCCTTGGCCTCCCCAAGTACTGGGATTACAGGCGTGTGCCACCGTGCCCGGCCCAAAGAAGTTATTTCTAACCAGAAGGCTGGCAAGTTATTTTGGTTTTGTCACTTTTTTATTTCTATGGAGTTATAATTCACATACCATAAAATTCACCTGTCTTTTTTCTTTTTAGAGACAGAGTCTCACTCTGTCGCCCAGGCTGGAGTACAGTGGCACAATCATAGCTCACTGCAGCTTTGATATCTGGGGCTCAAGGGATCCTCCCATCTTAGCCTCATGAGTACCTAGAACTGGAGGTGCACACTACCACACCCAGCTAATTTGTTCACAGAGATGAAGTCTTGCTGTGTTAACCAGGCTGGTCTTAAACTCCTGTGTCAAGTGATCCTCCTGCCTTGGCCTCTAAAGTGCTGGGATTACAGGCATGAGCCACCATGCCCAGCCAAAATTCACCATTTTTTAAGCGTCTAATTAAGTGGGTTTTGGTATAATTAGAAGGTTGTACAATGGTCATCATTATCTAATTCCAGAATATTTTTGTCATCCTCAAAAGAAACCCCACATCCATTAGCAGTCACTCTGCATTCCCTGTTGCCCCTAGCTCCTGGCAACCACTAATTATGCTTCTGTGTCTGTGAGTTTGCCTATTGTGGATATTTCATACAAATGGAATCATATAATATGTGGCTTTTGTGTCTGTTTCCACTTAGCATAACGTTTTCAAGCTTCATCCATTTTGTAGGGTGCATCCGTACTTTATTCAGAAGACTGGTGTTTAACTTTTAGCAAAAGTTTTTGCATTCCCATCCTTGACTTAGAAGGCTTTCCCACACCTTTAGAGTACATCCTTCAAAATCCAAATGGAGGAATGTCTCTTTATTAATCCATAGAATTTGGAAAATCTTTATGCTGAAAGGAGCTGTAGAAAGCATCCTCAGCTGCTCCCTGAAGGCGTCCCTGACTAGTCTAGCCACAGGAAACTCTTTTCTGACTCCTAGGGCACTCGCTGTGTAGGCTATACAATTAAATGCCTAGTTCTGTAAATGTTCACTGTGTCTGACTTCTCAAATCAGTGTGAAAACTTCTGGGGGCAGAGTGTAAGAGGTATCTTATGCTGTATTTTTCCTTTATTGTTTGCAATACTTAGCACACTATTGTATGGAACTCTTACCTATAATCAAATAAAAACCAAAATGGCACTTAATCCCTCTAATTGCTAAAAAGTTTCCAGGAACATTATTACTTCATTTTTTAAAAGGGTTGACTGTTTCTTTCTTATACTCTGTAATGTACTCTTGGATTCTTCCTTATACTCTTGGATTACTGCTCAATTCACAACAATTATTCTCCATTTTCTGAAAATTGGTCCTCTTTTTTCCTCATCCCAGGCTGATATTTAGCTAGAATGCCCTGGTCTGGCTCTGGAACCAGTGGATTGTTAATGGCTTGTGTCCATTCTCAATGGTTCTGCCCATAACATACCAATTGTTAAAACTGTCAGTATCCCTCCTATGCCACCATCCACATAGTAATATCAACAGGATCCTAGCCTTGTCACAGTTAGATTGTCCAAGTAAGGGTACCTGGCCCAAGCTTTGCCAATTAGATACCCTTCAAGAGGAATTTGGATTAGGTTCATCCTTGCTATGTGATATTTTGAACAACAACAACAACAACAAAAAGTAAACTCAGGCGATGTTGGCAGCATGCTAACTGGAAAACCAGGTGAAACTTGTCTCAGCAGATGACAGAGATAAGAGAGTGAACTAGTTCTAAAGAGAAGAGCAGCTGCAAGAGATGAATCTAAATTCTTAGGGGCATTCAAGTCCCTGCTTCCATTCATTCTGGCAAGCTGGCTGTATCTCTGCCCTTGACTTCCATTACATGCCCATGTATCTTTATGTGTTGAGCTAATGTATTGAGGTACCCATATTCTTGTTTATTGGAGGCAAAGAATCGGAAAGAAGAAGAGCTATTTGTTTTATCCATTCTCCTTCACTGCCTCCTCTGACCATTTCACCAACCCCCAAACACTTTCACCCAGACCGATGTTCCCCTGGTATGCGTCTTTGTAGTTATAGCAGTTGTTAAATACTTTGAATAGCATCCCTTCTCAACCCTTGACCCCTGCACCTACACACACCCTATCCTACATGCTCCTCCCAGCACAATGAGATGGAAGAACAGAATTAGATCTTGTTTGAGCCAAAGAAAATTTACTAATGTCCCATTCCTTGCAAACTAGAGTTTCTAATAAACATCTCTTTTGATCTTTAGCTAGCTCGAGTTTCTGTTGCCAATAACCAGAAGAGTTAAAAGCATTCAGAATGCTTTTAATATAGGCATAAAGATTTTTAAAAATAGAGTCAGAAGAGACGTTAGAAGTCACTTTGTCATTTGACAGATGAGGAAACTGAGACCCAGAAAGCTAAAGAACCTGGTCTGATAGCACACAGATGTGTCAGAGTGAAGACTGAAGGGCTTCTTATATTCACTCTAGAGGCCTGTCCCTTCAATACTCCCTCCTTCTTAGTCTCATACCCCCAGCATCATGGAAATCTGGAATATTCTTGCATTATTTAATGGCAAATATGAATTGGTGTTTGTGCTATTTACCCTGATTATTGTCACTAGTAAGGAGGGTATAACTGCATTTTAGGGAGTGTGTGTGATTTTTTTGAATCAAATCTTGTTGAATTTTTAGGAGATTTTGACTGTGGCTGACAAGTGAGAATTTCTACATGCTGTGGCATAGTGGTTTAATTTGGTAATTGTTAAATAAAGGCAACATTGAACTGGATAGGACACATTAGGAGGATTTTCTGCTCTTTGTTTTTGTTATTACCAAGTCCTCTGACCATCTCTACCTAATAACCCCACCTTAGTGTGACATACCCAGCAACTATCTACTCTTTGCCTTATGGTTTCCACTGCCACTTACCCCTTCCTCTGTCCTAGTCTAAACTTGGCAAAGGAAAAAGAAGAAACCTAGAATGTCTTGAGTCATCAAGGATGTACTGTATCACTGGTTGTTAAATGGTTCTTTCATGGCCGAGTCCCAAACAGGCTGCAGATAGCATGTGTCTTGCCAGGCACAGAAAATGTCTAATGTCTAGCCAGATGCTTTGAGCATGCCAAGGTGAAACATGATCACAGTCTGTAGGTACTCCCTATGTCTGCCAGGATAGAGTACCTCTCATCTAAGGGCCTGTTTGAAAAACTCCAAACTGGATGAACTCAGGAAGTTTAATCGATCCTTCCCAGGTAACAACTCTGTATTTTGACCCAACCTGAATCACGACTTTCAGTGCACCTATAGATACATCATTTAAATCTTCTCTGTTTCAGTTTGTTTATGCAAAATATACTTTTGACTTCTGAGTCCCTGTTATTCAGAATCTCATGGCTTTGTCTATGCTATATATTTTTCTTTTTCTTTTTTGAGACAGGGTCTTGCTTTGTCGCCCAGGCTGGAGTGCAGTGGCACAATCATGGCTCATGACAGTCTCAACTTCCTGGGCTCGTGCTATCCCACCTCAGCCTCCTGAATAGCTGGGACTACAGGCACATGCCACCACACCCAACTAATTTTTTGGTTTTTTTTTTGTTTTTTTGTAGAGATGGGGTTTTGCCACATTGCTCAGGCTGGTCTCAAACTCCTGAGCTCAAGCAATCCACCTGCCTTGGCCTCCCAAAGTGCTGGGATTACAGGCATGAACCACTGTGCCCAGCCATATATTTTTCACTTGTCACCAAAATAATTATTTATAGCTAAATAACCATTGTTTATTCCAGGCTGTGTACTTTTTTTTTTTTTTTTTTTTTTTGAGGTGGAGTCTCACCCTGTCACCCAGGCTGGAGTGCAGTGGTGCAATCTCAGTTCACTGCAAGCTCCTGCCTCAGCCTCCTAAGTAGCTGGGACTACAGGTGCATGCCACCATGCCCAGCTAATTTGTTTTTTGTATTTTTAATAGAGATGGCATTTCACTGTGTTAGCCAGGATGGTCTCAATCTCCTGACCTCGTGATCTGCCCACCTCAGCCTCCCAAAGTGCTGGGATTACAGGTGTGAGCCACCGTGCCCAGCTGGCTGTATACTTCTTGAAAGCAAATACTATCAAGTATTTTGTGTACAGCCCAGAATGCTGCCAGGATAGCAGTATTTAAGAATCCATTAAAATCTTGCATATAACTACTTCATTATCATACTTCAATTTAATTTGGCAAAAGCATATTGACTCCCTTCTGGAGTACATATTTGTTTCTGCCTGGCACATTTTCCTTTAGAAACACACCCTCCCTCACACCACAGCACTGACAATCACATCCCCTGGCTTATGGGAAAGGAATAGACCCAGGCTGGCCAAGCACTGTTTCTTACCCCCTTGGCCACAGGGATGGGAATGTAACTCAAACTGGACCATTTGAACTGGACCACCAGGACTGGCAGGAATCATTAGTAAAGAGATAAACTTTTTTTCTGCTTTGTCTGCTAAATGAGGACCACAGAAGCCCAGTGCTGCCGTGGCATGCAGATCACCATTTTGAGAGACATTGAGAATTAAGCCATGGACCCAGTTCTGGCCCATGCGACATAAAGAGAATCTGCTGGTCATGGCTCTGGAAAAACATCTGTTAGTAAAGGAGACAGTCTATGGTCCCTTCTGTTTTATCCTCCCTCCTGAATTGAATGCAAATGTTAAGGTTGGATTTGAAGCAGTTATCTTGAGACCATGAGGGAAAGACCAAGAGAATCACAGAATCACAGAGATGTCAGTCCTGATATCTTCAAGCTACCCAAACAATAACTAGCAATTACTTGCTGTAAACAAGGATTGGCAAACTGCAGCCCCCATGGCAAATCTGTTTATATGCCTCAGGGTGCGCCTGAGCAGGCTAGCACTGGGAGCCAAGAGACTAAGCCAAGGCATCCTCTGCCCCTACTTTCCCTTCTGCTCCCAGCACTTGCCCCCAGGCCAGTAGGCAGGTATGCATTGCAGTGCCTAGGGCCCAGCTGATTGCCACCAACACATTGGGGACTCCATTGTTGACAGCTGTTGGGCACTGAGTGCTGGAATCTCACTCCAGGAGTTGGTGACCCTGCAAGCCACCTTGTCTCTGGTTAGCTGCCCAAATTGATGTGGCTGGGCTTGCCAGGAGTAGAGAAGGGTGCACAGGGCACTGGATGTTACCGGGGTGGAGAGTGAAACTGACCATGGGGGGTTGGCAATATTTATTACACACCTGGCTGGCCAGGCCCCTCCTTGGGCTGATAAGCTCTTTCTTCCAAGACTGTCTGCAGCAGAAGGCAACTGGATGCAAAGCATGCCCACCTCAAGCAAATAGGACAGGGAGGATTTTATTTTCTGTTATATAAGTGCCTACACAATATCTTCAATTTTGCCGCTTAGTCTGCAAAGTATAAAATATTTACTCTCTGGACATAGAAAAGGTTGTCAACCCTTGCTCTAGGCAATACTTGTTATGGCAAAAGAAAAATCTCTTCTTTTCCCACCCTCCCTCCCTCTTTCTCCTTCCTTCCTTCCTTCCTCTTTCTTCCTTTCTTCTTTTCTTCCTTTCTTCTGTCTTTCCTTTCTTTCCTGTATTAGGTTGTTCTTGCAATGCTATAAAGAAATACAGCCGGGCACGGTGGCTCACGTCTGTAATCCCAGCAATTTGGGAGGCCAAGGTGGGCGGATCACCTGAGGTCAGGAGTTCAAGACCAGCCTGGCTAACATGACGAAACCCTGTCTCTACTAAAAATAAAAAAATTAGCCGGTTGTGGTGGCGGGCACCTGTAATCCCAGTTACTCAGCAGGCTGAGGCAGGAGAATTGCTTGAACTCAGAAGGCGGAGGTTGGAGTGAGCTAAGATCGCACCACTGCACTCCAGCCTGGGGAACAGAGCAAGGCTCTGTCTCAAAAAGAAGAAAAGAAAGAAATACTTGAGACTAGGTAATTTATAAAGAAAAAAGGTTTGATTGGCTCATGGTTTTGCAGGCTTTGCTGGAAGCATGGTGCTAGCATCTGCTTGGCTTCCAGGGAAGCCTCAGGAAGCTCACAATCATGGCAGAAAGGCAAAGGGGGAGCAGGCAGGTCACAGGGCAGAGCAAGAGAGAGAGTGGTGGGGGGAAGGTACCACACACCTTTAAAAAACCAAATCTCACGAGAACTCACTGTCACAAAGAGAGCACCAAGCCATGAAGGATCCACCCCCGTAATCAAAACACCTCCCACCAGGCCCCACCTCCAGCATTGGGGATTAAAATTCAACATGAGATTTGGGCAGGGACAAATATCCAAATGATATCAAATATTTTTGTCCACTTTTTCTGCGGTTTGTAGTCAAAAGCATTCCTAACTTATATTAATAAGTGAGACTTCAATAGCCAAAGATGCTTCAGGGAGAGAATTTTTGGCACAAAGCACAGCCTTAACAGGAGTACAGAAATAGGGAGCCTAAGGGCCATGTATGAGGAAAGCAAGACCTCTAGTGTGGCTTGAGAACAAGGTTACTAAGGCCAAGTAACTGAAAACATTTTTTAAAAATTGCGGGTCATAGGCCGGGTGTGGTGACTCATGCCTATAATCCCAGCACTTTGGAAGGCCGAGGCAGGCGGATCGCCTGAGGTCAGGAGTTTGAGACCAGCCTGGCCAACATGGCAAAACCCCATCTCTACTAAAAATACAAAAATTAGCTGGGTGTGGTGGCAGGCGCCTGTAATCACAGCTACTTGGGAGACTGAGGCATGAGAATTGCTTGAACCCAGGAGGAGGAGGTTGCAGTGAGCTGAGATTGTCCCACTGCACTCCAGTCTGGGTGACAGAGTGAGACTCTGTCTCAAAAAAAAAAAAAAAAAAATGCAGGTCATGCCCATTCATTGGCCATGCAATCAATTTAGTGGGCTGTAACCAGCATTTGTTTAGTTTTGTTATCTACATGAATTTTTAATAGCTTTATTTATAATAGCACCAAAGTGGAAACAACCCAAATGTCCTTCAACTGGGAAACAGTTAAACTGTGTTACATCCATGTCATGGAGTACTACTCAGCAACATAAAAGAATGAATCATTGATACAGGAAACAACTTGAATGAATCTCAAGGGAATTATGCTAAGCCAAAAAAAAAAAAAAAAGCAATATTAAAAGGTTATTTACTAAATGGTCCATTTTCACAATATCATTGAAATAGCAAAATTATAAAAATGGAGAACAGATTAGTCCAATGGTCCCCAAACTTTTTAACACCAGAGACCAGTTTCATGGGAGACAATTTTTCCATAGATGGGGAGTAGGGGTATGGTTTCGAGATGAAACTGTTCCACCTCAGATCATCAGGCATTAGGTTCTCAGGAGGACCATGAAACCTAGATCCCTAGCATGTGCAGTTCACAATAGGGTTCCACTCCTATGAGAATCTAATGCGGTGGCTGATCTGACAGGAGGCGAAGCTCAGGCAGCAATGCTTGCTCACCTGCCACTCACCTCCTGCTGTGCAGCTTGGTATCAGAAAATGGCCGGAGGTTGGGGACCCCTAGATTAGTAGATGCCAAAGGTTAGGGGAGGAGGAAGAGCAGGATGTGGCTGTGGTTTTAAAAGTGCAGCATGAGGAATCCCCAGGATGAAACTTCTCCATATCCGACTGTGGTGGTGGTCATACAATTCTACACCTGTGATAAACTATGTAGAACTAAATGTACACACACACACACACACAAGTGGGTGCATGTAAAACTGGTGAAATTTGAACAAGATGAGTGTATTGTATCAACATCAACTTCCTGGTTGTAATATTGTACTATAGTTATGCAAGATGTTACATTGAGGGAAACTGGTGAAGGGTATGGGAGATTTCTCTGTAACATTTCTTACAATTGTGAGTCTACAAGTATCTCAAAATAAAAAGTTAAGAAATATATGAAACACAACATGGTGGCTGGAGGTTGGCAAGGTCCATGAGAAAAGGATACAAGATGTTACTGAAAGATAGAGGAATGTGTTCATAACAGAGATTGGGAGTGCTGAGAATATCAATGTGCAGCAAGCCAACTCCTTTCAACTGAAACTTGTTATATCAACACTAATGCAAACTTCCTTTTTACTCACTTAATTCTATTTCAAGTGACTAAAGATCTGCTATATTTTAGGTAACTTGACAGAACATTTTCTACTGGCTTCCCTTGAATTAAATTTTAAAAAATGAGCTCTTCTTGGGGGAAACTTTGAATGTATAAACACTTTTTTTTATATTGAAAATGGTACTTACTTCATTTCCTGTTCATATATGTAAATGACAAAAAAAGACTTTTCTTAAAATATTCAATATGTCACTAAACAACTGATTCTTAAAATTAAAGACAGAAATAGGCCAGGTGCAGTAATCCCAGCACTTCGGGAGGCCGAGGCAGGTGGATCACCTAAGGTCAGGAGTTCGAGACCAGCCTTGCCAACATAGTGAAACCCTGTCTCTATTAAAAATACAAAAATTAGCTGGGCATGATGGTGCACGCCTGTAATCTCAGCTATTCGGAAGGCTGAGGCAGGAGAATCGCTTGAACCCGGAAGGCGGAGGTTGCAGTGAGCCGAGATCACACCACTGCACTCCAGCCTGGGTGAAAGAGCAAGACACTGTCTCAAAATACATAAATAAATAAATTAAATTAAAGACAGAAAGAAAACCTTATTACTATGATGCATCTCAAGGTAAGGTAGGAGCTCTTAATATTTTTGTAACAATTGAATATAAAAGTTTAAAATGCATCGTGCCACTGCACCGCAGCCTGGGCGACAGAGTGAGACTCCATCTCAAATGAAATAAAATAAAATAAAAGTTTAAAATGCTTGTATATACAATATTTCCTATTGTGAGTGATAGTCAAAAGTGAAATGTTTAAGAAACACTGTAATAGAAAATGTTGAAAAGGTAGGCTGGGGCTAGATTGTGAATGTCAGTCTGAGGAATTCTGGTTTCTAGCTGCCTTCCATGAGGAGCCCTGAGGGCTTTTCAGGAGGGAAATGGCTAACCATATACAGAGAAACAATAGACTAAAGGGTGAGAGAGACAAACTAGTGGGCAATAAATTATGTCAGTGGGCTGCAGGCTCTAGAGGGGCAGAAAAGAAAGTGTATTCTTGGGTTACTTTCAGTGCAACTGATAGAAATAGAGCACAACCTCATGTAAGCAAAAGAATGCATTTATTAGTTGACATAACTGGAAAGAATGTGAGGTAATTTAAAAGAACCAAACAAAATGAGCTGCAGGAAACCAAAGCTTCAGTGACAGCATGGCGACTTATTACTGCTATGTCTTTCCTCTCTCCATAAGTTTGGCCTCATTCATTTCTGCACAGAGGCCCTGTGATTGTGGTGGTAAAGACAGTGCCCATTAGTCTGGGATTCACTTCCTTCTCCAACTTAGCAAGCCTAAAGAACTTTGTCCAGAATCCAGACATCAATCAGCTCCGAGAGGCCCTGCTTTGGTGACATGCCCATTCCTTGCTCTGAATCTTTTACAAGGTTTCAGTTAGAGTGCTTTTGGCTGAGAGTTACTGATACCCATTTAAAAATGGCTTAAATAATGAGGATGATATAATACTTTACTTACAAGAAGTTATGAGGTTCATATAGTGACTCAGGCTAGGCGCAGTGGCTTGTGCCTGCAATCCCAGCACTTTGGGAGGCCAAGGTGGGCGGATCAAGAAGTCAAGAGACCAAGACTGGGCTAGGCGCAGTGGCTCATGCCTGTAATCCCAGCATTTTGGGAGGCCGAGGTGGGCGGATCACAAAGTCAGGAGATCGAGACCATCCTGGCTAACATGGTGAAACCCTGTCTCTACTAAAAATACAAAAAATTAGCTGGGCATGGTGGCGGGTGCCTGTAGTCCCACTTACTCAGGACGCTGAGGCAGGAGAATGGCATGAACCCAGGAGGTAGAGCTAGCAGTGAGCCAAGATTGTGCCACTGCACTCCAGCCTGGGTGACAGAGGGAGACTCCAACTGAAAAAAAAGAAAAAAAAAAAAAAAGAGATCAAGACCATCCTGGCCAACATGGTGAAACCCCACCTTTACTAAAAATACAAAAATTAGCCAGGTGTGGTGGTGTGTGCCTATAATTCCAGCTACTCGGCAGGCTGAGGCAGGAGAATCGCTTGAACCCAGGAGGCAGAGGTTACAGCAAGCCAAGATTCTACCACTGCACTCCAGCCTGGCAACAGAGCAAGACTCTGTCTCAAAAAAAAAAATAAAAAATAAAAAATAAAATAATATATATATATATATATATATATATATATATAGACTCAATAACATCAGGGTCCCTGGTAGACTTCTCTGCTGTTCTCTTAACTTTCCCTTCAAGGGCAAGATGGCTCCTGCATATCCTAGAATCATATCAAGTAGCAAAGTCTAGGGCAGGAAGAAACAAGTCCTTGACTTGCATCCATATTAAGGGTGAGGAAAGTGTCCCAGGAAATATCCTCTTAAATTTTATGGAATAGGATACACATGTTGGCATAGCCTGTCGTTGGTGAGGCAAACTGGATAAAATATGGCTGGCTTGGACCAATTAACCCTATACCCGCTAGAGTTGGAGAGGTGCCCTCAAAGCACATGGTTTCCCAATATCTAAAACATAATTAGTATTCTAACAGAAAGAACATACAGAAAAATAGTCAGTATGTATGCAACTAACATATCTTCCAGGCAATGAGAATGGGACATTGTACTTGTTTCCTATTGCTGCATAAAAATTTATCACTAACTTAGTGACTTAAAACAAGATGCGTTTCTTTTTTATTTTTTATTATCTTTATTTTTCTATCTTTGGGGGGCACAAGTGCAGGTTTCCTATATGCATATATTGAATAGTGGTGAAGTCTGGGCTTTTAGTGTACCCATCACCTGAATAATGCACATTGTAACCAATAGGTAATTTTTCAACCCAAGATGCATTTCTTATCGCACAGTTTCCATAGGTCAGGAGTACAGCTCCTGGCACAGCTTACCTGGATTTTCTGCAAGGCTGAAATCAAGGGGTTGGCCAGTGCTGGGTTTTTACATGGAGGCTCAATTGCAAAATATCTTATTCTAAGCTCACTGAGGTTGTTGACAGAATTTGTTTCCTTGTAGCTGTAGGACTGAGGTCTGTGGATTCTTGCTGGCTGTTGGCTTGAGGCTGTTTTCACCTCCTAGAAGCTGCCCACAGTTCCTTGTCAGGTGGGCTTTCCCCACATGGCTACGAATTTCATCAGAACAGCAATTAAAGTCTCCAGAGCAAGTCTCCTAGCAAGATGAATCTCATACAATGTAATGTAATTATGAACGTGACATCGTCTCACCTTTGCCATAGTCTATTGCATAAAAGGAAGTTATAGTTTCTACCTACACTTAAGGGGAGAGGGTCACATGAAGGCATGAACGCCAGGAAGTGGGGATCCTGTGGGGGTCACCCTAGCATCTATCTGCCGCATACACTATGAGTAGCCAGGCCTGGGTCACATACCCAGCTCAGTTACCAGAAGAAGAAAGATGAAAAAGCTTTCTGGGAAATTAAAAATATAATTCCTTCAGTTCACATAAAAATGGAAGAGACATTCTGAATATATAATTGCCGTGACTTGGCAGCCATTGAGTGTCGTGTAGGGAAGGGAGGAAATAAAGATGACTCAGGGCCCCAAAGCCAGTCAGCGACTGGAAAGAGGACAATGCTATTATTGAATTTGAGGACTTAAACAGAACAAGAAGAGAAGGGAGTAAGATGGAGATTTATCTGAAGTTCCCATAGGAAATCCTCATGGAGTTGCCTACCTGGAGCTCAAGACAAGGCCCGAGACATAGATTGGGACCTAATCTACCTAGAAGTAGAGGAGATTTACAGCTGTGGGAATGGATGACACATTTGTGTTTGCAGCAGTAGGTGACCATTTCCTCCTACGTGCCTGCTCAAAGGCTTTCAAATTGCCACTGAAACTCCTTAAGCTTACAGAGTCTTTCATGGTTTAGCTCTTGCTTACCTCTCTAGATTCTTGATTGACCTTCTCCCTAGAACACTATTACACTTCTTACAGGTCTCCAAAAATGCCATGTGCTATTTTCTCTAAGCCTTTGCTTACCATTTCTCACTGCATGAAACATTCTTCACCCCTCCCCTTATCATTGCCTGGCCTTGTATCTTTTGGGTCTCCATGTAGATTATACACTCTGGAAAGCCTTCCATGACACCAACTTAGATTGTCCCCTCTATGGGCTTTAAGAGCGTGTGGTACAGCCCCTTTCTGTAGTTCCAATAGCACTGTATTGTCATTACCTACTTACTTTTCTCTTATGAAACTATAAGCTTCTTGAAGATAGGGATGGTGTCTAGCCACTTTCTTAGCACAGTGTTTAGTAAATGGAAGATGCTTAGTAAGCATTTGTTAAATGAATGAGGAGTGAGTGTTAACTTATTTCTCTCTCAGTTCAAACTCCTTTGCTTCTAAGTGTCAGAAAGCCCAATCCAAAGAGCTTAAGCAAAAAGAGGAATTCGCGGCTCATATAAGCAAAGAAGTCTAGAGGAGTGTCGTGCCCATCATTGAACCAATCGTTGTTCTTTCAGGAGAATGCAAGGCTCTGATTGGCCAAACCTGGGTCACATGTCACCCCCATTTCTGCTGTCCCAAGACCACTCAGGCTGGGGATGAGGGATGGTGCTGGAAGTGGGAAGGGGCGGGGTCTCCAAACTACAGTCCTGAACTTTCCCTGGAATTTTGGTGAGGGGATCCTGGGTAACCCTCAAAAACAAATTTCTATTAAGTAATGCCTACAATTCAGGGGGATAGGGATAACACAGATCCAGCAAAGAAATTCTAGGTTAAGCAGTCTGAGAAATGGGCAAAGAGCTAAGAATGTATAGTGTCATGCAAGGAAAGGTGACTAATATTTGTTTAGCACTGACCATGTGACAGGAGCTTTTCACACGATATATCATTTAACCCTCACAATAACTCTCAAATACATAGTTATTCCCAGTTAACAGAATCTTAGGGTAAACTGAGTCTCAGAGGGAATATGTAACTCACTTAGGCCACACAGTTCCTGGTGTCAAAAAAGGTTAGGGACTGCTTCATTAAAGGAACAAGGCTTTATTCATTTTTGTCTCCAGCGTAGGAAAGGGCCTTACTCATACTGTTCATCACTAAATATTTGTTAAATTAATGAATGAATAATTAATTGCATGAGCAAAAGATGAAAAACTGTATCCCAGGAAGAAATGAAGGTAGAGAAAGAACAGTAGGGGTGGGTTAGATTCAAACATGTTTTTAGGGCAGGTGGAAAGAGGTTGAAAATGAAAGAAAATGTTGATGATGAAGCAATGTTCCCTATGCAGTTCAAATTCTAGGAAAAAGCCTTAGATAAAAAATTTCAATATTTCTTCCCCCAGAGTGAGAGAGAGAGAGAAAAGTATGGCCTTGGGAGAGTCTGGGGTAGAGGGAAGAAAACCAAAAGCATTCTTTTCAGCTTCCTCGGTCTTCACTGTGAAAAAGTAAAGGTTCTCATTTCTACAACTGTGTCGAGTATACGCTGACCTGATGTTTTAATTCATGGCTCATCCTCACAGTACCAAGCATAGAATAGATGCTAAAATAAATGTATAAACTCACTGGGTTGAACTGAATGAAATCAAATTATCTTTTAGAAAAATTTGAATGTAGCCTTCAGAAAGGGCAGCTACCTATAAGCCTAATTTGATGGCTTGCCAGGACTTTGGTAGGTGCTGTGGGAAGATGGAGGAAGGCAGTACAATGTGCCCATGTTATCTGTTCTACAGAATATCTTTGCTGGGCAAATATCTCCTTATCATTTTCCTTTTTCAATGCAAGCTTCCACCCTACTTCTTCAGGACACCTGGGCTTGGGCAGTGATTACTAGGTTGACTGTTTGTAATAACAGGTCTGTCTTGGGAAATTATAGGCTGTGAGGTCTCAGAGGTTAGCAATCAGAAGAGATTTACTAAGCCTTCTCTGACCAGTTCCAGGGCTGTCCTCCTTAGCAGACTGACTCAGCCAGCAGTGCCACCTGTGAAACAGGTGGCAAGGCTGGTCACACTGCCTCTTTCCACATGCTATTCTGTCCACTCCCTAAGGGTCCCTGACACCAGCTGAGAGAGTGAAGCCTTGGCCTGCTGGGGATGCCTCCAGCTGCAGAAGGCAGCCTGACCTTGAATTCAAGCAGGCTTTAAATTCTTCGCCTCACAGAATGAGGTAACAGAAAGATGGATGATTACTGATTAGAACACTGTGACCTAAAAAAATTAAGTAATCCACAGTGAAAACTCATTCCCCTGTCTCTGTTTAGTCTCTGACAGGAATAAAGGATGGGATAAAGGGTAGGATAGGGAATGGGGTGGTGGCATCAGAGAGCCCCCTTTGGCCACCAGTAGGTGCCTTTATTGATGTGTTCCCATGAGAAGGAACAAAGAAAAGGGGTTGGAATAAAAAAGAAGAAAATCCTGTCATTCATGGCATAGATGAGCCTGGAGGACTTTATGTTAAGTGAAATACACCAAGCACTGAAAGACAAATACCGCATGATCTCACTCATGTGGGAGATAAAATAAATTTTTTGAGCCCATGGAAGTAGAGAGTAGAATTGTGAGTATTAGAGGCTGGGAAGGGTGGGTGAGGGAGGGGAGGAGGGTGAGAGTTCTGGTGCTTTGCGAATGTGGTTAATTATAATTTATTGTATATTCTCAAAAAGCTACAAGATGATTTTGAATGTTCACAACACAAAGAAATGGTAAGTGTTTGAAGTGATGATATGCTAATTACCCTGATTTGATCATTACTCATTGTATGCATGTATTAAAATAGCACTCCAGCTGGGTGCGGTGGCTCACGCCTGTAATCCCAGCACTTTGGGAGGCTGAGGCAGGCTGATCACAAGGTCAGGAGATTGAGACCAACCTGGCTAACATTGTGAAACCCCGTCTCTACTAAAAATACAAAAAATTAGCTGGGCATGGTGATGCGTGCCTGTAGTCACAGCTACTCAGGAGGCTGAGGCAGGAGAATCGCTTGAACCCGGGAGGCGGAGGTTGCAGTGAGCTGAGATTGCACCACTGCACTCCAGCCTGGGTGAAAGAGCGAGACTCCATCTCAAAAAAAAAAAGAAAAAGAAATAGCACTCCATATCCCATCAATTTGTACAATTATTACATGACAACTAAAAATAAAAGGAAAAAGCAAAGCAAAGAGGCTGGAGAGAAAGGAGTGTAATTCCATCCCTTTGTGGTAGTGGGGGTCCAGTAGGAGGCTGGGCTAGGCAGGGAAGCAAGGAACTCACTTGCCCAACTCCAGGGATTTCAGATCTTCCTGTTTGTACAAGCAGGTGGTTTATTTCTAAATAAGCTATTTTGGATTCTTACTTTGCATAGAGTTTGTACATGTTTTCTGCAAAAGCCCAGGCAGAGGCCTCTGGGAGGGGAGTTTGGTGATGAAGTCAGCCAGAATGAGGCTTTTGATATATGGAACTTTTGCCTGATTTCAAGCAATATATCTTCTGCTCCCTTTATTCTTTCCACTTTCTCAGCTCCACCAGCCACATGGTTTTCTTTTTTATCCAACAGGTATAGGTGAATCAACTGCCTCTCTATGGTAGAGTGTCTATTATTCTAACAAGGGCCAGCCCCAGGAAAAACTGCAGCAGTTGAAGTTCAGCTTCTCCTCTTCCTCCCTACCCTACCAACTCTGTAGCACAATCTAGTTGTCAAGGAACCCAAAACATTTGTGGTTTAATGTGTGACCTTTCTCACAGTGTTTTCATCCTGATAGGCCTGTTACATTTTGCTTTCCTGTGCATTTTCTCATTTGGCCAGCAACCCTGTGAATAAAACACTCGTGAGCATTATCTCCCAAAAGGTATTTTGGACCACTTATGAAATTAACTGTCATCTTCTGAGAGCTTGCTACCTGCCAGTCACTGTGCTGAATGCCTTACATACCTCAACTAATCGTCATAATCACTGTGAAGCTGATACTCTTATCCCTAATTTCCAGAGGAGAAAGCTAGGTATACATAACTTGCCCAAGGTCACACAGCTAACTAGCGGCAAAATCAGGATTAAAGCCTGGGTCTGACCAAGTCCAAATCCTGTGCTCTTATCTCTTTCACCATTCTGCCTGTGCAGAAGGCAGGACAGGTATTAGTATGCCTGTTTTCTTTGTCTTTTCTTTCTTTCTTTCTTTCTTTCTTTCTTTCTTTCTTTCTTTCTTTCTTTCTTTCTTTTTCTTTCTTTCTTTCTCCTTCCTTCCTTCCTTCCTTCCTTCCTTCTTTCTCTCTCTCTCTCTCTCTCCTTCCTTCCTTCCTTCCTTCCTTCCTTCCTTCCTTCCTTCCTTCCTTCTCTCTCTCTCTCTCTCTCTCTCTCTCTCTTTCTCTCTTTCTCTCTTTCTCTCTTTCTCTCTTTCTCTCTTTCTCTCTTTCTTTCTTTCTTTCTTGAGACGGGGTGTCACTCCATTGCCCAGGCTGGAGTGCAGTGGCTCAATCCTAGCTCACTGCAGCCTCGACCTCTTTAGCTCAAGCAATCCTCCCACCTCAGCCTTCTGAGTAGTGGGGACTACAGGTATACATCACCATACCCGGCTAATTTTTGTATTTTTTTTTAGAGATAGCGTCTTGCTATGTTGCCCAGGCTGGTCTTAAACTCCTGGGCTCAAGCAATTCTCCCACCTTGGCCTCCCAACGTGCCGGAATTGCAGGTGTGAGCAGCTGCACCTAGCCATATGCCCATTTTCTAAAGAACTTTTTCTCTTTTAAAATGGAATTTCAGAGAACTATTTCACAGAACTCCCAGTGGCAGAGTTGGGGCTAGAGCCCCTTTAATAGATGACGACAGAAGAAAAATTCCTACCTCCTGATTGGGCCACCATGTAGGCTTCTAGGCACAGTAATAGGAAATGTAAAAACCTTCCTGTACCTCTCACATCATGTAGTCAGCACCTGACTCTTACTTCATAAATTGAGTCCACGTGGGGCGTGGTGGCTCACTCCTGTAATCCCAGCACTTTGGGAGGCTAAGGCGGATCGATCACAAGGTCAGGAGATCAAGACCAGCCTGGCCAACATGGTGAAACACCATCTCTACTAAACATACAAAAATTAGCCGGGCGTGGTGGTGTGTGCCTGTAATCCCAACTACTCAGGAGGCTGAGGCAGAGAATTGCTTGAACCCGGGAGGTGGAGGTTGCAATGAACCGAGATCACGCCACTGCACTCCAGCCTGGGCCACAGAGCGAGACCTGTCTCAAAAAAATTAAGTCCAAATAAAATGGAAGACTCTCCTCAACCACCTGCAATATGGCTTCCTCCCCTGCCACTCCATGAAATGGCTCCTCTCCACATCATCTTTGACCTCCTGGCTGAATCGTTTTTACTTCATATTTGTGTCTGTCTTGGCCTCTCTGCAGTGTTTCATTGCTTATTGAAACTCTCTTCTGTCTTGATTGTAGGGTAGCAGCCTGTCCTGGTTTTACTGCTACTTTTCTGGCTTCTCCTCAGCTTTTTCTCAAAGGCTCAGGTTTCGCTGACTACATTGGTCATGGTTCAGGTGCAGAAAGCATAGCCTTCCCTAGCTAGTTTAAGCCAAAAAGATTATTGCAAGGTATTAATTGGCTTACAGAATCAGTGGGAGAGCTGAAGAAGTGGATTTGAGGCTGAATTACTAGGAACAAAGTCACACTCAGAACTGAGTTGCCAGGGGAGTTGCTGCTTCTGCCACAGTTAGGGAGTGTCAGCTGAGCTAGCAAACTCACAACCTAGGGTTGCTGTGCTCCGCACAAGCAGAATAGATGCTTCCTGCCCTGCCCGCCTTGTGCCCCAACAACTCATTCAACTCTGAATTTGGAGTCTTATGTCAGTGTGTCTAATTGTCACAACCTAAGTCACATCCTTAGAAACTCTACCTGGGGAATTTGGAAAATGTAGTTTTTGGCTTCCCAATTCTGCAGTATGGGAAGGCATACTCAAAGGAGATTGAAATAGACATTGAGTCACTCAGTCAGTTAGGTTTTATTTTTTTTTCCTGTTGCAATATACCAATAACAGATAATATTCACCATGCATTACTCACTCCCTTGACTTAAATTCTGATGCAGTTTCCTAAAATTTAGCTGGAAAGTAAAGCATAGACCACAGACTACTCAGGGAAGGGGTATTATATTCATAAAAACATTTTATAAACATGTGAGTAAGTAAAATATTCACTTAATGATATACCTGTCCTATGAATGTTTTCTTCCTTTCTATTTTTTCTCTTTTTTAAACTAAAAATGTAATTATTGGAAAACATAAAGATAAATTGGAAATAAATATAAAGTTATAAAGAAGCACTACAATACTTAAATCTCCATTGGTATTAGAGGTTATATAGCGTTCTTCTCTAAGAGCTAGGACAAAGACAAGCTGGAATGTGAGTTATATGTGCTATTTCCTCAGCTCTGGCATTAACACCATTCAAAATAATATTTAAAAGCAAGTAGCAGGACGGGCATGGTGGCTCATGCCTGTAATCCCAGCATTTTGGGAGGCCGAGGCAGGTGGATCACGTGAGGTGGGGAGTTTGAGATCAGCCTGACCAACATGGAGAAACCCCGTCTCTACTAAAAATACAAAAAATTAGCCGGGCATGGTGGCACATGCCTGTAATCCCAGCTACTCAGGAGGCTGAGGCAGGAGAATCTCTTGAACCCGGGAGGCAGAGGTTGTGGTGAGCTGAGATCACACCATTGCACTCCAGCCTGGGCAACAAGGGCGAAACTCCGTCTCAAAAAAAAAAAAAGCAAAAAACAGGTAGCTGAGAGTGCTGTTATTAAAGGCATAGCCTGGTACCTATTTTAATTTATGTAAAGCAAGTCATTCACAATTTTAATTCTTTATTATTTTCCAGTTTTAAATACAACGTATATAGAAACAATCCCCATGTATGGGTGTGATTACCACTGTACCTTGCCATTCTGCATGCAAATCTGATTACATCATGCCTTGCTAAATAGCTTTCAGAGGCTCCACACCCCATTGAGATAAAGAGTAAGTTCCTCCAACTAGCATTTCACACCCTGTGTGAAGTGGCCCTTGCTCCAGCTCCTGCCATGTCTCCATATCCACACTCCATTCCAGCCGAAGCAAACCAATGACAAGTTTTCCAATGCACCATGCTCTTTTCTGACTCTGGCTCTTTGAAAGTATTGATCCATCTAGAGAGATTATCTTTCTCCCACTCTTGCCTTCTGAGAACTCTAAGAACTCCCCCAAGATACAGTTTATGTGTCACCTTCTCCCAGAAGCTCCGCCTGAAATCACTCTCAGCCCATACCCAACTCCCAGGCTGAATTAGGTGCCCTCTCCACGCCACCCTCCCCTCACCCTTCACTTTCTCCAAGGCTCCCTCAGCACCCTCAGCCATAGCACACTATTGTTAACTGTCTATTTACATATTGGTTCTTCCCATTAACTGGTCTGATTTTTAAAGTTGGAGGTTGATTTTACATAAATGTATTACTCCAAAATAGTAATGCCTAAACAAATATTTGTAAAATGAATGAGTAATCAACAAATGAACAAATGAATGAATAAAAATGTTGGCTTCTCTAGTACACAATCTACACATGCTTTATGCAATTTATAAAGACTATTCACTTGCCAATACAGAAAAAAAAATGATTTTGCATCTTATTGCAGGCATCTAAGTGTGTATTAGGTTAGCTAAAATTTGGCATCAAAGATCAGGTACAGTCACTCAGGCCTGTTATCCTAGCACTTTGGGAGGCCAAAGTGGGCGGATCACTGAGGTCAGGAGTTTGAGACCAGCCTGGCCAACATGGTGAAATCCTGTCTCTACTAAAAAATACAAAAATTAGCCAGGAGTGGTGGTGCACGCTTGTAATCCCAGCTATTTGGGAGGCTGAGGCGGGAGGATCACTTGAACCTGGGAGGCGGAGGTTGCAGTGAGCTGAGATCGCGCCATCGCACTCCAGCCTGGGAGACAGAGCGAGATTCTGTCTCAAAAAATAAAAATAAATAAAATCTTGGCATCAGAATTTCAGGAACTGAGAGCTTGTTAGGCAAGAAGACTAAATAAGTGGTCTTTAACTGGAGCTTATCCAGTGGTCCATGAACTCCCTGAAATGATATGCAAAATTATATTTATGTATTTGTGTAAGCCTGCACCTCACATTCATGTGTTCTCCTTTATAGGGCAGGTCAGCAAGGCTTCTTTGAAAGGAGGAGTGGGGCCTGGTGCGGTGGCTCACACCTGTAATGCCAGCACTATGGGAGGCCGAGGCAGGTAGATCACCTGAGGTCAGGAGTTCACGACCAGCCTGACCAACACGGAGAAACCCCATCTCTACTAAAAATACAAAATTAGCCAGGCATGGTGGCACATGCCTGTATGCCCAGCTACTTGGGAGGCTGAGGCAGAAGAATCACTTGAACCCAGGAGGCAGAGGTTGCCGTGAGCCGAGATAGCGCCACTGCACTCTAGCCTGGGCAACAGAGCGAAACTCTGTCTCAAAAAAAAAAAAAGAGAAAAGAAAAAAGAAAAGAAAGGAAGAGTGGAAAGCAGCCAGGTCTATTGCAGACAAAGCACCATGGAAACACTTTAATAGGCAATGAGTAGACCGAGAATGGGGTGGGTGATCATAAGAATGAGATGGCAGCTGCAAAGAAGGGACAATTCAAACATTTTAATTTATTATTGGGTTCTCACCTGGTGAAGTGTGCCACAGTCAAATATAGCATTAAAAATATATTTACCAATCCAAGTGTGACAGGATCAAACTTCACCCTCCCCCCACACTCCACTCTATTAAGGAGTCTGTGTTTGCCCTTTGTGTGATGTTTACTATGAGGGAGGGAGAATTGAAAAGTGCAGAGAAAGACAAATTTAACTTACAAAAATTTTCTGCGTATATACTTGTAAAGGAAAAGAATACATTCAGAAGGTAGATGAAAGGGGCTTTTAGGGTTTGCCAGCAGTAGATAAGACAGATGTAGAGAGCAGCAGCTTGGATGGAGGGAACTCAGAAATGAGCTGTCCAAGTAGGATTTTTTAAAGTATAATTTTTTTTATTAAATGTGATAAAACTTCCTTTTCACCAGGCTTCCTAAAGACATAAATTATCTTTCAAGGTCTTGGGAGGTAGATTCGTGTGTCTGATTAGCGTGGGTTCCACATGGCAACAGGCCTCAAAGCAGAAGCACACAGTACTTGATTTATTTGTTGGGGTTACACAAGCTTCCCTGCCTGTTCTGCTGTGGGACAGCCTGGAGTCCACACCCACACTAGCCTATTTTTGGTCTGGGTTGGGTAGCTTACAAGGAAGGTAAGAGGCCAATTGACCCCTTATCAGTAGTTTCATTAACCAAGCCACTCCCAGATTTTTATTTGTTTGGTGGGAGGTCTGGGTCATCAAGTGGGGAAACTTCCCCAGAACAAGCTACTAAGTCTCCGAACAAAGGAACACAAAAGGTGTTACCATTTTTTCCTGAACAATTGGTGGGTTTTTTGTTTTTGTTTTTTTTTGACAGAGTCTTGCTCTTTTGCCCAGGCTGGAGTGCAGTGATGTGATCTCAGCTCACTGCATCCTCTGCCTCCTGGGTTCAAGTGATTCTCCTGCCTCAGCCTCCTAAGTAGCTGAGATTATAGGCGTGTGCCACCATGCCTAAGGGAGGAGACCACCCCTCATATTGTCTTAAGCCCAATTTCTGCCTCCAAGAAAGAAGTAAAAACTAAAAGGCAGAAATGAAATCCACAGGCAGACAGCCCGGCGCCACACCCTGGGCCTGTAGTTAAAGATCAACCCCTGACCTAATCGGTTATGTTATCTATAGATTACAGACATTGTATAGAAAAGCACTGAAAGTCCTTGTCCTGTTCTGTTCCGTTCTAATTACCAGAACATGCAGCCCCCATTCACGTACCCCCTGCTTGCTCAATCGATCACGACCCTCTCACGTGGATCCCCTTAGAGTTGTGAGCCCTTAAAAGGGACAGGAATTGCTCACTTGGGGAGCTTGGTTGTTGGAGACGTGAGTCTTGCTGAAGCTCCCAGCCAAATAAAGCCCTTCCTTCTTTAACTTGGTGTCTGAAGGCTTTTGTCTGTGGCTTGTCCTGCTACAGCCCGGCTAATTTTTGTATTTTTTTTTTTTTTTTAGTAGAAATGGGGCTTCACTATGTTGGCCAGGCTGGTCTCGAGCTCCTGACCTCATGATCCGCCTGCTTCAGCCTCCCAAAATGCTGGGATTACAGGCGTGAGCCACTGCACCCGGCCACTAAGCCCTTTTTCTTGTAGTTATCCTCCTATGAAGATAGCAACTTTATCCAAGGTTCGTTCCCCCTCCCAGGGCAGGCTCCATTCAATGACTGGTCAATGTCCCCAACATGGGGACAACTCTTCAGGGTCATCCCAGTTCCAGAGACCCATGTGGTGCAAGAAAGCAGGCGCTGAAGCTGGTCACCCACCAACTGGCTGGAAAGAAGGAAAAGAAAATCTGGGGACCCAATTCACTATGCCAAAAGAAAAAAACATTAAGCTGAAAGCTGAGTTATGGAAGAAACTGCCTTTCCTTTTGTTCCTAAGCAAATAACTACAAATACAAGGCTAAATATCTCCACAGGAGATATTTAAATAAAAGGCTAAATACCTCCATTCTATGTTCACCTTATATAAAGTGCCGATTTACTGAGCACAATATGAATACATCATTGACTATCCCCCTACCTACTCCTTTTCCCTTGCAACATGTAGACTACCATACCCTCCTTCTTTCCCCTCCAGCCCACTTTCCCTCTTTGGATATTGAAGACCTCAAATTCATCTTTAGAGAAAGTCACAGACCACAGATTACTTCTGTGATTCTGTGTTTCTTTCTTCTGGGCATGTCCTTAACCTTGGCAAAATAAACTTCTAAATTGATGGAGCCCTGCCTCAGATACTTTCTGGTTGACAGACCCATCACGGGTGGTTGGTAGAGCATGGATAAAGCCTTGCACACAGTAGCAGAATGATTGCTAACACTTTCTGGAAGGGCATACCTTTGGAAGGGAATGCACTGGCTGGGGCAATGGAACCAGTATTTGAGAAGCATGAGGAAATTAGCAATTATAAGGACAGTAGGATCAGATGACTGTTGCTGAGGGCAAAAGATGTTCTGGAGAAAGACAAGGAAAGGCTGAGGGTGATTAACCCAGCAATTAAATCAGCTAAACATAAAAGTCAGAGGGCTTTCTTGTCAGTACAAGGAGACTCTCATCTATAGCTGGAGAACAGACAAGGTTGAAGATCAGGCTAGGCACTGAAGCACAAAAGTACAAGGTTCCAAAGAAAAAAGATTAAATTCTCAGCAGCTAAAGGAGGAAAAGGACTACAGGAGCTGCAGGACCTGGTCAGTCTGCACCAGCAGAGCTGAAAGAGATTGAGGCAGGAGAATAGGGCCTAGAGACAGCGAACTTAAGGCCAATTTGTGCTGACTTCCTAAAAGAGAAAACACCAAGTTCTGGGAGCAGGAAATCTAAGGCCAATTCATGCTGACTTCCCAAAGCTGGATCAAAAGGAAAACAAGTGGGACTGAAGGCAGGCAACCTGAAGCCAATTAACACAAACTTCCTAAGGCTAAACCAAACGGGAAAAACTACATCTCCCTACTCCGAGTAACAAAGGATCAAAGGCTACTCTCCCTGCAACCCTCCCCCTTCCACCACATACCAGATGGAAAGGGACAGTGCCTTGGATTAGCTGCAGGCCGAGCACGGGCCGTCCCTTTTATCTTCATAGGGCCCCAATTCACCTCAGCCTTTCTTTCTTTTTGTTTTGTTTTGTTTTTTGAGGCGGAGTCTCACTCTGTCTCCCAGGCTGGAGTACAGGGGTGCGATCTCGGCTCACTGCAACCTCCGCCTCCCGGGTTCAAGCGATTCTTCTGCCTCAGCCTCCTGAATAGCTGAGACTACAGGAGCACACCACCATGCCCGGCTAATTTTTGTATTTTTAGTAGAGACAGGGTTTTACCATGTCAGCCAGGCTGGTCTCGAACTCCTCACCTCGTGTTCCGTCCGCCTCAGCCTCCCAAAGTGCTGGGATTACAGGCGTGAGCCACTGCGCCCGGCCCACCTCAGCCTTTAATTAGCCACAGACCCAATCCTTCATCCAGGTAAGGGGTATCCGATAAGAACTTCAAACGGGGTACTTAAAGCCCAGAAAACTTTGTAACTGGGCCCTTGAGCTGCTTGCTTGAGACCACTCCCACCCTGCGGAGTGTTTTCTTGCTTTAATAAATTCCAGCTGTCAGGGGCCAGGCACAGTGGCTCACACCTGTAATCCCAGCACTTTGGGGGGGTCAAGACGGGAGGATCACCTGAGGTCAGGAGTTCGAGACCAGCTTGACCAAAATGGTGAAACCCCGTCTCTACTAAAATTACAAACATTAGCTGGGGGTGGTGGCGGGCACCTGTAATCCCAGCTACTCAGAAGGCTGAGGCAGGAGAATCGCTTGAACTCGGAAGGTGGAGGTTGCAGTGAGCCAAGATTGTGCCATTGCACTCCAGCCTGGGCGATAGAGCAAGAATGTCTCAAAAAAAACAAACAAAAAACACACCAAGGACCTGGACAACTAGTAGTCAAGACCCTCCACTGGTAATAAGATGATGTATGGGTTTAGATTCTGAGGTTATAGGATCAAGAGGAAGAGGCTGAGGGAGAGTTGATTGATATGGGACCATTTTTCTGGGATATAGGATTTAATATCCTGGCATGGACCCCAGTACACTGCTGGGATGGCTCTTTACACATTTGGAGAAAGTGATGCCCACATTAAATGAGAAGTAAATATCAGAACTTCTGTTGCAAACAGTGGAAAAAGGAATCAAATATCTCATAGAAAGGGGTATGTTTGAGTGGATTTGTTATGTAAGGATGGAAAACCCACCAGAGGACAATTTTCCATGGTAGGGTCCAGAGGACATTTCATTTACCAAAGCAATAAAGAAAGCTCTGATAAGAGGGACAATTCATCTTGACTGGAATCAACAAATATTTTAGCTTTGCCTCCGTCTTTCCTGTTTACAAGGCCCCAGACAGCACCACTGTCCGAGGTTTACAGAGTGTTTGATCCACTGGGAGGAGATCCTACAAAAGATCAAACTGGAATAAAGGACACACTTTACAACCCATAAGATGTGACAGTGAGTACATGGTCATAGGACTCAATGGCTCTATCCATACTGTTACAGGTAGATAGGCATGAGCGGGGCAGGAGAGTGCTCTCCCCGCACCCACTAGAAATGTTGAGTGATGGCTCAGCAATTATCGCATTGCCTCTCTAAAAATGATAATTTGGAAGCACCAGGGAGAGGCCAATTCCTGACGGTCCACACCTCTTAACATCAAAATGTTAATTGAATGCAGGCCCTAGGGATAAGCAACTTCCTGGGCATGCGTGTTAAGAGACAAAAATGTGGACGTATGATCTTCCAGGTACACTCCACTGGAAAAGGGAAGAAAGCCTCAGATGGGCATGCATATAACTCCCTATACACACAGTGCCTGCTCAATTCCAAAGGGTAAGGAAAGTACCACATATGAGGAAAGCCCACCCTAAGGGAAGAGTTATGGGAAAGAGGTGAGCCTGTAAGTCCTGGGATCAAGGTTAAAGACCCCCTTTTTTCTGTCTTCTTTTGCACCCTTTTCTTTCTTGGACATTCAGGTGTCCGGCTGAGTCTCTTTCAAGAGAATTTTCCATTCTCTCCTGTTCCAAAGACTTTTAAATAAACTTCCACTCCTGCTCTGAAACTTGCCTGGGTATTTTTTTCTGCTTTATGCCCCTCAGTCAAATTCTTTCTTCTGAAGAGGCACAGACTTAAGTTGCTGTGGACCCTATGGATTCACTGCCAGTAATTCGTGGTAACTCAGATCTTTTCCATCGCTAACAACACTGCACCACATAGAGCAGCAGAATGGCTTGTAGAGGTGCAAATGAGAGGCCAGCTTGAAGGTGATACTTTATAATGTATATCCTTTTTTTTTTTTTTTTTTTGAGATGGAGTTTCACGTTTTCACCCAGGCTGGAGTGAAGTGGCATGATCTCTGCTCACTGCACCCTCCGCCCACGGAGTTCAAGTGATTCTCTTGTCTCAGCCTCCCAAGTAGCTGGGATTGTATGTGCCCGCCATCACGCCCAGCTATTTTTTGTATTTTCAGTAGAGACGGGGTTTTGCCATGTTGGCCAGGCTGGTCTCAAACTCCTGACCTCAAGTGATCCACCTGCCTCAGCCTCCCAAAGTGCTGGGATTACAGGTGTGAGCCACCAGGCCCGACCCTTACAGAGTATATCCTAAAGCAACATCATCATATGGTGTGGTGTCCCAAATAGGTAGAACACACGGTTTTGAGAACCAAGCGGTAGGAGCAGGAGTGGCCCTGCTTACCCACACTGCCAGGGACCCACTTGGAGAATGTTTGCATCCTGTCCCTGCAAGTCTGGGCCCTGTGAGTTTAGAGATCTCCACTCCTGGGAAGAGGATGTTCCACCAGGGTATACAGTGAGAGTACCATTCTATTTGAAGCATCGTCTGTTGCCCTGTTACTTTAGGTCCTTCCTGCCAAGAAATCAGCAGGCCTGAAGAGGTAACTAGTTTTAATCTTCTGGAGGAGGTAGCCCTGTTGTTATAAAATGGGGAAAGGAAAGAATATTTCTGACCCCAGGTGATCTACTTGGTACTCCCTTGCAGCAGCCAGAGCCTGAGGAGGGCAAGGTGATCAGGAGCTCAGTCCCCTGAGGGACAAGTGTCTGGGTCATACCACTCAGGAAAGCCACAGGGTTAGGGGACTCTATCATGGATAGAAGACAGAGATCGTGAATACAAGTATATCTTGTTTTATTGCACTTAGCAGATACTGTGTTTTTACAAATTGAGTGTCTGTGGCAACCCTGTGTCCAGCAAGTCTATCAGCTCCATTTTTCCAACAGCATATGCTCACTTCATGTCTCTGTGTCACATTTTGTTAATTCTTGCAATTTTTCAAACTTTTTCCTTATCATTATATCTTTTGTGGTGATCTATGATCAGCGATCTTTGATGTTACTATTGCAATCGTTTTGGGGTGCCATGAGCCATGCTCATACAAGACGGTAAATTTAATTGGTAAATGCTGTATATGTTCTGACTGCTCTAATGACTGGCTGTTCCGCATCTCTCTTCCTCTGATGAGGCCTTCCTATTCTCTGAGACACAACAATATTGAAATTAGACCAATTAATAACCCTACAATGGCCTCTAAGTGCTTAAGTGAAAGGGAGATTTGCACGTCTCCCACTTTACAGCAAAAGCTAGAAATGATTAAGTTTAGTGAGTAAGACATATTTATAGCTGAGGTGGGCAGAAAGCTGGACCTTTTGCACTAAACAGCCAAGTGGGGAATGCAAAGGAAAAGTTGTTGACGGAAATGAAATGTTCTACTCTGGTGAACACATGCATAATAAGAAAGCGAAATAGCCTTATTGCTGATATGGAAAAAGTTTGAGTGGTCTGGATAGAAGATCAAACCAACTACAACATTTCTTCAAGCCAAAGCCTCATCCAGAGCAAGACCCTAACTCTTTTTAATTCTGTGAAAACTGAGGGAGGTGAGGAAGCTTCAGGAGAAAAATTTTAAGCTAGCAGAGGTTGATGCATGAGGTTTAAGGAAAAAAAAGCCATCTCTGTAACTTAAAAGTGCAAGGTGAAGTAGCAAGTGCTAACACATTTAGAAGGTGCAGCAAATTATCCAGAAGATCTAGCTAAGATCATTGATGATGGTGGCTACTCTAAACAAGAGGTTTTCAGTGTAGATAAAACAGCCTTCTATTGGATGAAGATGACATCCAGGATTTTAATAGCTAGAGAGAAGTCAGTGCCTGGCTTCAAACTTCAAAGGACAGGCTAACTCTCTTATTAGGAGATAATACAGCCAGTGACTTGGAGTTGAAGCCCAGCACTCATTTACCATTTCGAAAATCTAAAGGCCCTTAAGAATTATGCAAAATCTACTCTGCATTTGTTCTATAAATGGAAAAACAAGGCTGAGATGATAGCACGTATGCTTATGGCATGGTTTACTGACTATTTTAAACCAACAGTTGAGATCTGCTCAGAAAAAAGAATTCCTAATGGAAAGCACACTTGACTTGGAGACTTGGAGGCAGTGGAAGTAGCCTCAAGTTGTGGCTGAGGTCAGTTACCATCTGTGGGTTTTTTTTGTTTGTTTGTTCGTTTGTTTTTTGAGATGGAGTCTTGTTCCATTGCCCAGACTGGAGTACAGTGGCGCAGTCTCAGTTCACTGCAACCTCCACCCTCCACCTCCCGGGTTCAAGCAATTGTCCTGCCTCAGCCTCTCGAGTAGCTAGGATTACAGGTGCCTGCTACCACACTCGGCTGATTTTTGCATTTTTAGTAGAGGCAGAGTTTCACCATGTTGGCTAGGCTGGTCTCAAACTCCTGACCTCAGGTGATCCACCTGCTTCGGCCTCACACAGTTCTGGGATTACAGACATGAGCCACTGCTCCCAGCCCCATCTGTGTTCTGGCATGGTGGCTCAGAACACCAGCTTTGGCATCATACAAACTGGATTCCAGTCCCAGGCTACCTCTCATTATTTATGTGTTTGTCCTTGAAGAAGCTGCATAACCTTCAGAGCTTCAGTTTCCTCATTTGTAAAATGGAGACATAGCAGTGTCTTCTGCACAGAAATTCTTGCAGGGAGGAAAGGATATATGGTCAAAATGATTTCAGTCCCCTTTCATGCCCTACAAAATGCTGTGTCAAGCTGTACTCAGAAAAATCCACATTACTGGCCGGGCGCGGTGGCTCACACCTGTAATCCCAGCACTTTGGGAGGCTGAGGTGGGCAGATCACGAGGTCAGGAGATCAAGACCATCCTGGCTAACACGGTGAAACCCCGTCTCTACTAAAAATACAAAAAATTAGCCGGGCATGGTGGCGGGCGCCTGTAGTCCCAGCTACTCGGGAGGCTGAGGCAGGAGAATGGCATGAACCCGGGAGGCGGAACTTGCAGTGAGCCGAGATGGCACCACTGCACTCCAGCCTGGGTGACAGAGCGAGACTCCATCTCAAAAAAAAGAAAAAAAGAAAAATCCACATTACTTCTGCCCTCTACCTGAAGGTTGGAGTCTTCAACTTTCTGGGTTGTCCAGCGCACTGGAGCTGCCCAGCACAGTTCATGTGGTCTTGGGCAGATGGTGTTTGGTGATAGAGAAAAGTTGTTGGGTATCTAAAGCAGATACTTTGTTGGCAGAACTGAGATCTAGGATGAAGTGAGAATGTGTTGTGACCTAAAAACCATATTATGTTCCATGGTCTCAAAAAATTTGAGAAATAAGGCTTGTTGACATTCATACCAGACGACATTAGCAGACACCGTATAAATGATAGTTATTTTAACCTATTTATAGTGGCATTATTGGTTTTTCTTTAATTTTTCAGAAAACCATTTGTCAAGATTACAAAGCTAAGTGCTGGGGACATGAAGGTGAATAACAGTTCCTGCCCTCCAGGAAGATCATAATTTAATAATCGAGACAGCCACTTGAAAGATTATAACTACAGCATATAATTATAACCATAAAACAATGTAGTAACCTCTGCTGTAAAAATGGCTTTCTTGGCCGGGTGCGATGACTCATGCCTGTAATCCCAGCACTTTGGGAGGCCAAGGCGGGCGGATCACGAGGTCAAGAGATCAAGACCATCCTGGCCAACATGGTGAAACCCTGTCTCTACTAAAATACAAAAAAAAATTAGCCAGGCATGGTGGTGCACGTCTGTAGTCTCAGCTACTTGGGTGGCTGAGCCGGGGGAATCCCTTGAACCCGGGAGGCGGAGATTGCAGTGAGCCGAGATTGTGCCACTGCACTCTAGCCTGGCTGGAGACAGAGCAAGACTCCATCTCAAAAACAAAAAAAAAAGGTTTTATTCTCTTGTTGTAAATTACATGTTTTAGATTTTTGGTTTTGTAAAGTATCTTGTACTCAATTTAAGCAAAATTTTAAAATTAGAGGCTTAAAAATTGGAAAAGAAGAGGCGAAAATTTTAGTACCTGCAAGTGATATAACTGCTATTTGACAACTGTAAGAGAATCAACTAAAAAACTATCAATGATTAGAGAATACAGCCTTAAGAAGGACTGGTGGATGCAGAAAAAGGGTTCAGGAGAGAGGGTAGGGCTTTCAGGGAACCTGGAATGTTGGAGACTCTCCCGCTCCAGAAGGAGACAATTAGAAAGGGCAGAGTTAGTGCAGAATGGCCTGAGCCCAGGAGGGGAATCTCCTGGGCTTGAGAAGAAAAACCCTTCCTCTGCCAGGCCTAGGGATAGGAGCAGAGCATGCAGGGACTTAGGGCCCAGAGGGAAAGCATAAACCCAAGCTGAGTCAGAGGGGAATTTGTGGGGCTCCTTCTGTCAGATAAGCCAAGAAGTAAGTTCCAAATATATCTTGGAGTTGAAGTTTCTATTCTTTATTGGTCTTCTTCCTGGTGGCCACGGAGTTGGCTGGAAGAAATGGCTCAAGTCCCAAGCAACCAGAGGTAAAGCCACACCAGACAGAACTACTAAGGCTACACTCCATTTATGAGATGCAAACTCAGAGCAGATGGAGCAGGAGTTTGCACAGCAGCCTCTAAGAGAGTGCTTAGCTTAGGCCGGGCACAGTGTCTCACACTTGTAATCCCAGCACTTTGGGAGGCCAAGGCAGGCAGATCACCTTGGAGAGGTCAAGAGTTCGAGACCAGCCTGGCCAACATGGCGAAACCCCGCCTCTACTAAAAATACAAAAATTAGCTGGGTGTGGTGGCACATGCCTGTAATCCCAGCTACTCCAGAGGCTGAGGCATGAGAATCACTTGAACCCAGGAGGTGGAGGTTGCAGTGAGCCAAGACTGTGCCACTGCACTCCAGCCTGGGCAACACAGTGAGACTCTGTCTCAAAAAAAAAAAAAAAAGAGAGAGAGAAAGTGCTTAGCATGATAATTTCATCATCCTGTGGCTGATTCTTTGAGAGTCTAGTAAGAACATCCTAATAATTAAAGTCCTGGGGTCTTGCCATGGACTGACAGGCAAGAGAGGTCTTGCCATGGACTGACAGGTAAGGAGTGGAGAATATTGAAAGTCTGCAGTCCTGGTTAGAAAATGGGCAAAGAAGGAAAGAAAACTAGAGGATCCTACAGGAAAGATATGAAGTGTGGCATGGTGGCTCAGAACACCAGCTCTGGCATTATACAAACTGGATTCCAGTCCCAGGCTACCTCTTGCTATTTATGTGTTTGTCCTTGAAGAAGCTGTATAACCTTCAGAGCTTCAGTTTCCTCATTTGTAAAATGGAGACATAGCAGTATCTTCTGCGCAGAAATTATTGCAGGGAGGAAAGGATATAAAGTATCTAAGTGCTTGGCACAATCCCAGGCACACAGTGTATGTGCAATAAATGCTAGAAATTTTTATTATTATCAATCCTCTTTCTTCTTGTCTTGAAAGTAGTGAGATTGTGCAATAAAAGAACATCAGTGGGGCATTTCCTCTTTCACAAGCAGCAAATAACTATCAGACTACACTTCCAGGTGAAGTCCACATTCCTTGTGGACATCGTCCTGAAATGCTGGTCCCAAAGGGCATGGCCAAAATCGAGGTGCAGGTGTTGAAAGACGTTTTATTTCTCACTCTGTCTCTCTAACCTTGAAATCAGCCAGAGTTAAGGCATCTGGATGACTCATAACAAGCATCTGTAGAGAAGAGTACTTTCTGCTCTGGTCAGAGGAAGAATTAACAAGCCATTTGGTATTGCAACCTTCTCAGTCAGAATGCCAGGACTGGCTCTTGCCCTGTGCCTGAACTGTCACCAATAATCCATTTTAACTCCTTTTAAATTCTGAATAGTGGCTTCAATGACTGTGAGAGTTTGGGGTGGGGTTGAAGGGGGCAACTTTTTGAGGCTTGAATATGCACAAATAAATTAGGTGGCTATTTAATATTGGGTTTGTTAATCTGTATTTGTAATACAACAGATAAGATATATGCATTATTTAAAATGTCCTGTGGTTTCAATTTTGTAAGATTGATAAGACGGTGGATGTATTTGCACTTGAATTAAATTAGAAATATTGGTCATCATCTGTCATGTAAACTAAACTTAAGCCTTAGGCCATGATTTCCTGATTTTATAATCAAGAATGCCTTCAGCCCTCATGGGCATGCCAAAGTCACCAAATTGTGCCTTTGCTCCACCAGGATGTTTAGTTTCCACTAGATAGTTCCACTTTAAGACTACAGAACTTAAACTTCCTCAGGAATGTCAGTTTTGCAATGTGGCCTCTAAGTCACGGTGTTCACACCCTGGAAAATTCTATGATTTTCCCAATACTTTATTTATTTATTTATTTATTTGAGACAGAGTCTCACTCACTCTGTCACCCTGGCTGGAGTGCAGTGGCACAATTTCAGCTCACTGCAACCTTCATCTCCTGGGTTCAAGTGATTCTCCTGCCTCAGCCTCCTGACTAGCTGGGATTATAGGCACAGGCATGCACCGCCATGCCCAGCTAATTTTTGTATTTTTAGTAGAGATGGGGTTTCACCATGTTGGCAAGGCTGATTTCTAACTCCTGGTCACAAGCAAGCCGCCCGCCTTGGCCTCCCAAAGTGCTGGGATTACAGGTGTGAACTACTGCACCTGACCCCCAATACTTTTAAAATAAATCTTTTTTGTGCTAAATTAGCTGAAGTTGGCTTCCATTGCTTACTGCAGAGAGCCGTGATTGACATACATCTTCTGTGCATCAGTTTTTCCATGTGACATATTGGTACTATTAATTATATATTATAAAACTGGGCATTAAAATGTTAAATAAATAGTCTAAATATTTTTTGTGCAAATAATTGCCAAGAAAATTATTTCACATTTAAAAATGCAATTATGCCACTTGCTTTTTTCTTCATTATTCCATTTTCTTTCAAAGACATACACAGGTATTAAAATAAGTAAAAAAAAGTTCTTGAGTGTGTTGGAAAGTGTTTTTTTTTTTTTTTTGAGACGGAGTCTCTCTCTGTCGTTCAGGCTGGAGTGCAGTGGCACAATTTCAGCTCACTACAAGGTCCGCCTCCCAGGTTCACGCCATTCTCCTGCCTCAGCCTCCTGAGTAGCTGGGACTACAGGTGCCCACCACCACGCCCAGCTAATTTTTTGTATTTTTAATAGAGATGGGGTTTCACCACGTTGGTCTGGCTGGTCTTGATCTCCTGACCTCGTGGTCCACCAGCCTTGGCCTCCCAAAGTGCCGGGATTACAGGCATTAGCCACCATGCCCGGCCGGAAAGTGGTTGGTTTTTAAAACAGCTGTAAAATATCTTGGTGATAGAAATATTATAATATCTTGAACATTATGAATATTGAAATTTTGCTTAATGAAAAGTGTTATTTTTGAAAACAAAACGTTTTGAGCTTCTAGGAAGAATGACAGGATGAGATATAAGATATTCTTATTTAAGCATGTTACTATAGACCTATAAAGGACTTAGACACATGTCCACATGCAGCTGCAAGAAATGGCACGACCAGCTCATCATGGGGGTTCTACTATATGAACCAAAGGAAGAATGGACATGAAGGTCTTTGCCACATGGGTTTCCTCCACAGCAAAAAATACAAACAACATTATCATTTTTAACAAATGCATAGATATTTATATTTCACATTCTCCTTTAATTCAATATTGTTTTAGTATCAGCTTTATATTTTACATGGAGTAAGCATTTTTCTCACTTGATAAGGTCTGTATTTCAAAGAGAAACTTGAAAAGAACTAGATAAGATGAGGAAATATATGGAGACACCCAGTCACAGAGGCCAATAGTCGACCCAGTGGCAGTCAGAGCCTCCGTAATTAGAGATTTGTGCTTAGTGGGCAGACGATGCTGTATTGGGCAGTGGGAGAAAAATGGCAGCAATATTAGGGCAACAAACACACGACATAGTCCTGATTTTCTCCGTCTGTGTCCCTATTACCATCTATGCAATGAAGATTGAATAATTGTTTCTTTTTTTATTTAGAAAGAAAAAATGTAAACTCATGCTTTAATTATCTCAAATACTTGATGATAAAAAATAAAACAAAATAAACCCATGGTTCAGATTGTTCTGAAGTTTCAAGGAAATGTATGCTTCTGTTTTCACATTTTTCCAACTAAGTATTATTTAGTGAATTAATGTCAGATTTTGTTTTCTTGTCTATGTCACTTATGGTTCAAACCATAGAGTACATAGAATTTAATATGGGATAGTGTTGGATATAAAATAATACAAAAAATAGGATCCCTGCTTTCAAAGAGCCCTTAGACTCTCAACTATAGGGCCCGGCACGGTGGCTCATGCCTGTAATCCCAGCACTTTGGGAGGCTGAGGCAGGCAGATCACTTGAGTCCAGGAGTTCGAGACCATCCTGGCCAACATGGTGAAACTGTCTCTACTAAAAATACAAAAATTAACTGGGCTGGTGGCACACGCCTGTAATCCCAGCTACTCGGGAGGCTGAGGCACGAGAATCGCTTGAACTTGGGAGAGGGAGGTTGCAATAAGCTGAGGTCATGCCACTGCACTCCATCCTTTATGACAGAGTGAGACTGTCTCAAATAAATAAATGAATGAATGAATAAATAAATAATCTCAACTATGAGTAACTGCAAGGATCTGCTAGTTGATCTCCCTGAACACTGTCTCTGTTCTCTGTCCAGTTCACCATCCACTCTGCAGTTAATCTCCCACTGCTTTTATGATGTCTCATCACTATCATCAATGGCTTCCCATTTCTGTTAGGACAGCTTTCAAGGCCCTCCACAATATGGCCTGAACCTACTTGTCTGATGTGGTCTTCTACCACCCGGGAGAGTGAATCAGGCAGCCAGGCCAGTGTTTCAACTGTTCCCAGACCAGCAATCCAGGCTCTTCCTCACGCTGTTGCCTCCAACTCAGCATGCCCAGCCTCCTCCTTTCCATCTATCCAGGTCCCAGCCATCCTTCCTCTCCATTGAAACTCTCCCAACCCCTCCCTTATATATCCATATCTTGCTTCTGATTTCCTTTTCATCCTAGGCATTTTCACATTGCTATTTAACTGCTTTAAGAGTGTGTGCCCTTCCTTTTTTGTTTATTAAACAAATGCTTAATGAACACTTACTGTCTGCCAGACGATGTGATCAGCACTTGATAGACAGCAGTGAACAAAACCAACCTTTTCTCTACCCTCATTCTACCCTTAAGTGAGGCAGGATAAACTGTAAATAAATAAGCAAGCGTAAAGTAATTCCAAATGCTAAGGGCTACAAAGGCAAAACCAAAAACATTTGGAAGCTATGAAAGAATAGCAGGTAGAACCTAAATTAGATGGGTTAGCGGGTGAAGGCAGGGTGTTGTCAGGGAAAGTCTCTAAGGGAGTGGCATTTATTTTTATTTTATTTTTATTTTTTTTGAGACAGAGTCTTGCTCTGTCGCCCAGACTGGAGTGCAGTGGCAAGATCTTGGCTCACTGCAACCTCCATCTCCCGGGTTCAAGCGATTCTCCTGCCTTAGCCTCCCACGTAGCTGGGACTACAGGCACCCGCCACCAGGCCTGGCTAATTTTTTTTTTTTTTTTGTATTTTTAGTAGAGACGGGGGTTTCACCATATTGGCCAGGTTCGTCTCGAACTCTTGACCTCGTGATCCGCCCACCTCGGCCTCCCAAAGTGCTGGGATTACAGGCATGAGCCACTGTGCCCAGTGGGAGTGACATTTAAAATGAAGAATGGATAGGAGTTAGGAAGTTGAGCAAATGGTAGCAGGAAAAGTATTCCAAGGAACAGCATCTGCAAAGGTCCTGGGGTAGGAAGGAAGAAACTCAGTGAATTTGAAGAACTGAAAGAAGCGAGGGGAGGCAAAGGAAAGTGGGGAAAGATAAAGCTGCTTCTTACCAACTAGACTTTGAACTCCTTAGGCCCAGGGCCCCCATTTTATCTTTTGTGAATCACCCCTCACTCCCACCCTAAGTACTGAACACAGTACTTAACACATGGTATAGCAATATGTTAAAGGATTTGACTACCTATTTAGTAGCATGATGCTACTAAATCATCAAGAATGATGTAAGAAATTAGAACAAAGCATAGAGTAAAACAATCAAGCAGAGCAGTTTTAAGACTCCAGTAGGTCCCAGGCATTTCTAATCTCAGAGGCTCTGCTACCCCCACATAGTACAAAATATATTGAACCCACATTTTACATCAAACACCACGTATATCACCACATAATTAGAGTAGAATTGAGTTGCAGTTAATTAATTTTCATCATGTTAAATTTATGGACATTTAAAGATACATATATTAATTTTGATTTTGCAAACTTTTTTTTTTAATGTCATTCTCCCCTCATCCCTGAAAGTCTCAGACATTTTTGTGGACCTAGAAAGAACTGTAGGTCCAGGAATACTCATTCTATTTTGTAGAATGAGATGTTGCCTGATTCCAGATTTGCCAATAAGAGCCAATTAAAAATAGAAGAAATGTAGGTCCTGAGCACTTTGCCTAATGGATACAAGGCCCAGCAATCAAGGGCTAAACTGGAAGGAATAAACAACAAATGCTAGAGCAATTCGGGGAGAGGAGGTATCAGTAAGGGCAGGAAAGCTTACGCGTCATATCTGTTAACCTGTTGATTTGCCTGGCCAAGAACTGCAGCTCCTAGGAAGCAGAGGAAGTAAGGGGACACTGTAGTCTGGGCATAACTTGGACCCCAAAGTTTCTCCAAGCAGAAACTAATGGGGTCAACTTGAAGGACTAGAAGCCTAGGTAAAAGTATCCATGCCTTCTTTCTTTTTTTCACTATGCCCCAGAACTGAGCAGACCTGTATCTTTTCAAAGTTTGGAGTACACAAGAATGGACACTGTCAGATGTTATGAAGGCAAATGTCAAACCATTCAGGGAAAAATCACAGATCTGATTACATGGCCTGAGACACTAAACAGGAGGATGTCTCCAGAGAATAAGAGAACTGTCAAAAACTGAACACTGAGGATACAATGAACAATGGGGAAGGCAGGAAATTGAGAGCTGGAGAGACCCATCAAGCTGAAATGCAAACTCATTAGTCAGCTCAGATTTGAAAAATGCCGCATTGAGAAAAGAGAATGTAGATGCAATGAAGGTGGCTTAGTCTGCTCAGGCTGTCATAACAAAATGCCATAGACTTTTCGATGGCTTAAGGCACAGAAATTTATTTCTTACAGTTCGGTAGGCTGGGAAGTCCAAGATCAAGGTGCTGGCAAGGCAGGTCTCATCCTGAGGCCTCTTCTCTTGGCTTGTAGGAGGCTGCCATTACTGTTTACTCACATGACCTCCTGTTTGTGTGCTGGGGCTATGGTGGAGTGAGCTCTCTGGTGCCTCTTCTTATGAGGGCACTGACTTCAGTGTGACAGTCCCGCTGTCAGACTTCATCTAATCCTAAGTACCTCCCAAAGGCCCCATCTCCATAGACCATCACATTGGGGATTAAAGTTCATTGCAACATATGAATTTTCAGTGGACACTATTTAGTGCATAGCAGAAGGATACACCTAAAAGACGGACACCTAAAAGAGGGACTTTCAGGACAGCTGACAAAATGGATAAAGCCAAGAATGAGCTGTTTGAGAAAAATAAGAATTTTTTTTTTAAAGGCCATGTAATATTGCAGAAAAGAGTAGGAGCATTGGTTACAGACAGACCTGGGCTGAATCCTGTTTATTAACTGTGTAGCCTTCGATAAGTTACTTAATATCTCTGAGCCTCAGTTTCCATAGCTGTAAAAGGAACATTAAAAACGTATCACAGGGTTGTTGTAAGGATTAATGAGATAAAGGGTTTAAAGTACTGGCACAGAGAAAAGGCCTTCTAAAGGTTTTGATGGGGGATGGAAGGTACAGGCATGTTGTTGAGGAGCGAATGGGATGGTGATAGGTGACAGGGAGAAGCTGGTTCATGCTGAAATGTGCTGGCTCATGAGTACCACTCTCGCTGAGCAGGAGGTAGGACTGGGTGACTTCTCTAGTGCTCTCCAACTCTGAAATCCCATTAATCCCCATATCTATGAGGAAGCAGATCTGTTCATCTCACCTGCTTTGTTGTTACTATCCATTCGTGCTCTGCATTTTTACAAATATTATCTTATTCAATCTTCACTACAACCTGAAACCTAATAGTAATAATAATAGCGATTATTATTCCCATCTTACAGATTAGCAAACTGAAGTTCAAAGAATTGGATAACCTAGCCCAAGATCAGACCTTTGGAGAATGAAAGAATCTGGATTTGCACCCGGAACTTACTGGCTTCCACCTCTAAACACCAGCTTCCCTGTTCCAACTTTTCTAAAGTTGAATGTTCTTCATACAAATATCAGCAGGAAGACATTGAGGCACAAAATAAATGGGGTATTGTATGAGAATGCCTAGCTTTCAATGAGCTTATGTCTCCAAGCTTGGACAAATTCCGGCTGGGGTACCAACAGAATTTATATATGAGAAGACTGTTGGCAGCTTTTCAGGGACTGTGGGGCCGGGGAGAGACGCCAGAAGACTGTGGCTGGGTACACACTATTCCATTTTGTGAAAAGGGGAAGAAGGTTGATTCTGCAAACCATAGATGCCAGAGTCCTGGGCAAAGTTCTTGAAGGGCATCCTATAAACATAAAAAAAGGGAAGTCATTGCTAGGCACCAACAAGTTTTCATTGAGAAGAGATTATTCCAAATGAACCTAACTTCCATTTCTCATAAGGTGAAAAATTGGTATGGCTTTATTTAGACAATACATTTTGCTCATTTTCATGAACCAGTTGAAAAATCTATTTTGTAAAAAAATTAATAAAAAATAATAAGACTGTTTCTATGAGAAATATAATTTTTTGGTTATTCATTTTAAAAATTTGATGTAATTACAGATTTACACATGCTTATAAGAAATAGTACAGAGGCCAGACACAGTGGCTTATGCCTGTAATCCCAGCACTTTGGGAGGCCGAGGTGGGAAGATCACAAGGTCAGGAGATCGAGACCAACCTGGCCAACATGATGAAACCCCGTCTCTACTAAATATAGAAAAATTAGCTGAGTGTGGTGGCATGCACCTGTAATCCCAGCTACCCAGGAGGCTGAGGCAGGAGAATCGCTTGAACCTGGGAGGCAGAAATTACAGTGAGTCAAGATCATTGTGCCATTGCACTCTAGCCTGGCAACAGAGCAAGACTTCGTCTCAAAAAAAAAAAAAAAAAAAGAAGTAATACAGCGAGCTCCCCTGTACACTTAGCTCAGTGTCCCTAGTGGTTACATTTTGTAAAACTGTAGTATGATAGTACCATCAGGATATTGGCATTGACACACTCACTGATGTTGTTCCAATTTCCCCAGTTTTACTTGTATTCGTGTGTGTGTGTGTATGTATTAAGTTTTATACAATTGTATCACTTATGTAGTGTTACCTATCCACTATTACAGTCAAGGTACTAAACAGCTCCAACTGAATAATCTTTCTTAATGGGGGAGATAGAACTTTAAACCTTGAAGGACAAAAGAGAGAAATAGTATTTTAGGTCAGAGAAGAGCAAAAAGAAAATCAGAGGCAGGGATGAATGTTGGATATTGGGGAGAGGGTCTCGGCTCTATTAAAGGAAAGGATTGCTACATTATAGACATAGTCATTGGGTCAGTTAGGTAAGATGCATAACCCCATTATAAATGGCCTTGACCATCATGGACCATGCTACTTAGATATAAAAACAGTAGGCCGGACGCGGTGGCTCATGCCTGTAATACCAGCACTTTGGGAGGCTGAAGCGGGTGGATCATGAGGTCAGGACATCAAGACCATCCTCGCTAACACGGTGAAACCCCGTCTCTACTAAAAATACAAAAAATTAGCTGGGCGTGGTGGCATGCGCCTGTAGTCCCAGCTACTTGGGAAGCTGAGGCAGGAGAATCGCTTGAACCCAGGAGGTGTAGGTTACAATGAGCCGAGACCGTGCCACTGCACTCCAGCCTGAGCAACAAGAGCAAAACTCCGTCTCAAAAAAACTAAAAAACAAAAAGCAGTATACCACCTAACTCTTAGAAGGTGTTCAGATACTCATCCCTAATGGTACAAAGAGTCATCAATATTAAGGCAGTTGCTGTTCCTCCTGCATAGAGCACTCTTCTCCAGATACACTTAGTCCAGGTCCGTCTCACTATTCAGATCTCAGCTTAAAGGTCACCTCCAGGCTGGGCACGGTGGCTCACACCTGTAATCCCAACACTTTGGGACGTGGTGGTAGGGGACTGCTTGAGGCCAGAAGTTTGAGACCAGCCTAGGCAACAGAGCAAGACCCCATCTCTACAAAAAAATATAAAATTAGCCATGTGCAATGGCATGCACCTGTAGTCCTAGCTACTTGGGAGGTTCAGGTGGGAGGATTGCTTGAACCCAGGAGTTCAAGGCTGCAGTGAGCTATGATTGTACCACCACACTCCAGCCTGGGTGACAGAGCAAGACCCTGCCTCAAAACAAAAAAGTCACCTCCACAGGGAAGCCTTCCCTGATCACCTATCCTACCTATCCTAGAATGCTGCCTCTGCCTCAGTTCCCTGCTTTATTTCTTTCATAGAACTTATTATAATTTTTGTAAAAAATCATATGTATTTGTTTACTTGTTTATTATGTCTCTCCCCCCACTAGCACGGAGTTAGAGCTGAGGAGGAGCAGAACCCCTCACTCCCAAATGCCTAGAGGGATCTGGCAGGTAGCAAAGTGTGAATCTGGCTTGGTAAGGACTGTGTCTATGTGTCTAATAACTGTCTTTTGCTGATACGTGGGAAATATCGGCCCAGTGTTGACAAAAAGCATATTTTTTTTCAAAAGGCTGGAAATCCAGATTTTTTTTTTTTTTTTGAGACGGAGTCTTGCTCTGTCGCCCAGGATAGAGTGCAGTGGAGCGATCTTGGCTCACTGTAACCTCCGCCTCCCAGGTTCAAGTGATTCTCCTGCCTCAGCCTCCTGAGTAGCTGGGATTACAGGTGCCCGCCACTGCGCCCGGCTGATTTTTGTATTTTTAGTAGAGACGGGATTTCACCATCTTGGCCAGGCTGGTCTCAAACTCCTGAGCTCGTTTTCCACCTGCCTCGGCCTCCCAAAGTGTTGGGATTACAGGCATGAGCCACCGCACCCGGCCAGAAATCCAGATTTTTATAAGCAATCTCCTAAAATTTAATGTTATCAACTAATTTTAAAAATTACAACAAAACAGTTACCCTGGCAGAATTGAGTCCACAAGCCATGAGCTTGCCCTGTGAGTATTCAGTGTTGCAGGTGCCAATAGTCTTTCAGTCCACATCCTTCCTCACAGAGAAGGAAGGGACTCTGGAGGCCACACAGCTGGTTCTAGAAGCAACAGGTCAAGAAGCCTGCTGACAAAGCCAGAACAATCTTGTTGCAGGTCGGATTTAAGCATTTATTTCTCTACCAGTCAAAGTCTTCTAGCAGCCAACTTGCCACACCAAGGAATATCAGGTCTGTGAATTTTGTTTTGTATTCACTCAGGGAAATCTTTACTACAAAGACAGGAAGTGGAAAGCCAGAACATGTGGTTTTAATGGTTTGCTGTTGTTTTACTTTTGTTTTTTAGACTGGATACTTTTTTCTTTCTTTCTCTGGTCTCTTCCTTTCCCCTGACCTATCCCTGCAGATCAACTCCTTTGCTGCAAGGATATGCTTTCAGCTAAGAGTCAGCTTGAAATAAGTTTGCTAAACTCATTCATTTTAGGTGTTAATAGCAGCAAGGTAGCCCAGGTATCTAAGATCCAAAAATGATACCCTGCAGTCATGTGTTACCTCCTCTGGGGGACATTTGCAATTGACTATTCTTTTTACTTTCTTCTTCTTCTTCTTCTTTTTAAAAAGTTCCCAAGAGCTGTAAATGCAGTTTACTATTCTTTAACTCTAAAGTCAACTTTCTGTGTCTGGAAGTGCAGGCCCCTCAACAACAGATGACGCAGAGAGATCCTTCAGGTGTCCCGGGGAGTGAGGGAGGGACCATCCCTGAGGTTATTAAAAGTGTCTGAATATGGAGAGAAAGGAAACAATTGGTGAATCCGGGAAAAGGGCAGATGGGAGTTCCTTGGACCCTTTTGGAAACTTTTCTAAGCTGGAAATCATAGAAAGAAGGGGAGGGGAGGGGCAGGGAGAGAAACGGGGAGGAGGAGGAAGTTACTTAAAAAAGTGAAGGAGGCTTGGAGGAAGCTAGGGGAAGGTAGCTGAAGGAGTGAGAGTGGGGAGGCCGGGAGAGGGAGGGAGGTGAGCGGAGGCCCGGGGCCAGCGCGGTGGCTACTGTGCGACGCTCTGTGGCTGCAGTGCTGTCTGTCCATCGGTCCGTGGGGCGCCAAGCGGCCAGGAATGCAGGATGTCCGTGGGATAGGGGTGAACACCTGGCAGGCCCCCTGGCTGACAACGCCCTCATCGGGTTGGGGGCGGGACGGGGGACGGCCACCTCCTCGTCTCCGAACCTGAAGTTCAGGTTCCGCGAACAGAAACGCTTCTCCCAGGTGAGCTGGGAGCCAGGTGAGCGAGGCATTTGAGGTCAGTCCTCAGTTCATCTGGGCCCGGACACATGAAGTGCAGGCCTTGACATACCGAGGTTTTCCAGTTTAAGAACACACTTTTTTTTTTTTTTTAAGACGGCGTTTCGCTCTTGTTGCCCAGGCTGGAGTACCGTGGCGATCTCGGCTCACCTCAACCTCTGCCTCCCGGGTTCAAGCGATTCTCCTGCCTCAGCCTCCCAAGCAGCTGGGATTACAGGCACGCACCACCACACCTGGCTTTTTTGTATTTTTAGTAGAGACAGGGTTTCTCCATGTTGGTCAGGTTGGTCTCGAACTCCCGACCTCAGGTGATCCGCCCGCCTCGGCCTCCCAAAGTGTTGGGATTACAGGCATGAGCCACCACGCCCTGCCAAGAACACACTTTTTCCTATAGAAATCGCAGGGAGTAAGATAGCCGGGCGAGGTGGGGGGTACGGGTGGAGAACAAACCTGTGGGAGAATGGAGATGAGAGCAATTCGTGAATGCAGCCTGGGGACCGGTTCCCATGAGAGAAGCTCCAAACCTCAGTGGGAAACCTAAAGCTCTCAAACTGTCTTCATGTACTTTATTATCATTTTTTTAAGGTGTTGGGGGTAGGGGATGGCGATTTAAGAGGAGGGCAGGGGCCAAGATCCCTTGTTTTTCTTCCTCTTTTCTCCAAGCAATTAACAGATGGAAAGGTCTCAACCAATGAACAGATAGAAAGCAGCAGCAGGCCTTGCTCCTAGGTAGAAAATGGGGTGGGGAAGAATCAGCCTAAGGCTCCCCTCCACCTCCACCTCTCCTGGTGGGGTCCAGTGAGAGCAGTCTAGCACTGCTTGGAGGGACTTTAAGTGGCTTTATGAAAAGGCCTGCCATCTAAGATGGTAACTTGAGTTAATAACTAAGGAGGAAGCAAAGGAATTCATGTAGCACAGAGTTGTGAGCCCGATGAAGAGGCGGTATTGCTAAAGTCGGATCATGATGTCTTACATCAAAAGAAATCATAAGGCAAAGAAAGGAGAACAGAAACTCTCATTTCCTCTTGATCACTGTCGGTTGGCTAAGTTGTCATTTTCAAGTGGAAGATGCCAAAAAGTCCAGTAATAGAGTAATTTTTCAGACAGGTAGACAGGAAGCATACTATTACAATGAGACTACAGTAAGTCTCAAGGTGGTGGCAGTGACTCCCACCTAGATAGAATTTTAGGAAATATGTTTAATTACTACATGAAAAGATTCATGGAAATCATTAAAGTCCTAAGTGCCAGAATATGCAGTCCTGCCCACGTCAAGAATTTGCCAGCAATAACAAGCACAGACTTTCCAGTCACAAACAGCTACCTAGAAAGAAATGACAAAGTACTGATTCTTTTTCCAAGCTGCTGATCCGATAACGAACATGAGATTTAGTATCTATAATGGCTGTCTCACTTCATCTCCTGTGCCTGTCATAATTCCTAGCACATTAAAGGGGCTCAATAAATATTTGTGGAATGCGTTGCTGAGTTCATAATATTTACCACGTTGTATTTATTTTACTACCTTAGAAACAATCTCTAAGACGACAAGTTATAGCCATCTTAGCAGAGATCCTGTGAGATCTGGTCTTTTGAATTAATTTTAAGATGTTACAGCAACTAAAGGCCTTAGTTAGGATTAGGTGAGTCCAACATGCTTGTTTTATAAGGAGAACACTTGGGACAGAGAAAGGGAGGGTAACTTTCCTAAGGTCACACACCCTTTGGAGCTAGAATATGCATGCATCTTCTGACTCCTAGCCCCACCTAGGATGGACACCAGCTCTTAGAGAAAGAGCAGCTCAAAAAACACATCATGATATTATGGAAGTAGATTTTCATTAAGTAAGAAACAGCAGGAAAGCACTGCAGTATGAAAGAGAAAGCACTGCAGTGGTGTGTCAAGAATGCTTTGCAGTCTCAGTTCCTCCATTAGGCAGCTGATTAGACATTCCAAGTGACTTGGCAATGTGAGAGCGCTGAGATCTAGAAATATCCAATGCTAATGTTAAAGTCTATTCTTCCATGTGGTTTTTCTTTCTGAAAACTTTAAGGAATAATTGATTTTTTTTTCACTCCTGTCAAGCAGGTCCTTCCTCATAATAGATTGAAATATAGAGTGAATTTTTTAACTAAAAGGCAGAAACCCGAGATTGAAAAAGGTCTTGGCTTTTTGTCTTAAAACAAAACAAAAACAAAACAAAAAACTAACCATCTTCATGTGCCTGCTTGTGGGGGACGTTAGATGATCAGGGCAAGTAAAACTGGTGAAGCAGTTTGGTTTGTCAGGGCACTCTTTGAATTTAGTGTGTGGGAGGGACTTCCTGTAGAATTTTGCCAATTTTTTTTTTTTTAATTTTTATTTTTGAGACGGAGTCTCACTCTGTTGCCCAGGCTGGAGTGCAATGATGCAATCTTGGCTCACTGCAACCTCTGCCTCCCGGGTTCAAGGGATTCTCCTGCCTCAGCCCTCCCTAGTAGCTGGGATTATGGGCATGCACCGCCACGTCCGGCTAATTTTTTTTTTATTTTTATTTTTGTATTTTTAGTAGAGACAGGGTTTCTTCATGTTGGTCAGGCTAGTCTCCAACTTCTGACCTCAGGTGATGCGCCCGCCTCGGCCTCCCAAAGTGCTGGGATTACAGGCATGAGCCACTGTGCCCGGCCCTTATTTTGGTTTTTCAGGGCACTCCTTGATTTTAGTGTGTGGGAGAGACTTCTGTAGAATTTTGCCAATGTGTTTGCTTGGTGAAGAGAGTCAGAATAAGGGAGGAGACCACCCCTCATATTGTCTTATGCCCAATTTCTGCCTCCAACAAAAGAAGAAGTAAAAACTAAAAGGCAGAAATGAAATCCACAGGCAGACAGCCCGGCGCCGCGTCCTGGGCCTGGTAGTTAAAGATCAACCCCTGACCTAACTGGTTATGTTATCTATAGATTCCAGACATTGTATGGAAGAGCATTGTAAAAATCCCTGTCCTGTTCTGTCTCGTTCTGATTACTGGTGCATGCAGCCCCCAGTCACATACCCGCTGCTTGCTCAATCCATCAGAACCCTCTCATGTGGACCCCTTTAGAGTTGTGAGCCCTTAAAAGGGACAGGAATTGCTCACTTGGGGAGCTTGGCTCTTGAGACAGGAGTCTTGCCAATGCTCCCAGCCGAATAAATTCCTTCCTTCTTTAATTCCGTGTCTGAGGAGCTCTGTCTGTGGCTCGTCCTGCTACAAGAAGGCCAGGAAAAATGAAAAGTCCTTTAGAAGGAAGGGGTCATTAAGGAGAGGAAGTCTGTGTGAGGAAAAGAATGATATCCACACTAAGAATGAGTCTTATTTTCTCTGAGCTGTTTTACTTTGGCTCTTGTATTGCTGACTGATTCTGTAAGAACATGGAGGGAAGATACTGATGTGTGGTTACACAGATATAATTTCATTCATACCTGCATTCACTTCATAATGGAAGGCCTGATATTCATCAACTAACTCAACCCTGAGCTTCCACGGTTACCTGGGGGAAAATTTCATTGACTTTTATTAGGAAAGTCACACACACTCACACATCACTGTACCCAACTCAACTCAAAGGCCTCCACCACCCTCAAAGCATGCTTTCAGCATCAAGCTCAGGGGGGACTGCAACATCTTGCACAAGCTGTCCTGCAAAGGAGAGCCATTGCTGCTGTGCTTGTGGCTGAGAGTGAAGAGGCTGAGCAGGTGGCTTCCCTGGCCCAGACCATGCAGGTCAAACTGAATCAATATTGGAGAACCAAAGCAGGTCATCTGTTCTCTGTTCATAGAGCCAGATGCTTGATCTCTTAGAGCCCACAGGACCAGAGCTCTCTCCACATTGTCCCATCTTCAGCAGGACCTCTGAGTGGGCAGACATCCCCGACAGTTGGAGGCAAACCTTCCTGATGTCTAAGGAGACATTTTACTTTATCTTTGAAAAGCTGGCCACACATCTTCAAAGGAAAACCATCCACATAAAATTGCCTCTGTCTGTGTCTCAGAAAGTAGCTACTGGGTTGCATTGCTGGCCTCCCTGGTGCCTCTGTGTCTTGCTGCTAAGTTCCTTGGGGTAGACAGATCTATTGCTGAGCATGCCTTCTATGAGGTTGTGGATGCCATCTGTGCTATCGCCTGGAAAACCAGCCTGACTTTGAGGAGGTGCTGAAAGATAGCACAGATAGAGAAGTTCTGGACCAAAGATGGCTTCCTAATGTGTGCTGGGGCTTCTGGAGGTACACATATCGAACTGTCCTGCCCCAAAGGGCAGGAAAGTAACTATTGGAACTGGCATCAATACTTTTTCTGTTAGAAGAAATTTAAAAATTTAATAAAGGAAATGGATAGATAACAAAGTGAACAAAAGGAAAATAAATGTAGGATTTTAATTAAAAGATCCTTAAATGAATTGTGTTTCTTTTTTTTTTTTTTAAGACAAGGTCTTTGTCTGTTGCCCAGGCTAGAGTGCAGTGGTGCGATCATAGCTCACTGTAAACTTGAATTCCTGGGCTCAAGTGATTCTCCTGCCTCAGCCTCCCAAGTAGCTGTAGCTGGGATCACAGGCATGTGCCACTACCCATGGCTAATTAAATGTTTTTTTTTTTTTGTAGAGACGGGGCATTGCGCTATGTTGCCCATGCTGGTCTCAAACTCCGGGCCTCAAGTGTTCCTCCTGTCTCAACCTCCTGAAGTGCTGGAATTTACGGGCATGTGCCACTGCACTTGGCTCTTATGTTTCATTCTGTCTCAGCTTTGAAGCGTGGAATAGATAGGCCTCTGGATCAGGGCTTTTAATGATTATGGCTAAGCCTTAGCTAAAAAAGGTCACGGTGGAGAGGCCTAAGTCTGTGTTTTTATTACCCTTAGTCTCTTCTGTTATTATTTATGTATTCAAAAAGCATTTGAAGGTCTCCTTTATGCCTAGGCATTATATTAAGTCCAGGGTATTCACCAATAATAAAAATGCCCATCATCTTCGGAAAACAGTATGGTGGGTACTCAAAAAATTAAAAATAGAATGATCAGCAATCCACTTCTGGGTATATATCCAAAAGAACTGAAAACAGAATGTCAAGAGATACAGAATGTTCACAGCGGCATTATTCACAATAGCCAAGAGGTGGAAACAACCCAAATGTTCACTGATGGATGACTGGATAAACAAGATGTGGTGTATACATACGATGGAATATTATGTGGCCTGTCTATTATGAAGGAAATCCTGTCACATGCTATAACATGGATGAAACTTGAGGACATTATGCTAAGTGAAACCAATTGCAAAAGGAAAAATACTGCATGATTCCAATAATATGAGGTATCTAAAGTAATCAAATTCGTATGTATGTATAGAAAGTAGAATGGTGATTACCAGGGGCTAGGGGCAGGGGGCAAAGTTGTTGTTTAATGGTGCTATGATCTGAATGTGTGGGTCCTCTCAAAATTCATGTGTTGAAACCTAACTCCCAAGGCGATTATATTAAGAGGTGGGGCTTTTGGGGAGGTGATTAGGTCAGGAGGGCAGTGTTGTGGTCAACTATCTTCAGGGGCCTGTTGATGGCTGGCTTCTCCATGATAGTGAGCCTGTGTCATATCTCTGCTGGGGCTCAGCAGACCCCATATAGATCCCACTGTTGTGCCTGGGATGGTCCCACTATTTCTTGGCCTGGGAGCATGAGGGCTGAGGCCATTGGTGGAAATTCCAGATTGGTCTTGTTGAAGAGAAGAGCATCAGTCACTTTTTAAAGAAAGATATTTTATTCGAACCACTGCAGTATTGAAGAGAGACTTTAGTATAAACTGAGCTCACCTCCAACTAAGACAATGGTAAATGGGACATTTAAAGGGAGATCATAGAGGTAATTAAAAGGGGGTATGGGGAAGTAAAAAAAAAGAGAGGACAAAGAAAGTCTGGGAAAAATGGAAAATTACAGAAGGAGTGAGTGGAAAATTACTGAAAACTGTTTGGCAAAGTGGGTTGGGACACAGTACATTTTGCAGCTTAGCAGCATTGTGTTTTTCTGAGCAAAGACTTCGCACAGGGGCTGGGGCCACCTTTAGGGACTGCTGTGGTCTGAATGTCTCCCCAAAGTCACATGTTGCAACTTAATCACCAATGTGATAGCACTAACAAGTGGGGCCTTCAGGGGGTGATTAAGTCATGATGGTGGAGCTCTCATAAATGTGATCAGTGACCTTATAAAATGTGATTAGTGACCTTATTAGTGGCTGGAGGTAACTAGCCCCCTTTCGCTGTTCTGCTCTTCTGCCACGTGAGGATACAGCATTCTAGGCACCATCTTGGAAGCAAAGACAGAGGCCCTCACCAGACACTGAACCTGCTAATGCCTTGATCTTGGACTTCTCAGCCCCCAGAACTATGTGGAAATAAATTTCTGTTCTTTTATAAATGACCTGGTTTCAGACATTTTGTCATATCAGCACAAACAGACTAAGACAGGGACACAGTCTAGTGTAGGCAGAAGCCAGGCTGAAGTCTGGTCAAGTCTCTTAGCATAGTGTTTGGGCAAGTCCTTTGTGCTATGTGAAAGTTCACAGTTCACAACTCCTTCCTGCTGCATAGCCTTCCTATTGGGGCAGTTTGGAGGCTGTGGGTCGGTAAGTTTGGAGGATTCCTCTTCTTTCTTTCCAACCCCAGTGGGTGATGGGAGGGTCAGGGTGGACCTCACTTAGCCAGGCTCAACTTGAAAGATCCTGCACCTATTTCTACCTTTATTTCAGAGAGTGGCTGGTCATGCAATAGGTGAGGGACAATGTTATTGAAAAAAGACTCCCAGGGATGCCCCCAACTGCTGCAGAATTTGCTGAGGCTATTGTTTTCATCCTCCTTTAACTGCTGGAGCTCATCAGGGATGCTCCTAGAAAAACACATGCTTCTGTGAAGGCTCCAATATAGTTGAACTTGCTAATGTCCTAGGCCCCTGTGCTCTGCTACCACTTTGCTCAAGCTAGAGCCTAAGGCAGGGAGGAATGGAACCAGAGAGTTGTTCTCCTGGCTGTCATTCACCCAGGCTGTGACCCATCCAGAGACCCAAGTCCTGTCCAGAGCCCAGTGAGACTGGCTGTCTCATGAGTCTATCTCATGGCTGTGTCCTTGGCCAGCCACAGCCACCCAAATCTGCTGACAGGGAGAGATAAGTATGGACCTGTTGGTTTTGTCCTCTCTTGAAGCAAATAGCAGCCTTCCTCTAAGTAAGCCACAGGTGGCTCTGCCCACACGTATCTGCCTCACTGTAGTGTACGAAGACTGTGCCAATATCTCACTGACATTCAGCTTTCCTCCTTACTTGCCTCCACCTCAATATGGCTGTCAAGCAGCTCACTGCTGCCCGGTGAGCAGGTCTTGTATGCTGGTTGGCCAATGAGGAAATGGGCCCAAGGTGAGCCAGCTGGCCTCCAGGAGACATTGCACCCCATGTCTTCATGAGAAAATCCCTTGAGCTACAACTTAACAGAACAGATTGGTTCCCACAGTGCAGTTGACAGAAATATCTTGCCAGGCTAGACTTCTTGCTCTAGTAAGACAGCACCACCCCACCCACAGCTGTAAGCACAGCTGATTTCTTTTGAAAAGAGAGGATTGTGGCCGGGCGTGGCGACTCACACCTGTAATCCCAGCACTTTGGGAAGCCAAGGCAGGTGGATCATCTGAGGTCAGGAGTTTGAGACCAGCCTGACCAACATGGTGAAACCCGATCTCTACTTAAAAATACAAAATTAGCCGGGCGTGGTGGCGCATGCCTGTAATCCCAGCCACTTGGGAGGCTGAGGGAGGAGAATCACTTGAACCCTGGAGGTGGAGGTTGCAGTGAGCCGAGTTTGCACCATTACACTCCAGCCTGGGCAACGAGAACAAAACTCCATCTCAAAAAAAAAAAAGGGGGAGGGAAAGAGAGAGAAGTTTGTTACCACAAAGACCAGGGCTGGCTTTGGCAGGCCAGGGCTGGGTGTGAGGGAATGCTTGTAGGCCTCTATGCTTCGGCCTGGGACAAAGCGGTGGGAAGGATATGAAAACTTGGTATCAGGAACTGCCACATTCCTCTCCTCTATCCTCTCAACCATAGCTCCCTGTCAAACCCCTCACAAAGTAAAAAAAGTCAGGCTCAGGAATTGGTGATACTGATACTTCTGGGGCCCCAGAAAGTTCCTGTTCCCAGACACTGTCCCCAGCCTGTTTCCTTTGTCTTCCTAAGAAGGCACTCTGTGGGCCACCTAGAACTAGTTTAAGTGTCCCAACTTAGAGCCAAAAATGGAAAAAGCATAAAAGTGCCAGATGCGGTGGCTCACGCCTGTAATCCCAACACTTTGGGAGGCCGAGGCTTGCGGATCACCTGAGGTCGGGAGTTCGCAACCAGCCTAACCAACATGGAGAAACCCTGTCTCTACTAAAAATACAAAATTAGCTGGATGTGGTGGCACATGCCTGTAATTCCAGCTACTCGGGAGGCTGAGGCAGGAGAATCACTTGAACTCAGGAGGCGGAGGTTGCAATGAGCCAAGATGGTGCCATTGCACTCCAGCCTGGGCAACAAGAGTGAAACTCAGTCTCAAAAAAAAAAAAAAAAAAGGAAAAGCATAAAGGTTTACAATTTTGAGGGCCTGAAAGGGGGACCATGAACTCAATGAAGCAAAAGAGAAAGGCTGGGAGGGCTCACAGAACAAAAGGAAGCTGTATGAATGGAAACAAGAGGGCAAGAAATCAATTAAGATCTGAAGTTGTGTATTCAGTGTTAATTCAACAGACATTATTAAGGCCTACTCTGTGTGTGTCAAGCACTGGGCTAAGTGCTCAGGGTAAGAAGCAGAACAAGACATGGTTCACTGGAGTAAACAGGCATGTAAACACTAATTGCAATATGATGAAAGAAGCACCCAGTGAAAAATGTCAAAGCAAGAAGACTAGGTTGTTCCATCCAACTGTCATTTATAGGGATATGGTGCTGGCGGCTTCTGTGTGAGCAAAGGCAATTGGGAGCCCTCTACCACAACCCTTTCTCCTTCTTTCCCCTTCTCCCTTTCTATCCTTATCCTTTTCTTCTGTCTCTTCTTTCCTCCTCCTCTACTGCCATAAAATGGCACCTAAGGGTACTCACTAATTCCGTTAATAGAACAGAGTTGAATACAAGTGTCCCCCCTCATCTGCAGTGTTGCTTTTCTTGGTTTCAGATACTCACAGTCAACTGTGGCCTGAACATATTCAATGGAAAAGTCTAGAAATAATTCATAATAAATTGTCCTTCATTCTGAGCAGCATGATGAAGTTTCTTGCTGTTCCCTGTGTTCTGCCTGGGAGGTGAATCATCCCTTTGCCCAGTGTATCTACCCCCCATTAGTCACTTAACAGGGTCTTGGCGATCACATCAACTGTTGAGGTATCGCAGTGCTTGTGTTCAAGTAACCCTGTTAGAACAGGCAGATGGTTAGATGTGAGCATGAGAGGGAGCCCCTGGAGGAGGAAGTGCTGGAAAATCTAGCATCTCAGAGACTGCCTGAAACATGCATGCTAAATATGAGCAGAGAGGAGGGGAAATACCGAAAGGAATGTCCCCTCCTTGAGGGGACACTGAGAAATGTTACTTCTTCAAGGTATGCAAAAAGGAATACCCTGAAACTCCCCTTAAGATGCCCAGTAATCGCCTGTAATCCCAGGACTTTGGGAGGCTGAGGCGGGTGGATCACTTGAGGTCGGGAGTTTAAGACCAGCCTGACCAACATGGTGAAACCCCGTCTTTACTAAAAATACAAAAAATTATGCCAGGCGCAGTGGCTCTCGCCTGTAATCCCAGCACTTTGGGAGGCCGAGGCGGGTGGATCACAAGGGCAAGAGATCGAGACCATCCTGGCCAACATGGTGAAACCCTGTCTCTACTAAAAATACAAAAATTAGCTGGGCATGGTGGTGTGTGCCTGTTGTCCCAGCTACTCGGGAGGGTGAGGCAGGAGAATCGTTTGAACCCAGGAGGTGGAGGTTGCAGTGAGCCGAGATCGCACTCGGGCATGGTGGCGGGCACCTATAATCCCAGCTACTCGGGGGAATCGCTTGAACCCAGGAGGCGGAGGTTGCAGTGAGCCGAGATTGCGCCACCGCACTCTAGCCTGGGCACGACAGAGAGAGACTCTGTCAAAAAAAAAAAAAAGCCCAGCAATCGTTCATTCTGTGGTTAAACTGTCAGAAAGTAGCTAGCTACATGCTAATAGGAGGGGGAAAAGAGCAAAAGGGGAATTCCTAAGAGATACACATGAGCAATAAGTACAGATTTGACCTTCCTGGGGTGGTGGTTATGAGACACACTGCCATTAGGTAGGATTCATATGGATCGCTGGGCCCCAATCATGCACATTAACCAACAGTAAGGGAGGGTCCCATAAGCCTGGTCGGGAAACTAGATGGGGACAAAGGCAGAGACTTAAGACAGAAGCCAGGAAACTAGACAAAGACAAAGGCTTGAGACAGAGGCCAGAACTTAAACAAAAAGTCCAACGTAATAAAAACTGCATTGCAGAACTCTTGGGGCTGTTCCCAGCCAGGTCAGCCCACTCCTCTCTTACAGTGTACTTTTATTTCCATAATAAACCATTTTTGCTTGCTTCACTAATTGGTCTCTTGGCTGAATTCTTTTTGTCGAGAAGACAAGAACCAAGGAGCCCCACACTTCCCTACAACAACCCTTATTAAATTTAATGCTGGCCCAAAATGTAAGAGTAGTGATGCTGGTATATCATAATTTTCTATTTTATTATTGGTTATTGTTTTTAATCTCTTACTGAACCTAATCCATAAATTAAACATTATCATATGTATAGCAAGAAATGTAGTATATATAGGATTTGTACTATCTGCCATTTCAGGTATCCACTGGGGGCATGGGAAGGTTTTGCTAACCCCATGTATTAGTCCATTTTTGAGTTGCTATCAAGGAGTTCCTGAGACTGGGTAATTTATAAAGAAAAGAGGTTTAATTTGCTCATGCTTCTGCAGGTTGTACAAGCATGGCACAAATGTCCACTTGGCTCCTGGTGAGGGCCTCAGGAAGCTTACAATCATGGCAGAAGGTAAAGGGGGAGCAGGCACATCACATGACGAGAGTGGGAGCAAGAGAGACAGATAGGAGGTGCCACACACTTTAAACAACCAGATCACAGCAAGAACTCACTTATCACCAGAAGCATGGTGCTAAGCCATTTGGTGAAGGATCTGCCCTCTTGATCCAAACATCTCCTACCAGGCCCCACCTCCAACCTCCAACACTGGGGATTACATTTCTTTTTTCTTTTCTTTTCTTTCTTTTTTTTTTTGAGACAGAATCTTGCTCTGTCATCCAGGCTGGAGTGCAGTGGCACATTCTTGGCTCACCGCAACCTCCGCCTCCCATATTCAAGTGATTCTCCTGCCTCAGCCTCCCGAGTAGCTGGGATTACAGGCATGTGCCACCACGCCTGGCTAATTTTTGTATTTTTAGTAGAGACAGGGTTTCACCATGTTGGCCAGGCTGGTCTTGAGCTCCTGACCTCAAGTGATCCACTTGCCTTGGCCCCCCAAAGTGCTAGGATTACAGGCACGAGCACTGCACCTGGGCTGGGGATTACATTTCAATAGGAGATTTGGAGGGGACAAACATCTAAACCACATCACCCTATTCTAAGGAAACAGGAAATGGGATATCCAGCTCCTTAGTCCTCTGCTGTGGGGAGGGCATTAATAAAATGTTAGATTATTATTTTGTGGACAGAACTTTCCTAATCAACAAGAAACCAAGTTTAATTCCTAAGATCTAAACCAGTCAGATAGAAATAATCCAACACAAAGAAAAGAGGAAAGTATTTGGATAGTTTGGCCTAATGTGTTCCTTTTGAATTTCAGTTTTTATTTATAAAAGATAATAGCTTGAAACTATTATCAGTTTCAAACAGAAAATGGTTTGAAACTCACACTCACTACCCAGATTTTGTATATGTTAACATTTTGCTTCAAGTATTTTTTTTTAAATAAAATATTTATACTCAACCAAAGACCTGCCCTTCTTTTGTCCCTCTTCTATGAGTGGGTTTGTGTCATTCATCCCAGGAATATTGTTATATTTTGCTATATTTTTGTGTTAGCAAAATAAATAGTAAGTTTGTATGTTTTGAAACTTTATATAAAAAGGCCTAATACTGTGTATATCTTTTGTTACCTGATATTTTCACCCAGTGTTCTCATATGGTAGCTCCATTAAACTTCTGTATTCTACCAAAAAATAAACTAGTTCATTGCTTATTTATTTCCATTGTATTTCTTGTGCTTTCTACTTACCATGCTTTTCTTTAATTTTTTCCACCTCTCTTACTATCTTCTGTTTATTTATAGTGTTTTCTTTGTTTCCTTTTCCTCTACTACTTTAGAAATGATACATTCTCTTTTTATTTTTCTAGGCTTTATCCTTAAATTTTTAACACAAACAACTGCCTTCAAAATCTGCATTCTCCTCCCAAATAATACAAAGATCTTAGATTTTTAACTTTGATTGGCTCTAGTCACTTGCCATGTTATTATTGTCTAAAGCTGTGCTAATACAATAGCTACTTGCCATATGTGGCTATTTAAATTTAAATTAATCAGTGTTAAATAAAATTAAAAATTATTTTCCTTAGTTGCATAGCCACATTTCAAATGTACAATAGTTACATGTGGCTAATGGCTACCAGATTGGGCAGAGCAGATACAGAACTTTTCCATCATTGAAAAAAAAATACTGCAAGACAATCCTAGTTATTTACATCTAGTTTTTAACTCTCTGCCTAGTCATTATCATTTATTTATTTATTTACTTATTTATTTTTGAGACAGAGTCTCACCCTGTCGCCCAGGCTGGAGTGCAGTGGGGTGATCTGGGCTCACTGCAAGCTCCGCCTGCTGGGTTCACGCCATTCTCCTGCCTCAGCCTCCCAAGTAGCTGGGACTACAGGCGCCCACCACCACGCCCGGCTAATTTTTTTTGTTATTTTTAATAGAGACGGGGTTTCACAGTGTTAGCCAGGATGGTCTCGATCTCCTGACCTCGTGATCCACCCGCCTCGACCTCCCAAAGTGCTGGGATTATAGGTGTGAGCCACTGCGCCCGGCCTTCTAGTTATTATTATTAGTATTGATTTTTACAGTCAAGACTTTCTTAGATTTACCTTTGTGTTTACCAATTTATTTGCTTACCATCGTTTTTTGCATTTATAGGGATATAAAATATAAATCCTAAGCAAAGAATATTAAATTATTTTTCATATTATATCTCCATTTCCCCCACTCTGCCATCTCATGAGCAATTTCCTCAGCTCCATCTCCTAGTTTATCTCTTTTCAAATAAGTATGCTCTGCTTTCACCCAGTCCATTAATTTAGTCTTTCAATAATGTATTTTTGAATCTTAAAAGTATGATTTGCTCAAATCTACTTTTCTTTGAGGGTCTTGTTCTGTCCTGAGTATTTCTCTACCTTTAAAAAACATTTCATTTTAAATATGTTAATTTTAGAGTGTAATCGATTTTTCTGGACCTCAGTTATCTAAACTATGAAATGGAGCTTTAGACTAAATGGCCTGTAAGGTGACTTCCAGCTCTGAAATTTTAATATGTACTCTGACATTCATTTATTTTTTTAATAAATATTGTTGGAGTACTTTGCATTTCCAAGTAATGAAGGTGGCACTGAAGCATGCCAGTGAATAAAGAATGATTATTTTAAAAGCCACCTTCCCCAGACCTCTACAGGCTCTGAGCCAACACCTTCAGTTTTCTCATATCCCCTTCCTGTATTAACAGAGAAACAGGTGGCTGACCAGATGGACAGAGGCCAGGAAAAATTTCCATCTGGGTTTGGTTTCAGATCAGAGATATTTTTTGGAGGCTCATCAAAGAATCCAGTGAAAGGCTGGGCAAAAGAGGTGAACATTAGATCTCTAAGCTTCTCAGATATTTTTGTTTTGATCCTTATAGTACATAAAATGTAAAATTAGAGTTCCAACAGCTTTTCTACACTCTCTAAAACCAGCAGAATACAGGAGGGCTGGAAGAACAGTAACGAAGGACTGTGTTTCTTTTTATCTAAAGATTCCTGAAATTGACCTGGAAGAATGTAGTAAGATGCTGGAAGGGAACTGTGGGTATGATTTGAGGTGAGGGATAGGAAGGATGATTTTATTATATTTCTCTGAAGGGCAAGTGATTGATCAATACAACCATTTCTGCAGCTTGTATCTCACAGTGCCTCACAAGCATCTTTCAGGTTTTGCTCCTGTGTTGTCAAATGTTCGGTGAGTAAAGGATACAATGAGATTCAGTTGTCCCAAGCCCTGGCTTCTATCAGCCTATCACACTGATGGTGTGAATGCTGTGGATAGGAGCTACAGTTTCTCAGGCAAATAACATGGAAACAATTAAAAGAAATATTCAACTCATTTCAAGGAGCATTGGCTCTCCAGCCCCCTTTCTAACCAGATGCAGTCATGAGGCTTTTATAATTTTATTTATTTCCTTTGCTTAGGTTTTTAGAATAAACTTGATTAAGGCATACTTTATGTATACTTTCCCTTATTGAGACATACTTTGTATATGGTACTTTGTTTTAAAATTCAACAAAATACAACTTCTCTTCCTTTTCTATACTGTCCCAGACAAAGTTTTTTTTTTTGAGATGGAGTCTCGCTCTGTCGCCCAGGCTGGAGTGCAGTGGCGCCATCTCGGCTCACTGAAAGCTCCGCCTCCCGGGTTCACGCCATTCTCCTGCCTCAGCCTCGCGAGTAGCTGGGACTACAGGCGCCCGCCACCATGCCCGGCTAATTGTTTTTTGTATTTTTTAGTGGAGACGGGGTTTCACCGTGTTAGCCAGGATGGTCTCGATCTCTTGACCTCGTGATCCGCCCGCCTCGGCTTCCCGAAGTGCTGGGATTACAGGCGTCAGCCACCGCGCCCGGCGCCAAAGTTTTGAAACTAAATGTCAAGGTTGAATTCTTCCTTTGACTACCGATGTTTTGGGAGACTTGACTGTCTCTGAAATTTCTTTTCCTTTGTGTTAACTATAAAACAACTCTTCATTCTAACTAAAGATCTAAATAAAGATCTTTAACATTGTATGCTTTCTGTAAGCCCTCGAGGCACTGTGTCTAATTTATGCTACCTACATATAATTTTTATCCCTCTGTATTAGCCTGTTTTCATACTGCTGATAAAGACATACCCAAGACTGGGTAATTTACAAAGAAAAAGAAGTTTAAAGGCTTCACAGTTCCACCTGGCCGGGAAGCCTCACGATCATGGTGGAAGGTGAAGGGCACATCTTACATGGTAGCAGACAAGGGAGAAATGAGAACCAAGCGCAAGCTGAAATCCCTTATAAAGCCATCAGATTTCGTGAGACTTATTCACTACCACCAGAACAGTATGGGGGAAACTGCCCCCATAATTCAGTTATCTCCCACCAGGTCCCACCCACAACACGTGGGAATTATGCCAGTTACAATTCAAGATGAGATTCGGGGGTGGGGACACAGCCAAACCATATCACCCTCCTTTTCCCTCACTCCTGCTTCTATCCAAATAGCTTTTCTATCTGTCGGTTTTCCCTCTGAAATGTCTTGCCCTCATCCTTTCCTTTCTGATCCACTTTTGAACAACTTTTCCTGGCCTCATTTCTTTTTGTTGTTGTTGTTTGCTTTTTTTTGTTTTTTTGTTTTTTTGTTTTTTGTTTCGCTCTTGTTGCCCAGGCTGGAGTGCAGTGGTGCAATCTTGCCTCACTGCAACCTCCGCCTTCTGGGTTCAAGCGATTCTCCTGTCTCAGCCTACTGAGTAGCTAGGATTCCAGGCGTGCGCCACTATACCCGGCTAATTTTTGGTATTTTTAGTAGAGACAGGGTTTCACCATGTTGGCCAGGCTGGTCTCAAACTCCTGACCTCAGGTGATCCACCCACCTCAGCCTCCCAGAGTGCTGGAATTACAGGCATGAGCCACTGAGCCTGGCCCCAGCTTCATTTCCTTTTATTTGATTGAAATAATTAATTCTACACATGCTCTGGCCAGATTAATGTTCCTAAAGCACAACTTTGATAGTCTCTCCTTTGCTCAAAAGCCATCAATGGCTCCCTTTTTCCTACTAAATCAGGCACTGTGTACTTATTCTGTTGGCTGTGACCTCTAGAGTCAGGCCCAATGTACCCAGCTGCTTTCAGTCGTACCCTGTACTCACCTTTCCTGTGGACCCTTCATTCTAGTCACATTAGTATCTCCTAAGGGCTTGGCCATGTCTGCCTTTACTTAAAATGTCCTTGCTGCCACATCTCTCTAGAGGCAATATTGCCCACTTTTGATCCTCAAATCAAATACTCCCTCCTCTCATTAGCCTTCCCTCAATCAGTGCAAATTTATATGTTATTTTTAATAAATATGATGTTTTATACTATGCCCATATCACATATTTTTAACTCAATTAAAATATTTTAAAATAAGAAATACCTGTTCACTTAATATTGAAGTAAATTCTACTGAGTGTAAAGGATCAGATTCTACGTTTGAACCTTAACATATTCATTTGTTTTTTTGTTTTTCGAGACAGTCTCACTCTGTTGCCCAGTCTGGAGTGCAGTGGTGCGATCTTGGCTCACTGCAACTTCTGCCTCTCAGGTTCAAGCAATTTTCCTGCCTCAGCCTCTGGAGTAGCTGGGACTACAGGTGCACACCACCATGCCTGGCTAATTTCTTATAGAGATGAGGTTTTGCCATGTTAGCCAGGCTGGTCTTGAACTCTTGACCTCAGGTGATCCACCTGCCTTGCCCTCTCAAAGTGTTGGGATTATAGGCGTAGCCACCGTGCCCAGCCCTCATTTGTTCTTAAATGCTATTTGGTATAGTAATAAAGATCTGGGTTCAAATCCTACCCCTGCCTCTTGCTAGTACAGAATTCTGAGATCTTTTAAACTTTAGTATTCTCACTTGTAAAATGAGGATTAAAAATGACCACTTCACAAGGTGAGGTAAAAATTAAATGAGATTTTATGGTTTATAAAGTGCTTAGCAAAGTGTCTGGCACATAGTACATGCTCAATGAATGGTTACTATTATTTCAAGCTAAATCATAAACTATTTCAAGAGAGATTTTTATACTCTAAAGCTTTCTGTCTAATGTAGCAGTCAATATCCACATGTAGTGATGAAACACTTGAAATATGGCCAGTCTGAATTGAGATGGGGGTAGTACACACAGGATTTTTAAGACAGCAAAAAGGAAAAAAAAAAGAGTAAAAGTAATCCCAGCACTTTGGGAGGCCTAGGTGGGGGAATTGCTTGAGGCCAGGAGTTCCAGACCAGCCTGAGCAACATAGCCAGACCCCATCTCTACAAAAAATTGAATTAGCCGGGCATGGTGGCACATGCCTGTGGTCCCAGCTACTTGGGAGCCTGAGGCATTGCTTGAGCCTGGGATGTTGAGGCTGCAGTGAGCTGTGACTGAGCAACTGCACTCCAACCTGGGTGATAGAGCAAGATCCTGTCAAAAAAAAAAAAAAAAAAAAAAAAAAGAAAAAGAAAAAAGAAAAAATTCTCAACACTTTTTAATATTGATTACATATTGAAATGGCAATATTTTGGATATGTTAGGTTAAATATATTACTAAATTAATTTCAACTGTTTCTTTTTTACTTTTTAAAATGTGGCTACTATAAAATTTAGAATTATGTATGTGTCTTGTATATTTCTATCCAGCAGCACTGATCTAAAAGTCTTTGTTCCAGGACAGAATTAGGTATACAGATTACAGATGCTTAACTAATATTTGATTGTTTGGTATGGCTAAAGCTCTTCATCATTTTTAAAAACATTTATTTCTTTTTTCCCCTACCATGCCAATGTACATCATTTTATTACATTAAGGGACTGTATCTTTAAAAATGCATGCTTACAACAAATCTAGACAGATTTACAGAATGGAGTTATTATCAGAGCATTTCATATGCTATATTCATATTCACTCAATTTGTGTTTAATCATTTCCTTCTGCAAATCTGTGGTTCTAAGCATTGAAGCAAAGCTCTTCAGAGCATCAGTAAAGACTTGTACAATTAAGAATGGGGGCTCAGCCGGGTGCAGTGGCTCACACCTGTAATTCCAGCACTTTGAGAGGCCGAGGTGGGTGGATCATGAGGTCAGGAGTTCAAGCCTGACCAACATGGTGAAACCCAGTCTCTGCTAAAAATACAAAAATTAGCTGGGCATGGTGGCGCCTGCCTGTAATCCCAGCTACTCGGGAGGCTGAGGCAGGAGAATTGCTTGAACCCGAGAGGTAGAGGTGGCAGTGAGCCGAGATTGCACACTGCACTCCAGTCTGGGCGACAGAGCGAGACTTCGTCAAAAAAAAAAAAAAAAGAATGGGGGCTGGGCATGGTGGCTCACGCCAAGGTGGTAGGATCACTTGAGGCCAGGAGTTTAAGACCATTCTGGGCAGCATAGTGAACCTATCTCTCAGAAAGAAAAAGAATGGGGATGACTTCTTACGGACTAAGAAATCAGATTACTGAAATTAACCTTGGCAAATACCAATGAATCACTAATTGTTGGCAAGCCAACTGTGTTGTTATATTTAATGGGAAAATCATGATCACTGATGTTCTCTGTCTGGCTCCTGGATTTTCCGGCTCTTTTTAGCATATCTAACCGGAAGGACTCCAGGAAGCAACAGAAGAGTGCAAAAGGGAGACAAGAAAGGTGATCAGACTCGTTTATTTATTTATTTTTTGAGACAGAGTTTCACTTTTGTCACCCAGGCTGGAGTGCAATGGCGTGATCTTGGCTTATTGCAACCTCCGCCTCCTGGGTTCAAGCGATTATCCTGCCTCAGTCTTCCAAGTAGCTGGGATTATAGGTGCCGGCCACCATGCCTAGCTAATTTTTTTGTATTTTTGGTAGAGACGGGGTTTCACTATGTTGGCCAGGCTGGTCTTGAACTCCTGACCTCAGGTGATCCACTTGCCTCGGCCTCACAAATTGCTAGGATTACTGGTGTGAGCCACTGTGCCGGCTGACCAGACTCTTTTAAAAGAGTTTTATAAAGGAGTCCATTTAGTATTCCATAATGTTCTTTGAGCATGGAGTAAATGCATCTGATGGCTTCCAACACTGTCGGAATCCGAGCCAAACAACACCCTGCCTATGTTATTTTTTTTAGCCAATTGGACTTCCAGCAGAAAAAGGTCCCACTCAAGGAAGTGTCTGGGTTGGTTGTATTGTAAGTTTTTTGGTGGAAGTGGGAAGGGGGTTTGAATTTGGTTGTCTGAATTGTTTCAGAATGCACTACAGTGCTTCCTCCCCTTCTCCTATCCCTTGACTCCTCTCCAACTACCATTCACCACCACTACCAATGGTTAACATTTATTTAATGCTTACTACATACCAGGCACTTTTTTCAGTAGTTTACATCTGTTATGACTTCACTGGATACTTAAACATTTGAGTTAGATACTACTAACCTAATTTGAAAGGTGAAGAAACTGAGGCACAGAGTGGTTAAGTAAGTTGCCTAGTCGTGCAGGTAATATACAGAGCAGCCAGAAAGAGTAACCAAATCTGCCTGTCTTGGTGCTTGAAACTCTAGATGCTACAGCATCTGAAGATTCTGACTTCACACTGCAGAACTGTGAGGTTAGGGCAAGCCTGTGCCTACAGATTATTCCTTGAGCTGCTGTGACACCTGGAGGCATAGATTTGCTCACCTCCAAGCTTTGGTGGCCTTTGAGTAAATGTCAAAGGACTGCTAATGAATTATGGCACTTTCCTGAGTGCCTAAACAAGTTATTAATTACAGGGTATTATTTGAAATGTTTTGCAACATATAATGTTCATTAGTTTGAACAAAGGTATATATAATTTCTTGTAATAATATTTATTATGGATTTGTATTGTGTCTTTGGGTATTTTTTGGACCCTGAGGACATAGAAAAATGGCAGTATTACATCTATTTTGCAATCTCTTTGCAATCTTGTTTTCTTTCCATTCTCTTCCTGTATACTCTGCTCTCCAGGGAGCCCCCTAGCGTTTAGGCAGCCTTGGAGATGGGCTTGAGTCCATTAAAGTCTAGGGTGGAAAGAAAATTGAAATGGAGGAAAGCAGGAATGTGACCCAAGTATGGAAACTGTAGATACACTACTTTATTAGATTATATGTGCTTTTTAATTTTGAATCAGGATAGAGGAGGACTACGGGCTAAGCTCAGCTGGACTTTTTATGAGATATGTACAAATGCCCCTAATTTTTCTGTAGCAACAACCTGATTGATTTTGGGCAGTTTGCAGGTGTCGGGGATAACAAAGGAAATACATTTCCTCTGCTTAAAGATTTCATGCCCTAATGAAAGAAGGGAGAAACACCAATTAAATAGCGGTGTGTCCTTCACAGCTGAAGATGATTATATTGGGACAAATCAAGTCTTTATCAAAGACCATGGCATGATTAATTCATTAAATAGAATTGTCTTTACATAGTTTCCAAATTTGCCATTAGCTCATGGAATGTTAGAGTAAGACAGATTATCAGAGATATTCTAATTCAGTTTCTTCATCTTATACTGTATATAAGGAAACAAGCCCAGAAAAAAGTGTGAGAATCAAAGATGTGGTTTTCAGATTTCCACTCTTTTGGACTTTCTACTACAAATGACTCGACTTCTTTGCTAGTTTGAACTAAGCTTCCCGGTTCTTTTAGTGTTAATTTCAAATTGTTTCCAGAGCAGAGGATATCTCAGTACTCTGTCCAATAAGTTCATAAAATAAGAGTTATGAGTAAAAAGTCTTAATAAATCAGTAATTACCTCTTGCTATATAACGGCAAACAGTATCTTTATTCTAGAATTTTCTTTTTTTTTTGCCCGTTAATAAACATAAAAGCAAGCAGTCAAATGACAGCCTTTTTGCTTTGGCTAAGGATCGATTTATCTGCCCACTAGGATGGCACAAAACATACAGTAACTATAAACTGAATAATAACTAGAAATACATATACCCACACAAATAGATGGCCTATATATTTTGTTTAGGCAGATTATTCTTAGAATATTTATCAGTACATAGTGAGTCCTGAAGACTTTAAAACATAAGCTAATAGTTGGCTGAAATTTCAGATAAAGAATTATCAAATGTCTGATGTTGGGCAATCCAGTATTTCAGCTTCTTGTTCAGTAAAATTAAAAACACATGCTGGGGCAATGGGCTTGCTCTTTATTGTGCAGAGTGGTTACATGGGTGTAAGCACAGGTAAAAATTCACTGAGCTGTACACTTAAGATTTGTGCATTTTACTGTATATACATTATATCTCAAAATAAAACTAGAAATATAAGAAAAAGCCAACCACGACGGACTGAAAACAAACATACAAATTTGGACGTGCGATGATCTTTTAGTCATTATGGTTTCAGATTTGCTGTTAGTTACTGATTGATATTTAATCAAAGTGACGTGAAACACTTTTTCCCCTCTTGAGCTGATCGTTCAGTAAGCTAAGTTACTTAAAAGGATCTTGTGATCTTTTTATAAGACCAGAAAGCCTTTAATTTACCTGTTATTAAGTAAGATGGAGTAGTAACGGTTTCCAAAATTTGTATAACACACGATGAAGTCTCTAGGGGGCAGGGTAAACACAGATTTTTTTTTTCACTTCATCCTTCTCTGCGGCGATGTCTTTATGGAGTTCGTCAGGCAACGGTATCAGATAGCAAATGGGTTTTTAACTAATCTTTCCCTAAGGTACTGTAGTTCTATATTCTATCCTATAGATTCTCAAAATCCACTTTTACACTAGGATGCCACTGGAGGGCAGTTCTGATTTGGATATATCTTAAAAATGATTTGCTTTTATGTTTTCATCTCCCTGCGTTATAAAGCACCATCCTCTGAATTTGGTCGTTGCATCGGGTCAAAAGTTCTGCAGCTTGAAAAACCCTGCAAAAACATCCGGAAAGGAGGGAGAACACTACAACTCCCAGAACGCAATGCTTTCCCTCTCGCCAGCCTGTCCCCTCCAGCTGCTCAATGACCAGCCTCTGTGAGCCTCCTCTCAGCCCTATTGGTCAGTTTGCTCGTCAGTGAGTGAGGCGGAGGGAGGGGAGGAACAGAGAATCCCGGATGGTACGTTTCCCGCCACCGCGGGGCGCGCAGCGGAAAACCCGAAGAAGAAGAAGCTTTTGATTGGACAGTCGCTAGTCCGACCTCAGAGAACTCAGCCAATCATAATGCTTATATGCTCCCAAGGTCCCCGCCTCTTCCTCGAGGTAACCTTTGGTGGCGGGAAGAGTTCGGAAGTTTTCGCGCCGGGGTGGAGTCATCCTGGGAACCTCCACGCGACTTTGGTGGAGGTAGTTCTTTGGCAGCGGGCATGGCGGGTACCGTGGTGCTGGACGATGTGGAGCTGCGGGAGGCTCAGAGAGATTACCTGGACTTCCTGGACGACGAGGTGAGGGAGGCGCCGGCGCGCGGGCTCTAGCGCTCGGAGCCCCTGCGGACGCGGCCCGGCCGGGAAGCCAGAGGCCCGCCAGACCTCCAGACCGTGTGCCGCAGCGGAGCCTGCCGGGCCCGAGCCTCCAGCCCCAATCTTGTAACTTCTCAACGCCGGACTCGCTAGTTTGTGTTCGATAAGTGAACTCTTAGGAAGCCAGCTTTCTCTTAAGTACAAGCGATGGTCCGGGCGCGCAAAAGGCGACAGGTTCCCATTAAGTGCAAGCAGATTGGCAAAGCCCACCTCGGCCTTTTGCATTTCACTGCTCTCTCTTGATTTGAGGAGACTGTGGGGGAGGGGCTGCCCTAGGGCTATAGTGACCAGCCGCGTTGCAGAGTGCTCAGATTTTAGGGACTGACGTTTTACCTGGAGGAAAAGACTCCATAATTCGGCTGCATTCTTTTTCAATACCAACTAAGATGCAGATAAAAAGTGTTTTGTGTGCAGGCCAAGGGGATTTTATGTGCAACCCAAGACTTAAAGCCATAGAATGTTGAAAAAACCATCTTGAAGGGTTGATGATGTGACCAAATAGCTGAGATTCTCTATTCCTTTAGGTCGGGGTATGAGAACCCTTTCCGTATTATAGAGATGATTGGAAAAAATATTACTTTTTACATAATTCTTAAATGAAAAGCCATTTTAATGTGACTATTAAGAGTCTGTTTTATTTACATTTTTATTGTATATATTTGAAGTGCACATGTTTTGATATACATGGTGAAATGATTACTACAGTGAAACAACATATCCATCTATTCACGTTGTTACCTTTAACATTCACATTGCTAGGTTTAACTTAACATTTTAACAAAGTTTGCACTTACTGTCCATTTAGACTTCTCATGAGCTCATTTTAATTCTCCACTAAAGACAGAAATTACAGCATGCAGAAAAGTTGTCCATGATGATGGGAATAACAGCATGGACCTTGAGGAAGTCATTATAATTCTTATAGTCCCCTCTTAGGGTGTTATTTCGAATCTAAAAACAGTGAATGAAAGGGAGAAATTGATGAGCACATACTTACTGGGGATTCAGCTCTGCTGCAGAGATTGACTTAGCTATCTGGCTATGAGAACTACTTCTGTTTAGAAACATTGTTTTTAAATTTGTGGCTATGGTGATATGTGGTGGCTGTTTTGCAGGAAGACCAGGGAATTTATCAGAGCAAAGTTCGGGAGCTGATCAGTGACAACCAATACCGGCTGATTGTCAATGTGAATGACCTGCGCAGGAAAAACGAGAAGAGGGCTAACCGGTGAGAGGCAAGGGGATATACTGGCTGTCAGTGAGAATGGCTCCCTTCCCTCTTGGCCAGATTGGAACAGCCTCTCAGGAGAGGACTTGTATGAAACAGGATTGATCTACAAGCCCTCGTAGCTCACCTGCACCTATTTTTTTTTTTTTTTTTTTCAAAAAGTGGGTGGTTGGCATTTTCCTCCCAAATGCCCCTCCTTCCAATGTTTAGCTGAATATCATTTTTATATCTTTGATAAGTTGAGGTGAAGTTGGTCCTTAGTTCTGGTATTTTACTGAGTCTTATAGGATGGTGTTTTACTGAGACTTATAGGAGAAAGCAGAAGCTGGATTTTCTCATTGTTTTTAATGATCTAAGAATGTCTGCTGTTTTGAGGATCCATTTTTTTGAGTTCTGCCCAGTCTAATTTTTCTTTCTCTTGCTTATGTACAGGCTTCTGAACAATGCCTTTGAGGAGCTGGTTGCCTTCCAGCGGGCCTTAAAGGATTTTGTGGCCTCCATTGATGCTACCTATGCCAAGCAGTATGAGGAGTTCTACGTAGGACTGGAAGGCAGCTTTGGCTCCAAGCACGTCTCCCCGCGGACTCTTACCTCCTGCTTCCTCAGCTGTGTGGTCTGTGTGGAGGGCATTGTCACTAAATGTAAGTGGGTTAAAGGGGGCCGCTTAGGAAATGAATAGACAGGGAGATGGGGAAAGCAGGAGAGGCAAAGTAGATCTGGGTAGCTTGTGGCTTCAAAGAGGTGGAGCATTGGAATTACGTGGTAAAACTTGGAGGGCTCAGTGTGTACAATGATTGGGGGACCTTGAGTAATCACATGTATTAGTAGAATGATGAATTCTGCTGAGAGCTGGAGGAGTCTTGGTTCCTGGCAATCTCTAATTCCAACCTCTAACTCCACCTATTTATTAGTTGGGATTGGTGGTACTTAAAATTTTACATGGATATGGTGGTGGTCTATATATAAATAAAAAAGTGAATAAAAGGTAATATTGAAATATCGTAACCTAGTCAAAAAAACACAGTATTTGGAGTCATTATAGGCTTGCATATGTTTGGGTTCCACCTGTATCATCGTCTAGTTGGGTGAGTTTATATATGCACATTTTCCATCCCTAGGTTCTCTAGTTCGTCCCAAAGTCGTCCGCAGTGTCCACTACTGTCCTGCTACTAAGAAGACCATAGAGCGACGTTATTCTGATCTCACCACCCTGGTGGCCTTTCCCTCCAGCTCTGTCTATCCTACCAAGGTAAGGGGGATAAATCAGTTGAGCTGTCTTGGAGGTTGGAATCAAAGATACCTGTTTTAAGGCAAGGAATTGTGTAATATCTGAAGTCTTTTTTCTGTAAAGGGTGAAAAATAAGGATTAATCCAAAGGAAAGATTGATTGCAGGCCAGAGTTTAATATGAAAAGCCCACAATTCTTATTTATTTATTTATTTATTTTTAAAGATGAGGTTCTCCTATGTTGCCTAAGTTGGAGTGCAGTGGGTATTTGCAGGTGCAGTCATGGTGCACTAAATTTGCAAACTCCGGGGCTCAAGTGATCCTCCCAAGTAGTTGGGATTGCAGGCATGTGCTACGCCACCTGGCTTCACAATTCTTATTTTTTTTTTTAGAGACGGGATCTGTCTCTCTCAGGCTGGAGTGCAGTGGTGCCATTATAGAACACTGCAGCCTGAAACTCCTGGACTCAACGAATCTTCTCACCTTAGCCTCCTGAGTACCTGGGATTATAGGCATGCACCACCAGGTCCGCTAATTTTTTTTTTCACTTTTTTCTAGAGACAGGGTCTCGCTATGTTGCCCAGGCTGGACTGGAAGTCGTGGCCTCAAGTGATCCTCCTGCTTCCATCTTCCAAAGTATTGAGATTACAGACATGAACCACCATGCCCAGCCACAACTCTTATTATTTTTTTAAGAAAACACTTGTTCATTTTAGAAAATTAAGGAATAGTCAAAAGAAGAAGTCATCTACATAGATGTTTTAACAACGTTATAATTTTAGAATCTGCTTTTTAAAAAGTAGAAAAATAATGCTAGACTGTTATGTAATCTTTACAAATATTTTGTTGCGGGTTTGGGAGCAGGTTGGCATAGGAAAATGCTTTCTTCTTGGTGTTCAGATTGATCTGGATTGAGGACAATGCAAGGTTTTCCTCTGGAGACAAAAGATCATTTATATGGATTACTTGATGTCTGAACTGATTCTATCAAACAATTCCTCTCCTCCCCTCATCAAATTTTAATTGAGAACTACTGTATTCAAAGCACTATTAGGCGCTATGGAGGACAAGGATATAAATAAGACCCAGTCCTCGTCATTAGTCTTCACAGTGGTGGAGAAATGAAACATAAACAAAAACGAATGAATATCTTAGAATTATAACTTAAACATACTTTAGCATCATTTAGTCTACCTCCAGATGAAATGCTGAGATCAGAGAAGTTAAACAATTTGCTTACGGTCCCAGTTAGTGATGGCCTTAAGGACTAGGACCTGTGTCTCTTTAATTCATGCCAGTTGTATTTTCTAAGTCATTCTGTTGTCTTCTTCGGACCTTAAGATCTCCACTTTTTTAGAATTTCCTCTTCAGGAAGTACTTGGGAAGTACTCTTCTGTTGATTACTGTGGCCAAGCTTCTTTACTTGAAAAGTGAAATACATTGGACCAGATCTTCTGGAGGTTGTCTATGGTGATGCTTAAGAGCGTGGGCTTTGGAGTTAACACCTGTATCAAGTCAAGACTCTGCTACTTAACTGTGTGACCTGGGGGAACTTACTTAATCTCTCCTAGTCTCCTGGTTTCCTTGTGCATGACGTGTGAAAATACCTTCTTTACAAAGTTGTTGTGATAATTACATGAGATAATTTTGTGAAGTAATAGCACAGTGCCTGGCACATAGCAAACACTCAATAAGTGACAACTGTGTTTTTAGAAAATTCAAATGTGAAGGAAGTAAAACTTTAATATACGTACAGGAAAGCTCACATAAGTGTATAGCTTGATGAATTTTTACAAGCTGAGTACACCTGTGTAACCAGCTCCAAATGAGGAAATATTAGCACACAGAAGTCCCTCTTGAGGGCTCATGTTACCTAGGGGTAACCACTATCCTGATGTCTAACAGTATGGATTACTTTCAGCTGTTTTTTATTTAAATACTTATGGGCTTTTTATGCTCAACATTGTGTTTATGAGATTTATCCATGTTGTGTATAGGTGTGTTTCATACATTTTTATTGCTGTATAGTATTCATTTATGTGAATATACCGTGTTTAACCATTACACTATTGATGGCATTTTTACACTTTAAAATTTTTGACTACTAGGCATAATGTTGCTATGAGCATTACAATGCATGGCTTTGGGTGAATGTTTCTGTTGGGTATTACCTAGGAGTGGAAAAACTGCTTCAGAATGTAAGCATATATTCAGCTTTAGAGGGGAAGTAAGAATCTTAATTTAGATGTTAATATAACCATAGTCCATTCAGACTATGGGTTGCCCCTTCCATTCGATGGTTGTTACTAAAACAGACAGGAACACAAAAAGCTAGAGAAGGTACTTGGCTTTTTTTGTTACTGAATAATAAAATTTTATGAAGTCATCTTATTTGCCATGACAGGTGAGTGTGGCATTTTTAAGACAGGACGGAGATCACTCTGTCCCTCTGTGTGCCTTTTTCTAGGATGAGGAGAACAATCCCCTTGAGACAGAATATGGCCTTTCTGTCTACAAGGATCACCAGACCATCACCATCCAGGAGATGCCGGAGAAGGCCCCAGCCGGCCAGCTCCCCCGCTCTGTGGACGTCATTCTGGATGATGACTTGGTGGATAAAGCGAAGCCTGGTGACCGGGTTCAGGTGGTGGGAACCTACCGTTGCCTTCCTGGAAAGAAGGGAGGCTACACCTCTGGGACCTTCAGGTAAAGGGTCTGCCTTAAAGTATATGGAATGCTGTTGACAGCTTCCATTTCTGGTAATATCCTTTCTCCAGTTTGCCATATTCCAGAGAGTTATATCTGATAGGTGGAGCACTCTACCTGCCTGGGAGACAGGATACCTTCAATACCTCTTTTCTATCAGATAAAGCTGGTGATACTTAACCATCATATGCCAAAAATGAGAGTTATTGGTGACAATGATTACAGCCTCATGGCTTTCCTGGGAGTTTCTCATTTAATTACACTTCGTCCCCATACACAGTTCTGTCTGAAGTTCTGTGGGTCAATTCCAGAGGTGGGGCATGATCAGCATATTTGGATCACAGACAGAACCAGTTGTTTAATTCACAATAGCTACCTGCCCCCTCCCCACCAACTCTAATTGGCTGGTCTAGTTTGGCAGCCTAAAAAGGCTTACTCCTGCTAGGGGTACTAGCTACTGATGTTAGGAATTGAATATAACGGGTTTCCTCTTTATTCTGTTTGTCCCAGGACTGTCCTGATTGCCTGTAATGTTAAGCAGATGAGCAAGGATGCTCAGCCCTCTTTCTCTGCTGAGGATATAGCCAAGATCAAGAAGTTCAGTAAAACCCGATCCAAGGTCTGGGCATCCTTTAGAAATTTGAGGGTGGGAATGGATTTCTAAGAGTTGTGTTTTGGTGCATGGCTATTTTTGTACTAGATCAGAAGGAAGGGTTGAGGTTTGGTGTTAGCTTTTTCTATTTTTGTCTCAATCAACAAATGAAGGGTGTTTTTGCTGTTTGTTCTTTAGTAATTCTGTTGTTATTAAACAATTTTAATACCTGCTACCTGCTGGGCTGCTAAATGAGCCTAGTACAAATATTAGGATAGGTGTTAACTTGCCCGTGTACCAGTAAGTCTATTTATTACTGAAGGCGTTAGTGATGCATTACTACTTAAACATTTTTTCTTTGTTTTAGTTCTCCAACTTGTTTTTATCTTTTTAAGATAGGATGTATATCCACATTTAGAATTGAACTACATATATGAATGTGTGATGATAAAGGTTACTGTTCAAGCACAGTACATGTTCTTATTAAACCTAAAATGTTTTGAACCTGGGGATACTTTTTTCCCTTAAAGATTAAACCTCTAAACAAGTTTTGGAATCCAGGCTGCTCTGTGCCTACTCTGATAATGGCCTGATAGTGTAATTTGTCTTAGAAAATAATTTTTTGCAGTTAGGAACAATGTACCTGTTTGTGTGTTTCTTCAAGTATTTTCTTTTTTTTTTTTTTTTTTTTTTTTTTTGGTGAGACGGAATCTTGCTCTGTGACCGAGGCTGGAGTGCAATGGTGCGATCTCTGCTCACTGCAACCTCCGCCTCTTGGGTTTAAGTGATTCTCCTGCCTCAGCCTCCCAAGTAGCTGGGATTACAGGCGCACACCACCACGCCTGGCTAATTTTTTGTATTTTTAGTAGAGATGGGGTTTCACCATGTTGGCCAGGCTGGTCTCGAACTCCTGACCTCGTGATCTGCCTGCCTCGGCCTCCCAAAGTGCTAGGATTACAGACCTGAGCCACTGCGCCTGGCCCTCTTCAAGTATTTTCTATAGGCCAAAGTATATAAAGTGGAGCTCCACAAAGTCCCATTGAATCTCACTAGGCTTGCCATTGGTTATTTCTCCTGTAGGATATCTTTGACCAGCTGGCCAAGTCATTGGCCCCAAGTATCCATGGGCATGACTATGTCAAGAAAGCAATCCTCTGCTTGCTCTTGGGAGGGGTGGAACGAGACCTAGAAAATGGCAGCCACATCCGTGGGGACATCAATATTCTTCTAATAGGTACGATGTTGGGGATTTGCTTTAGACTGTTGTTCTGATGGAGTGGTTGTGGAGACCTATAATATGTAAGATTGTATATTCTGTACTTAGCAGTATTTCAGTCCTATCAAAGGACAAAAGGCTAAAATGAATCTTTTTTTTTTTTGTCATCTCTGGAATTCCTGATTTATAGTATATAAATATTCTTCCGTGAGTGGTGAAGGGAAAAGCGAAGGAAAAATATTAAAATCCACTTACTGTGTGACTCTGTTGTGTCAAGAGCTGTGCTAGAAAGGCAGAATTTGCTGGGGGTGCTGGGGAGTTTCCTAGAGAGTCATCACTGCCCCCACCCTACAGGAGACCCATCCGTTGCCAAGTCTCAGCTTCTGCGGTATGTGCTTTGCACTGCACCCCGAGCTATCCCCACCACTGGCCGGGGCTCCTCTGGAGTGGGTCTGACGGCTGCTGTCACCACAGACCAGGAAACAGGTAAGGGTGTAAGGGTCCTTGGCAAAGGCCCAGCAGAGAGCCTGAGCATAGATCCTTTGTGTGCCCTGGCTTGTGTTCTGAAGATACAGCTGATAGGTTAGTTGGGTCCAGATTATAGAGGACTGAGTATTCAGCAATGGTGGGTGAATTATTTAAGTCTTTGGTGTTCATCTATTTACAGGAATGTTTTCGATTTAAAGGATTAAGTCTTAGCACATTAGAAAGGAAATAAAAATGAAGATTGTACTATTTTATGAACTAGAGGAAGGGATTTGGAGACCAGTGAAGAGAAGGCAGAGGTCTAGTTGGGGTATTACTTGAGGTTGAGGCCGAAGAGAGAATCTATGAAGGAAATTTGTGAGAAGCTAGTTACTTAGGGGTCAAAGTGGGACAAAGAGATACTATTAATATTTAGATTAGAGCTGAAAAGGTGACCCACCAGGGTTTCCTCTAAGTTTCTCGGAGCCAACACACCATTGCCGCATTCTCACGTGCAAAGTGAGAGATTCCTAGGAAGGAGATTGAAATCCTTCCCTTCTGGCCCCTATAACCTAGACTGTAGCACGTATTTTTACCTTCTCACTTCCCAGGAGAGCGCCGTCTGGAAGCAGGGGCCATGGTCCTGGCTGACCGAGGCGTGGTTTGCATTGATGAATTTGACAAAATGTCTGACATGGATCGCACAGCCATCCATGAAGTGATGGAGCAGGGTCGAGTGACCATTGCCAAGGCTGGCATCCATGCTCGGCTGAATGCCCGCTGCAGTGTTTTGGCAGCTGCCAACCCTGTCTACGGCAGGGTAAGTGGAATCAGGCCCCAACCATTGTCCTCACCTTCATTTGGTTTTGCTGACTAACTGGGCTGAGAAGTGTATTCTAGGTGACCCAGGGGAATAATAGGCCAAAGACTAAAAGTAAGGCCATTTTCTTGTTATTGTCCTTTGTTTAGAGCAGTGTTCCTCACCCATTCCTGCACAGCAGAATCCCCTGGAAAGTTCCTTATTTAAAAGTAACTTTTTAACAGTACAGTTAAACAGTCCATTTAACATATTTAACCGTCCATTAAATAAAAGGACTACATGCATGTGGCGGGAGAATTTCTAAACAGAACAGGTATATAGTATGAAAACGAAAAGACTTGCTTCTCTCTCCTGTCACTTTGCCAAGAAATAACAGCTTTGAAGTGTTGCAGGAAACAAAACTTTAAGCATGTACCAGCAAATACACTATTTCCTTGTTAAGAATTATCTCTGTTTTTACCATGACTGTGATGTGCTAGATATAATCTTTTATATTTGTCTGTGCGTGGGGTTTGTTGAGTTTTTCCTTTTAAAAAAATAGATTTCTAGTATTCCGTCACAGGGATGTATTTAACTAGTCTCCATCTGATGGGTATTTAGTGGTTTCCATTTTTTCCTCCCTATTTTGAATGAAGCTGTAGTGGCCATCCCTTTATGTGTGTGGATAGATTTGGGAATATATCTGTAGTATAAATACCTAGCAAGGAAATTACTGGATTAAGAGTTATGTGCATTTTTCTTTTGGTAGAGATTGCAAAATTACCCTCTTTAAAGATTGTACCATATTAATACTTCTATTAATGAATGCTCATAAATGCTTTGTATTTACCAACTCCTTTTATCCTATCAGTAACTACCTCACAATGTGTAGTTATCTTTATTTTACAGATGAGAAAATGGAGGTACAAAAGATTATGTAACTTGCTCAAGAGCCACAAACTTGAAAATCGCAGAGCCAGGATTTGAGCCCAGAGCTCATGCTGTGTCCTGGCAGTTTATAATCAATCCCACAGTGTATGGGAACACCTTGTTGCGATGCGATGGTGTTTTTTATACATACAGTTGCATGGTCCCCCGTTCAGAGTTTCTGAATTAAAATCTCTTGAGTTGGAGCTCTTGGTAGCTATGGTTTAGAAGGGCTCCACAGGTTTGGTTTTAATGTGTAGCCAAGGTTGAAAACCATAGCTTTTAAAATTAATGATAGGGCTGGGCGCAGTGTCTCATGCCTGTAATCCTAGCACTTTGGGAGGCTGAGGTGGGAGGATCACTTGAGCCTAGGAGTTTGAGACCAACCTAGGCAATATAGTGAGACCTCATCTTTAAAAGTAAAATAAAATAAAATAAATGATAATGTATGTTTATGTCATTCTCAAGAGTGATTGGGAAATACAAGAAAAATGGCAGGACCTGAAACGTGAACATGGTCAAAATCATTATTACCTAAAGGTTGTTATGTTCTCTGACTGTGAAGTGTATGTGGATGGGTAAGTATCAGTCCAGTAGGCCCAGAATTGAAAGGAGAGTATTGGGGTTTTTGAATCCCAAGGAAAAACTCCCTTGATTTTTTTTTTTTTTTTCTGAGACATAGTCTTACCCTGCCACCCAAGCTGGAGTACAGTGGAGTGATCCTGGCTCACTGCAGCCTCGACCTCCCTGGGCTCAGGTGATCCTCCCACCTCAGCCACTTGAGTAGCTTGGACTACAGATGCGTACCACCATGCCTGGCAAATTTTTTTTTCTTTTTAAGTTTTTATAGGGACAGGGTTTTGCATGTTGCCCAGGCTGGTCTCGAACTCCTGGGCTCAAGCAGTCCACCTGCCTCAGACTCCCAAAGTGCTGGGATTACAGGTGTGAGTGGATGTGCCTGGCCAGTTTCTAAGATGTTATGATATATAGATCATTGACCATTTTAGTTGAGGTTTTACTTGTATCTTCTGAGTAAGGGACTCCAAAAAGTTCTAAGTGCTTGTAGCCTAACCAACTTGCCCTGTCTTTATGACAGGTAGGGGAAAGGGATCATCTTTCAGAGTCAGGTCCTGCCTTGGGAATGAGAAGAGCAGAATAAGGTTTGGGAAGCAGGGGCCTGGTTTTCAGACCTACACTCAGCCTGTTAGAGGTTCCTGTAGTAGAAAGTGGGGCTTCCTAGGAAGCTCAGTTAAAGAAGGGTTGCAGGTAGAAGAGATGATTTACATTGTTTAATGGCTTTAAAACACTTCCCTTTTTCACTGCTTTTTGTCTGTTTTGCTCTTTGAGGTCAAGCCTTTCATTCCCACTCCCAGAACTGCAGCAGCCTTGTTGTTCTTTCTTCCTATTGATGTCATGTCCACTTCTGTTGTCCTCGCATTCCCCAGTATGACCAGTATAAGACTCCAATGGAGAACATTGGGCTACAGGACTCACTGCTGTCACGATTTGACTTGCTCTTCATCATGCTGGATCAGATGGATCCTGAGCAGGATCGGGAGATCTCAGACCATGTCCTTCGGATGCACCGTTACAGAGCACCTGGGGAGCAGGATGGCGATGGTGAGGCCATAAGAATAGTAAGAGTAACTAATGGAAAGGCGCTAAACAGATGGTAGTTTCTCAGGCCCAACCCAGGTGGTGGTAGGTGTTTCAGTGTCCGGGTTGATGTTGAAGAGCCCTCAACTGTTTAGCCACCTCCCCTTCTTGCTTAGTGGAGGGTATCCTAAGGTGTGTCTTTTGTCCATTTCTGGGTCTGGGAATAACTGAGCATCTTGTGTGAGCCAGGCAGTTCCACTATCTTTATTTGTGGGTTCCATGTGTCTGATTCTTTTTGGGCCCTTTCTTTATGAATCTTGGTGTCTCCCCTTCTTGTGCTATAGAAGAAGCAATTTCCCCTGGGTTAAACTCTTTATTACTCTCCTTTCTCCTAACTTGGGTATACCAGCTATGCCCTTGGGTAGTGCTGTGGATATCCTGGCCACAGATGATCCCAACTTTAGCCAGGAAGATCAGCAGGACACCCAGATTTATGAGAAGCATGACAACCTTCTACATGGGACCAAGAAGAAAAAGTGAGCATTCTCATAACTCTTCCTCAAGGGAACCTGAAATATGTGTTATATTAGAGCATGTGTATATCTAAGCTTAGCTAAGGCCTTATATGCCCAGGTCAAAGCCATGCCTGGAGTCATAACCACGTGGATTAATTTTCTTCTTTTCTGGGTCCACAATATATCCTTTATCCTGGCCAGTTGCCTTGTAAATGTTTAGGTGATTCAGCGCAGGTTCAGGTCTTTTCTTAAAATAGAGTTTTGATGATACGCCTGATGGTGGGTGTGCCTTATATATGAAAGATGGCAAGTGTCATGTAGCCATTTGTGATGAAGGGTCAGCAGATAGCAAACATTTGAGACTTTGTAGGTAGACTTGGTGAAGGAGACGTGTGATCAGGTGCTCAAAGCATGAAATGTGGGATCTTACACCTATTTTTGGCCATGATGCAGTAAGAAGCATAGCATAATCTTCAAAGCTGTTGGTTTAAGAATGTAGAATTTGGAGTCAGAAAACTTTTAGTCAACTTGAGCTTCTCTGAGCTGTAGTTTTCCCACCTACAAAATAGAGCAAATAATACCTAAACTTTCTGCCTAAACTACCTAACTTACAAATAATACCTGTAATAATTAAATAAAAATATGTGAAAGAGTCTTGTCTATGTTCCATATAAATGGGAGTTATGATAATGGGTTCTAGGCTTTGTTTTGACCCTGGCTTTTCTGAGAGGCAAAGCCACTAATCCAGGCAGGTGGTAAGGTGTGGCAGGGAGATGGAATTCACTGTGTGTGGCTCCAGGGAGAAGATGGTGAGTGCAGCATTCATGAAGAAGTACATCCATGTGGCCAAAATCATCAAGCCTGTCCTGACACAGGAGTCGGCCACCTACATTGCAGAAGAGTATTCACGCCTGCGCAGCCAGGATAGCATGAGCTCAGACACCGCCAGGGTGAGTGCCTGGGGGAGCCTAGGCTTGGGGTCCCTTAGGTATATGGCTGGGCAGGAGTCCCTGCTATCTGGGAGCTTTGAAAGCATTTTAACTTAGTGACTTTTTTCCTGGTCTGAAGGGCTTCCTGTTATACAATTTTAATCATTTCCTTTTATAAAGGAAAATGAAATAAGGACCCCAGAGATAACATGTCTCTTATTAGTTAAAATGACATTGGCCTCCAGAAGCTGTGATTCATTCAGCAAACATAGGAGTGACTTCTGGGAAGTGACCTAGTCTTTCCTCTTACAAGCAATGTAAAATTAATAAACACTCTTTTCAAAGAGCTCAGATCCGGAGCGGGGGAAGCACAAAGGTAGATAGAAAGACTTCCGTACATATTTATAAATATTTACCCCAGTGTGGTACTTACAAAGGAATGAACGTGAAAGGCTATTTGAGCATAGACGAATAAACTGTTAATTTCTTTTAGACTTCCCTGAAGGGGTATGAATGTCAAGGAAGGATTCCCAGAGAGTATGATATTTGGACTGGACTTTGAAAAAATGACTAACAGGCAACCATGATGGTTATTCAAAGCAATTTCTGGTAACCTAATATAGGTGTCCATGAATTTGTCTAAATCTTTTTTTTGTTTTGTTTTTGTTTTTGTTTTGGTGAGACAGAGTTTCACTCTTGTTGGCTAGGCTGGAGTGCAATGGCGCGATCTCAACTCACTGCAATCTCCACCTCCCTGGTTCAAGCGATTGTTCTGCCTCAGCCTCCTGAGTAGCTGGGATTACAGGCATGCACCACTACACCCGGCTAATTTTGTGTTTTTAATAGAGACCAGGTTTCTCCATGTTGGTCAGGCTGCTCTGGAACTTCCTACCTCAGGTGATCCGCCCGGCTTGGCCTCCCAAAGTGCTGGGATTACAGGTGTGAGCCACCATGCCCGGCCCAAATTTGTCTAAATCTTTTAGGGGCAGTGTAGTTCACATAGGATTTTACAGCAGAAAGACCCAAGTCCAGAACTCTTATTATGTTACATAGACATAGATTCTTGGATTAGACATGATCCCAGATCATCTACTCAAGCCTCACCCACTCTGTCTTTTCAAATCCCTGCTGGGACTTTTTTTTTGAGATGCGGTCTTGCTGTGTTACCCAGGCTGGAGTGCAGTGGCATGGTCTGGGCTCACTGCAACCTCCGCCTCCCGGGTAGGTGGGACTACAGGTGCGTGCCACCATGCCCGGCTAATTTTGTATTTTTAGTAGAGACGGGGTTTCACTGTGTTGACCAGGCTGGTCTCAATCTCCTGACCTCGTGATCCGCCCATCTCGGCCTTCCAAAGTGCTGGGATTATAGGCATGAGCCCGGCCGGGACTTCTTAATACCCCCAGTGACAGCATGCGCAGAGCATCACTGTTTTGAAATTTTAGAATATTTATTAAGCTTAAACCTATTTTCCCACAACTTTTACCTGTGGGTGTTAGTCTTGTTTTCTGGAGGTTGTGTATCGCCTGTCTTCCTCATTAAACAGCTTACTTTCTTTTTAACTGTTCCTTTCCACATGCGAACTTCTGGTGTGTCCCAGGCCCTCTCATTGAACCTAGAACTGAGCGTCATACACTATTTTAATTGTCTTAGTGTGGGGTCTGTAAGTGAATTCCAAGAGAATTTGGATTCTCTAGGTCTGCTAGTGCAGGCCAGGATTTCACCAGCTTTTTAGGTGGTTTAAGAATTAGAACTTGTCATGGAGTGTATGACTTCCAAACTCCGGTAGCTTTCTAAATTATTACAAGATTTGATGAATGAATTTAAATGTGAATGTATTTATTTTTGAATGTCATTGTGGATATACATGGTAATTTAGGAAACTTGAAACAAGAAGTGACCAGGATACGTCAGTGATGGGGTCATATAATGGGAGACCCGGGAGGTGTGACAGAAGGAAGTAGTTTCTTTTTTTTTCTTTTTTTTTTTTTTTTTGAGATGGAATCTCGCTCTGTTGCCCAGGCTGGAGTGCAGTGGCATGATCTTGGCTCACTGCAACCTCTGCCTCCCGGGTTCAAGCTATTCTCCTGCCTCAGCCTCCTGAGTAGCTGGGATTACAGGCATGCGCCACCACACCGGGCTAATTTTTCTTTTGTATTTTTAATAGAGATGGGGTTTCACCATGTTGGTCAGGGTGGTCTCAAGCTCCTGACCTTGTGATCCGCCTGCCTTGGCCTCCCAAAGTGCTAGGATTACAGATGTGAGCCACCACGTCCGGGCTGGAAGTAGTTTCATGTCTGATCCCAGCTCTGCAGCTAGCTTTTGGACTGTGGACAAATCCTTTCACCTGTCAGGTCAGCTTTCTTATCCATAAAATGAGAGGATTGGATACATCAGAATCACCTGAAACTTGTACACATATCTAGTCCTAAACACTGAGATTTCTGATTCATTCATTTCCAATTCATTCTGATTGATTAGGTCAAGAAAGGCCATTCAGACAATAGCATTTTAAAAGATAAAGGCATCCCAGTTTGGTATTCATCGGCCCCTGTGAGAAACATTTGTTAGGAATGTGTCAGAGTTCTCCTTCTCCGGACTGAGTTTACTGAAGTTACGTTTTTGTCCTCAGATTACTTCTTTCCTATCCCTCCTTTAGTGTGACTTTGGAAAATCTCCTTGAAGGTCTTTGAGTCCCATTTCCTTCATGTATAAAACTTCTCCAAGTTATTAAGAGGGTGAAATGACAGAATGTATATAAAGGCAAACTTCCTGCTGCATTGCAGGCCTGCAATCACTGATGATTTTTCTCCCTTCTCTTTTCTACGCTGTAGCTTTTTATCTTTCCAGTTGTTAGATGCCTAATCTTCCCTGTTCACTTGCTCCTCCTTCCTGCAACACTCTTGTGTATATTTCCTTGATCATTGCTATCATCTTTCTCATTTTTATATGGTATCTGTAGAGAACACAGAACTCTGAATTCTTTGCTTGGGCCTCCTGGGGCTTTTCTGGTAGTGTCATTTCCCTTTCTGTGCAGTAGGATTGATGGGCATGCCTAAAAGACTTGGGATAAGCAATCCTCCCTTTTCTTCCCTAGACATCTCCAGTTACAGCCCGAACACTGGAAACTCTGATTCGACTGGCCACAGCCCATGCGAAGGCCCGCATGAGCAAGACTGTGGACCTGCAGGATGCAGAGGAAGCTGTGGAGTTGGTCCAGTATGCTTACTTTAAGAAGGTGAGGATTCAGATGCCTGGGCATGAGAGGATCTCCTGGATATATTACAGATGCATGGGCTTCCCAGCCTTCCGTGGCTGACGGCTACATTTGGATTGTCAACAGAAAGCAGTATTTGTCTTCCAGTCATCAGTCTGCCTCACTCTTTCCTCTGAAACACTCAGTGATTCTCAACCCTGACTGCACCAGAGAATCAGATGGAAAGCTTTAAAATGCTGATTCCAGGGCTCCTAGAGATTCTGGTTTAGTTGATGTGCTGTACTTTCAGTTAGCTGCTTCTCTGTCTACCCCTACTTCCTTTGCATCTTAAAAAAAAAAGTAGGTGTTTTCAAAAGAGCTACCTTGGTAATCTTCCTTGTCCCACTCTACCTTTCCTCTTGGTAGTCTCTTCAAATGTCCCATTGGCACCTCAGAAGCTCATGTTTAAAGTTGAACTCTCAAACTTGCCACTCATCCTGTTTCCCTATTTCTGTTTGTGACATTGCACCTCTGTCATTTTAGATATCAAGCCTCAAAGCCTAGACTCCCTTTTCCTAGTTGCCCACTCCCACCCCAGTCTGGTGAATGTTAGCCTTTTGGGGTTGAGTTGTGAGTCTAATAAACTCTTCCTTGCTTTTTGCTAGGTTAAGGGTTGAGTTGTGAGTCTGATAAACTCGTCCTCACTTTTTGCTAGGTTAAGGGTTGAGTTGTAAGTCTGATAAACTCTTCCTCGCTTTTTGCTAGGTTAAGGGTTGAGTTGTGAGTCTGATAAACTCTTCCTCGCTTTTTGCTAGGTTAAGGGTTGTCTTGGATTTCAATTAGACACCTGATTTATAAGGAAATGGATTGTTTTCACTTAACCATTATGGGCTAGACATTTGTTTCTTTATTCAGTAAACATTTATTGAGTACCTACTATATAAACAGCATTTAACATACTTCCCAGCATTTTGAAAAGATGGGTAGCAGTCTCTACTTCTGCCCCTGGTCCTGGGACTTAGGGACAAGAGGAGCTAGGTAAACCATTGGAAACATGGAAGTCTTTCCTGCTTATGATGCAGAAGGGACTGGGAGTTCTTGATGCAGTTCCCCTGCATCAGTGACCCCTCTAGCCCAGCCACACTTGCCTTGGTCTTAGGTTCTGGAGAAGGAGAAGAAACGTAAGAAGCGAAGTGAGGATGAATCAGAGACAGAAGATGAAGAGGAGAAAAGCCAAGAGGACCAGGAGCAGAAGAGGAAGAGGTAAGGTGGGGCAAGCAAATGAGATTAAAAAGTTAGTGGCCAAGAAGTTGGGGGTGCACGCCTGTAATCTTAGCAATTTGGGAGGCCGAGGCGGGTGGGTCACTTGAGTCCAGGAGTTTGAGACCAGCCTGGGAAATATGGCAAAACTGTCTCTACAAAAAATAGAAAAATTAGCTGGGCGTGGTGGCGGACACTTGTGGTCCCAGCTGCTCGGTAGGCTGGGGTCGGAGGATTGCTTGAGCCTGGGAGGCAGAGGTTGCAGTGAACCAGGATCGTGCCACTGCACTCCAGCCTGGGCGACAGAGAGAGATCCCATCTCAAAAAAAAAAAAAAAAAGTAGTAAGTTCCAGTGGGACTGGGGAGAGAAGTAGAGGGTAGAAGGTGGAACCAGCGCTGCTTATTGATGTCAGGTTGTTCATGGAGAGTGTTCCTAGACCTGCGGGGTTTGAGGATGAAGATAACCTGGGTAGGCTGGGCGCGGTGGCTCACGCCTGTAATCCCAGCACTTTGGGAGGCCGAGGCAGGCGGATCACGAGGTCAGGAGATCAAGACCATCCTGGCTAACAGTGAAACCCTGTCTCTACTAAAAATACAAAAAATTAGGCTGGCGTGGTGGCAGGCACCTGTAGTCCCAGCTACTTGGGAGGCTGAGGCAGGAGAATGGCGTGAACCCAGGAGGCAGAGCTTGCAGTGAGTGGAGATCACACCACTGCACTCCAGCCTGGGTGACAGAGTGAGACTCCGTCCGTCTCAAAAAAAAAAAAAAAAGAAGATACCCTGGGTAAAAGAGAAGGAGAGCGAGTCCTTCTTGTGTGCTTTTGACCCCTCTACTGAAGAAATGCTAAATAGTAGGAACAGCAACCCAACCACTGAGGGTTTTGAATATATACTTCAAAATTCTAAGGGAAAAACCTTCATGCTTATAGTTGAATTTATAAGGGTGAGTGATGTGGAAAAGAGCGTTGGGAAGCAGCGCCTGTTTGTGTTCTAGTCTGGGGACTTGGTCTCGTTTGGAACAAGCAGCAGTTTGCAAAGGCCTAAGCCTAGTGCTTCACTTTGACTTAGTGGTTCTGTTTCCTTTTCTCCGTAGTTAGAGGCACGTGATGGGGCTTCCTTGCCTTTCTGTCTCCAAACTCTTTCTCTCTCTTAACTGCTGTGGGTATTTTAGAAGGAAGACTCGCCAGCCAGATGCCAAAGATGGGGATTCATACGACCCCTATGACTTCAGTGACACAGAGGAGGAAATGCCTCAAGGTGAGTGAGCCCACTTACTGATGAAAGAGGTTGTTCCTGTGACTCTTGGACTTTTCCAGTTGCTCTGTGCACTTTATTTTCTTGTGGACTCCTGTTTGTTTGGCTCCCTGCTTGGGGCCTATGTCCAAGAGGTTTGTCCCAAGAGAGCTTCAGGGGAAACTTTGGAAAAAGCTTTGCTATATTATATACACCTCCTTGATGAACTGTGCTGTGCTGTTTCACCTGGTATAAGCATTTCAGATAATATATACATTGAGGGTCTCCTGCCTGACTAAATTCCTTCATCATCCAATGAAGATTTCCCTATATCCTAATTGTTCTGCCTGGCCCCATAAGAACCCTAGGAAATAGGAGTGTTCAGCAGGCTGAGTGAGAGATTGGGAGTGGAGATGATTTCTCTAGTGTTTGTGGAAATGGCTTCACCTTGCTTATCTTCCCCATCTCTACAACCATCAACCCTCTGAAGTACACACTCCAAAGACGGCAGACTCACAGGAGACCAAGGAATCCCAGAAAGTGGAGTTGAGTGAATCCAGGTGAGTACGGATGTTGCTCCTGCCCCTTCAAGAATTCTGTGTATCGCTGAGGAAGGGACTTTGTTCCCTTGGAGAGGGTGGGAAACAAACTGCTGGTCATCAATAGAACTCAAAACTAGAGGCCTGCAGCTTTTAACATTTTATATTCTCATTTAATTTCAAACTTACTGAAAAGTTATGAGAAAAGCATGAAGAACTTCTGGATGTCCTTTACCCAGAATCTTCAGTTGTTTAAATTAATAATTCTCTCTTTCTGAGAGAGAAGAGTTTTACAATAAGGATAAAACTTAATGTCTTACTGTAACCTCAGATTCTTCTTGGTGGGATAGATACATTTTGGCCATTTGTTTTTGAAATGAAGAATTTTTACCACCAGGGTTTTAGGAAACATTTTTATCTATGAATTTTGTTTACTGGACACCAAGAAACTCCATAGCCAAGTTTTACGTTTTTTCTTTTTATACTTTAAACACATAATACAGTGTATTTACTGAAAAAAATTTGAAACACATTGAAAAGTATTTAGAAAAAAAATTAAAATCAATTGTAACTCTATCCCTCAAGGACAACCATCAACTGTATCTTAAAATGCTTGAATCAGCTCGTATAGATCTCACTTTTTTTTTTGAGACCGGAGTGCAGTGTTTATTTTTTACTTTTTTACAGTGTTTATTTTTTACTTTTTGTAGAGACGGGATCTCACCATGTTGCCCAGGCTGGTCTTGGACTCCTGGCCTCAAGCAGTCCTTCTACCTGAGCCTCCCAAAAGGCTGGGATTACAGGCATAAGCCACTGTGCTTGTTTGATCTCATTCTTTTTAATGACTGCAGGGTTTCCATGGTATGGATGGGTAAAAATTTAATGAAATTCTCTGATGATAGACATTTGGGTTGTTCCCTGTTTACAGTAAAACAGTATTAAATTTATCAGTGTGCACTCATGCAAGTATAGCTATAAGGTGAGTTCCTAGAAATGGGCTCCCTGGGCCAAAGGATATACGCTTTTAAGGGTTTAGTAAGTGCTGTTAAATTGTCCCGCATTGACGCTGACCGGGTTACTATTTTACAGTGAATGGGAATGCCAATTTCCCACACGCTAGTACAATAGTTTAGCTTTAAAGGGGGCTCCTCAAGGGTAGCACTGCCATCAGAGGCAGATGTGTGTGTGAGAAAGAATATTGAGGGGACGCCTCTACTGTATTAATACTATGGATTTTCCTAGTATAGCTGTTTCCTGAGAGCATTTGGGTTTGTTTACTCCTCTTCCCCCTTTCTTCTGTCTGGGGCAGGTTGAAGGCATTCAAGGTGGCCCTCTTGGATGTGTTCCGGGAAGCTCATGCGCAGTCAATCGGCATGAATCGCCTCACAGAATCCATCAACCGGGACAGCGAAGAGCCCTTCTCTTCAGTTGAGATCCAGGCTGCTCTGAGCAAGATGCAGGATGACAATCAGGTCATGGTGTCTGAGGGCATCATCTTCCTCATCTGAGGAGGCCTCGTCTCTGAACTTGGGTTGTGCCGAGAGAGTTTGTTCTGTGTTTCCCACCCTCTCCCTGACCCAAGTCTTTGCCTCTACTCCCTTAACAGTGTTGAATTCAACTGAAGGCGAGGAATGTTGGTGATGAAGCTGAGTTCAGGACTCGGTGGACCCTTTGGGAATGGGTCATGAAAGCTGCCATGGGGTGAGGAAAGAGGAGACAGTGGGAGAGGACAATGACTATTGCATCTTCATTGCAAAAGCACTGGCTCATCCGCCCTACTTCCCATCCCACACAAACCCAATTGTAAATAACATATGACTTCTGAGTACTTTTGGGGGCACAACTGTTTTCTGTTTGCTGTTTTTTTGTTTTGTTTTTTTTCTCCAGAGCACTTTGGTCTAGACTAGGCTTTGGGTGGTTCCAATTGGTGGAGAGAAGCTCTGAGGCACGTCATGCAGGTCAAGAAAGCTTTCTTTGCAGTAGCACCAGTTAAGGTGAATATGTATTGTATCACAAAACAAACCCAATATCCAGATGAATATCCGAGATGTTGAATAAACTTAGCCATTTCGTACACATGGTCTTAATAGTCATAGTGTGTTTTTTATACATAACATTGAATTGTTTTCCTTGAGAGCAATCGTGCAGGGTTTGCTGCTCCCGCATTTGCAGCAAACTACCACAAGGTGGCAGCAGCCTGCTGTGATCTCTGGGGGTCATGTCTTCTCTAGAGGCAGTTTTCTTCTTCAGCAGCACCAGCGTTTATCAGTCAAAATTGATAGTATAGACCAAACCCTGCCAATTTAAAATAGCTAAATGGCCACGGGAGGCTAGTGAGTAAAAGTTCAGGAGAAGAATTGCCCCTCTGCCTGGCGCTTTTTGCCTGAATCTAAACTTATCCTTCATAAAGATAGAATACCCGATACGTCAGACACCTCAAAATCCTGGGAGTTCTTGCCCATAATGAGATCTTGTTACAGTATCTTTTTTTTTTTTTTTTTTTTTTTTTTTGAGACAGGGTCTCGCTTTGTGCCCAGACTAGAGTGCAGTGGTACAATCACAGCTGATGACAGCCTTGACCTCCTGGGCTCAAGTGATCCTCCTGCCTCAGCCTCCCTAGTAGCTGAGACCACAGACACGTGCCATCATGCCCCGCTAAGTTTTTATTTTTAATTTTTAGTAGAGATGAGGTCTGTCTGTTGCCCAGGCTGGCCTTGAACTCCTGGACTCAAGTGATTCTCCCATCTCGGCCTCCTAAACTGTGAGATTATAGGTGTGAGCCACTGTGCCCAGCCTACAGGATGCTTTTGAAACTACCTGGGTGTCCACTCTTTGGGGTTGGTTAGCCTGTTTGCACAGAAGCTTGTGATGGGGCCAGGGCGGGACTTCTGTCCTACCGTTATATGGTTTGAATAGCTTCTGAAGAATTTTTCAAGTTACTTAGAAGAATCATGTGACTTTATGGGGGGCCTCGGTCACATGGACCGGAAGCTGCTTTCTGGTGGCAGATGTGGCTCTGAAGTTGTGCCAGTTCTTGGCTGTAAGATTGCTGAGGTATTTTCTTTTCCATTTTTGCTGAGGGGTGATCCTTTACCACAAAGCAGGAGATATTCTTTGGTTCGTTAGGACAAAGGGATTTTTTTCTTAAAGGGAGTAGTACAAAATTATTGGGGAATTCTGTTTTATCTGGGATTTTTTTTTCCCCCTCACTGATGCGAGCGAGATCTAAGTCCTACTGGAAGTGGTCTAGAGAGCACAGTTTCAAAAGAGAGTGCAGTGGTACCAGAAGGAAGAATTTGCCATTTGTTGAGCATTGGCAATAAGTCAGAAGTTGTGCTAGGTATAGCAGTGGGTGCAAAAGTGGCGCTTTCTGCTCTGAGGCTTCTAGGCTGGGGATATGTCAATATGTTGGTGAAAATTTCAAAATATAAAGTGTACAGCTGGGCACGGTGGCTCATGCCTGTAATCTCAGCACTTTGGGAGGCTGAGGCAGGCGGATTGCTTGAGTCCAGGAGTTTAAGGCCAGCCTGGGCAACATGGCGAGACCCTGTCTTTATTAAAAAAAAATTAAGTATGATTATATACCAAATGAGGGCACACACAGAGATATAGGAATCCAGGGAGGACCATGAGGATGTCAGGTGCTACTGATGGGGTACAGCTATGAAGAACAGTTCTAGGAGTTCTTAGGGATCTCCTCAAGTGATTTGTTCTAGAAAGGCAAACATTCTGTCAATGGGACTCTTAGTCTGTCCTTCACCTCTGAGGAAACTGAGGCACAGAGTGGGGGGATATGTGCACCTACCATTGTGATAATAGCTGTAATATCAGGTTGACTTTGCTGACCATTTCATCACTCTTCAAGCTAGTCAAAAGAATAGTAGGTAGAAGACTATAGCAGCCACAATAGATACTAATTGTATTAAAATAGCATGATTCAACCTTTACATTGAGTTTTAAGAAACTTGTTTATGTAGTTCCCAGCTTACAAGAACAGAAAAGAGCTGGTAAGCTTTTCCAGGATAGGTTCTTGCTTGTTGACAGGTGATCCACTGCAGGACCTACTGTGGGGACCTGAAAGAGGCTGCTCAAGTGGGCTGACATGTCTCAAGTCCAGTCACCCCTGAGGGTATCGCTGTTGCCACCCTGCAGAGATTGCAGTGGTGACCCAGATTCACCAGAGAAAACTGCTAAATTATCTGCGTGCCTCATTCCAAAAGAGAAGTCTGTTTACATTTAGGTTTGTGGTCTGAAATACTGTAGTTAAAATAATTTGGGGAGCTTAGAGAAGTAAGTTTTTGTATCTTGAAAAATGGCACCTTATTCCTTAACTCCCCTGGATAAATGAAGTGGCAAAATGAAAGGGTGGTTTTCAAAAAGGACAATTTGGTAAGGATTGTTGAAATTGAATCTCTTCTCCGCCATTTACCGAATAACTTCAGGTAAGTTTTATGCTACTCTTTATTTCAGCTGTAAAATGGGGATGATTCCTGCCTTGTAGGATGCTTGTGAAACATAATTGGGAAAGCAGATGGCAGGTTCCCACCTGGTGTATTACTACTTCATGGCAGTGGTTTTGATTACTGCAAGTTCGAGGGCCCATTAAAACAAAGTGATTCATTTTGACAAATGTTTATGAAACATGATCCTTTAATCAAAACCATTTACAATGATTTCACCCTGGCTGCATTCCTGAACTCTCATCTCTTCCCTGCCTTTCCACTCTCTGATGGTTCCCACATTCCGGTCAGTGTGGCTCTGAGGCAAGCACTTCCCCCAGAGAGGACCCTCTCGGCGCTAGCTCGGCAATGCATTTTTCAGCTTTCTCCTGAGGACAGTGTTACCTCACAACAGGGCCGGGTGGTAGGAAAACATCAAGGGGGATAAAGAGGAGAAAGGTTCACAGAAACGAGTGAATCTGCCAGCCCTCTCTTTCTCATGTCTCCTGAGGAGATTTCAGACTACACCAGTTGTCCTAATGATTCTGAGCTTGTGAAGTGAGCTCTGCCTGGAGGGTTTGGTCAGTAGAATATGGCAAGCACAAGAGTCACCTGTGTGCTGGCTGCCTCAGGTGCTCAGCCCTAACAAGCTCTGTGCAAGCTCTTTCCCTTCCTTGCCATCCTTTCCTTTCCCCACTTCTCAAGAGCCAGGTAACGCCATGTCTGCTGTACATGTAGGGAAGTGGGGAGGGTGGAGCGTTAAACTCTGGTTGCATAGGAACTCTCACCTGAGAGCCAAAAGGTTGGCAGGGTGACATGAGCCCTGCACTGGTAAGCAAAGGCATGTGCATCTGAGTTCCTTTTCTGACACTAGGTACCAGAGTTAACATGCCAAGCTAGGCTGGCCACTTAGAGGAAAGTGCATGGTTTCTACATCTGGAAAAGGAGGTGGTTGAACTACGTGATTTCTGAGGTCCCTTCTGGTAATGAATGTGATTTTCTTTCTTTCTTTTTGAAATTGAGATAGAGTCTTGCTCTGTAGCCCAAGCTGGAGTGCAGTGGTACAAACATGGCTCACTGCAGCCTCAACCTCCTGGGCTCAAGTGATCTTCCTTCTTGAGCCTCCTGAGTGGCTGGGACCACAGGTGCACATCACTCTGCCCAGCTAATTTTTACATTTTTTGTAAGGACGGTGTTGATGTTGCCCAGGCTGGTCTCGAACTCCTGAGCTCAAGTGAGCTTCCCGCCTCAGCCTCCCAAAGTGTTGGGATTATAGGCATGAGCCACCATGCCTGGCTATGATTTTCTTTACATTCAGTGCCAGTTCCACCCACAAGACGTTAGCACTGGCACCACTTGATAAAACCTGGGTTGGACTGCTTGGAGAGGCAGGTCAGAATGAGTTGTTGGTCACCATGTTAAATATGCCTTTTAGGGACAGTGATTTCTATGCTTCCTTATTTTGTGGATAGTGTCCCAGGATGTTGCCAGCTATTTCAAGAGATTTTATTGAATTTCTAGAAACACTTTTTTTTTTTTTTTTTGACACAGTCTCACTTTGTCTCCCAGGCTGGAGTGTAGTGGCATGATCTTGGCTCTTGGGTTCAACTGATTCTCCTGCCTCAGCCTCCCAAGTAACTGGGATTACAGGCGCTTGCCAGCATGTCTGGCTACTTTTTGTATTTTTAGTAGAGATGGGGGTTTCACCATGTTGGCCAGGCTGGTCCCGAGCTCCTGACCTCAGGTGATCCGCTCGCCTTGGCCTCCCAAAGTGCTGGGATTACAGGCATGAGCTGCTGCACCTGGCCATCCTAGAAACACTTTAGAACAAAATTAATTTTAACTCCATTTTAAATTCCTGAAAAGTAAACCTGGTTTACTTTCTTTTTCAGGTCTGGCGCCTTAGTGATATGTCTTGGATTCTGGCTGGTCCGTTATTAACCAGCATGTAATCCTAGCTCATTCTCTTCAGTCTTTTTGTGAATATTTTTACTGTTAAGTTCTAAGTATTTTCCCACAGCCTGTAGGGGGATATTAGCCTCTGCTGAGATTTACCATTCTGATAATAGTTCTCCCAGCAGGTATATTTTGTAGCAAGCTAAACCTTCCTAGCTTGAAGTACCACTATTTAACCTTGCAATAGAAAGGTCAGCTCCTGTAATCTTGCGTATGTGTGCTGTGCTGCTTTTCTAGTAATTTCAGTGCATGTAGTCCTGAATAGGAACCACAATAAAACCTGATAAAAACCTCCAAAAACAAAAGTGTGTGGTTATTTTTTTTTTCTCTTTGAGACAGTCTTGCTCTGTCGTCCAGGCTGGAGGGTGCAAACACGGCTCACTGCAGCCTCAAACTCCTGGGCTTAAGCAATCTTTCCACCTCAGCCTCCCAGACAGCTGGGACTACCATGCCTGGCTGATTTTTAAATCTTTTGTAGAGATGGGGGTCTCTATGTTGCCCGGGCTGGTCTGGAGTTCCTGGCCTCAAACAATCCTCCAACCTCAGCCTCCCAAAGTGCTGGCATTACAGGCATGAGTCACTGCACCTGGCCTATTTAAAGAAAATATTACTACGAATATAACATGGAATATTCAGGAAGCTAGAGAATAAAAATTACCTTACTACCCTAATATAACTACTATAACTCAATTTGGTGAATCTTAAAACCAGTTTTAAGAGTGACACTTCATAGTATATCCAATTTGTATAAGCAAGTTTCAGATTAGGCACTTGAGATTAACAAACTGGTTTAGGAATTTAGGGACAAAAAATGTTTTTGAAACTGAACTTAAAAGTCAGATGTTTGAAAATCTGATTGCAGGAGAAAGGCAAATGTTGACAGGTCACATTTAACCCTAAGGGAGAATAAAAAGCTGAGAAAATTAGAGTTTAACATAGGGATGATGTATATAGGTTCTAAACTCCCAACCAAACTTTGGCTCCCAGGCACAACTTTATGTACTCGTGTGTGGGGCAGATGAGAAGCGACGGCCCTGCTGCTATATACTAGGCACCATATAAATTATAATAATTAAATCTTCCACTCTGTGACGTGGATTTTATTGTCTCAATTTTATAGAGAAGGAAATAGGCCTAGAAAGATTAGATAATTTGCCCAGGGTCTCAGAGCTAGAATGTGGAGATCCTACTGGCACTCTTGATTCTTAACTATGGTTTTTTTTTTTTTTTTTGAGACAGAGTTTTGCTCTTGTTGCCCAGGCTGGATTGCAATGGCACGATCTCTGCTTGCCACAACCTCTGCCTCCCAGGTTCAAGTGATTCTCCTGCCTCAGCCTCCTGACTAGCTGGGATTACAGGCATGCGCCACCACGCCTGGCTAATTTTGTATTTTTAATAGAGACAGGGTTTCTCTATGTTAGTCAGGCTGGTCGTGAACTCCCAACCTCAGATGATCCACCCACCTTGGCCTCCCAAAGTGTTGGGATTACAGGCATGAGCCACCGCGCCCAGCCAACTACTATGTTCTAACCAGCATACTGTGTGCTCCCTTCAAAGGGCTGGGAGTGCTCTGGGGAGCTGGAGGTGGTCAGAGCTACATCTATGAGTGAATCTCGTGGATGGGATGACAGAATTCTAGTGTGACGAGGCGTGTGGGTACTGGCATTCAGAGATGAAGTGGAAGACCATCCATAGCTGGTGATGCTGTCTGAGCCATCTCAGGGATTTGCCCTGAGAGCAAAGGGGCCTTTTTGGCAGTGACTGGTGTTTGCTATTTCATATTGTCTCACAAAGCTTGTGCTAGTGTAGTCACTCTAGTTATCAGGAAACTGCCCTGCTGGAGCCTGTTAACATTCTTAAACGAAGAACAATTCAAATATTTTTTTTTCCTGTTACAAAACTAGGATCTTTTCATTGGTGAAACACTATAAATAACCATAAGAAATAAATAAAATATACTTATGATCTAGTCACCCACAGAGAACTTATCTGGTATGTTTTTTCAGATACCTGTAGTTGGATATTATCAGTTTTTCAGATTACAAATTATGCTGTGATGAAAAACCATGTTGCCAAATTTTGGTTCACATGCTTATTTTACTTAGGACAATTTCCTAGAAGTATAATTGCTGGACCAAAAATAGGAACATTATTAAAGTTTTAGGTATACCTCACTAACTTGCTGATTTATATATATCTCACACGTATGTATGAGGATGATTTTATTGTCCTACGTCTTTGCTGACACTGGGTATAATCCTCAATCCCATCCCTACCTTTTAAAAATTGCCACATTTAGTCTGGTTGAGATTTGAAGTTTATTTTTAAGATCTCACACATAGACTTCTCATGACGTAATACTTTCAGTAATATCTGCAATTCAGAGTTATGGAAGTGGTTTAAAAATTCTTCCTATTATTAACAGAGAAAGTGCAGAAAAGGCAACTTTTACCACTGTATAAGCTTTGAAAACCTGAGGTGAAACGTTGGTGGAATATTGCATCTTAAGAGATATCATTGGCTGGGCGTGGTGGCTCATGCCTGTAATCCCAGCACTTTGAAAGGCTGGGGTGGGTGGATTGCCTGAGCTCAGGAGTTTGTGACCAGCCTGGGCAACATGGTGAACCCCGTCTCTACTAAAAATACAAAAAATTAGCCAGTGTGGTGGCACGTGCCTGTACTCCCAGCTTCTTGGGAGGCTGAGGCTGGAGGATTGCCTGAACTCAGGAGGTAGAGGTTGCAGTGAGCTGAGATCGTGCCACTGCACTCCAGTCTGGGCAACAGAGCAAGATTTTGTCTCAAAACAAAACAAAACAAAACAAAACAAAAAAAACCCACTATTATTGAAATCACCTGGTCTGATCTTGTTTCCATTAATCTTCCTAATACAGGCTGGGTGCGGTGGCTCATGCCTATAATCCCAGCGCTTTGGGAGGCCGAGGTGGGTGGATCACCTGAGGTCAGGCGTTTGAGACCAGCCAGACCAACATGGTGAAACTCCATCTCTACTAAATACAAAACAAATTAGCTGGGCGTGGTGGCACATGCCTGTAATCCCAGCTACTTTGGGGGCTGAGTCAGGAGCATCACTTGAACCAGGGAGGCAGAGGTTGCAGTGAGCTGAGATTGTGCCATTGCACTCCAGCCTGGGCAACAAGAGTGAAACTCCATCTCAAACAAAACAAAACAAAACAAAACAAAACAAAAAATCCTTTCTCATACAAAGATAAATGTGTAAAAGATAATGTGTAAAGGCTAAAAAGGGTTCAGATAAAAAGTCCAAAGATTAATTTCATTTCTCATTTTTAGAGAACAGAATTGCTCAGGTATCTTGACCCCAAGTCCTAGGTATCACTTAGAAGGTGCTGCTTGCCTTATAAATTTGGTCCTCTGACAACCCCCCAACTTTTTTTGTACCAGGGACTGGTTTCATGGAAGTCAGTTTTTCCCAGTCCAAGGGTGAATGTGGGGCTGGAGAGCAGATGGTTTTGGGGTGAAACCGTTCCACCTCAGATCATCAGGCATTAGATTCTCATAAGGAGTGCACAACCTAGATCCCTCACACATGCAGTTCACAATAGGATTCCCTCTCCTATGAGAATCTAATGCCCCACTGATCTGACAGGAGGCAGAGCTCAGGGCTATTCCTATTATAATCATTTCCCTCCTTTGTCAGCACATTGTTAAAGAGCTGATAGTGTTAGACCAGGGAAAAATGGCCCTGAAAGAGCTGGAGAGAGGGATCCCTTTATTTGTAGACAGAGTCTAGAGGGAGTCAAGAGGCCTGGGTCCAGGCCAAGCTTCTCCACCACTGGCTATCTGTAGGAAAGCCATTCTAACTCCCATCATCAGCTGAGTGGGTTGCACCAGATTGTTTCCAAAGACCTGTGTGGCTCCTGAAATCTATGATAGCTGAGATATCAAAGATATGGAGATGTCTTGCCTGACTTAATGGCTAAACTAATGGGTTTCCAGGTCTAGGGATGACCTGTAAGGTATCAGAGATGTCACAGGATAACAAAGTTGCTAGTGGTATTCTCCTGAGTTGTTTAACGCAAAATCTGCATAATCGACATAAATGTGCAATCTACAAGAAGCCTTCTCTCCAGCTTAAACAAGGGCTGGGCTCTGCATAGCCAAGAACCATTTCAGTCTTTATTTTTTCCTTGGTGTCCTTTCTCATCCACCTTCCTTTGACACTACCCTGCCCCCAGTCCTTCTCAGGGCCAAAAGCATTAGAGAGAGCAGTGGAATGAGCCCTGCTAACTTAGGAGCTCCTGCCTTCTGCTCTGGACCCCGGAGGGCAGACAGAGGAAGAGCAGGCAGGTTCCACTTTTCCTTCCCAGGTACCTCCCCATATTCATTTTTTTTTTCTCCTTTGCCCTTCATACATCCTTCAAGCCCTTACCTCTGCACAGATGAAGAAGTGTCCCTCACAGGAAAGCCATTTCATTGTGTCCTTCCACAGCATTTCAACTGAAATTAGGAGAACCTGAGAATCATCATTCTGAGTCAGATCCGTGCAGGAGTGAAAGTAACACATTTCTCAGAAGTGTGGTTGTTTCAGTGCTCTCACTGGATCTCTGCTGCCTCTTATTCTCTTCTCAATCCAGATCTTCATGGGAAACATACAGTTAAGACACTTGGAATTTTTAGCATTTGGAGTCATGTGATTGTTTTCCACAGAAGAAGGAAAAAACTGAAGAGGGCAGAAGATATATTATTACCCCACCCCATATACATGTGTGCATCCGTGCACGCGCACGCGCGCACACACACGCAGACACACACACCCCTACTTCCAAGACTGAAATTGTATCTTTAAATGAAATACCATTTTTTGTTGAATTTCCATAGGATCACAAATTTGGAAGGGACCTTGGAGGTGGTCCAATCCAAACAGCCCCTCCATGCATAACTCTACTCTGGAACATCACTACCAGTTGTTCATCAAGATTTGGTGTTCTAGAGATAGTCCAATCTCTTTCCCTTTTGAAAAATTTCTAAAGTTTTGAAAATATGTGGTGTAAGTTTTCTCTTCTCTAGAACATTCCGACTTTAATCATTTTTGTTGACAACTTTGTGAGTACTGATATATTAGAAATTGAAGGTAGCAAGAAATTAGGTAGAAGAAGAAATAAGCTAGTATTAACATCAAATTAAATCAAGTCAATAAATATCTACAGCTATGGGCAGAATAATTTGCTAGGGGTTTGAGAATGGTGGGAAGGGTAAAAGGCGGAAAGAAGTCACAGTTGTCTCCTTCAACAAGTTTAAGATCCAGAGAGCAGATTAGGAATAAACACTTTAACATGTAAAAAGCCAAAGCACATACAAATAGCCAAAGCACATGCAAATAGCCATTCAAGTAGACAGTTAAAAAGTTGTCTCTCATTGTCTCTAGTTAATTGCTAAATGAAATGTCATGAAAGTATGATGAGAGTTTGGAAGAAGGAAAGACATGAGTGGGTTTTGGGTCTGAGAACGTGGATATTGAGGTTGGATAGAACCCAGGTGAGCAGAACTGAAATGGTCATTCCAGGAACAAGACACTAGCCTGGAGAGGGTGAAGACTCAGAAATTCAAACTATTTTGTGGAGCAAAAGCAGAAAATTGAGTGTGTGGCATGTGGAGGGTTTGGGAAAGGAATTTGCTTTAATAAATGAGGTTGGGGGGCAGGCATGAGATTTGGGCCAATGCCTAAAGGCTCGGAAATTTAATCCTGGGCAAGAATGGAGTGAAAGGTCATCTTTCCGGGCCCAGGCTTGTCATCCCCACCCACCATCCCAAAACTCTGTTGGTTGTCAGTGGAGTTTGTTGTCCTTGGGGAAAGGACAGGAGCAAAAGTTGCTGATCCCAGGTTCATCAAACTGAGGAGAAATTTTGGTGGGAGGAAGCCAGGAAAATGTGACAGTGTTTGACAGATGCTCAGCTGGGCTTTCCCCAGGCATTGCATTCTGGCAGCATGTTGATTAATTCCATCCACCTCAACGCAGGAAATCAGCTTGCTTGCTGAGTAAGTGAAGTCTGCACGAAACCCTGAGGAGTTGCTGCCAGCCCGCGGTTGCAAGGACAGACCACGCCCACGGAGGCCACCGCCTAACGTTGACAAAGAACAGCCTCAGTTTCCCATTATTCTCTTCATCCCCACGCTTGCCAAAGAGCCTTCCAAAGTAGGAAGATAGGTATGGTTCTTAGCTATGAGGGAGTGAAGCTCTGAGATTTAAGACGTCTTTTTTTTTTTTTTTTTCAAATCTCAATAGCCTTTCAAGGATACTTGAGTCTCAATTTCTGTTTCAGAAAATGTAATGTGTTCCGTGAACCTCACTGCAATTTTATGGGAAGTTCAGCACCTTCCCTAATGTTCCCTAATGAGGTGCATCCCAGGCTTTCATGTGATATGAATCATTTAGGCATCTTGTGAAAATGCAGCCTGATTGAGTAGGTTTGGGATGGGGGCTGGAGAGTCTCCAGTTTTAACAAGCCCCCAGGTGCGAACAAGCTAGATGCTGCTGTTCCCAGGACCAAACTTTGAGCAGTAAGATTCTCCTAGATTGCAGGATTGAGGGGTAAGAAAGAGCCAACTTTCTCATTCTAAATCTTGCTCTATCCATACGTGCTGCCTCCCCTCCTGAGGCTGTTGTCCTCTCTCTCTCTCTCTCTCTCCATATATATATATATATGCTCCATGTAGACATCATAAACCTGTTTTGTATATAAAGAGGTTTACCTTAGACATGGAAATAATGGAAGAGAATTAAAGAATTAATTAAAGAATTAAAGCACAACATACACATTGAAACAATTTGAATATAAAGCTCATGACTCTTAGTTCCCTGGTCATCTCAGATACTAGGAGTTTCTGGATGGCAGCTCTCATTTCTCTTCTCTCTAGGGTTAACTGAAATTCCTATTATTATAATTATTTTGAAGACAAGATCTTGCTCTGTCACCCAGGCTGGAGAGCAGTGGCAGGATCATGGCTCACTGAAGCCCTGACTGCCTAGGCTCAAGCGATTCTCCCACCTCAGCCCCTCAAGTAGCTGGGACTACAGGTGCACACCACCATGCCCAGCATTTTTTTTTTTATTTTGTGTAGAGATGGAGGCCTCTTTGTGTTGCCCAGGCTGGTCTTGAACTCCTGGCCTCAATTGATCCTCCCGCCTCAGCCTCCCAAAGTGCTGGGATTATAGGCATGAGCCACTGTGCCTGACCATATTATTTTTTATGTGTAGCAATTTCCCTGTCTTTACCCTGGAATAGGCTCTGTCTTTGCACTTCCAAAAAGGTAAGTTCTCTTCAAGACAGAAGTGCCATCTGGTCTGATATAAAATTTGCAGCTCTCTTGGAAGGAGAAAACTGTTATGGCAATTTTTTTTTTGGTAGCACTTTTTCTTCCTGTTACCCAGCACAGAGACTGGTACAGAGTGAGTGTTTAATAAATGATGTTTCCGCTAACAAGTAGATAAAACTTGAATGCAAAAGCCTTCACAGGTCCACAGAATAGATTCAGAATTGAGAGGTCCCTCATGCGATCTGGAACTTTGTCCAGCCACTTAAACTGTATTCCGTCCGGGATCCTCACACAGCACTCTGGGGAAACTCCTTTCCGAAGTATTTTTTTCTCCTTACTTTTCTTTTCTCAGCTTTTGCCTCTGATCCCCTTCTCTCACTGCCATCTCTCCCGGCTTTTTTTTCATCAGAAGATCAGAAATTGCATGCTTTGAGAAAGAGAGAGAGAGAATGAATGAGAGACAACTACAGAGACAGAAGGGAAAGGAAGACTTCTGTGTTTTTTATGTTTTGTTTACCTATACCCCAAGTAATTTCTACTCTCACAAATATTGGCATATGAAGACCCTAGCACAGCATTTTCATCTGACAAATAATCATTTCTTTTCTTTTTTTTTGAGATAGGATCTCGATCTGTTGTCCAGGCTGGAGTGCAGTGGCACGATCACAGCTCACTGGAGCCTTGACTTCCTAGCTAAAGTGATCCCCTCATCTCAACCTCCTGAGTAGCTGGGACTACAGGTGTGCACCACCATGCCTGGCTAATTTTTGTATTTTTTTTGTAGAGACAAAGTCTCACCATGTTACCCAGGCTGGCCTCCAACTCCTGAGGTCAAGCTATCTACCCGCCTCGGCCTTCCAAAGTGCTGGGATTACAGGCGTGAGCCACCGCACTCATACCTAATCATTACATTTAAAAAGAAGGGTTAGTTTCTATGAATTGTGATTTTGTGGAGATTCTAGAAAGTGCATAATGGTTTTGAATATTTGACTCAAACAAATATGAAACATTGAATTAGTAGTTTCAAAAAAGTCTGAAACTGGAAATGTTTTGCATTAAAAGGAAAAAAAAACCCCAAGAATGATGTAGAGTTTGTGGGGTCTGTAGTTTTCTGCTTTTTGGGAGAGGCTCACTTCCTTTTTACTCTGTGGTCCCTGGCTCCACTTCTTGGAAGGTTTAAAAAATTTATTTTTTCTCCCTGTAATCTCTTTGGTCACATCTGACATGGTGTTGGTGAATATACCTTTCTTAGAGCTTTAATTCTTGTTCCTTGATGGTTGGGGGACTGAGGATTGGTTCCTGATTAATTTCTAGAGCTCTCTCAAAAACTTAGTGAACTTCTAATCTGAGTCAATTCTTTTTGAGGCATAATTCCCAGAACATTTCTATTTCTTTGTTTCTTCATTCCTATAACTCTGTCTTGATTTGATGGCAGATTACTAGAACTATACTTTTACACTTTTAATTGAGTCCTTTTATCCAGTTAAACATTTTTTTCCAGATGCTTCATTCTAATTCTTGCCCTTCGGTAATTTACTTGGTTGAAAGGTTTTATTGTGCATTTCTTTTTCAAAGGCTTTTTCAATCTTCTGTTGCAACCTTACAGGGCTCTGAATTTCTTAATTTCTTTCCTTTTTTTTGAGACAGAGTCAATTGCTCTGTTGCCCAGGCTGGAATGCAGTGCCGTAATCTCGGCTCACCTTTGCCTCCAGGCTCAAGTGATTCTCCTGCTTCAGCCTCCACAGTAGCTGGGATTACAGGCGCCCACCGCCACGCCTGGGTAATTAGGGTTCTGAATTTCTGAACTGTCTTCATTTCCTTTCATTTTTGTTTATCAACCTGCCAACTCTTTCCTGAGCTCATCTCTTTTATGTGTTACTTGGCCAAATGCAGACAACAGTATCCAAACACATGCAACTAACATTCTGTTTTCTAATCTCTTTCTCTAGAGCTTCAAGTTTATTAGGTACAAGATCTGCCTCTCAAGTTATTGCAGGCAATGGTTTAACTAAATGTTTTGCCATTGTAGAGCATGGATTATCGTCTGTCCAGCCTATGGCGTGCTACCTGACCACTGTTTCATGCTTTCTGTTATGATAGCACTTTACTTCAAGGCATAAATTTCTGTAACTGCAGATATACTGTCATGTTGCAGTAGTATATCTTGATTAGATGCACTTTTTTTCTTTTTTCTTTTTGAGAGAGGGTCTCACTCTGTAACCCAGGCTGGAGAGCAGTGGCACAATCTCTGCTCACTGCAGCCTCAACCTCCTGAGTAGCTGGGCTCAAGTGATCCTCTGGCCCCAGCCTCCCAATTAGCTGGGACTACAGGTGTGCACCACTACACCCAGCTAAGTTTTGTATTTTTTGTAGAGGGTTTTGCCATGTTGCCCAGGCTGGTCTCAAACTCCTGGCCTCAAGTGATCTGCCCTCCTTGGCCTCCCAAAGTGTGGGGATTGCAGGCATGAGCCACCACACCTGGCTAGATACCCCTTTTAAAAATGAGAATAAAAGTTTTTAAAAGTTGTATTTGTTAAACTAAATGTGTACATTTATTTTATCATTATTCCCAGCAATCTCATATTATTATCTTACTGGTTTATATGTGCGTGTTCACTTTTTTCCATGACTGTTTTAAGCTCATTAAGGTAGAGACTGTAATAATACAGTCTATTGCCTGTGCTACTAGCCCCAACAAAATGTATCATGGCTCCAAGCACATATGAGGGCATGAAAACATCTTGCTGATTTGGATGTTTGAAGAAGTATAGTATTTTACCACATTTGAGGCTGTGTGTAACTCATTGCTAAGACAACAGAGTCTTTTGGTATCTCTTTTTGTGGGCTCTTGGAGTTGACTGTAGTCATCTCGCTGTCAGTGTGTTGAATAATGGCTCCAATGCATTATTGAAACTCTTAAAGCTGGTGACAGCTTAGATCATGAGTGGTATAGAGCCAGTCAGTGAAGGGTTCCACCATAGTCAGCCGTGTGCCCATCATATGTTCATTAGTGTGTCCCTGGTATTAGCACATGATTTACATTATAGGAAGTGCTCAATGAATGCTAGATGAGATAAGAATCTGGATCTGTTGATTTAGTTTGAACTCAGTGATAGCCAGTTACCAGTCTGGCATCCTGATAAGAGTTGTTTTTACCCCAAGGGGGAAAACTGTGACCAAAGGTCAGTGTTGCCTCCTGCTTACATAAAGAACCATTTTGTTCTCCCCTGCAATCTAGCAAATCCTCTTGTTTTGAATTCGGTACTCTTGGTTCCAACTGATTTATTCATTCTTTCTTTCAAGAGAGCTGGTATATTCTTCTATGCATTGAGGTACAGCTCTGAATGGAAAAGAGATCACTGAAGAAAATGAGTGACTCAATCCACTCAATTTAGTACACATTTAAAGGTCTATTGCACATGTTGCTTTGGGAGCATGAGTGATATAAGCAAAGATGAAAACATGGCTCTTGATTTCATGGAGCTACCTTCACTGTGCACATGGAAGGTCACTCCTGGGGAGGCCTTGAAAATTCTCCGTAAGATGGGCTTAGGGGGTTCAGTCTGGCTAGAAGGGGTTGGCCAGGGGACTTGAGTCTGTCTTTGCATAGAATACACTGTTTAATCTAGATTGTATATTTGAGGATGTATATTTGGAGAAGGAGGCTGGTAGAGATTATTGGGAAGCAGGGTAAAGTTACCCAAATATATGAAGATCCCAGGGAACTATCCTAAAACATGTATGTGAGGGCAAGATACACAAGTATTGGCACAAGAGGTTGAGGAAGGGAACAATGCCTGAAAGGGTGATTTGAGGAAATCTTTTTGTAGAAGTTACACTTCTGGTTGTTCCAGAGAGAGCTGCAGAGGATTGCACAGGCATGGAGGGGAGCAGGGTGGATGGAAGGCCTGTGATCACAGAATTTTGATCGGTTTTTCAGGGCCTTCCAATGAACCTAAGAACAACTTTCTCTTCATTTTCTTCATGTGAAGAAAATGGCAAAGAGTTGTTCGAACATGTTACGCTAGAGGAAAATAACTTTGCCCTGCTAGAATGTGTCCTGCCTTATGAAAAGATGATGTGTAATTTTACCCAATCTTAATGAATGTAAAAAAAGATAAGTTACTGTTTTTTGGGGAATGTCTGTGTATCTCTAGGGCACAATGCCTGACACATAGAATGTGTTTAACAAATGTTTGACAACCTGAACTGAACTGAGACAAATTAACTTTTTGCAGGTCATTTAAATTTCATGTCAGAGCATTTAAACGCTTAATTTTTTTCCTTCAAAAATTGGAAACAAAAATATGGCGCTCTCATGAGAAAAGATTGTGCAGAAAGAGCCTTCCTTCACCCTGGGTTTTCTCACTTATCCCAGCAGGCTGGGACTGTCCTCACTGTGTAGAAAGGAAAGTTTTTCACCCATTCTTGGGAAATTAGGCTACTCTACTCTAGTTTTACTTTTGATTACTTGTGTAAAAAAAAAAAAGCAAAAATCAATAGCTAATAGGTTATCTCTTCCTAAGCATATATGCCCAGTCCAGTTGGACACAGATGTGGGGCTCAAGTCCAAATCCCCATGTGCAGCCCAGGATTAGGTGGTACCCTGGAAATCAAGTGGGTGTTCCTGGCTAGGGATTGAAGATGATCTCAGCCCCTGGTCAGCTGGTTGAAAGCATCCAAAGTGCCTCCAGTGAGAAGCTGAGATTACCTCTTTAATGAGAAACACTTTGGGTGTGGTAGGGCCAACCGTCAACTGGTAGGCAGTATTCTTGCCACAGGTAGTATCTGGTCTAGAAACTACTAGATCTCCAAATCCTCTTAAGGTCCCTTACATTGACAAGAATGAATTCAAGTTGCGAAATGACACACCAACTTATACAAGGTAGAGGATGTCATTAAGGCAACAGTCTCACCAAGTCCATGCGCAGAGCTCTGATCCCACCGTCTCCTCCCCTCATTCTCCAAGTCTGCTTAGTTCTGCCCACTACTCTTCCTTCTCAGCAACAGTTCCAGCATCCAGAAGTCTTGAGCAGCCTTCTGCCTCACAAGTTGGGGGTGGCCCAATTAAGAAACTTCATGGCAACTTCAAGGCCAAGGAAACAGGCTGCATTGGCTGGGAAGGCTCGGGTCATCACTGCATCAGACCCTTTAGACAAGGATGTGATTCCTTCATCCCAGATCAGCTCCCTCAGCACATCTCCAAAACTGTTAGGATATTTCCCAGGAGGTGCGTCTGGAAGGGATACTTGAGCACATCTTGCGGGACTGCCATTGCCCAGTTGAAGATCCCTGCAATGCACCCAGCCACCAGGATTCAAGGCACACTGAGCTCACAGACCCTCTTTCCTTCCGGAGTGAAGATATTTTTTAGCCATTCATTTGTCATGAAATACGTTCCGCTAGCTGGAACGTCTCACATAAGGGTAAGCACGGTCCCTTTGTAGATGCCTCGGATCTGAAACTCCTGGTACAACTTCTTTGCACAGTCCAAGGTTCCAGTGTACTTGGTTTCCCCTGAAGAAGGCTGAAAGTGTAACAAGGACTTGATGGGTTCTCCAGGGGTCGCGATGCCTGTGGTGAATGTACCAGATAACATCCCAGCTGCAAACAGCTGGGGATAGCTGAGCACATCTTCTGGGTGTTTCTGTCATAGTTTCTTCCTCAAACCAAACCCAAAGAAGCACACAGCAAAGATGGGGGTGACACCGATGATAGGGGCAGCCATTCCCTTATATAGCCCTGTGATGTCCCTTCTAAGAGTCTTTGGGAGAGAGTCAAAGGTCCCAGAGTACATGGGAGGCTGTCTAGGCAAACTCGGTGGCTGTGTCTGCAGTCGGACCTTGACAGTGTCCAGAGGGTGCCCCATGAACACCAGGCACATGCCACCAAAGCCACTGGCCAGCAGGTTCTTGAGCAGGCTGATGGGCTTTGGCTGGTCGGCTATGGTCAGTCTGCCTATCCCTCAGTCTGTCAGTTCCTGGGCCGTCCTGGCTCTGCTGCCCCAGCTGCAGTGCCAGGGCTGCCAATCTTGCATTTAAAGGCTTCTACTTGCTAATTAATTTTGGTTAAAAAAAACCATTCTTAGAGATAGCCAAGGTAATGGGCATTTAAGTGTTGCATCAATGTGATTTTACATATATGTATATTTGTCCATGGCTCCTGGTTCATAACTCCCACAGCCCTCGTTATATCCTAAGTGATAAAAATAATAAGCATATCTTTTGTTAGGGTATTTAGCTTTTTTGTCTTTGTTTCCTGAAGCAGCTTCAGACAGCTTCAGAGCAATAAAGGTGAAAAAGACAGTCTTTTATTGTAATGTTGGGGCACTTTAGGCCTAAGAAATAGGCCTCAGAAAAAAGAATCTCCCTCTCTGAACTTCTCCTGCCCACCTTTTCTCCCCAAGACCATAGAAACAGAAAATATCCTGTCATCTAACATCACCCCCCACACCTTTTGTCTTGGAGCTGGCCATAAAGAAATTCTTTGATTTACCTTGTCTAATCATAGGCCATAAGACCCTCAATTCAGGAAGGGTCCTCCCCTCTACCCAGGAGGAAGGAAGGCTGCTCAGAGAGGCCAAGAAAAATCTGAACAGGCAGGCCTGGCTGAATTTCCTCATTCAACCTGTTAATATCAGGTTATACCCTTTTTATCCAATCACATTTGTTTACAGTTTTCCATGTTGTAATCATGTCTGCCCAATGAAGACTCCATAAAAGGCCCAAGAGGATGGGATACAAAGAGCCTTTGGACCGCTGAACTTGTGGAAGTTCTAAGAAAGGTAAACAGTAACTCATCCCTGTGCTGGGAGGGTGGTGCACCCCAGCTCCATGGGAAAGAACACTTCTGTGCTTGTGACCCTTTCAAACCTTGCCCTGTGTACCTTTTCATCTGGCTGTTGACTTGTATCCTTAAAAATATCCTTTAGAATATACTGGTAAATATAAATTAGTGTTCCCTAAGTTTTGTGAGCTGTTCTAACAAATTAATCAAGCCTAATCAAACTCAAGCGGTTTGTGGGAACCTGAACTTGAGGCCAGTCAGTCAGAAGTCCCAGAGGCTTGGACCTGTGATTGGTGCTTAAAGTGGGAGCAGTTTTGTGGGACTGAGCCTTCAGCCTGTGGGATCTGACTCTACCTACCTGGAGATAGCGTCAGAATTGAATTGGATTAGAAGATGCTTAGCTGGCGTTGGATGCAGAATTGATTGCTTGCTGGTTGATGGAGATAAATGCCCACATACATGGTCATGGAAATCTTTTGTGTTGCTGGTTGTGGTGTGAGAGCAGAGGAAAACAGTTTGTTTTATCAACACAATGAATAGTGATTATTTATTAAGCACCAGTAGGAGTCTAACCATGGGGTTAAAAAATAATTAGTTCAGGGAGATAACAAAACTACCAGGGTATATCATTTCTGAATTTTTCACTTATGTCATTCATTTCTTTAGTTTTGTTTTCCCATTCATAAAATGGAGGTAAAGATAGTTTAGTACCAAGGCTCCTCTAAGGATGAGTTTTCTCCCATTTAAATCACGATTCATATTGCGTGACTGGAAAGTAGAACATATGGTCCGTGACAAGGGTGTTGGCAATTTGTGGAAGAACAAAAAAGATTTGACAACAATTTCTAACTTGGTTCATCTCTGTAGTAAATTAAAAATTTTGCTCTGATTTGTGGGCAATGGGGGTGGAAGTAGGGTAGAAGGAAAGAAAAATTTGGTCCTTTTCCTGTCATCCCTTTCTTTAGGGTCCCCCTTTTGTTCCCCTTCGGGAAATGGAATAAAAAAAAAAACCCCTGCATTCGTCAGTAACTCCGGGTCAACCACAACTTAAAGACAGTAAGCAGGTCAATCGAAACAGGGGCAATGATTGCTATAAAACTAACAGGTACTCTCATTGATAGAACACAGGCATACACAGGAAGATACATTCACAGAAAGAGCTTCCTGCACAAAGTAAGCCACCAGCGCAACATGACAGTGAAGACCCTGCATGGCCCAGCCATGGTGAGTAGCAGCAATCATTCTGGTTTAAGGACTGTCATGCCTAGGATTTCAGAAAACAGAATCCTAAGGAATTAGGTTTGATTGGGGTCTTTTTGGAATTACTTCTTAAAAAACAGAGATGACTTTAATTTTGACTCCTGTCTGGTGGAGAAAAAGAAAAAAATAACTAGAAAAGTTATAATGGCATAAAAATGCAGCTCCTGGCCAGGCGTGGTGGCTCATGCCTGTAATCCCAGCACTTTAGGAGGCCAAGGCGGGCGGGTCACATGAGTTCAGGAGTTCGAGACCAGCCTGACCAACATAGCGAAACCCGGTCTCTACTAAAAATACAGAAATTAGGTCGAGCCTGGTGGCTCACGCCTGTAATCCCAGCACTTTGAGAGGCTGAGGTGGGTGGATCACTTGAGGTCAGGGGTTTGAGACCAGCCTGACTAACTTGAAACCCTGTCTCTACTAAAAATACAAAAATTAGCTGGGCATGGGTCAGTTGCCTGTAATCCCAGCTACTCGGGAGGCTGAGGCAGGAGAATGGCTTGAACCTGGGAGGCGGAGGTTGCAATGAGCCAAGATCACGCCACTGCACTCCATCCTGGGTGACATAGCGAGACTCTGTCTCAAAGAAAAAAAAATGCAGCTCCTCACCCAATGGCTTTTGCCCAGGTGGTGTTAGTGTGTGCCCAGGTGGTGTTAGTGTGTGCAGTCCTTGGCATCACAGACAACTAGCATGTTCTTTCCTGTGGCCATCCATTATAGAGTCAGGTTGGCCTGAAATTCTTATCTCATGGTGGGAGCTTGGCCAGCACTTTAGGGATTATGTACATATACATTTTAACCAAGGAAACTGGGGCCTCAAGAGGTTTAATGATTCCCCTGAGATTACAGGAGTGCCCTGGATGGAAGAAATGAAATCACCCAGTGTTGACTTTGGACAGCTCCTAGAGAAGGGAAATTTCCCATGTCTCTGATTGCTATTTATTTATTTTGTACCATCTCATTCTTCTTGGAGGAAAGAGAGATGTTAATGCAATGAAAATCTAGCCCCAGCAGGTCTGGAATCTTGCCTGACATTAGTCAGATAAGGCCTGAGAAGAATTTACTATAGAGGTACATGAAAACAGGGGTTAGGAAATCCCGCATCATATTATTGGCTTAGATAATTTCCTTTTTTTCTCCTTTTACAAGCCATACAACTTAAAAGAGCTTGAATATCATAAAAGGTTCATGGCATATAGCAATGGTATGTTTTATTTTATATTTATGTGTTATTTTAAAGATTACATGTAGCTCAGCAAAGTGCCATATTTAGGGGCATAGGCTTTGATGTCAGGCAGACCTGGCTCCACTGCTTGCTAAATGTAGGATTTTTGGGTAAGTTATTTATCTTCTCTGTGCCTCCGTTTCCTCAACTGTATGGTGGGGATAACAATGGCATCTTTCTCATGGCATTTATTGGGAGGATTAATTAATATCTTTGAGAATAAATGAGTCTATACTCTGTACTGGCAGATTTGTGTATGCTTAATTTTCAGTTAATTTGGCCATTCTAATAAACAACGACTGATAATGATAGAGAAAGCATTCAGTAAGTGTTAACTGTTCATATTAATATTGTTATTATTGTCCTGGAAATTCTGATCAATCCACTGAAGTAGATGGGAATACTTTCCACTTTATACAGATGAACAAAAGCTCAATTAAGCTATTTATTTAACATTGCTGGATACTGTAAGCACAAGAACTGGTACACCAATCTAAGCTTTCTGTCTCCACATACAGTATGCTTTTCTTTGGTTCAGAGGCAAGATTTGTGAATTTAAAGCCATTGCATCCAAGCAATTCTGTTGGGTAGCTTTGTGCTCCATAGCTATTTCTAATTCTAGTTTCCTTAAAGAAATCTGTTGGGTTGTCAGCAAGAAACATAACAGTGCAAGGAGCATTGGAATAGGATTAGAAGTTGAGAGGTGCAGGCAGATAGGACATCTTCAATAAGTAGTTGAGGCAAATTCTCATGGACCTAGAGGTTGGCCAGGTGCATGCTTACATGTGTCCACACATTGCTGGTGAGTATAGAGGATGGATGTTCAGGTTGCTCAGGTGAGCTCACATTAGAGTGAGGTGCAAAGCTAGGCTGAGAAGGTTGTTGTCCTGTTACAGCTCACCTTCACCTGGTGCTTTCCCTTGCCCCTGTCCCCTATTATACAGATTGAGAGCGATATCTATTCATCTGCTTTATAGGTGGCATATAAGAGTTCAAGTCATGCTCTGGATTTCTCTGAGAGGTGCTGTTTAAATCATTCTTAAGAACCAGCAACAGCCTGGTTCAGAGCCCCTGCTCTGTATTACATAACCACTAAAATCTACAGTTTCAGATCAAAAGCTTTGTGGAGCAAATTGGAGTATTTGCAGACATCATCTGATTTCCTGATAACGAGCTATGTGACCTACAACACTTATGCACATCTAGTACAGCTGTCACATTACCTAAAACACTTAGCTCTTCTAATGAGACAAAACTAAGATTAATGTTGGTAATAATAAAAATGACCTTCAATGACAATAGCACTGACTACTGACACCTAGGTTTGAGTCCCCAGACTGGTACTCATAGGCTGGTGAACCCAATCAAGTTATTTATTCCCTCTGGGACAGAACTCTTTCACCTGTCTAATTGGGATAATTAATACTAGCTCTGATTACCTCACCAGGTAGTTGTGAAAATCCAGTGTTTAAAGAGATGTAAAAGAATTTTCTAATATACTCTAAGAATATATAAGCAAATGTAATAATGACTTGTTAGAAGCATTGTAATTATTGCTAAGTCATATAACTCCAATGTATGTATTTAAAAGTTTTCATAATGAAAATTAATAGTGATTCAGTGAGTATGACACAGAAGAGGAAAGAGAAAACACAAAGGAGGAATTTACTTAAGAACCCTAAATATGTGATTGGTAGGCTTGGGAAGTTATCTAAGACCCTCTAATATAAGTTGGCATCTTTTAAAAAAAAAGTCATAGCAGGCCAGGCGCGGTAGCTCAGGCCTGTAATCCCAGCATTTTGGGAGGCCGAGGTGGGCAGATCACTTGAGGTCAGGAGTTCAAGACCAGCCTGACCACATGATGAAACCCTATATCTACTAAAAATACAAAAAATTATCAGGTGTGGTGGCGCACGTATGTAATCCCAGCTACTCGGAAGGCTGAGGCAGGAGAATCGCTTGAACCTGGGAGGCGGAGATTGCAGTAAACCAAGATTGTGCCACTGTACTCCAGCCTGGGCGACAGAGTGAGACTCCATCAAAACAAACAAACAAACAAACAAACAAACAAACGCCATAGCAGTTTGTCAAGACAAGGTATATGAGTGTAAATTCCACATCTGTCTAGTCCACTGTGTAGCACAATATAGAGTTAGCAAGAGTCGCCAGTATTGGATACTTATCATATGCTGCCAGTGTTCTTCATAATTTATATGGATCATCTCATTTAATCTTCACATTTTTTTTTTTTTTGAGGAAACAGAGTCATCGCTTCTAAGAGTCCTGGAATTGAGTTACAGACCCTGGACTTCTGACTCTGAAGCCCATGCCCTGAGCTACCACACTGTAAAGTCAAGAGCTAGTTGTTGAATGAATGAACGATTGTGGGGGATGAAAGTTGATGATTGCTGATTATCTAAAGGCAAATCAGCCTCATTCTGACTCTTCTGGGTCAATCTTGCTTTCAACTTCTTTTTAGTGTCAGCTTCCTCAGTATGGCAAATGGACACTATGACCTTTTTGTTTACTCTTATTGTTTTTTGTCTCTAGTATCTGCAAAATATGAAAAGGAAGGCCTTTGAAACCAACATGTCTAATCACCTTCCCTACCTTAACTCATGGAAGGTGTGAGCCTGAACAACGCTAAGCCTAGAGAATAAAAGCAACTTATTTTCAGCTCTTTTTTTTTTTTTTTTTTTTCCAAGCAGGAGTCTCGCACTGTCGCCCAGGCTGGAGTGCAGTGGTGCAATTTCGGCTCACTGCAACCTCCACCTCCTAGGTTCAAAGGATTCTCCTGCCTCAGCCTCCCGAGTAGCTGGGATTGCAGGCGTGCACCACCACGCCTGGCTAATTTTTATATTTTTAGTAGAGACGAGGTTTCACCATGTTGGCCAGGCTGGTCCTGAACTCCTGACTTCAGGTGATCCACCCACCTCGGCTTCCCAAAATGCTGGGATTACAGGCGTGAGCCACTGCACCCGGCCTTCAGCTCTTCTTCTGTATTATGTTGAGAGTTGGTGATGGGCCTTGCTCATCCCCAGTAAGGGTCAGTGGCAATGGTGGGTGAGCAAAGCATGGTTGTGACAAAGGGAATCTGGCAAGATTTGTAGCTTTTCTTTTCATTAGGTCTTCAGTGCACTTTCATTCTTTGCGCATTCCTATAACACCAGATAAACTGGCATTTCAACGTAAGTATAAAAAAAATGCTCCAGAGCTAAAGAGAAATAGTTTCCATATTCTCTCTTGTGGTGCATCATTAGTGCCCCGGTTTCTTTCAATTAGCATGGATAATTGGAACTTTGCTATCGTTGGTTTTGCGTAATGTTTTTCTTAATGCAGTGAGCTTAACTATATAGTTCAATTTAGCTGTATCATTTTGTTCATTCATTCACTCATTCACTCATTCATTCCAAAAGTGTTTATGGAAAATGTGTAATATGCAGGAACTTACAATCTAATGGGTGTAGATCTGACAGGAACACAAATACTACATTTCTAGACAATTAAAAAATGCTGCTTGAGTGCTAGATGATCAAAGCTTTATAATTTAAGGATAATAAACATGCTTCTGATTGAACCATTTTAGGGACTGTTCTTAGAGGAGATCACATCTGAGCTGGGCCTTAATGGAAGGGTAGGATTTTGACAGACAGAGTATTCTAGGCAGTGTATTCTAGGTAGAGGGGTGGCTCCGAAGAAGGATTTTGTGGGAGATTCATGGGATATCAAGTTGGAAATAAAAACAAGAGCTATCGTTTATTAAGCCTCTATTTTTCTTATACAGATTTATAGGTGTTTTATATAGAACATTCTATTTAATCTCATTAGTAGTCTCATAAAGTGAGCATTATTATCCAGTTGGAAGGAAGAGAAACTAGAGGCTCAGCAAGGAAGCCAGGATAGGATTTTAACTCAATCTCAGACCCTTGCATCTTTCTGTCTCACTGTTTGGGAGCTTTTAGACTATGGAGGGCTTCAGTTACTAGCTAGGCTACTGAGTTTAGTTCTCAGTTTGGCACCTTGATACCTTTAGGTGTGAGTGTTCCCATTTCCAGGTGAGGAACTGAGGTGCAAAGAGAAGCCCTGATCCCATAAAAGGACAGGAATGCTGAGTTCCGCCAGACCATGCATCTCTTGCTAGTAGGTGAGGCGAGTCTCTAACTGATTGCAGCGTCTTCTATTTTCCAGGTCAAGTACTTGCTGCTGTCGATATTGGGGCTTGCCTTTCTGAGTGAGGCGGCAGCTCGGAAAATCCCCAAAGTAGGACATACTTTTTTCCAAAAGCCTGAGAGTTGCCCGCCTGTGCCAGGAGGTAGTATGAAGCTTGACATTGGCATCATCAATGAAAACCAGCGCGTTTCCATGTCACGTAACATCGAGAGCCGCTCCACCTCCCCCTGGAATTACACGTAAGTGCAAATGAGACTGATTTTCACATTCTTTGGAAAAATATGTTAATTCATTCTAATCATAAAGTAGAAAATGTAGAATACATAGAAAAAATAAAAGGGAAAATCCTCTTAACAATGAAAATTTCACTTTACCTGGGAGCTCATATCTTTCTTGTTTTGGACTAGGTTCACCTTTGTGGTTGATGGTCCTAATATTTTGCTTCCACGTTCTCATAGACTTTGTGCCTTTTTCTGCTTCATGTAGTTCTAGGATAGAATTCACAAATTTTCCTGTGTTGGAAGAGAGGGTTCTTTAAAGCAGATTGCATAATTATCTCCTCATGAGGATAAATGGGAAACAGAAAAGTCGGTTTAAGGAGATTCACTCAGATTAGACATTATCATTTAAGGAGTGGGAATGAGTGGAGGAGAAAGGCCAGTCTGGGAAATGGGATGTTAGGTGGAGACCTTCAGGGTACAGTCTTGTAATTTGGCATTAAGATACAGGTTCTTGGAAGACCAAGCACTCCCTCATACTCTCCAAATGTAAGTATCAAAGTAGATTCCAGGGACAATTGAAGTGCTTCTGGGGTTGTCACATAGCTTCTCATGTGAGTGTGTTATGAGAAAACCTTGGGACGGTAGTGCCCCCTGCCTCGAACTGGGAAGATATGGAGAGATCAAAGAATGACTTGGACAAGTCCAGCTTAGCGAGTGGATGAGTTTATTAAGACTTACTATGGGGCGCCCTAGGGCCACAGCAGGACAGATCTAGAGATCCGCTCTGCCTCCCATCTCTAAGCTGCTCTTAAGCGAATTTTCTGGCTCTTTGCCTACTGTGTGTGTCCAATGGGACTGTTTTCCTTGGTAGGTTCTCAGATACTCTCTGAGATGTTTGGGTTCTCGGTGGCCTGCTCCTTGGCTGTGCATGGTGGCCTTGGCTCACTGCCCGTCCTTCAGGGTTCAGACAGTGGACACACACCCTCAAGTAACCTGGTGGGGGTCCTGTCACACTACAAGTGGAATATGTACAATGGCAAGCTGGCAGGATAAATGTTGTGGTCTTTATGCCTCCAGGCAGAGGGGCCTATTAAAGGAGAAATGGAGAGAAGGTCTGAGATTCACAGACCTCTGGGGCTGTGGCTTTCCTTTCCAAGCAGCAGGCTCTGTAGACCGACTAGTGATGGAAGACTGACTAGTGACGTTCAATCTCCAGGCAGAGAATAAAGAATTGTAATAATAATAATAATAATGCCAATGAAAGATCTAATGTTAATTGAATGCTAACATTTGTACAGTGGGGTATTTTATATGTACTTGTATCACTGAGTATTCTCAACAGTTGCATGAGAAAATGGTATATGAAAATCCCCATCTTATAGTTGAGGAAACTGAGGCTTAGAAAGGTAAGCCACTGCCAGAGGCTGGTGTATGCTTCCAGGCTGTGTGGCTCCAGAACCTGTGCCACAGCCCTGCAGAACTGCCTCCCTGCAGGTGAACACTCAGTGCTGTGGGGCTCTCATTCGCTGTCTTCCTCCCCCATGCCTCACCATTGTGCTTTGGCTTGCTCCTCCTGCAGTGTCACTTGGGACCCCAACCGGTACCCCTCGGAAGTTGTACAGGCCCAGTGTAGGAACTTGGGCTGCATCAATGCTCAAGGAAAGGAAGACATCTCCATGAATTCCGTTCCCATCCAGCAAGAGACCCTGGTCGTCCGGAGGAAGCACCAAGGCTGCTCTGTTTCTTTCCAGTTGGAGAAGGTGCTGGTGACTGTTGGCTGCACCTGCGTCACCCCTGTCATCCACCATGTGCAGTAAGAGGTGCATATCCACTCAGCTGAAGAAGCTGTAGAAATGCCACTCCTTACCCAGTGCTCTGCAACAAGTCCTGTCTGACCCCCAATTCCCTCCACTTCACAGGACTCTTAATAAGACCTGCACGGATGGAAACAGAAAATATTCACAATGTATGTGTGTATGTACTACACTTTATATTTGATATCTAAAATGTTAGGAGAAAAATTAATATATTCAGTGCTAATATAATAAAGTATTAATAATTTAAAAATACTTCAGGTGTTTGTTTGCATTCCCAGCTTGTACTCACAGACTGTGTAGCCCTACACATTTTGGAATTCTATATGCCTATCATTTGTTTTTCATATTTCCTCATCAGAGCACCAGTGTTAGAGTTGTTTTGTTATTAATGATGCTTGGAGGTTGGTTACATAGAGAGTTAAGGAAAATGGTGCAAACAGAACTCAGGTTCCCTAGTGACACTTTCCTGCTTCATTATCCCAACTACATTATTTTACAAAGCAAGTACTTCTTGGCCACTGTGCTAGCCAGTGGAGACACAAAGAAAAGTAAGAAATGCATATGGAAGGGCCATGTGTTAATAGAGGCCATCCAAAGAGCCCCTGGTCATAAGGGCCATGGTGGCCACTTTGTTTCCTCCTCTGACTTCTGGGCCCTTTAGGGGTCACTGTTTGTCTTTTGTCCATCTCTTTAACATCTTAGGGGCACGCAAGCTTCCAGATTTTGATCTCCATGCCACTCTGAGGAAACTCAGAGGTCTTCTGGTGCTTCTGTTGCACACCACATTTTCTCCTTTACTTCCAGCATGCCACTAACTCAGAGCACGTCGGCAATGCTGCTGCCTCCCAGGTACCAGAGAGAAAGTGGGCTATAAGTTCTCACTCCCACCTAGGACTTGGCTTGAGGATGGGCAGTCAGCAGGAGCCTGGCTCCCATTTTGACCTGTTTAGTCTGTTGGTGGGTGTGGAATGGGAGTGGTTGGGGAGGCGAACTCTTTCTCTATCTCTTTGCTCCAGAATCTTGTGCTTAGGATATAAATATTGACTTTTGTACTTAAAATGTTCAGGTTCTTAACATGTAAAATACCTTCCTCTCATAGCTATCAGCTTCACAATTTTGCTCTGAATTTCACAAGTTCATTGTGATGCTCACATCTGTGTGAAGAAAGTTTTCTGTTCGTTTGGGCAGTAATAGCTGTACCCTAGGGGTAGTGCATGTAAAAAGCCCTCTGTCTGAGTAGTGAGGGAAGCATAAAGGAAATTTCAGGGGGAAAAGAATTGCACCACTGAGTGTATCAAGATATTATCTCAGCCCAGTGTGGTGGCTCATGCCTGTAATCCCAACACTTTGGGAGGCCAAGGAGGGAGGATTGCTTGAGACCAGGAGTTCAAGAGCAGTCTAATCAACACAGATCCCATCTCTCTCTCTCTTTACACACACACACACGCACACACACACAATTAGCCAGGCATGGTGGCACACACCTGTAGTCCTAGCTACTTGGGAGACTGAGATGGGAGGATCGCTTGAACTAGAAGTTGGAGGCTGCAGTGAGCTATGATCTCATCATTGCACTCCAGCCTCGGTGACAGTAAGACTTTGCCTCAAAAAAAGAAAGACATTATTTCACATTTCATTACACATGTACACATGTACTTTCAAGGCAGTGTGCCAAATACTGTAATCAAGGTATGAAATGTTAGGAAGATATAGGAAATTCCTGGAAAGTTTCAGAAACAAGATGACTTTTGCACTGAGACGAATATGAATTGATTTGGAGGAAGATGTGGGAAAGGCATTCCAAGCAAATGTAACAGCATGAGCAAAGGCAAGAGATACAAAAAAACCTGGTATGCTGGGGGACTGAAAGTAGTTCTATTTGCTCAGGATAGTGTGGACATGGGGACGCGGTGGGGAACACATAACAAATATTTCTTTAATGAATAAATGAATGAATTCACTTGGTAGTAGACAAAGAACAGTGGGCAAATGGGCCACTCATGGATGGTTTTGTAAGCTCCGTTACAGGAACAACAGGAGTATCGCTATATTTCACAAGATAACTTTGGTGATAGAGTGCAAAAGAGATCAGAAATCTGAAGGCCAGTGAGAAGATCGGAGAGAAAGCAATTTCACTCCGACAGCACACTCACATTTTTAGAGCTGGATGAGCCCCTGTAGATCACCTGGTCAATCTTTCTCATTTGCAAATGTGGCCCACAGGAATTAGGCGACTTGCTCAAGGTCACTTGGTAGTTAGTAGCAGAAACAGGTTCGTTGACTCCAAGTTCATGACTTTGATAAGGGTTTTGCAGCAATGCTGTAGTGTGTGCAATAAAGACCCATTTCAGTTATTTATGTGGCCTCAGGCTGGCCCTGGGAGAGAGTGCAGAAATAACCCCGCACCGCACATCTCCAAAGACATCGTATGTGGTGCTCTGGAGCCTGGGGCCCTGAGTCACAAAGCTTCTCTCTGTGGCTTCTGCACTGAGGGTTGGCTGTCCTTCAGGAAACTGCACGTCTTCTCCTGCTCACAAGGTGGCGAACTGTGTCCAGTTGTTCCCAGATTCCTCAGTATACGTTGAAAGGAAAGAAATGACTGTTTTATGGGTAATTTGTTTTATTTGGTGACTGGAAGCCACTGCTGAGGCAGAGTGCGTAGGCTGTGTTCTTTTGCTCTGCGCTCAGCTTTCTGGGAGAGCCTTTGTTTTTCCTGTAGGAGAAGTGGCTGAAGTTGAGCAGTTTAGGTGTTCAAATACAACGTTGCTTCATCATGTGTGGAGAGAGAAACCTTTCTTTCCACGTGGAAACTTGAAAGCATATAGTCTTTTCTTTCAACATCCAGTTCTTTTTGATGAATGCTTGGCTAAGGGGAAAAAAACCAACATATTCTTTCTCTGTCTCTGTTTCTCTCTTCCTTTCCCGTTCCCTACCTCCCCAAATTTGGATAAAAGTCACCTATATATATAAAGCTCTGTGTGATAAATTTTACTTGTAAGTTACAGTGAGAAAAATAGTAAGTTGATTTTTCTTCCCCCACTCCCTTCCCTAAAAGGAGAGGTAGAAAATATGCATTTAATATGTAGACAGCTTTTGGCTTTGAATCCTGGTTCTACCATTTTCTGCTTGTATGAATTTAGTCAATTTTGTCCTTCTGAGATTCAGCTTCTTCATACGTTAAATGCAATATAATATCTATTTTAAAGAGCTCTGTGTAAAGCAATCGAAATTAAAAAAAGGTAAATTACTTAATACAGTAACCAGGTAATAGTAGGCTTGGTAACTGGTAGTCATTATTTCAAGAGGCACAGGAGGACTTAGGTTTCCCATTTTGCTTGGCCCAAAGAAACTCAGAACCCATTTTTATGTCTAGATACCACAGTTTGCTGGCAGATTAGGCATTCATAAAAGAAAAAAAAACACAGTTATATTGTTCCTCATGGTTTTCAAATTTGCTTTCTTTATTTAATTTCTATACATATAATAATATAGTATAGTATATATAGTGCAGGTATATATTAGTATATAGATCCTGTGTATAAATCAATTTTCCATCTGTGAAAAGTTAAGAAAGCTGTAGATTCAATTCATTAAAAAATTCCCCCTGGACCCAGATGTCTATCGTATCCCACTCCGCTGGTATAAATTGGAAGAAAAATATTTTTAGCTCAATTAGTTTTAGGAGTGATACACGTTCAGCTAGATAACTGTGTGCTTTAAAAATTGTGACCTATTTCTGGCTCCCTGCCAGTTCAGTGGGTACTGATTTTGAGAATTTTGTTCAGTAGTGAAGAAGAACATATTTCAAAACTAAGATAAAAAATGATCACGATTTGAGCATCAAGATGTTCTTGCTGGCAAAATGTTGATTTCTTCCCTTAAATGGTACAGATGTCATGGCAATATCAGAGAGCAAGGCATAATGACTTAGTGTGTGGACGCTGGAGCCAGATGCCGGGTTAAAATATCAGTTCTGGACCTTACTAGCTGTACTAGTTGCTAATGATTTGGGTCTTGTTACCTAGCCTCTCTGTGTCTCTTTTTCCTCATATGTAAAATAGAGATGATAATAGCGCCTACTTCATAAAGTCATTGAGAGAATAGAATAATAATCTATAAGGTACTTGGAATAGTTACTGACATGGTAGGTGTATTGTTTAGTGTATTATTAAGAAAGATAAAATCCATCTATTATTCTACCACAATAATAGATCACATTAATGTTTTTCTTTCTCTTCTGCTCATTTGCCTCACAGATATATATTTTATAAGGCTGTAACTGTAAGATACATGCAATTTGTATTTGGTAATTTTTAACTTCACATTATACTCTATGTATTTCCAATGTTTCCATAAAGTATTCACAATGATTTTTAGTAGCTGTGTAATTCTTTCAAGTTGATGAACCAGAATTTATTTAGTTATTCTTTTATTTTTGGACCTTTAGCTCCAAAAATAAAAGAATAATTATTAACTTTAAAAAGTTAAATAATGCTTGTAACTGTTTTAATTACTTTTTAAAATTATAAACTATGTGATACAAACAGAAGAGTTTATGTCTTTGCATATGGATAGTTGCCTTGAATATCAAAATTCTGTACGCGTGTGTGTGTTTTCATATCTATGGCCTACCTTGGGGCAAATTAGTTAATTTCTCTGAGTCTTAGTTTCCTCAACTATAAAGCGGGGTGATAATGTCTGTCTCATAGGATTGTAAAGTGGATTAAAAGAAATAATACATGTAAAGCATTTAGGGCAGTTCCCAGTTCCAACGAGCTGTTTTAGTCTTAGTGGTTATGCAGAGCCTGTGAATGAATGTTTCCACCTTTAAATTCTTGTTTTGAAAGCCAAAGAAATCAATGCATTAGACAAAAATGAGTTTATGAGTTGTTCTGGGGTTGTGGCTGTGAACATATTCGGAGCCTTCTGATTCCACTGGCTTACCTCTGTGGTTTTGTTACGTGCTATCTATAGGTGACACACCGCAGCCCTTTGTATGGCCTGAGGTGAGGACCAGACTTTGTTTATAGTGGTGACAACACCAGAAGCCCTGTAACCATTTCCCACAACCACATTCTCATGGCTTTGACAGAAATCAGCTCTGGGAGGCACTGCTTGGATGGGGCGTGCAGGCTGAACGTTGGAGTGGGATCTAAGTGCGACTGTCCCCCTTGTAAGGGACACCATGCTCATGGAAAAGTGCTTAGTATTCTGAAGATACTAATCCATCAGGCAAGAGTTCCCCAGGGTCCCAGGCATCTGCTGATCTCACATTCCTGGGCTTCTCAACCTCTAAGGGAAAAAACACTCAGACTTCCCACAGACCACTTGTCAAAAGCCTGTTTGTCTTCTGCGGTCACCTCAAACCCCAAGTGGGATCCATTAAGAAAGCAAGGTTTGCTTCTGCCTTTTGATATTGAGTGTGTCTACATATGGGATGCCAAACTTCTGGCTGCTGTATTTGAAAGTACAGAAAAAATAGAATTAAATATAAAAGAAAACAGATCTTTCTGTTCGGATCTGTGTTGCTGAGCTTTGTGAGATCTATTAAGAACTATGATTTCGGTTTAAGAATTGGAATGAATTGTGGTTCTTGCCATATGGAAATGAGTTTTGCTGGGTGAAGCAATGATATAATTACTTCTACTGTACAGTAGATGAGTACCAAGGGATTCTCCATGATTCTCATTAGTACTAGAATGCTTTGTGATAAAAGCTAACACTTGCTCACTGGTTACAACAGAAAACACACTTCTAACTTCACATGCATGCACTTAATTAATCATCATCATAACTCTGTGAGGTAGGAAATATTAAATAGGCCCATTATACATATGAGAAAATTGTGGCACAGATTGAGATAGTATCTTTCCTAAGGTTATAATAGTGATATGGTGGTAGACTTCTGCATTTCATCACCAAGCTCCATTGCCTTTTGTGGGAGATCTGCCACAAATCACTTCCCTTTGTGAGAGGCTCTAAACCATGGCATCTTTTCTGAGGATCACTTTTTCTGTGAATGGTCAGGGAGAGCAAGCTACAATATTTGCTTAGTCATACAATTACGACATTTTAAGCTTTGTGGAAAGCTCATTAGAAAGCTAACCAATAGATCCTTGGGTTGGCCAGCTTCCATCAATATCTCAAATTATAATGGCCCTCATCTTGCTTGCCTATGGGAAGTCCAGTCCTTTACCAAGCCCTTGTCCCCAGGGTTTTCTGGGAAGCTTTAAGCAACATCCTCATTTCCTCTAAACTTTTCCTGAAATTGTTCACCACTTTGACCAACTGTCTGTTTTTAGACATCAATTCCTGCCCCACTCAGCCACCTGCAGATAGAGGCCTGGTAAACTCTGTCAGGCTCCATGATTTCCAAGCCTAGGTCATAAAAGTCTATGCAGCTTCCATCTTATTCCCTTCAAATGTTCACTCTTGGGGAGCCAACTGCGATGCAAGAAGTCCAACTACATTTTCCCTCCAGGAAAGGTCACTTGTAGGTGCTCTGGTTGGCAGTCTCACAGGAGCTCCCAGCCAATAGCCAGTATCCACTGCCAGCTATGTGAAGAGTAAGGACATCCAGCCTAGCTGAGACTTCAGTCGATGAAACTCCAGCCAATATCTGAATGCAACATCATGAGTAGGTCGAGCTATATCATCTGTGGATTCCAGTGCAAAACTTAAAGTGTGGGGCCTATTGTTACAAAAATTAAGACTGTCAAACAGAACATTAAAGCAACTGTGGGGCCCTTTTAAGTGCAGGGCCCTGTGCTACTGCTACACAAACTACATGCCTATGATGCTTGCCTGCTCACGAGATCTGAAGAGAATTGCCCAGCTGAACTCTTCCTGAATTTTTGTTATCAAAATAAAATGGCTTTGGTTTTACATAATATAATTTTGGGATGATTTATTACATGGCACTAGTAATCACATCAGGTTCCAAGAACAATTATTTTAGACTGCCATAGCCCAATATTATTACATTTTCTTTTCTTTCTTTTTGTTTTAGAGACAAAGTCTTGCCCTATTGCCCAGGCTGGAATGCAGTGGCCCAATCACAGCTCACAGCAGCCTTGAGCTCCTTGGCTCTAGCAATCTTCCTGCTTCAGCCTGAGTAGATAGGACAGATAGGACTACAGGTGTGCACCACCACAATGGGTTGATTATTTGTTTTTGTAGAGACAAAATCTCACTATTTGGCCTAGGCTGGTCTTGAACTCCTGGCCTTGTACCTTCTTCCTAGCTTGGCCTCCTAAAGTGTTGGGATTACAGGCATGAGCCACCACACCTGGCCTACATTTTCTAAATGTTCACTTAGCTTGATATTTGTTTCTAAGGAAGCTGGATTATATCTAACCCAATTCTATTTTTTGTTTTATCATCCAGCAAGAGTTCAAAGTTGTGCCTTTATATCTTTGCTGCAATTTTGGCTATCTCAACAACTAAAATGAAAAGCATGAAAATACACACCTCTATATAATAATCAGCAACAGTACACAACAACTCAGTATATATCATTAGTTAGAAAGACACTTTTCTACAAAGGGCATAGTCTGAAGAAATGCAACTCTGCCTACAGTATATATGACCTTTTACATCACCTTTTACAAAGAGCAATTTAGTCCCCGGGAACCATGGCTTTTCAAGTGTCTGTTTACATCTGCATAATTAAGGGGCCCACATACATGCATTTTTCAGAAAAAAATAAGGAGCTTCAAGACATATTTTATGCAAGGCAGGAAAATGCTTGCCTCCTGGAAATGCAGATTTTCAGATTCTGCTATTTGCCCCAAGATACTGAATGAAAAACAAGCCCACATTTCATAATTTATTCTGAAGTAAAATAGAGCTGAGCCTCTGGTTTCAGTTATTTATCAGCACTCTGTATTAACAAGCATTGCTGTGTTAGAATAGAATATGGTGATAAATTTATGTTAGAATGTGGTGATGAATTGATATTCATAATGACAACCTTAGATACTGTTCTCTACATAATCAAGGGAATGTTCTGTTGTGTTACAGCCCCATGTGTATCTGATTTTCTTATTTGAAAATTTTTTGGCCGGGCATGGTGGCTCAAGCCTGTAATCTCAGCACTTTGGGAGGCTGAGGTGGGCGGATCATGAGATCAGGAGATCGAGACCATCCCGGCTAACACGGTGAAACCCCGTCTCTACTAAAAATACAAAAAGTTAGCCAGGCGTGGTGGCAGGCGCCTGTAGTCCCAGCTACTGGGGAGGCTGAGGCAGGAGAATGGCGTGAACCCAGGAGGCAGAGCTTGCAGTGAGCTGAGATCATCACGCCACTGCCCCTCCAGCCTGGGCGACAGAGCGAGACTCCGTCTCAAAAGAAAAAAAAAAAAAAATTCTTTCCTGCATGATGTGCTAGGCTGAATAACATTCACCAAAGATATTTATGTCCTAGTCTTTGGAACCTGGGAATATTCCCTTATACGGCCAGAGAGACTTTGCAGATGTAATTAATCAAGGATTTTGAGATGGGGAGATTATTCTGAATTATGCGGGTGGGCCCTGAATGTAATCACTGGACTCTGCATGAGAGGGAGGCAGGGGAGATTTGACTACAGAGACATAAGGCAATGTGAGGATGGAAACAGGGTGCTACAGAGGTGGCTTCGAAGATGGAGGAAGGGACTACAAACCAAGGAATGCAAAGACTGCAGCTTTGGAAGCTGGAAAAGGCAAACCATAATTCTCTCCTAGAGCCTCCAGAGGTGAAAAGTCTGGCTGACACTTTGATTTTGGCCCAGTGAACTGTAAGAGAAATGTGTGCTGTTTTAAGCCAAAAACTTTGTGGTAATTTGTTAAAGTAGCAATAGAAAACTAATAGTATGCTTACGTGTATCTGAGTGCTTTCTTCTTCTTTGAAAAATCTTTCTTGCATGGGTAACTCTTCATCAAGTTGGATATTTGATTAGCCTAAGCATTCTGTTTCCAGGCTGGAAGAGCATTCACTCTAGCAATTATTAGGTATGATCTACCCATTTGTGATCTCTATGTCAATGTCTCCTTCTGCAAAGCCATAATTCAGGTTCATTGTGTCTAGGCCCCAATTCAATTCAATTAGTCTATTACAGAAAATTTGCTTTCTCCAGTGGCCAGCCCAGCTAAACAATGTGTTTGATGACAGCAGAAGATGCAGGGTGGGAAATGTCTCTGACTCACCCATGTGGTGGATTCTGAAAGCAAGCAGCAAGGATGCTGTTTCGGTTTGACTGCTGCATGCCCTGTGTGGGAGACAATGAAGAGCACTATGGGGCCCAAAGTTGGCTTCTCACCATCTGACCCAAACAGACAACTTCTTACAGTAACCCCAAGGGGAGGAAGTCAGTGTTGGTGGAGTGCTCCTTCCACAAACTTAAACTGAGATGTCTGACCTACATTTCTAGCCTCCAAAATGACCCTCATTTTACTAGTAGTGGTTCAAGGTTAAATGCATAAAAGTTAACATTGCATGACGATCATATTTAATATAAAGATTATTTGAAATCCGTTGTCTTCACCAAACTTCTTGAATTTGATACATGAAAGGGCAGTAGGGTTGAGCGGGTGACCATTTGTCTTTGTGGGTGTGCTGTTTCATGTCTTTAGGAAAACTTGCCTCCTCCACTTCCAGTGCCTCCGCTCTTTGTTCCTATCCCTGTATGGCTCCAGGAATGTCAGCTATGGCTGCAACTCAAGCTTAGCAAAACAGACCATTTTTCTACGTGATGTAATTTATGAGGCACTGGGAGGAGACTCTGCCTCCAAAATACATTTTTGTGCGCTGCTGAAATACTCTCTTTAAGACATCACTTTTGAGGGCTTTTTGAAAAATATGCACTTCTAGAAGGTTGACACATTAACCCGGTAAGGTAGATTCCATTTTCTAGATATCCTCTGAAAACCTTCTTTTTAAACATGCAGCACCATGTTCCCCACTGGGGAGTGAAAGATCAATATGGCACCATTCTTTCTGTTATGATGCTCATGGTTGAGAAGGGAGACAGAAAAAAAGTTAGCAAATTCAACCCCTGTCAGCTGGGGTCATCATGTCTATTGAAATTTAGTCAATAATTGGTTCAAACCACCCAGTGGGCCTTCCCTCCATACCTGTGGGGATTCCTTAGGGAATCTTAGCCTTCCTTTAGGGCGCTGGCTTCCTAAGGTGCTGCAGTGTTGATCTTCTGCACTCGCGGCCCACCTCCTGCAAACGGCGCTGCTCTGAGCTGACCTAGACGCTTTGCCTTGTGGGAAAAGCACACCCGGCATTTGCGTGTGCGCTAGATGTCACCAGGGATGTAGAGTGACAGCGGGATCTACTCAGCAGCACTATGGTGCAATTAACTCCACACTTAATAGTAGGTATTCCTGTTCTTAAACATTCTTTGGCCACCATTGGCATTGAGGAATCGTCAGAGGCTAACACTTCTCCATGGGCTCCTTGCCTGTTTCCTGGTAGTTCTGCCCCTGACTCCATCTTTCCTCAGCTCTCACCTTGTCCCCCTTCCTGCTTACCACCTTCCATTTGCAGTATGGTTTAGCTTTTTGTTTCTCTGTTGTCTGCTAATGCAGGTCCTGGAGACCTTATCCCTTGCACCAAATACTGCCTTTCCAAGTATTTTGCAAACATTTCTACTCAGGGGAAAAATAACGCCACTCCCTGAGGGCAAAAGCAATTAAGTTGGTTGTGGTTTTAAATAGAAATTTCTTTTTTTTTTTAACATGTCTACAAAAACAATTCCAATACGGTGTGACAAATATAACAATATAAATAGATATGAAGTACAGAGTCAAGATGAAAGAAACTGACATTGAGTTGTTTTTCGATAGAGGGTTGGTCCTATATGGGTTGCCAAAGAAGATGACATTGGTGTTCCAACTAAAGGATGATTGGGCTGGGTGTGGTGCCTCACACCTGTAATCCTAGCACTTTGGGAGGCCAAGGCAGGTGGATCACTTGAGGCTGGGAATCTGAGACCAGCCTGGCCAACATGGTGAAACACTATCTCTACTAAAAATACAAAAATTAGCTGACTGTGGTGGCTGGCACCTGTAATCCCAGCTACTCGGGAGGCCGAGGCATGAGAATCACTTGAAACCGGGAGGCGAAGATTGCAGTGAGCTGAGATCATGCCACTGCCCTCCAGCCTGGGTGACGAGCGAGACTCTGTTTCAAAATAAATAAATAAGTAAGTAACAAATAATTACATTAAATAAAGGACGAATAGAAGTTTACTGGGAAGACTGGGAAGCAGAAGGGTTTTTGGCTGGAAAGCACAGTGTGTGCATGGGCACGGTGGCACAGAATGGCATCCCATGCTCAGAAAATATGAACCGTTGGCAAAGCAGAAACATGAAGTACAGTTTCTGGGGCAGGGGGGCAGAAGAACGTGTGACCAAAGAGATAAACGGGGACCAAAATATGAAGGGATTTAAGGCCTTTAAGAAATTTGAATTTTCTTCTCCAAATAATGGAGAGCTATTTCAAGGTTTTAGGCAAGGGAGTGAAATGATCGATTTTGGGTTTTAGGGAGCTCCCTCTGGTAACAGGGTGAGATCGGATCAGATTTGATCAGGTTGGTGTTGTGTGGAGATGCTATGATGGTTGAATGTTATTGTTAAAACTCAAGCAAGAAATAATGAAGTCCTGAAACGTCAGTGGGTCTGGAGGATAGGGAAATATTGAATCAGTAGGATTTGGTAACTGTTCATCTCTGATTGGGGTTGGGGGTGGTGAGAGGCTAAGGAAACAGAGGAGTTTGGGAAAACTTTCCAGGGTCTGATGGGGCCAATGGGTGGATGCCTCTGCTGGAAACCAAAATGACACTATTTAAAGACAAGCATTTTTCAGGTAGAGAAGACAATGAGTTTAGATGTTAAATATGATGCCTATGGGTAATTGGATATATTGATCCAGTTTCACAGGAAGAAGCTGAAGGTAAAGTCCAGAAATAGAAATTGTGGAGTCCTTGAGATAGTTGGTGATTCAGTCTATATAACCTGGGATTCAGAAACACAAACCAGGGAAAGATGGTATATTAGGCATGCACACGTTAATGTGAATTAGTTTTATGAGGTTCTTTTTCCTTACTGCCAACTGAGATTATTTCACCATAAAAGGGAATTTTCTTTTGGGAAAAAAATTAGAGAGACCTCGGATGTATAGTCCTTGATTTTGATGATGAAAGGTACCATGGAGTCACTGGGTGTCTAGAGGATGAGGAAAAGAGAGACAGAAAGAAGAGGGTAGGACACCAAATAACATCTTTCTCAACTTCACAACTTTACCTGTGGCTTCTCTTGGGCAAGAAACCCCCCCAAATAATCACTGGTATCTACAAGGAAGTCTTCATAAGTTACGATTCTTTTATTATTTATTCTCTCACTTATTCCTCTGGTTTTTCTGCAAGTTTCCAGGTGTACAGGCAATGCCAGTTTGGAAAACTACTGTTCTGGAAAGCCTCGGATAAGATTCTCATGGGAGTGTGAAGGATAAATTATTTAGCAAGAGCTGAGCCCTCCCATCCATCAGGAGTTATTGCTGTTTCCAGTGTCTAGTGGGCACCTTGCAAGGTTTTGTCACCTATTCAACTTTCCTAGGATTTTCTCAGAGATATGTCAGCATACAGTAACCATTTTTGTTGGAGGAACTCTGTACTAAGGCCACCGGTTTCTGTGACAGCATCAAGACACTGGAACTACCTAGAGCCTCAGCCAACAAGGGAGAAGAAAGTGCTCTCTTTTCATTGGGAGTTCATGGCTGCGCTGCACCTGGGCACATTCCCCACCATATAAGCAAAGTTTCTTTGCAGTAGGAGGGGATGAGGCTAATACTCAGAGGCAGAGGCAAGCAGAGATGAGAGATGGATGTAGACAGTGAGAGTCCTGGTAGGTGGAGAGTTCAGTTCTAGTTCCTGGGCCTTAGGTCCTGTAGCCCCTTCCCCTTCCCAGTCACTTGGGCCAATATGTGTCATTTTGCTAAAGCTGATTTGAAGACAACTCCTTGGGGGATATTTTCTTGGGGGAAGGAAAAAGGGGTCTCAGAGGAGACCAAGATGGAAGTAAATGACCAGAAGAGTGAAATGTGGGGGAAACCAAGAGTGGAGACGTTCTTCAAAAAATGATTAGAAGATGATTTTGCAGAGATCAAGTTTCATTGCTTTATTGTCATAGAAGCAAAATACAAAGGCTTAGGAGGCAAGGAGAGGTGAGGAAGTAGAAGTGACAGGTTCTGACTGCTTGGTCATCGCATCTGACTGTGAGAGATGCAATCGTGGCTGTAGCAGTTACCATAAGGATTGGGAATGATGCTCTACGACAAAACACTGAGACTCAGCCATCGAAAGAAACAAGTATTTTCTTTGGTTTTGGTAAAGGACCCAGCTGTCCTCATCTGCACAATGAGGTGACCATGGCAATGTGAGCACTGAGGATGTAGCTCTCAAGAGTATCCTGAGGCCTGAGAAGACTTAGCCTGTGCACCCTTTCACAGCAGCATAGCCTAAAAGAATTGGGGCAGACAGGTCACCCTTGGTCCTCACATTTTGAAGTGTGCTGCTGCTTGATGTTGTGGGAGAGGTTGCTAAACAAAGACAAGGAGCATTATTCCTCGAGTCACTTTTCTCAAAACATTGTTGTACACATTTGTGCTGGATAAAGAGTTCTTGGGATGTTTAACTTCTAGGCATCTTAGATGGACAAATCTCTTTTACAGCAGTAGGGTACCACAGAGAAGAGGAGATGAAAGATGCCAAGAAGAAAATGAGATGAAAGATACCAAGGCTAAAGGGAATCACGCATGGTTTCAAGGAGGTGGCAGAGGGTGAGAGGGCAGACGTGGGGATGAGTGCTTCTGAGGCAGAAAGAAGGGTTGTAACTGAGGAAAAGATGCACGTTGGAGGCCTTCATCTCAGAAAGGTGCTCTGGGGAGCAAGAAGAGAATGATGAGGGGTTGTGGGTGGATGTTAAGGTCTGGAAGAGAATGAAAAAATTGGCAGAATAGACATAGGGATTATTGGGGCAGATGTTCCTAAACATACTCAAGCAACAGAACACCCAGGAATCATAGCCTTTTTGTGAGTTGCTGAGAGATATTGATGAATTTAATACATATCTCCTTAACAGGAGTTACCTTAGCCTTATAATTTGTCTGTCTTATGTTTACATTGTTTAGACATGCTATGTTTACATGCAATAAAAACAATATGCAGTCAATCACATGCATTTGTCCATTAAAAATCACTCTGTAAGCTGAGACACAATACATGTCTCTAAAATTTGTCCTTTAATTGAAACTGATCTGAATAGAGATGAGAAAGTGGAAGAATAGTGTAGCTGAGTCATGATTATTCTTAAGATGGATCAACTTAATTTTCTTTTTCTTTCTTTTTTTTGAGATAGGGGCTCATTTGGTCACCCAGGATGGAGTGCAGTGGTGCAACATAGCTCACTGTAACTTTGAACTCCTGAGCTCAAGTGATTCTGCCACTTAAGCCTCCCAAGTAGTTGGGGTTACAGAAGTGTGTCACCACACCTGGCTAATTTTTTAAACAAATATTTTTTAGATACGGTGGGGGGATCTTGCTTTGTTGTTTAGGTTGGTCTTGAACCCCTGGCCTCAAGCAATTCTCCTGTCTCAGCCTCCCAAAGCACTGGGACCCATTTTCTAATATGTGCTGCTTACATAAACATGAGTGATTAAGAGAATCGATTCTTTAAGTCACATCTGAGTACTTAGCACATGTATGGACACCTGTCTTACCTTAGTTCTCTTAGTTGTAAAATGCTCAAAGCCCATTTCAAGGCGTTTAAGGAGTAATCCAAAATGAACGCTTAGAAATGTCATGTATGTGGAACAACAATTTCCTTGTAGGACTTCCCTCCCTCCCTCCCTTCCTCCATCCCTCCCTCCCTCCCTCCCGTCTTCCTTCTTTCCCTTTTTCAACTGTTCTTTCTTATTTTGTTTAGAACTTATTTAGACTTGTTGATCTAGCAGTGTTTGAAGAGATTTAGAAAAATTGCAACTACAGTAACAATTCAGGAGTATTCCAGATCGAGTTATGAATGACTGTGGGATATTTTGCTTTTTCCAGAAGTGGAGAAAAGTTTGTCCTGTTTAATTTTTCTTTAGCCCTCATCTTGAGGCTGATGCTGAGGGTAGACAAAGAGTCTTAGAAGGAAGGAGAAGAGTCACCAAAGAGAATGGCTTTGGAGTGGTTTTCTCTCTGATTGTGCTTAATTCACCCATATTATTATTCAAGATGAGGATTTCTACTTGGCTGCAGTGAAGAAAGCATATGCACCTTTTTTTCCTTTTTTCTGTCTGGAACTGAGAACAGGGTTATAAGATTATTGTGGTGAGCATCACTATGGTGAGCCATCAGTTGATCAGGAGGGCTGTAGACAGTTTGGTTAACCACAGAGCTTGCTGAGAGAGAAGGTGGACCGAGGCGAGGGAGGCAGGGGCTTGTGGGAAGCAACTGGATGTGACACAGAGATAAAGTCTAAGTTATGTGGGACAGTGAAGACATGTGAATAATTTACCCAACAACAACATCTATTCAACGGCAAAATGTTGAAACCAGATACTGTACTATGTACTCTGTGTGTCATTTAAGAAATTTTGGCAAATAATCTGAAATCCTCAGTTAAAGAAATGTTAAATGAATGCTTAAGGCCAGTTGCAGATATTAAACTTTCGATAGAAAGAAAACATAAAATTTATAAAATAAATGGTAGCCTACAAATATTTTTCTTTTTCTTTTTTGGAACTTGTGCTTGGGCAAAATTGTATGCTCATCACTGATAAGTGAAATGGCAGACTGAATGTATGGTTCAAATATAAATACAATTTTTTTTTTTTTACAACAGAGCTTTTGCTAAAATTTGGGCAGCAGGTTGTCTGAGATTGTATTCTCTAGTAATTAGCTCTTTCACTTTAGTATAATGCTTTTAAGATTCATTCATGTCATTGTGTGCTAGTGGTTTGTTCTTTTTCATTGTTGAATATACCCCATTGTATGGATATACTAAAATTGATTTATTCATACACTAGTTAATGGGCATTTGGGTTGTCTTAGTCTGTTTTCTGTTGCCATCACAGAACATCACAGACTGGGTAATTTATAAAGAAAATAAATTTATTTCTTTCAGTTCTAGAGGCTGGGAAGTCTAAGGTTGAGAGGTTGTATCTAGTGAGGGCCTTGTCGCATCATAACGTGGTGGGGGCATCCCATGGGGAGAGGACGAGAGTGTGTACCAGCTCAAGTTTCTCTTCTTCTTCTTCATTTTATAAAACAACTTTTACAGACACTTAATTTAAACATTTCTCATGTTATGAAAACCATATTGGAAGCATATTTTTGTGGCAGTATAATATTTCAGTTTAAAAAAATTAACACATAATTATACGTATTTATAGGGTACAATGTGCATTTCACACCTAGTCCCCAAAACTTATGTCCTTCTCACATGCAAAGTACATTCACTTTATCCCTATAGTTCCAAATTTCATAACCTGTTCCAGCACCAAGTCAAAAGTCCAAACCCAAAGTCCAAAGTCATCTCAAATTCAAGGCAAACCCCTTCCAGATGTGAGCCTGTGAAATCAAACACATTATCTACTTCCGAAATATAATGGTGGAAGAGGCATGAGTAAATATTTCCATTCCAAAAGGGAGAGACAGACAGGAAAAAACGGGTAATGGGCCCCAAGCAAGTCTGAAACCCCAAAAGAGCAGACACTAAATCTCAAGACTGTAGAATAATCTTTTACTCTATGTGTTGCCTCCTGGACATACTGGGGTTGGGAATGAACCCCAAAAACCTCAAGAAGTCCTCTTCCCTTAGCTTTCTTGGGCTCAGCTCACACTTCAGCCCTTTCATGCTAGAGTCTCATACCTGCAACTCTCCCTGACTGTTACTGCACACTGGTGGTCCTATATTTCTGGGGTCTCAGTGGCAGTCCCACACCCATGGCTTCACTAGGCATTATCCTAGAGGGGCCTCTTTGTGGCAGCCTCATCCCTGTGGCAAGTTTCTGCCTGAGACCCCAGGCTGTGTGTAAACTCTTTGAAATCCAGGTAGAGGCTGCCATACCTCCATAGCTCTTGCATTCTGGGCATGTGCAGAATTAGCACCATGTTCATGCCACTAAGGCTTATCACTTGTGCCCTTCAGAGCTATGGCAGGAGCTGTACTTGGGCCTGCTTGAGACATGGCTAGGGAGGCTGTGGATTCCTGCACTGTAATGCTTGGAGCAAAGACCAAAGGGGGCTCTGGGCAGTAAGCCCATGTAGGGTGCCCTGGGCCTGTCCCTTGAAACCATTCTGCCTTCCTAGGCCCCTGGGCTTTTGATGGAAGGGGAAGCCTTGAAGATCTCTGAAATATCTTCAGGGCCTTTCTTCCATTGTCTTGGTGATTCCTTCTATCTGTGCTAATCTCCTTAGAAAATGATATCTGGGTCATATCCTTGATTTTGTCTCCTGAACTACTTTTTTTTTTTTTTTTTTTTTAACTCTTTACAGGGTCAGGGTAAGAGTTTTCCAAACTTTCTGCCTTGCTTCCCTTTTGAGGATAAATTCCATCTTTAAATCATTTTCCCCTCTTGTAGCTTAATGTGAGCTGTAAAAGTAGTCATGCAGCAGCTTGAATGCTTTGATGGTTAGATGTTTCTTCCACTAGGTATTCTAATTCATTGCTGTTAGGTTCTGTATTCCAAAAATCCCTTGGGCATGGACACAATCCAACCAAATTCTTTTCCAGTTTATAATAAGAATGGCCTTTACTTTGGTTTCCAATATCTTGTTGCTCATTTTCATCTCAGACATCATCAGAAGAGCCTTTACTGTTTATATTTCTATCAGAATACTAGTCATGATCACCTAAATAATCTCTAAGAACTTCCAGACTTCCCCTCATCTTCTTGTCCTCTGAGTCCCTACAGAATTGCCCTTAATGCTCTGTTCTTGGCCACTGAGGCTTTTTCTAGCCTGCTCCTCCAAATTCTTCCAGCCTTTGCCCAATATCTAGTTCTAAAGCCAAGTCTACATTTTCCAGGTATTGTTATAGCAACGACTTGACTCTTGGTATACAGTTTCTTGTCTTAGTCTGTTTTCTGTTGCTACAGCAGAATATCACAGACCAGGTAATTTGTAAAGAAAAGAAATGTATTTCTTGAATTTTTGGAGGCTAGGAAGTCCTGGGTTGAGGGGCTGCATCTGGTGAGGGCCTTCTTGCTGCATCATAACCTGGAGGAGGACACTTGACGAGAGGCCAAGAACAGGCTTGTCAACTCAGGTCTCTCGTCCTCTTCTTATAAAGCCACCAGTACCATCATGGGGGCCCCATCCTGATGATCTTATCTAATGCTAGTTACCTCTCTAAGGCTACCTCTTAAAGACTTGGAGGATTTGATGCCTCCAATCAACATACGAATTTGGGAATTAAGCTTCCAACACATTAAATTTGGGGAACATACTCAAACCACAGTAGATCGTTTACAATTTTTGGCTGTTATGGCTAACATTTTACATATAGGTCTTGTGTTAACTTATGTTTAATTTCTCTTGGATAAATACTTATGGGTAGGATCACTGGGGCTTATGGTAAGGGTACATTTAATTGCCAAATTATTTTCCAAAGTGACTTATCAAAAGACAAAATTACAACACATGTAATTTAAAAATTTTTGTTGGCTTTTATTTGTGATTCTAGATTGAGGAACATCTCATTCTATGAAATAGAGTGAGTACTATGATGAGCTGAGCGAGGGGATTAGCTTTATAGGTAGAAAAGGGCTGAAGAGAATAGAAACAGAGAACGAAAAGTGGATTGGTCATTTCAAAGTTATTTTCCTGCTAGGGTTAAAACAGAGGGGACTTTCTTATTTTGTTGACTCAGGTTGATTGGAATCTCCTTTTTTTTTTTTTTTTTTTTTAAGGAAAACTGGCCCATTTCAAAGTTCAGCTTAATTACGTGGAACTTAGCACATGTGACTCCATTCTGGTTTGGACTGGTCTGTTGGGGCCTACTGCAGGAGCCTAGTCTAAAACAACAGCCTCCCATAAACTTTAACAGACTGTATCACTTTGCATTTCTGCCAGAAATGTATGAGGGTTCTAGTTCCTCTCATATCCTTGCCAAAACTTGGTATTGTCAGTTTTTAAATTTTGGTCAATCTAGTGGATGTGTAAAGGTATCTCAATGTACTTTTAATTTGCGTGTTACAATATAGTGATCTAAACATGCATTACACCAAAGAGATCTGTCCTTTTGTTTAGGTGTGACTGCTTGGGGCTTGCAGGTACAAGTGGCCAATCCCAGTTGCAAGTCCATCTTAGATGATGCCTTTATCACAAAAATTGATTTTCTGCCTGTCTTTTTCTGTCACCTTGTCTTGATCTTGTATTGACGAACCTCTCTTCACAGAACATACAGTATTGTGCACGCGTCCCTTATGAGTAATCTGCTTCCAGTTTTATCCTTCCTTAGTGCTGAGTCCACCATTTGCCATTTTCTTATCTCCTAGTGGATTGGCATTCACCTTTGTTCTGAACCCACCCCAGGTGACACTGGGTTTTACTACCTTTCATATTCATGCCACAGTCACTTGATCATAGTCATATATCAGAAACTTTGTTCAGTCATCACTGATAACTCCCATTCTCCTACTGATTTGGTGCTGTTCACAATGCCCAGTGATTCTGATTGATCTACTCCATTTTTAACAAATGTCTTGAGTCAGAGGTCTGAACCACAAAGTCCTGGACAGCAGAAGCCACATAAGAGAGACTGAAAGTAAATTTGAGTGCTATATTTGTAAAGATAAGAGCTGAAGCCACAGATCTCGGGAGCTCACCTACATTTAGGGTTCAAGACAAAGAAGTGAAACCAATGTAGAGACCGAATAAATTAATAGGGAGGTGAGAAAGAGTGTCACAGTATCACAGAAACTAAGGTAAGACAGAGTTTTAGGAAAGAGAGAGGGTTCAATTGGGTAAATGCTGCACAAAGGTTTAGAAGAGCTGGGAAGATGCCACTGAATTTGAAATTGGGAGGTTATTTGACACTTTGGGAAGTTCAGTTTCAGCAAAACAGTAGAGTTAGAAGCCAGAATGCAGGCCAGGCATGGTGGCTCACGCCTGTAATCCCAGCACTTTGGGAGGCCAAGGTGGGTGGATCACTTGAGGTCAGGAGATTGACCATCCTGGCCAACATGGTGAAACCCCTTCTCTACTAAAAATACAAAAATTAGCTGGGCGTCGTGGCATGTGCCTGTAGTTCCAGTTACTCGGAATGCTGAGGCAGGAGAATCTCTTGAACCCGGGAGGCGGAGATTGCAGCGAGTGGAGATCATGCCACTGCACTCCAGCTGGGCGACAGAGTGAGACTCCATCTCAAAAAAAAAAAAAAAAAAAAAAAAGAAGAAGCCAGAATGCATAGAAATAGTTGATGAGAAAGTGGAGGGCATAAGTACAGATGTATTTTTCAATAAGTGAGGCAGACATAAACATACCTCCCTCTAAACCATCCTTTGTGCCTTCCAACAGGGTAAGAAGTGGACACCTTTCTCTGCTTTTGATCCCCGTATGCCTTTGCCCAAAGACTCTCACTGTCCTGGACTTTCTCCTATATCTTCAAACTTTGATCATTTCCTCCCTATCAACATGCTCAATAATTTTCAGTTTTCAAAACAACAAAATTAAAAATAACTATGAATAACTCATAGGTTCCCATGGCCATTACTCTATCTCCTTCCTTTTCTTAGCCAAGCTACTCAAAAAAGAGCCTTTTCTTGTGTCTCCCACTTCCTACTTTTCTGTTAACTCCTCAGTATATTCTAATCTGATGTTGGTCTCTACCACTCCAAAGAAGGCTTCTACCTTCTTCTTGTAGAGCTCAATGCCTTGGTTCACCATAGCTAACAGATGCCTTTCAGATCACAACTTATTTGACATTTCTTGACATTTCATTCAGATGACCACTTCCTTCTTGAAGTTCTCTATTCTGTTCACTTTTCTCTCCAATTTTTATTTGTGTACATCTTTGGTTGCTCTTTGTTTTGTGGGCTCTTCTCTTCTTTTCTGATCCTTAGACACAAGAGTTGTGCAAGTTTCAATCTTTGGCTGTCAGATCCTTTCACTCTGTAATTTCCCTTAAGGAGACACCAAAGGAACTCATGGTTTGTGATACTTGCTAACAGGTCCATGCCATGCTTTGGATCCCACCTGCTTTTGCCTAACGGACATTGCTACCTTAAGATCCTCAGACCTCTGCTGAGTTTCAGGCTCATTTCTCCATTTTTCCACTGGACATCTCCATTTGGGTGTCCCACAGATATCTTAGAACATGCTCAAAGGTAATCCACTACTCTCATTGGCCCCAAACCTATTATTCTTCTTTCTTCCACTCCTTATCTTATTGAAAGACATTGCCATCCACCCCCATTAGCCAAGTCAGAATCTAGGAGCCATCCTTGCCTCTTTGCACTCCTGTTTGCTTCTTCCCAACCACTCCATCAAGTCCTGTTGATTTTATCCTTAATATTTCTCAAATCCATCTCTTCTAGTCATTTTCACTGCCACTACCATACTCATTACTCTCTCCCTCAGGAAAATCATATCTTCTCAACTGGATTCATCCATCCAATTTCATTCCTCAGACATGTTCAGCAACTACCTATTATATGGAGGGTAGTATTAAAGGGGGAATATCAGCTTCTAGTTAAGTGTTTTATTGTATTGTAGATACTTCCTCTTGACTGCTTCCTCATTAAACCTTAACTGATCTTTCCTTATTCCCACCTTACCCCACACCCCACACTGGTTATTCTGCACATCATAAAATTCATCATTCTCCAGCCTGGTTTGGAGTCAGACACATTGATTAGAGAAGATTAAACTAATGAGGTGCAAGTAGAATGGAAACATAAACAGTTATTGGTGACTAGATATCAGAGTCAAGTACCTCAACTCCTACAATCTTTTAAACACATCTCTATTAAACCCTATAATCAATTTACTGTCCTTTGTCAAGTTCTTATCTCCCTTCTAACCCAGCATACATCCCATGGCCAATCATTACAAACACTCTTTTTGCACATTTTCAGCCCTTTACCTCTTTGAAGCACTCTTTTTGCACATGCTTTCAGTCCTTTACGGCTTTCACTTGGTCCATAGTCAACTGGCAAAATCCCAACTCCAGTTAAATTCCAGTCTTCACTTATTCAGTGCTTAAAGCTGCACTGCTGAATGTAACTGGAGAAAAACATGCAACCACACTGACTGGTCTCACTTTAAATGTGTGACCACTAACTTCAACTGGGTCCGTAATGTTACCCAAACATCCATTTGCTCTCTCACTCTCCTAACAATTTTATATTTTCTCTTATCTCTTCATGCCAGTTATCAATTTATTGCCTCTCATTTCCAGATGTACTTGATTAATATACTCCTCAAATCTCCAATATTAATATACTCCTCAAACTTCCACCATCTTTACACTCAGTAGTTGGCCTTGCCTCTTATTTTATGCAGAAAATAAAAGCAACCCAGAAGAGAACATCTAGAAGTGCTATACATCTAACCACATTTCTGGGCCCATTTACTCTCCTTTAACTCTGGATGACCTGACTTTACTCCTAGTTAAAGATGACTTCTCCATTTGTTCATGGGCTCCCATCCCCTCATCCCTACTTAAGTTTCTTGCTTCAGAATTGTTCCCTACAAAGGTGTCTCTGTAGTTATTACTTAATTCACATTGTCACAGATTTTCCCAAAATGGCAGTGCCACTTTGCAATATGAAATTCACTGAATACAATTTGAACATAGTGTTACATCCTTACGTAATGCCATTATGACCAATGCTGCTTTATTCCTGAATTAATTATGTGTGTTCATTTTTTTCTTGATTAAAAAGTAAGTTTATTATGGCTTCTTTGATATCCCATTGCATCTCCCCCAAACTAATAGTTGTAAAATTTTTTTGTATAAAGCTACATGATCCAAATTTAAGACAGAAATATTTCAGTTGGATATTAAGAAGGACTTTTTGTTTTTTTGAGGGGAGAGGTAATGAATCACACTGGATTGTAGTATTTCTATATTTAAAGTGCTTAAAAGTAGGCTTGATAATATTTTTGCATATGCATAGTATTACTTTCTTTTATCTGGTATCTTTTGTTAAAGAAATGGACTGGAAGACCATTTAAACTCTTCCAAGATTGTGATTCCATAATTACCCAGGAAGCGTCAGCCAAGACCTACTGCTCCAGGAAGGCACTGGGCAGGCAAAAGTGAATGAGTCAGCCTTTCTACCTTTGTCTTCCCAATAATTGACACAGGATCAATGTCACGGGTGTCTTCAGTAAATGTTTATGACTGAATCTTCATATCATAATAATAATAATCATCACCACCACCATTATCCATATTTGGCACACATCTGGGTGCATGCAAACCACTGTGCATTGTTACTCCTTTCAGGAACTCATGAGAGTAACCTATGTTGGTGTTCCGGCATGAGGCATGTGAAGTATAGGTCACCTTTGATCTGAGCCTTTTAAGTCTGCTTACTTTTAACCACAGACATATATTGATTTCCCTTAATCACCAAGAATGAGCTTCATGCTTTGAGAACCAGCCTTGTCAGCTCTGCCCTCACCTGGTGAGAGTTGGTGTCTGAGGACGTGGGGACATGTGAAGATAAACCACCACCCTTGAAGTTTCTAGGCATCTCTTATGGGTGCTTAATACTCTACTTTCTGACTTGGTCTTTTTGTGACAGACTCTGAACTTGTGAACCTGGATTTTAAATATGTCTTTGTAGTTAAAGAAACAGAAAAATCATGTGTCATGTCCCTGTGTACTCTCTCTTTCTCTGTTTTTTCCTAAGCCTTCAATTCCTTTTCTAACTTCTCTCTTCAGCTACTCCGAAATGTTTCCCAGGCACAGCTCAAATTCCCTTTTCTGGATGAAGCTCTTTCTGACCATTCCATCCAACAGTGAAGTGCCTTTCTTCTGAACATCCTTGACATTTGTAATCTGTCTCACTAATTTAGCCTACATATACCTGCTGTGAGACCACAATCCTTTCTTTGCACTTATTGTCCATCCCTACTCCCGCTTTCCCCTCTGTAGTCTCTCTGAGGACAGGAATCACATCATTCATCCATAGCCCCTACTATGGTGGTCTACCCAAAATAAATGCTCAACATAATTAAAAAAATAAAGTGATTGATCCATATTGCATTTGATCCATGGCTCTGTGGATGACAGTTGTAACATCTGAGAAAAAAGTAAACTGCATTTTGTCATTTGTGTTTGAACAACCAAGAAAAGCTGGTTCAGTTGGTGCAGCCAAGTGCTCTCTGCCTCTTTGCACGCCCTGCACCACCACTGGTGTTCCTAGATGCCTGCATTTGGTTTCAGTCCTTGCTGCCTGAGTCCACCTGTAAGCTTCTCTTATCACTTCCTGCTTCCTCATAGAACCCCCTACAAAGACACAAGAAAGTAAAATGCCTGAGGCTGGGATCCCAAGGATGGCTGCTCTCCATTAATGTTTGAGGATGTATTGCTCTCCAATAATGTTGGGCTGTTATTGTCACAGAATGCAAAGCCTGAGGCTTGAAGTGTGAGAGTAGGAATTTCTCAGAAAATCTGTCATTCCTGTAGAATTTTTCTTCCACACAGTCCTCTTGAGATCTTTAGTGATTAAGCCTTGGAACTTCAACCTCAATCTATTTAGCTCTGAGTAACTTGGTTGGGAACTCTACATTGTAGACTCTGAATAAGAAAGTAAAAAGAAATATTTGTTGAGCTGTTTCTCTATGGAAACTGTAACTGCCCCATGGGTTCACCTTGCCCACTGCCTAGACAGAGCCGATTTATCAAGACAGGGGAATTGTAATGGGGAAGGAGTAATTCACATACAGCCAGCTGTGCAGGAGACTGGAGTTTTATTATTACTCAAATCAGTCTCCCCCAGCATGCTGGGGATCGGAGTTTTTAAAGATAATTTGGTGGGTAGGGGGCAGGGGCTTGGGAAATGGGGAGTGCTGATTGGTCAGGTTGGAGATGGAATCATAAGGGGTTGAAGTGAGGTTTTCTTGCTGTTCTCTGTTCCTGGGTGGGAACACAGAACTGTTTGAGCCAGATTACTGGTCTGGGTGGTGTCAGCTGATCCATCCAGTGAGGGTCTGCAAAATATCTCAAGCACTGATCTTAGGTTTTACAATAGTGATGTTATCCCCAGCAGCAATCTGGGGAGGTTCAGATTCTTGAAGCCAGAGGCTGCATGACCCTTAAACCATAATTTCTAGTCTGGTAGCTAATTTGTTAGTCCTAGAAAGGCAGACTGGTCCCAACGCAAGAAGGAGGTCTTTTTTGGGAAAGGGCTATTATCAATTTTGTTTCAGAGTCAAACCATAAACTAAATTCCTTCCCAAGGTTAGTCCAGCCTATGCCCAGGAATGAACAAGGACAGCTTAAAGGTTAGAAGCAAGATGGAGTTGGTTAGGTCTGATCTCTTCCATTGTCATAATTTCCTCAGTTATAATTTTTGCAAAGGTGGTTTCAAAAGCAATGGGCTTGGCACTTGCTAAGTGTGTCTGAATGGGTTCATGTGATGGATTGGGTGATTGAGGCTGAGAGAGCTTAAGTAATTTATTCAAACTCACAGGGTTAAATAACAGACAGAGCTAGGATTTAAACCCAACTTTAGCCAGAACTGTTCTGTCCTTAAAGCCCTAGGGCACAGTGTTCAGGGTTTATAAGCTTTTCAGATCCCAAAACATGCTTGAGGATTGGAAAAAGAAACTAATTGGATTCAAAATGCCAAAGTAAGCCAACAATTATCAAAATGAAGTTAAACTACATACTTTTACAGAATGAAATATCATGTTAGTCAACTGTAATTTTTTTCAATTCAAATAATTATTTATGAGTAATGCTAATTGTTGGATGTGAATGCATTTTTATGATTAGTCTAATGTGCATGGGCCTTCAAAAGAGTGCCCAAGGCTTTGGAAAGCTGTAAAATGGACCTATTTATGCACCCCTACTTCTGGAGAAGCTGTATCTTTTGTCTTTTTTGAAGAACTTTTATCTAAAACAAGCAGGCTGGAATAAGGAGGAGAAAGAGAAAAAGAAGGAGGAGAGAAGGGGGAAGAAGGGAAAGAAGAGGAGGAGAAGGAATGGTAGGCATTATCTACCCTAGAGAGATGGCCTTGTTTCTTTTTTACTGCCATAAGTGCCTAATATAAAACATGCACAGATTTAGCACCCAATGAATACTTGAAATAATGAGAAAACTCATCAAATCAGCAAAAAACATTATTACATTGAATTTTTCAGTTCCTTGTGCTGGTGTTTGATTAGGGCCAACTAGAAGGCAGCAACTATGGTGCAGGCTGACCTCCAAATGGGATGCAAATCCATGCAGAAGGGTAGAGGGGCCTTTGCAGCAGAAAAGGAAACCTACCCCGGCAGCAAATTCAAATGTGAGGCAGCAGATGTTATCTTAGCTCTCTCTCAGTTGGGTCACCTTCTTCCTGTTCATACTTCACCACCACACTAGTGGCAAGTCACAATTCCCCATTGGTCACTTTATACATAGTATAGCCAGTTACCCAGCTGATACAATAAAAAAACACGGTAACAAGCCACATTTATTGAGCATTTTGTACACCCTGGCACTATCATGTTACCTCAATTAATTCTCAAAATAAACTTACTTTTTTTCCCTACTGCTATCTTTATTTTTATGATGTAAAATAGAGGTGCAGAGACATCATATAATTTGCCTAAAGTCACGAAATTACTAAAGCTAACACCAGATTTTGATCAGTTCTGAAACACTCGAAAATGAAGTTTATGTACTCACCATATGCTTGGCTGCCTCAAGTTTTTAGTGATTTAGAAAAGGCTTCTTTGCTTTTCTAATTCACCTGCTGCTGATGCATGTCCCACCATAAGAGTAATTCTAATATTTCTTAGTAATTCTTTCATTTCACTCTGGAAATGAAAATGTGTGAGCAGTGATGATACATTTAATGTACACCATTCATGTCATAGTATGATCAGAAACCCTCCTGCAAGGCAGCTGAGGAAAAGATACAGAGAGAATAGAAAGCTAGATTTGATGAGCAGAAGTAAATAAAGGGATGCTTTTGAAATGAAGGAAGAGCCCCCGTTTGTCTTACAATTGCGTAAACCAGTTTGAATTTTAAATATTCTTTCCATTGCACCCCAAATCACTGAATCTATCCTGAAAGTTTCAAACTTTGAAGTTTATACATCTTCGTCTCAAGTTCTCCTCTCCCAGTGTGGCCCACAGACCCCTTTTATTTTTTTCATGAGACAGGGTCACTCTGTCACCCAGGCTGGAGTGCAGTGATGTGATCATAGCTCACTGTAGTCTCAAACTCCTGGGCTCAAGCTATACTCCTGCCTCAGCCTCCAGAGTAGCTGGGACTACAGTTGTGTGCCAGCTAATTTTTTATTTTTTGTAGAGATGGGGTCTCCCTATGTTGCCTAGGCTAGTCTCAAACTTCTGGCCTCAAGCTATACTCCTGCCTCAGCCTCCAGAGTAGCTGGGACTACAGTTGTGTGCCAGCTAATTTTTTATTTTTTGTAGAGATGGGGTCTCCCTATATTGCCTAGGCTGGTCTCAAACTTCTGGCCTCAAGCGATCCTCCTGCCTTGGCCTCCCAAAGTGCTGGGATTACAAGCATAAGCCACTGTACCCAAGCTCCACAGATCCCTCATGTCTTAATGTACTTTCCCTTTGGAAATATGGTCTCAGTTAGCAAGGTAAACTGCAGTCAACAGCCAGTTGACAAAATGCTGGGGAAAAGGATCACTGAATGGGCCAAAAGAAGCTGGATTTCATCTCATTCACAAGTTTATCCAGAGCAGGCCTGCAGTAGGTCTATAAGACAGGGCTTCTTGGTGGACACTTTGAGAATCTTTCAGAGCCCAAAACATTGATACTCAGGGAAAAAGGCCATCCTCCCACCGTGAAATCCAGCCGGGTGTACTGGGTTCACAGGTGGGGGTATGAGCCACACTTGGAGGTGGGGCAGCTGTAGAAATGTGGGAAGCAAGGATTTCCCTTGGCCTTGGGATTTGTTCAAGGTGGGGCCTTTGTTTTCCCTCCAGGAAATTAGTTCAGACTTTCTGGCTGGTAGCCTGGAAGAAGCCTGCAGACATGGCCTTCCAACCATGCAACCTGAAGAAGAAGGCGGAGAGGAAAGTTGGTGAGGTCCATGACTCAGGAATCCATCAAAGGTATGCATTTCTTTTTTCCATTTTTTTGTTTCAAAATTTATTTATTAAAAAATTTTATTAAAATTGTATTTTTAACTTTTATGGATACATAGTAGGTGCATATATTTATGGGGTATATGAGATGTTTTGATACAGGCATGCAATATATAATAATCACATTATGGAGAATGGGGTATCCAACCCTTCAAGCATTTATCCTTTGTGTTATAAACACTTGAATTATACTCTTATAGTTATTTGAAAATGTACAGTTAAGTTATTATTGTCCATTGTCTGTTATGCTATCAAATAGTAGGTCTTATTTGTCCTTTTTGGTTTTTTGGTACCCACTAACCATCCCCACCTCCCCCCATCCCACTCTACTTCCCTTCCCAGCCTCTGGTAACCATTTGCTCTTTATGTCCATAAGTTCCATTGTTTTAATTTTTAGGTCCCACAAATATGTGAGAACATTGTATGAATTTCTTGATGTTGCAGACAAAGGGAGGGAGGCCATGAGGGCTAAATATGATAACCTAAGGAACATGCCTGGCATATGGAAGGGCTTGTAAGTGTGGGGCTTCTGTATTTCATCTTTCCATTTGTCATTTATGCTTCAATCGTAGTGCTTTTAAACACAAGGAAAACTTGCTGGCAGAAAGGTCAGCCATAGAATAAGAGCTGGGGAAATAAGAGAAAGAAGGAAGGTGAGCTCGTGGGTTTCAAACATTGCTGAGAGAAGAGTAAGGTGAGGACTGAGAAATGACCATAGAATTTGGCAATATGATAGTCATTAGTGATGCTAGTGGGAGCTGTTTTGAGGTAATGACAGGGTGAGAGCTTGATTAGAGTGGGTGTAAGTAATGATATTTTAAAATCTTTCCCAATTTGAGAGGTAGAAAATTACTATTACTATCCGAGCATTTCAGTTCATGGTATTTTGATATTTAAAAGCTTCTGAACCCAATTTCCTCCTGTGTCCCCACCTCTGCCATGCCACCATAATTTTTTTTTGATCCTGTTGGATTTATTTGTCACTTGAGACACCCCAAGGCTCAGGAAATGATGGAGATGGGACAGTCGTGATTTCATTTGATCAATAATCCATTTGGAAAATTTATGTCTCTAAGTAGACTTGTTGAGTCCTTCAACATGAATGGTTACTTAATAGTGACATAGAACACAGTATATGTGGCTCCAGGTCTTTAATCCTAGGGTGCTGATGTTGACAACATAAAAAGATGAAAGCATATGTTTTAGCATTGCTTTGTGTGTATGAGATCTTTTTCCTGATATCTGAAGATGAAGCTTTGTTTTTAAAGTATTTGCTAGATTTTATAGTTTTCTTCCAGTTTGACTAGGTTTTCACTTTACCGTTTGTCTATTTGAGTATGCTGCCACCAGGGGATGCAATAGCCTATAGACATGGTGGCCTGTTTTTGTTTCCTCTTTGTTATTTGGACTGAGGTTTTAGGTTTCAGATGTTGATTCTGTCTTGGAGCCATTTTTAAATAATCTCATTTTTTCCATTCATTGGAATGAAAATGAAAATAACTTATTTAAGAATGAAAATAACTTGGCCGGGAGTGGTGGCTCACGCCTGTAATCCCAGCATTTTGGGAGGCTGGGGCGGGTGGATCACGAGGTCAGGAGATCGAGACCATCCTGGCTAACATGGTGAAACCCATCTCTACTAAAAAATACAAAAAATTAGCCAGGCGTGGTGGTGGGCGCCTGTAGTCCCAGTTACTCGGGAGGCTGAGGCAGGAGAATGGTGTGAATCTGGGAGGTGGAGCTTGTAGTGAGCTGAGATGGCACCACTGCACTCCAGCCTGGGCGACAGAGCGAGACTGTGTCTCAAAAAAAAAAAAAAAGAAAAAGAAAAAAAAAAGAAAATAACTGAAAATAACTTATCAAAATAACCAAACAATAATTCTTATTTATTTATTTATTTCAGATGGAGTTATGCTTTTGTTGTCCAGGCTAGAGTGTAATGGCAGGATTTTGGCTCACTGCAACCTCCACCTCTGGGGTTCAAATGATTCTCCTGACTCAGCCTCCCCAGTAGCTGGAGTTACAGGTGCCCGTCAACCATACCTGGCTACTTTTTTGGATTTTTAGTAGAGATGGGGTTTCACTGTGTTGGCCAGGCTGGTCTCAAACTCTTGCCCTCAGGTGATCCACCCACCTTGGCCTCCCAAAGTGCTGGGATTACAGGTGTGAGCCACCGCACCAGCAATAATTTTTAAAGCTGCCAATTTTCGGATCATGAACAGCACTCCCCATTTTAAAATAAATAGATGATCATATAAAATAAGAAATTATTGAATGGGCAAAAACTGGAAGCATTCCATTTGAAAACTGGCACAAGACAGGGATGCCCTCTCTCACCACTCCTATTCAACATAGTGTTGGAAGTTCTGGCCAGGGCAATTAGGCAGGAGAAGGAAATAAAGGGTATTCAATTAGGAAAAGAGGAAGTCAAATTGTCCCTGTTTGCAGACGACATGATTGTATATCTAGAAAACCCCATTGTCTCAGCCCAAAATCTCCTTAAGCTGATAAGCAAATTCAGCAAAGTCTCAGGATACAAAATCAATGTACAAAAATCACAAGCATTCTTATACACCAACAACAGACAAACAGAGAGCCAAATCATGAGTGAACTCCCATTCACAATTGCTTCAAAGAGAATAAAATACCTAGGAATCCAACTTACAAGGGACATGAAGGACCTCTTCAAGGAGAACTACAAACCACTGCTCAAGGAAATCAAAGAGGATACAAACAAATGGAATAACATTCCATGCTCATGGGTAGGAAGAATCAATATCGTGAAAATGGCCATACTGCCCAAGGTAATTTACAGATTCAATGCCATCCCCATCAAGCTACCAATGCCTTTCTTCACAGAATTGGAAAAAACTATTTTAAAGTTCATATGGAACCAAAAAAGAGCCCGCATCGCCAAGTCAATCCTAAGCCAAAAGAACAAAGCTGGAGGCATCACACTACCTGACTTCAAACTATACTACAAGGCTACAGTAACCAAAACAGCATGGTACTGGTACCAAAACAGAGATATAGATCAATGGAACAGAACAGAGCCCTCAGAAATAACGCTGCATATCTACAACTATCTGATCTTTGACAAACCTGAGAAAAACAAGCAATGGGGAAAGGATTCCCTATTTAATAAATGGTGCTGGGAAAACTGGCTAGCCATATGTAGAAAGCTGAAACTGGATCCCTTCCTTACACCTTATACAAATATCAATTCAAGATGGATTAAAGACTTAAACGTTAGACATAAAACCATAAAAACCCTAGAAGAAAACCTAGGCAATACCATTCAGGACATAGGCATGGGCAAGGACTTCATGTCTAAAACACTAAAAGCAATGGCAACAAAAGCCAAAACTGACAAATGGGATCTAATTAAACTAAAGAGCTTCTGTACAGCAAAAGAAACTACCATCAGAGTGAACAGGCAACCTACAAAATGGGAGAAAATTTTCGCAACCTACTCATCTGACAAAGGGCTAATATCCAGAATCTACAATGAACTTAAACAAATTTACAAGAAAAAAACAAACAACCCCATCAAAAAGTGGGCAAAGGACATGAACAGACACTTCTCAAAAGAAGACATTTATGCAGCCAAAAAACACATGAAAAAATGCTCATCATCACTGGCCATCAGAGAAATGCAAATCAAAACCACAATGATTTTGTGAGAGGATGTGGAGAAATAGGAACACTTTTACACTGTTGGTGGGACTGTAAACTAGTTCAACCATTGTGGAAGTCAGTGTGGCGATTCCTCAGGGATCTACAACTAGAAATACCATTTGACCCAGCCATCCCATTACTGGGTATATACCCAAAGGACTATAAATCGTGCTGCTATAAAGACACATGCACATGTATGTTTATTGTGGCACTATTCACAATAGCAAAGTCTTGGAACCAACCCAAATGTCCAACAATGATAGACTGGATTAAGAAAATGTGGCACATATACACCATGGAATACTATGCAGCCATAAAAAATGATGAGTTCATGTCCTTTGTAGGGACATGGATGAAATTGGAAATCATCATTCTCAGTAAACTATCACAAGAACAAAAAACCAAACACCACATATTCTCACTCATAGGTGGGAATTGAACAATGAGATCACATGGACACAGGAAGGGGAACATCACACTCTGGGGACTGTTGTGGGGTGGGGGGGAGGGGGGAGGGATAGCTTTGGGAGATATACCTAAGGCTAGATGACGAGTTAGTGGGTGCAGCGCACCAGCATGGCACATGTATACATATGTAACTAACCTGCACAATGTGCACATGTACCCTAAAACTTAAAGTATAAAAAAAAAAGAAATAAAAAACAAACAAACAAACAAACAAAAAAAGAAATTATAAAGAAAAAGTAAAAATTGTCCATTCCTCTTACTGGAATTTTACATATTAGTTTTCTGTTTTTTTCAATGTCTTATTTCAAATGCTATGGAAGTTTTATTCACAGTTTTGTCTCTCTCTTTATATGTTTTAAATTATTTTGTTATGATAACTTTCTAGACGTGTAATTACTGGGCCAGAAAGCATGAACACTTTTAAGGCTCTTGAATTAAGTTATAAAATTGCTTTTCAGAATGTTGTACTCATTTATACTTATTAGCAGTGAGTAATTGCTCAGTTTAGCATATTCTTGCCAATGCTGTTTACTACAGTTAAAAAACAAGTTTTACTAATTTGATAGACAAAAGATTGTTACATTGAAGCTAAAAAAAAAGATTGTTACATATGAATTTGTTTATTAGTGATAATATTTATCCATGTGCTTCTAAGACATTTTTATGCCTTATGTTACATAAACTGTTTATTTGTATCTTTTGTTCTTTCAGCAGGTGTTCTTAATGCTTGTGTTATCAATTATCGTGGACTTTTCATATTCATTTATTCATTCAACAAATATTCATTGAGCACCTACCATGTGCCAGATACTGTTCTAGGCACTAGGGACACAGCATTGAACAAAGCAGACAAAAATTTCTGCCCGCATGGAGCTCTCATTCTGGTGGAGAGAGATAGACAAAAACAGAATAAATAAATTAAATAGATATGAGAAGGACATGAATGTCACAGAGAAAAATAAATTTGGGAATTTGGAAAGGGAGTGCCAGGGTGGCCAGTCAGAAGTAGCTCCCTGAGAAGGTGACATTTGCACAAATGAAGGGAGACAGTTGTTCATCAGGCTGTCAGTGGAAGAATGTACCTGGCCGAGGGAAGAGCAAGGAGAAACAACAAAGGCTGCGAGATGGGATTGTGTTTAGTATTCAGGTTCATAGTTCATACCCTGGATATTAATCACTTGCAGCATTTGTGGCAAATATTTTTTCAATTTGTTGTTAGCCTTTCTATTTAATGTTTAACATACAGACGATTTACAGTTTTGTGTAGCTAAATCTATTGTTCTTTTTCTCTGTGGTTTCTTCCCCAGCTTTAAAAACTTCTAATTTTAAAGTATTTCATATATGCAAAAAATGACTGAAATATACAAGGGATTTAAAAATTGGAAAAACAACAAACCCAAACACCAGACAGCACAGCATGCGGGTTGGGAAGTGAAACCTTGCCAGAACCTTGAAGCCCTGGTGCCCCTTTTTTCTCCCTCTTTTTCCTCTAGGAGGAACCACTATCCTGACTTTTGTGTCCAACTTTTCCTTGCTTTTCTTTATAGCTGTATCACACCTGTGTTTCCATCCTTAAATGATATGTTGCTCCTTTGCCTCCCAGTTCAAGTGGTGTTCCTGCCTCAGTCTCCCAAGTAGCCATGACTACAGGCACGCACCACCATGCCCAGCTAATTTTTGGCTACTCTCGAACTCCTGACCTCAGATGATCCACCTGTCTTGGCCTCTCAAAGTGCTGGGATTACAGGCATGAGCCACTGTGCCTGGCCTTGTATCTCTTTTTTCAATGAATTGTCTACTTCTGCCGTTTACCCATTTATTCTCACTGAGGTTTTAGTATTTATTAATTTAATAAATTCTTTGTAAAAAAAAATGATATGTTGCTTAGTTTTGAAGAACCAAATGGGCAAACACAAACCCAGCTGGTTAGGAGACGGCAAGGTTCCCACTGTTAGACGAGGCTCCCAGGAGCTGAGCTGCTTCCTTTATCTTGCTCATAGTCTGGCTTCAGCTTTTCTGAGATTTTACAAGAGCACTTTCTGGGGAGATAATGAGGAAGACTTGGGGGAACACTGAGGGCTATGGGGCAGGGCCAGTGAAGAAGACCTGGCCGGCTTCACCCAGAATCCAGTGTAAAGTTCTATTTGGGATGCATCTGCTCTTCCAGGGACCTCCTTTCCCAGCTCCCCTACATCTGTGAGATGAAAAGGAGACTGAGTTCTGGAATCCCCACATGGAGGAGACATGCCCACTAGGAACACCTCACTTGAACTATTATGTGGGTGAGAAACTTCTGTCTGGGTCTGTCCTTCAGCCCTTTAGCCTACCTTAACTGAAAATGCAGGTTCTTAATTTCCACCCGAAATGGGGTCAAAGTGAGCAGGGTGCTCTGCATTTTCCGTTTCTGAACATACCTTACTTAATTTCTGGTTTTCAAAGGTAAGTCCACACAGATATTTTGGTGGTTGAAGGGGAAATGAGTGCCTTTAATCCAGGCAGTGGGGCAAGGAGAAGATAAGAGGAAATTCATCAGCTTATAACCAAGGGAAGCTAAGGACAGGTAAGAACCTTGGATAGGCTTACCTGGCCATTCTGTCCTCAGATTCACAAAACCATTCCATGGCTTCAGGGGTATTGCTCAAACATCCTTTAACATGTCTGTCTCTTGAATCACACAGCTCCAATCTAGACTGGGTACTCTCAACTCCTGGTGCAGCTATCACCCTGGGATCTCCTTTGCCATCCTGGAGGGAAATTCCTTATTCTCCTTCCTGTGTTGACTCTGTTTCCTGTACTTCATATCTTCCTATGTCTTGGTTTACTATCTTGTTTTGATGGAGCACATCCTCAAGTAGTTTCACAAGAAAGGTTGCATGGGAGGCAAATTATTTGAGATCTTGCTTATCTGAAAATGTCTTTTTTCTCCCTTAGTCATATAGTTTCATGATGTGTTTGGAGTTTTATCTTGGAAATAATTTTCCTTTGGAATTTTGAGTACATTTTTCCACTCTGTTCTAGGTTCTAGGGTCATTGTTGAGAATTCTGAAGGTATTCTGATTCCTGGCCCTTTGTACCTGATCTGTTTTTCTCCAAAGAAGCCTGTAGAATTTTCTGTTTGCCTTCAGTATTCTGAAATTTCACTAAGATGTGGCTTGGTGTGAGTGCTTCATTTAGACAGTTGATGAGTCTTTCTCTGGCAACTCATATTCTTCAGTTCTGGGGATTTTCTTTCATGTGTTTAGTTACTGATTTCCTCTCCTCCATTACTCACTGTTTTACTCCATTACTCACTTTCTATTCTGATATACAGTAGTTCGTCCTGGATAGGACCCCTGATCTTTTCTCCCATATTTTAATCTTTCTGCTCTACTTTTTGGAAGATGTTTTCAACTTTCTCTTCCAGGATTCTATTGACTGTTTCATTTCAGTTATGATGTTTTTAATTTCCAAGATAATCTTTTTTTATTTTTGATATTTCCCTTTTTAAAGTAGTATCCTATTTTGATTTCAAGGATCTTCTCTATCTGAGGATATTAATTATATTTTTGAGGCTTTTTTTTCTTGCATACTTTCTATTTCCTCCTAATGCCCTTCCCTTTCCCTTTCCCTTCCCCTTCCCCTTTCCTTTTCCCTCCTCTCTCCCCTCCCCTCCCCTCCTTTCCTTTCTGTTGTGGGAAGTCAGGATGTTGTGGGAAGTCAGGGACCCCGAACGGAGGGAATGGCTGAAGCCACGGCAGAAGAACATAAATCGTGAAGATTTCATGGACGTTTATTAGTTCCCCAAATTAATACTTTTATAATTTCCTATGCTTGTCTTTACTTTAATCTCTTAATCCCGTCATCTTCGTAAGCTGAGGATGTATGTTGCCTCAGGACCCTGTGATGATTGCGTTATTTGTACAAATTGTTTGTAAAACATGTGTGTTTGAACAATATGAAATCTGGGCATCCTAAAAAAGAGCGGGATAACAGCGATTTTCAGGGAACAAGGGAGATAACCATAAGGTCTGACTGTCTGTGGGGCCGGGCAGAATAGAGTCATATTTCTCTTCTTGCAGAAAGTGAATAGGAGAAATATCACTGAATTCTTTTCCCAGCAAGGAATAACTCTGGGAAAGGAATGCATTCCCAGGGGGAGGTCTATAAATGGCCACTCTGGGAGTGTGTCTTATGAGGTTGAAGATAAGGGATGAAATACGCCCTGGTCTCCTGCAGTGCCCTCAGGCTTGCTAGGATTAGGAAATTCCAGCCTGGTGAATTCTAGTCAGAACGGTTGTCTGCTTTCGAACTCTGTTTCCTGTTAAGATGTTTATCAATGACAATGCGTGCCTAGCAGGACATGGAACCTCATCAGTAATTCTAATTTCACCCTAGACTTGTGATCTTGCTCTGCCTCTCTGCCCCTGTGATCTTTTATTGCCCTTTCAAGCATGCGATCTTTATGACTTACTCCCTGTTTGTACCCCTCTCCCCTTTTGAAATCCCTTATAAAAACTTGCTGGTTTTGCAGCTCAAGGGGCATTACAGAACTTACCAATAGGTGATGTCACCCCCGGAGGCCCAGCTGTAAAATTTCTCTCTTTTGTACTATTTCTCTTTATTTCTCAGACCGGCCGACACTTAGGGAAAATAGAAAAGAAGCTATGTTGAAATATTGGGGGTTGGTTCCTCCAATACCTTTCCTTTCCTCTTCTCTTCTTTTCTTTTTTCTTTTTTGAGACAGTGTCTCACTTTGTTGGCCAGGCTGGAGTGCAGTGGCACAATCTTGGCTCACTACACCTCTGCCTCCCAGGCTCAAGCATTCTCTTGCCTCAGCCTCCCGAGTAGCTGGGATTACAGGTGCACACCACCCAGGCTGGCTAATTTTTGTATTTTTAGTGGAGATGGGGTCTCACCATGTTGGCCAGGCTGGTCTTGAACTCCTGACCTGAGGTGGTCCACCTGCCTCAGCCTCCCAAAGTACTGGGATTATAGGCATGAGCCACTGCACCTGGCCTCCTAATGCCCTTTTCTGTTTGTTTATTTTTGTATCTGTCTTCATGTTCGATTTTCTCAGGGGTCTGCTCAAGATTAAAATAAAAGCTGATGTGGGGAAATTTGGGGATTCAGTGTGTGTGGGGAAATTTGGGGATTCTGACCTTCACTATGGGGTGATCTGGGTGGGCCATTTGTGGGGAGCCCCCTCTAAATATATTTAGGCTTTTCCTTCCTTTAGGGATGATCAGATTCTTCAACCTCTTGCCAGAAGGAAAAGGTCTTGTTAGAGTTATGGAAACTGAGGAGTAAAGGGGCCTGAGGGTGGGATCATCCTTGGCATTCAGAATCTATATGACCACTTGATCCTTCTGTTTTTGGTGGTCCCACACCCTCACCCATGCTGGTAGACCCCAATCCAAAGGCCCTCTGTTTTACCCTCTTCAGAGATAAACTGCCAATTTTCTGGTAGAATTGGGAGGAGCATTTGCCTAGCAGTGGAGTGCTGGGAAGAAAAGTTGGGGATTGAGTTGTTGCTCAAACAACTTTCACACTGGCCCTCTAAATCTCCCTCTTCCCCCTGTATTCTCAGCTCCTGCTCTGCAGAACCTGGTGCTGCTAGGGCCTTAGCCTTTGGAGAATTGATGGCGTGAAATGGGCTGGTCCTCAGCTTCCTGTCTGCCAGTTTAGGATTTTTCTCTCACTTCTGTAATCTAGCTGAAGTTCTTTTGAATGCATGATGTAATGGACAGCTATACTTTGATTTTCTCTCTCTTCCAAATAGTTAACCAATAAAGAAACCCAAATCTATTCACTAAATAATTCCTCATTATACCATTTTGTGATGACAGTTTACTTTTACTATATTTTAGATTCTTCGTATATACCCATGGTATATTCTGAGTTATTTAATTTGTTCATTGAGTTTTCTATTCTCACATCTCATTATTTTTTAAAAATGCCAACTTTAAACTGTTTCACTCCCTGAGGACAGGTCTCTGATGATTTAAATCTTCTCAGAAGAGTTTTAGAAATTTGCTACATTACCGCATTAAACCTTACCAATAAGAATTTGTTTGGTATTGCATTAGACACAGAAACAAATTAGAAGCTTGGCATGGTGGAGTGTGCCTGTAGTCCCAGCTACTCAGGAGGCTGAGGCAGGAGGATTGCTTGACACCAGAAGATCTAGGCTGTAATGGGCTGTGATTGTGAAGTGAATAGCCACTGCATGCCAGCCTTGGCAACATAGCAAGACCTTGTCTCTAAAAAAGAAAAAAAAGAGAAAATAATTGTTTTCTTTTTTGTGCATGTAATCTTGCCTTCTGTGAACATTGTATTTCTGACCATTTATTCAAGTTATTTAAAGTAATTCATTATTTCATAGTTCTCTCTATATACGTCTCTCTCATATTTTAATAAGGCTATTTCCAGGTATTTCAGTCTTTTGTTTTTCCGTAATGGATGATAATTTTTGCGTTATGTTTTTAGACTTGTTATTACCACTATACAGGCAAATGATTTAAAAATATTTATTTTGTAGCTAGCCAGTTTCTGAGCATTCTCTAATGGTTTTCCTCTTGATTTACTCATTTTTTTTCTCTAGGTATGTAATGATATTCTCTGCAAATAATCATAATTTTGTGTCTTTCTCTCCAATGTTTGTTTCATTACTGGGCAGGACTTCCACACAATGTTAAACAATAATAATGTCTCTGTATTAAAACTTTTTTTTGCTATATTTTGACTTAAACATTTAAAAGTTATCCTGTGCATAAATTTTATCAACTTTTTTTCATTACCAATCTAAATCTTACCAAAATGATGTAACATTTCTTTCCCATTTAATGATTCTAAATTTATGTTTTCTGATATTGATGTTATCTTGATTTCTGCTAGTATGCATTTGCTTGATATATTTCTTTGCCTACCCCTTTATTTTTAAACTTTCTATGTTATTTTAAGGATAGTGTGGAGTTAAGAAATTGGGATATTTCTTAATTTTTAAAAATCTAAAAATACTGTGGAGTTAAGAAATTGGGATATTTCTTAGCCTTAGTGGCTTATAGGCATTAGCCACTGCACCCGGCCTAAGCACTTAATTTTTTAAAAATCTAAAAATATCACAGTATTTTTAGGATACCACTTTGGGAGGCCGAGGTGGGCGGATCACAGAGTCAGGAGTTTGAGACCAGCCTGACCAACATGCTGAGACCCCATCTCTACTAAAAATACAAAAATTAGCTGCGCGCAGTGGCTCATGCTTGTAATCCCAGCACTTTGGGAGGCCGAGGTGGGCGGATCACGAGGTCGGGAGTTCAAGACCAGCCTGGCCAACATAGTGAAACCCCGTCTCTACTAAAAATACAAAAAATTAGCTGGGTGTAGTGGCGAGTGCCTGTAGTCCCAGCTATTCGGGAAGCTGAGGCGTGGTGACCAGTGCCTGTAATCCCAGCTACTCGGGAGGCTGAGGCAGGAGAATCGCTTGAACCCGGGAGGCAGAGGTTGCAGTGAGCCGAGGTTGTGTCATGCACACCAGCCCCTGGACAGTGTGAGACTCTGCCTCAAAAAAAAAAAAAAAAAAAGAAAAAGATTAGCCAGGCGTGGTGGTGCATGCCTGTAATCCCAGCTACTCAGGAGGGTGAGGCAGGAGAATCACTTGAAACAGGAAGCAGAGGTTGCAGTGAGCCAAGATCACACCACAGCAATCCAGCCTGGGTGACAGAGTGAGACTCGATCTCAAAAAAAAAAAAAAAAAAGTACTTAAATTTGGGACTCTGTTCTTCTTTTTTTTTTTTTTGGGACGGAGTCTCACTCTGTTGCCCAGGCTGGACTGTGGTGGTGCGATCTTGGCTCACTGCAAGCTCTGCCTCCTGGGTTCACGACATTCTCCTGCCTCAGCCTCCTGAGTAGCTGGGACTACAGGCGCCCACCACCACGCCCGGCTAATTTTTTGTATTTTTAGTAGAGGCGGGGTTTCACCCTGTTAGCCAGGATGGTCTCTATCTCCTGGCCTGGTGATCCGCCCACCTCGGCCTCCCAAAGTGTTGGGATTACAGGCGTGAGCCAGTGCGCCCAGCTGGACTCTGTTTTTTAATAGGAGAATTACAAATATTTACTCATATTGTCTCTTGTTTATGTTTTCTGTGCTTTTTTTCAGTTTTTTTTGTTTTGGTTTTTGAGCATTATTTGGTTTCTTTAAATCCAATTTGTTTTATATATATATATTGATGGTTACCTTTAGATTTTTAGCCTTATTTATCACATTAGGTCACTTTTAAATTGTCTACTTATCAAAGCCAAGAATGGAGCAATAACTTGATTTTACTCCACTGAGGCAGAGGAATTTCGTGATTTCTACCCTGTCACTCCTTTCCACCCTTATTTTTTTTTGCTTATTTTGCTGAATCTTGGATTATGGACTTAGATGATGGTTATTATCTCGAGTATGGACTTAAATGATGGTAATATCTTAAGTATAGTTATATAATATTATTGTATAGGTTAAATAATATCATTTAACCTATAATTTAGATATTCTTTTTTAGCAAAGAATTTGACTTTAAGATTCATGTAAAGAATTTATAATCATTATTTAGATATATTTCAATGTAGACCCAGTTTCAGTGCTCACAGAGGGCCCATGACTGATTCATCTTAAATTCTCAGCTTTGATTCATCTCTCAGTCAGAGGTGGGGAAATGGCTCACACGGTTATGGAGGCTAAGAACTTCCATGATAAGCTGTCAGAGATGCTGAAGATCCAGAGAATCCTGAAGCATGGCTCAGTCCAAGTCCCAAGGCCTGAGAACCATGAAAGCCAATGGTATAACTCTCAGTGTGAGGCTGAGACCTCGAGGTTCACTGGCACAAACCTTGGAGTCTGAAGGCCAGAGAACATGGGGTTCTGATGTCCAAGGGCAGGACAAGATGGGTATCCCTGCTCCAGAAGGGAGGGAGAGAGGGAGGCAGAGAGAGAGAGTGAGAGAGAGAGAGAGAGAGCAAATTTGCCTTTCTTTTGCTTTTTTGTTTTATCTGCACCCTTAGCCGATTGGATGGTGCCTATCCACATTGGATGATGGTGGATCTTTCTTACTCAGTCCAATGATTTAAATGCCACTGTCTTCTGGAAACACATTCACAGACATACTCAGACGTAATGCTTTACCAGCTGTATTCTGTATTAGTCTTTTCTTATGCTGCTATAAAGAACTATGTGAGACTGGGTGGTTTTTATAGGAAAGACGTTGAATTGACTCACAGTTCTGCATGGCTGGGGAGGCCTCAGGAAACTTACAATCATGGTGGAAGGCTAAGGAGAAGCAAGCCACATCTTACATGGCGGCAGGAGAGAAAGAGAGTGAAGGGGAAACTGCCAGACACTTTTAAACAATCAGATCTCTTGAGAACTCACTCACTATCATGAGAACAGCATGGGGGAAATCACCCCCATGATCCAATCACCCCTCACCAGGTCCCTCCCTCGACACGTGGGGCTTACAATTTGAGATGAGATTTGGGTGAGGACACAGAGCCAAACCATATTACCAGCTATTTGGATATCCCTTAATCCAGTCAAGTTGACATCTGAAACTAGCAGTCAAACGTAAGCAGAATTTAAGCTATTACATACATACAGAAAAATGCACAACCCATAAGTATGCAACTCAACAAAATATTACACATTTATCATTCATTGGGTTGTCAAGGAAGACTTGCCTGAGCAGATGCTGCCTGATCTTTACTTTCTCCCTTTTAGTGCTTTGAAAATTTTACTTTATTACCTCTCAGTGTTATGTAAAAAAGTCTGATGTCAATATAATTTTGGTTCCTGATGAGATATTTTATATATTCCTTCCAGATATGAGTCTTTTATGTTCTTTATTTTTAAAATTAAAAAAATTGTTGAATATGTTTTGGTTATAGCCTTTTAAAATTAATTTGTCTAAACCTAGTTTTCAGATGCACTTAAATTCCAACCCAGGAATCTTTTTTTTCCCATTAAGACTTTCCTTATTGTCTCCTTAATTTTTTCAGGTTTCTTACTTGAAATTTCTTTTTTTCACATAATTTTATCTCTGTTCCCTATCTTTATCTAAGATCAATTTATATATATAATTTAAATAATATATAATATAAAACATATAATTATATATGTAATATATAAAAATATATAAATATATTATTTAAAAATATATATTATATAAAATATGCAATATGTATTACATATTATGTATTATATAAAGTATATTATATATTATATAAAATATATATTACATAAAATGTATATTATATATTTATAAAATATATAATATATTATATAAAATATATTGTATAATATGTAACATATATTATATATAAAAATAATGTATATAATATATATATTTTTAGACGGAGTCTCGCTCCATCACCCAGGCTGGAGTGCAGTGGCGTGATCTCAGCTCATTGCAACCTCCGCCTCCCAGGTTCAAGAGATTTTTGTACCTCAGCCTCCCAAGTACCTGGAATTACAGATGTGCACCACCACGCCCAAATAATTTCTGTATTTTTAGTAGAGATGGCATTTCACCATGTTGGCCAGGCTGGTCTTGAACTCCTGGCCTCATGTGATCCTCCCATCCTGGCCTCCCAAAGAGTTGGGATTACATGTGTGAGCCACCGTGCCCAGCCCCAATTCATATTTATCATCAATGTATTTCTTTGTTAATCTTCATCTGTATTCCGAGATAGCATCTCTAGCTGCTTCTCCATCAGTGGTTCCCAGAGGCTGGTCAATGGATGGCTGCTGGAGAGGATGCATCAAAATCAACTGGGGAACATGTTAAGAATGGTTCCTCAAATTCCATCTCCAGAGATGTCTTTTTGCTTAATCTGATTTTAAAAAAAGTGTTGATATTTTCATCAGTTTAATGATGATGAGAAATGGGAAGACTAAGGCTATTCCAGGTAAGCAGGAAGCATAAGCAAAGTCCCAGATTGTGAGAACCAGTTAGGCATGGCATTGATACTGGTAACAGGGAGGGAGGATGGTGGGTTGGAATACTGTGAGAGGTGGACTGGGCCAGGTCATAGAGTACATTCTGTGTCATGCAAGAGAATTGGCAGTACTTTATCTTATAGGTATTGGGGAGGTACTGAGGAGTAATTAGGGGATTAATGTGATCAGATTTACATTTTAGAAAGGACCTCTTGAAACATGGGGAGAGATGGAAGAGTGACAATTGCTGTGTAATTTCAAAACACAGGTGTGCAGCAGTTAGTTGTGAGGTATGTCCCATGTGGGTTGTTTTATAGTGTGTTAATAGCCAAAGTTTGTAAAGGTTCTTTTAAAAAAATTAGTGTAGATTCAAGGTTATTTTTACAATAATGTCACTGTTACTTGCACCCTAGACCTTCTTCCACCAGGAAGTGGCCATGTAACAGCTCAGCTATTTAGAATTATGTGACTGTGGGAAGATGTCATGCATGAGCCTTCATTCATCATATGTGTGATGGCAGAAGTAATGCTATGTGTCCACTAAATCCCATTTCATTTTCTTTTTCATGGACCCATAGAAATATTTCATTTCCCAGTCTCCACTGGTTTTAATTTGGGTCTGTGTGACTGAGTCCTGGTCAATAAGACTGGCCCTTAAATGCTGAACGTGTAGTTTTTAGCTTTCTCTTTTCCTTCATTGGTTATATGTCCATCAGAAATACAATGCTAAGCCACATTTTAATTATATATTTATTGTAAGCACATTTAAAAAAGTAAAGAGAAATAGATGAATTTTTAATAAATTTAATGTTTAACCAAATACATTTTAACATTTATCAATATAAAAAGTAACAAAAGATATTTTACATTAAAAAAACTTAAGTATTTTAAATCTAGTATGCATTTTACACTTATAACACAACTCAACTGGGACTAGCCACATTCCAAGCGCTCAATAGTTACAAATGCCTCGTGGCTACTGTGTTAGACATTGCAGTGCTAGATGGTGTTGTAGAAGTCAGAACCTCTGTGTCAGCCTGGGTCTCTCAGTGGCCAAGTAGAGCAAAGCTCCCTAATGATCCTGTTGGATTGTAACATGCACAAGAAACAAACCTTTGTTTATTTGAACTTTGTCTGTTGCAGAAGCTATTAATTACCTACTCTGACTAGACTCCCTTACAAGTTTGAGAGATACCGAATTATTAAATATAAGAAGCAAGGCAGAGAGGCCAGTTAGTGTCATAATATAATGCAACTGTAATAGCAAACTTGGAGTTAGCAAGGAAGGGGAGGACATGTGAGACATTGATGAAGAGTTGGTCACTGATTGGAGGAGGGGAATGAGGGATGGAGAGAAAGCTAGGTTTCTTGCTCAGATGAGTAGACGATGCCATTCCAGTAGATAAAAAAGCAGTAGGAGGAGCCAGTTTGGCAGTAAAGCTAGCGAGCTTAGTTTTGTCTCTGTTGATTTTGAGGTGTCTGTGGACTATTGGTTCAAAGTTCAGCTGAGTATTGACTGTCTACTACCTGCCATGTCAGGTGCTGATGTTTCTGCTCTTGAGGAACCACAAACTGGCTAAATAGGTAAAGCTGATATAGTATGTAAGGTCAGTGATAAAGGATCTGCACAGTGCTTTTGGAGCCCGTAAGAAAGAGAGGGACCTAATCTAGGATAACAGGCAGTGATGGGTCCAGGAGTCTCCTTAGAGAAGATGAGACCTAAAGAAAGTTTTAATATGTGAGTAGAGCCATAGAAATGGGGGAGAGTGGGGAGGGCAGCGTGTGACTGGAGGGATAGCAGGGGGAAGGTGGCAAGGGCATTCACGCAGAAGGGACCACATAGCATAGGCATCAAGGCCAAGAATAGCATGGTGGTCTCCGCAACAACTTCACCACGACTCGAGGGTAAAACGTCAAGGATGAGGCACCCTGGGATAGAACAGGAGAGGGAGCAAGGCCAGATTTCTGGGGGGCGCTTTTTGTTATATTTGAATTTGTGTCATAGGTACAGGTCGGAGGATGGATTGAGAGAAGGGAACAATGGCAGCAAGAACAGGTGGAAGGTTGTAGCAATCATGGAGGAGAGAAATGAGAATAGATGCAGTCCTGAACCTGGGTAGTATGGTATTGGTGGGGAGGTGGGGGTTCCTTGGAGAACTTTTGGAAGTGAGAATATAGTATTTGGTGATATGTGGATGTTAGGAATGAGGGAGAGGCAGAAGGAAAAAGATTCAGGGAAGCCACATAGATTTCTAGCTTGGATGACTAGGTACATGGTAGTGCTAACTGGGGAAAATGAAGAGAGAATAAAAGCAAAGTGTATCAGGGGAGGAGTACATGGAAAGCAACTGCCTCTTCCCATCCGCATACCCCCCACCCAAAATCTAGTGGGAAATAATGGTTCAGGACCACACACACACACACACACACACATATAGACATATACATCCTTTACAACTCCCTCTCCCAACAAAAACAAAAACAATTTTTTCTTTTCATCATCACCGTTCAGAGAAAGCTTGAAAACGAGCAGCAGGTTTTTAGTGAGAAGCTTGAAAGCGTAAAGGCTGTGAGGAACTGTCCCTGGAAGCTGCCTGGGGATTTCCTGTAGGAAAATGGTGACAGGGATGGTCACAGGAATCAAGATGTGAGCACAAAATGACTGAGAGGAGGTGGCTGGAGAGGCCAACCCCTGGATTTGGAATAGGGAAAGAAGCCTAGAAAAGCCATGGGCCTCTGGGTGGGCTGGAGCACACTGGATGGAGCAGGATGGAGTGAAGAGGAAGGTCTTTCAAGAAGCAGGGAGCCTGCAGAGTGGCCTGAGAATATCTAGAGGCCTTCAGAAGTAGGGCAAGACAGCACATGGGCCATGGGGGCGAAAATGGTTACGATGTGAAACTTGAAACTACTCTGGAATTGAATGTGATTGAGTTTTTATTTTACTTGGGCTGAACTTTTCTCATACTTAAAGTTCGTTCTGCCCCATCAGCTCCTTTCTGGGTTGTGTGGTGCCTTGATCAGACAGAAGCCAGGCCCTAGGAGTGTTGCTTGAGGAAGAGAAAAATGTTGGTCTGTTGATCTCTGAGGGGCCTTAATCTCCAAAGGAAGCCTGAGTCTAGGGGAGAAACTGGACATTGTAGTCTGAAGACAATGTCTCCTCCCAGAACTTCTTGTATTTTGGGGAGGGTTTCATTTTCCCCATATGATCTTTAATAATGACATGCCATTCCTCAGGGCCATTATCTTATTTGCTCTATTCCTATCAAAATGCTTCTGTCTACAGCATTGGCTAATAGTATGAAAACCTTAGTCGGTGTTCAGTCTTGAAGGCATGTGAAATCGAGAACTTGGAATTTTGGGTATTTCCAGGTCATTGTTACTCAAAGACATGCTTTGTTTTGCTTATAGGAGAATTTGCATAACTCTTCCCAATAGGGAAGAGCTGAGTTTGCTAAAATACATTTAATGAGAACAAATAAACATTTTCTTTTGAAACTTTATTATTACAGAAGGATTTTATTATAAGGGTTTAATGGAACAGAGAGTTAGACTTGCTGTATCTCTTGTAAAACCTCAACAAATTGCAAAATTTAAATTAATACATATGAAAGTAGGTTTAATCTTTCTTTTCAGCCATGTTATAACTTTTAAAAACAAAGAGGAGGAAATACTATATCCGTATGTTGTAAAGACTCAGAAATTTTGCACTGCCATTTAATTCTATCTTACATTTACCTAGGCAGAACTGATAATAGTGCTTTTTCACCTTTTTCTAAATACTTAAACATAAATAGATCCTTAAATAGCTCAAATAAATACAGGTTTTACCTTTTAAATAATAAAATTCCCAAGCCCAGAATCTTATCTTCTTTAAAAAGACAAACAAAATAAAGTAGGTAATTCATTAAAATGGAATCTTATACCCCAAAGTTATCTCAGGGCATATTAAATACATAAATAACTTAAAGCCCTTAAAAAAGTAAACAAGAAGCAAATTGGTACTCAGTCAAACCTTCCTTCTTGGAAAGAGGGAAAGGTAATTCAGATCTCATATCTTGGCCAAGTGTTACCTCTGAAGCTTTAATTGGACAAACTGCCTTAAGAACTCTAATGAGTTTAGTCCGAAATGAGGCTGTCTTTGAAGGATGAGGGTTCCTGAGGGGCTGGGTCGGCTCTCCATAGTCTAACTGCTTTGGGGAGTGTGGGCTCCCCAGAGCTCTTAGGCCACATGGTGGACAATCGGGGTGACACAGGTGCAGCCCACGGACACCAGTATCTTCTCCAGCCGGAAGGAGTTGGGGCAGTGTGGAGGCTCCCTGCGCAGGACCAGGATCTCTTGCTGGATGGGGACAGAGTTCATGTGGTAGTCCACGTTCCCATCAGCGTTGATGCAGCCCAAGTGGCGGCACTTTGCCTCCCAGATCACAGAGGGATATCTCTCAGGGTCCTCATTGCGGCTGCAGAGGGGAGAAAAATCAGGAGGAAAGTGAATTCCTGGTAAAGTGGGAAAGAAATAAAACAGGAATACATGAAGAGAGGCAAGTTCACAGGATGACAAATTATAGGCATTGCAAATTCTTTAAATGATGTTAGTTTGAAGAAGAACTTTGGGGACAAATTGGATTTTTTTTTCAAGCACGTGAATTGTTATAGAAAAGAAGACAGTGATCAGTTTTTCTCCAATTTATTTGAAGAATGAATAAAATAAGATAGACTGAGGCCACAGAAAAAATTTAAGTTTGACACAAATGATAGCTTTTTTAGGGTACATTTGACAGACAGAAGAAGACCAAAGGAAGAGTAGACTTGGAACCATCTAGAATAAGATAGCTGTTTATTTGACTTGATGAAGTCTGTCTTTGAAGAGGGAATACATCAAAATTTTATCTGAGATCACATTCGTGGGACAGAGCCCAGAGCTGAGATAAAGGGCTGGAAACAAAAGGTTAAGTGTCTCTATGACCTTCTCTTCCCTCTCTCTTTTAGATCAGTGAATGATTTGCTTGCATTTTTGAATTGATTTATTTTGACTCTTCCTAGTAATGGGAAGAAGAGAAGAAATCCTACAATCAGACCAATCTGTAGGCTCCACAGAACAGAGACTTATTTGTATGAAGTCAAATGATCAAAATACATTTGGTATTTAACCCTTGATGGGGTCTAAATACTGGGTATACTAAGGATACAGCAAGCATAGGTATGTTAGGAAGTAGATCAAGACTATTTAACACACAAAGGGGTAGAAATACCCCAGTGATACTTATTCCACTGGGATTCAAAAACAAAAATAAGCAAAAGAATAAAAGTAAAAAACCCTAATTATTAATTATTTGCAATAAATCTTCTCAATGGCAGCTCTGGTTAAGATAATAAAAGCATTAATCCTCTTTGATAAATGTCTATTCTTTGAATAAATAAAGAATAGACTTGGGGTCTCATAAATATTAGAATAATGATTATAATTAATTTGGGTTGATTATTGGTGTCAGTGACAATTAGATCTAACAGGATAGGGATTATTGGAGGCTGTCCTGTGCTTGGTTAAAGAAATCTGTAGAAAGTTTGAGAATTGCTCTTCACAGTGGTCCTTCCAGGTTTGACTGGTAATTCTAAATGAATAAAATCATCCTCAGGGAGATTTAACTGGCAGTCTGATGCATAAGAGGGATGAAGAATATAGCATTTTTATCTGGAAGCTTTACGTACTGGAGATTCCAAGGTGAGGTGGATCGGTTGTAGTAATCTGAGGACCTTTTGGGATTGGTATTGGTATTCCGGTTATGGATGTTCAGGTTGACCATCACAGTCCGGGGGAAGTTCTTGTCCTCAGAATTTGGGCATCCTGGATTTCGTGGGATTGTGATTCCTGCCTTCACTATGGCCTCCAGGCTCAGCAGCAGTAGCAGTGACTAGAATTGAATGGGAAAGGAGAGAGAGGTTGGAGATTAGATTACTATGTGGTTCTTTTTGACAAATTAATTGTGATGATGATGCATTGCTAATCATAGAGAACACACAATGTTCCAGGACAATCTATACTACATTTTTCAGATCAGCTAGAGAAAAATCTAGGTAGATGACCAACATAATGTTAACACCATGGCTTTAAAATTTTTTTAAAAAAACTAGTTTCAACATTCTCCTTTTGACTTAGGAAAGACATGTTATCCATTGGTTGGCAATAATTTTAATAAAAATGTCAAGTCATGGCATGTCATTAGCCTATCAGCACATGCATCATTGTCAGGTCTGGGAAGGAATAATAACCTTGATTTTCTAGGTAGAAATATCCTCCTGCACCATTGTTCTCAGTCCCATATTCTGTGAAACTCATCGTGAAGTCAAACATTCACATTGGAAGAAAGAGCTATAGAAAATCTATGTGGTATCAATATTCATGCTAGAAGTGCTGTTGGTGCTACTGGCAGGCATCCAACTAAAAACTCGATCTCCTTCATGTTTTCTTAGGTATATTTTCCAGTTGTTCTAAATTTAACATGTATTGATTCTGTAATAAAATCAGATTTCAAAAAAGATACTTGAAGTTAAATATTTAAAAAATATAAACCCCACTTATTCTAAAACACAGTTATACCTATGTTTAGTTAGAATACATAGTTTCAATGTACTGAGAATATGGTACGAGATAATGGAAACAAAGGTTGTTGCTGCTACGGCTTTCAAAATCTCAAGGATAGTGACCCATTTTAAAGAAAAATGCCGTGGGAGAATTATATTAAATCCTTTGTACTCAGAAAAACAGACTTTCAATAAATTTTCTTTCTTACTGCACAGCATCATGTGACACTTCTTGTGTGGTTTAGCCCCAATATAGCTATCTTTCAGTTTTAATCTTATCTTTCAAACTGCTGTGTATCAGTTCTTGAAAATGCTGCACAATGACTTAAATACCTACCAAAGCTTTCATTTCCTATCCTACATATACAGTATTCCTGGATCTCCATAGTCAGAACCCAGCGTTTCATGCCCACGGTCCAGAAATACTATCTGGTCCAAATCAGCAAGAGCATCGCACGTTAGTGCAGGACTCACCACCAATGAGGTCTTCCCAGGAGTCATCGTTGTTTCTTCCAATCAACTGGGGATGGATGAGTTTGTGCCTGCTATGAGATGGACAAAATGTAGCGCTATCGTCTCTCTTTTTATAGGGCTTTTCTCCTTCTGTGGTCACTTACGTGGCGTGTCGCAGTGGGTTCAGGGGTGACACCATTTTGGTTAAAATTTCCGCCCCCAATGAGGTCATAGAAGAATCTCTCCTTCTGAAGGAAAATGGGAAGGGCAGAAATTCATGTTCCTAAAGACCATGTCCTCTTTTCATTCTTACTTGTTAGAAGCTGAGCAGAGCTGCTATGCTATGGGTCAATATCATGTATTTATGAACATATGTACAGCTGCCAGAAGAGTTATGCTCTATTTTAATGGTTCATGAGGAAGAAAAAGTTTGAAGTAACATGTAGGTCTTCTGGTGTCATGTACCTTGATTTTCCATTTGATCTTTCTTTTCCTCACAGATTCCTTGGCCAGGTGTTGTGGAGACAATTCCGGAAACTACTCAAGTTCCCATCATATAAGTAAACAAAAAATGAAAAAAATATTTAATAATAAGATATATCCTATTTAATTGAATTTAACAATTCTTTTGTTGAATATCTACTCTGCTCAAGGAATAAATAACTAGGTTCAAGAGACACGAGATTTTCTGTTAAAGGCATGTTCCAACCCTGCATGCTACCAAGCAACTTGGTGTTTTGAGGAAGGAATTGAAAATGGGGATAGAGACTGGACAAAGGTGATGGAGATGGAGAAAAGGGGGGCAGGGGGGAGTAGAGAGTGATGAGAACTAGAAAGGAGAGGAGACATGATGGGGGAAAGAGAGAAGGAGTTAGCGGTTCTTTTCTCTGTACTCTAAGTAAGATGAACTTGGACTCAGGTCCTTGAGAATAGTTCCTTCTCAGGAATACAGAGGACTAGGACAAGGAAGGGCCAGTGGATATAGATGTGGCTGGCTATATGTCACCCTTCTCCGCCCCTACCCCCACTGAGGTGAATGATAACTCTCAGGCACTCAGCTGGTATCCCATATTCTACATGCTAACTCGGGGGGAGGCTGGCCAGTAGTTCCAACTCAATGGCTGGAGTGTAAAATTAGTTTGCCGGATCCTGAACCTGTTTGTCCTGAGATCCATTCCTCCCTGTCCTGCTCTACCTGTAACTCAGAGGGCTGACCCTGGAGGCTGCTTGCTCAAACTCCCCTGTCAGCTGGGTTTCAGCTAGGCTCAGCCAAAAGGGAATTGGAGGACAGATGAGTAAAAGTGGGAAGTGGAAAGTGGAAAGTGGGGAGAAGCCAGGAGCTTCCTTCCTCAGTCTCCCAGAGGACTGCTCACTCCCTTTGTCCCTGCAGCCTTCAAATGGTAACAGCTTCTTGCTGATGGCAATCTCAACTACCAGGGTGACTAGTTCTCTGACTTAAACTCCCTCTGTTGCAAATGCCTGAAGGGGCTTCTCTTTCCTGGCCAGATAAACCCTGGCTGATGAATGAGGGAGGCCATAAGCACCTGAATTTTAGTGGCAATAGTAGATATCCTTGATAGGTGAAGCAGATACAGATGGAGGAGGAGGTAGGATACAGCTTCAAGTGATTTCCGTAGTCCTGGTTTTGGCATCACTATCTATGTGCTTTTCAAGACAAGATTCAGAATGAGCCCTACTGCCCCTCCTCTACACACGACCAGGCAGCAATCCCAGAAGCTGCAGCATCTCTCACATCACCAATTTCCAAGCTTCCTCTAACTCACACTCTCACCCACTTGGATGAGCTATGCTTGCTTTTCCCAATTGCTTCCTTCAGACCATCTTCGACATGCTTTCAATAATGATTCTCAAAGCATGGCTCTAATTGTGCCTTTTCTTCTGCCATTAGCTTGCATACAGAATGAAGGGTAAGCCTCTTAGCATTTGAATTAATATTTGAGTTCGTACAACTTCCTTTCTAGCCTTACCCCCCACCATGCTCCAGGACCTGGGATGATGGGGTCCTGATTTTTCTCCAGGCCTTCTTTCAAAGCTTACCCACCCTTTGTTAAGGTATTGTTTCTGAAATGCCCTTCCCCATCCTCAGGTTATCAAAATGCTACTTGTCCTTCAAAATCCTGTTTAAATGTATCTCACAGGTCTGGCCTGATTACCTCAGTTGAAATAAATAGTTCCATCCATCACATGTAGCTTACACCTACCTCTCTAGTAACTTTTCTTTCATTTTGTAATGTGTTTCATTTGGCTTTAAAAGCTATGGGTAAGATATGTGTTTATTTCCATGTTTAGATTTTACTGTCAGCCTTCAAGGCTAGTATGTTCTTCAACTTTGTGACTCCTATGGTGCCTAATGTGGCCCTTTATACAACATGGGTCTTCACAGACTGCTTTTGTGTTGCTTGTTCTTCTCTGATACAGGGCTGTTCATGCATATTTCTAGTGTATTGCATGCCATTCATTTACATACTGACTTTCTTGTTTTCTTTGTAGCTCATTTCTTGCTAGACTACAAGCTACCTGAAGACAAGTAGTCTTATTGGTCTTTGTAGCACTTAGCATAGTGTCTAGTAAGTAATAGCTGTTCAACATTTTGATTAATTGACAGTATGAGTAATGTTATTTGAGAAGTTCAGAATTTTCTATATTCTTCTTAGAACCTACCTGCATCTCAATAACCCTACTGAGTTGTCTAGTGCCTTGGCTCTGCATTCTGATCCTTTTGAACTTAGTGTGATGAGGCTATAGCCTATTCAGGATCACCCTGGAGTGGAGGATTCCTTGTTGTTGCTTTCTGGCAAGGAAGAAGGAGGGGAGAATGTGCTTACTGTGAACTATTTTGATTGAAGTTGCAGGGGGAGAAGCTGACTCTAGCTGTTTTCCCTAGTCTTGCCTCCTGTGCCTATGTAATTCAGCCTGTGTGCTATGCTTTGAAATGCTTTAAAATAAAATGGGGAAACAAAATGGGTTTTCACAGAAGTGTTAAAAGGATCATTTTGACATGGTGGTTGGAGCTGGGTGTGTGCAGCCTTGAGTATGGCTGATTTCCCAGACGTTTGCTTGAGCTGGAAGCCTGTGGCTCCTGGAGGAGCAGCTGGAAGTGTAAGAGTGTGTTCACAGTGGGCAGGGCTCTTCCTCTGCATTTGTCTGCAGAGCCAGCTGACTCAGGTTTCAATCCGAGACCGTTGAGGTGGAGTGCATGCTGGACTGGGCATTAGAGTGCCTAGAACACTGAATGAGAGGACACCTTTGTTTTCACTGTGAATCTGCCACTAACTACCCATGCCCTTGGGTACCTCACCTCTTTGAGGCTTAGTTTCCTGTCTTATAAAATGAGTTTTGCACCAGGTAATCTTTTGATCATCTATGATTTTCTGGAGATGAATATAGTAAAGAACAAATGGGAGTAGTAAATTAGGGATGATTATTTTGTTAGTGATTGTCTTCCAGGTTTATCAATCTTGCTTCTCTGAGGGCTTGAAACAGATCACCATAAGCAATGGGGAACTGCATGTTGTGAGTTCAGAGCTTCAATGGGTGGGGGCAAGTATGCAACTGGAGACAGGGAAAGATTTCCAGGAGACAAACATGCATTTGAAGGGATGATAGTGGTAAAATGTTTCTGCCCTTCTTGATTTAGAGAAATGATTTTCAAGGCTCCTTGAAATTATTAGGCCATTAAACAGTATTTCTTTCTACTTGCAATAGAGAATAATGTAAGGGATGGAAAGAAAAATTTTTCCTTTTGTGTCCTGGAGAGAGTATTTTTGAGTCTTTTGTCTCAGTGTGGTGGAAAATTAAGGCTTGCTAAAAGATAAAATAAATAAATTTTAATTTTTGCTTAGGTAGTAAGGTTACCATTGAGAGATTAATATATTTTAAATTTATATTCTATAGCCATTTTATAAAAGTAACAAAGGTCTCAGTATAGGAGGAGGCATCATGCCATTGTTTCTGCTTAAAGTTAATAAAAGATGGTGGCTGTTCAAAAAGATTGGAGCCATTTTGATTAATGCTGTGCACATCACCAGGCAAGACTACTCTCTTGATCTTCACTTAATATAGAGAGAATAAATGAGTCGTTGGAGAGAATTCTCTTGGATTTTAAATGTAGGGGCTGATACTTTGCAAATGGGCCAGCACACAAGGAGCAATGTCAAACAGACATTTAAAAGGAAGACGTGATGTTTAGAGAGGAGAAGATTTGCAATAGAGAGCCATCTGGAAGGCCTTGGGGAGTTGATAAAATCAGGATTTAATTGAGACTCAGATTTAGACCCAGTTTATCAAGCTCTAGATCATCTACCCTGAATTTGAAGATATCAATACTATTACATACTAGAAGTTCATCTCTGAGGTTACCGATGTTGTCTTGCAAAAACCAGAACTTAATACCTATATAATTAACATGATTTCTTAAATAGGAAGTATCAGTCTTGGTACCAACCTGATAGCATCATTGTTCCTCTCCAGCATAATGCTTGTTTGTATCCGCATGGCTGTGCTCCTGAGGGCCGTCCTGAACAGTGAGCTGATGGATGAGAACACTTTGGGGGTGAGTACAGGCTTCATCCTGTGCTGGAATCCCTGCTGGAGAAAATTCTCTTTTTATATGACATGATGAATTAAAGGCATGATTAACAATGAGGATGTTTTTATAGAGTCATTGTTAATGGTGAGTGCTGAGAGATGGCAGGCAGAATCCTTTTTCAACATTTGGGTCCTGTTTCCTCACCATTGGTCATTCTAACTCTTGGTAGGCATTTTGCCCGGATGAAGACCATCTGTGCAGCTCCTTTGAGTGACTAATTTTCTTTTTTTACTATTGGTTTTTGATGTTTCCTCCACCTAGTGCACACCAGGCTGTTTTCATCTGATGGAACCAGATCACAAAACTGTTTGGACATCTGTGAAAAACAAACCCAATCTGTATGGTCAAAAGAACATTGAACAGCCATTATTCATGTGAAGTGTTTGATAGAAAGGCATTCTGTGTCTGGTGACTTCCAAACAACGTGTAGTGCCTTTATCGCCTGAGTAGATGGGGCTTGCCTTTAACACATCCTCTTTACTAGTCTCAAAGCACTGAGATAATGACTGAAAGCTGTGTTAGAGACCAAGCCATGCAAGAAAGAAAATGTGTCATATCACATCAACTTAAAACAACTGCAAACCATCAACAGTGTTTCCCCAATCCCTACATTAAAATCTATAATCAAGCAGATAATATGAGCATGTCAATTTCTCCTTTGAGTAATAACTACTAACCTCATGGAAACCAAGCCTCTTCCTTAGGTGAGTTTATCATTAGTCTTTTACTGAAACACTGATTTAAAGTGGGTCAGAAAACTTTCCATTTTTTTTTCAAACAATACATGTAGAATTATACACCTATACGTTAGCAGGCACATGCAAATTTGTTTTATGGTGGACTTCCCTTTGGTAATGCTGACTTCATCTGATACTCTAAGAATTAAGGTCAGCAAGTGACTGAAGTTTCAAGTCTGAACGGATGTCACTGAAAAGTAGGGTCTAAAATTAAACAAGAAAACCAAACCACACATTGTGGTTGGGCTATCAAGTTATCAGCTTTATTTTCTTTTCAGCAATTTCGAAGTTAATATGATTTAGAGACAACCACAGAATATATTTGAAAGGAAGATACAGTATATGAACCTGGAACAAATTGTTAATTGTTTTTTTTAGGCAATATAGAGGTTGCTACGGTGAGGTGGTAGCTTCGTGAATTGGAGATACAAAAAAATCAACACATAATGATGTATTTCTCTATACCAAATGAATGATTCTTTTATTCTGAAATCCTCCAGAGAATTTAAGGTAATTATAGCAAAAATTCAGCAAAGTAAAGTAGAAGTAGAAATATAAATCAAGCTCAGAGGACGTGGAAACAGAGACAAAAGTCAAGGTCTAGGAAAAGAAAACCCAAAGTTATTGTCTGTAAGGGCCAACATATTTACATTTGTCTCCAAGCTTCCTGGCAGCCAAAAAAAAAAAAAGGAGAAATGCTCAATTACCTAAGTCTCATTTTCAGAAGGAAAAAGCTAGCTAATTCCTGAGGTAGATGTTTTTCCTATCATTACATTTTAAGATAAAATCTTTGTCTGAGGCTTATAGATGATCCTATATAGCATATTGGCTAAGGACAATTTTTTTGCTTCAGACATTCCCATGATCACACCCCAGTTCCACCTTAATAGCCGTGTGCCCTTGGGAAAATTACACCATCTACATTTAGGTTTCCGTACCTACAACAGGAAAATAACAATAGAACATGCTTTATAGGTAGTAAATGAAATAATACATGTGGCCTGGCATGTATTAAATGCTCAGTGAATATTGATTCAATGTTAATATTAACAGGAATGTGTGTGTGTGAGAATCTGTCAGAGAAAACTTTTCGAGGAAAGGGAGACATTGGGTCTGAGGGACACTAGTTATCTGCTCATTTGAATATCTACTCTGTGAGGAAGTAGGGAGATATCTTCAGGCTTCCACATGTCCTAGATGAAATAGACATTCATTAAACAAATGTTTCTTGAACACCTATTACGTGCCAGGCACTGTGCTGGACTCAGGATAGAGCAGGGCAAGCAGACAAAGCTCTGCTTTTAAGAAACTGACATTCAGGGTAGTATAGTCCCTTTATTCATATTTTGAGTTTACCAGCCTATTTGCTTATAATGAATTAGGCTTCTCAGGTAGGAAACCTGGAAACCAGGGCCCTGGATAGCAGACACAGGCTTTCTAGTTACTGGAAAGGAATAGTCCTTGCTACAAATTATGAAGTTGCCTTCCTGATTTATATATTACTGCACCAACAATTAAGGAATTTCAAGGTTTACCACAGATTATATTAAACTTAACCAAGAACTGCCATTCTGTGTGTATTTTAGACTCTATCTTTTTTTCTATTTAGCTATCTATTTGCACACATACACACGTATGCAAAAGAAAGCAAGCATAATTAATCCATAATCCTAGTTGCTAGAAATAAGCTTTCAAGGTACACCTTCTGTTATCTTACAAAATTGGGATCATTTTAAGTGTATTGTTCTACTAAATGTATTTTTGTTTTTACAAAATTGGGCCACATTATAATACTGTTTTGTAAACTTTTTTCTCATCTTACAATATATTCTAAACACTTTGCCCTTTTTTTAAAGCTTGTGTATGTGTATGTGTGTGTTTGAAACAGATTGATTACCTAACATCCTGAGAAAGAGATGAGAAATAGGCTGTTTAACTGGTTGCCTATTGTTAAATATTTTGATTGCTCCCAAATTTCTATTTTAATGCTTAAGATAAATGGACAGAGATCTATGAAGCTTGTTAAACCTTCTAAGTAATGATATTACAGAGGCAATAGTCATAAAAAAGATATCAACAAAAATATTTACAAGACAAAGGCTAATGACTTTGCAAAAAAGTGGTTTGCCATATGGTAGGCACCAAAGGTCAATGACATAAATACTATTACAGTATAGTATTTATGTCATTATATGGCAATCAGTATGGCATCAAAGAGCAAGACTTAAAAAAATTATTCATTCTTTTATTTCATTTAATCTCTACAACAATTCCTTAGGATACTATTGTCCAAATATACAGGGAAGAAAACTAAGGTTTGGCAAGTTTCAGTGATTGGCCTGAAGTCATCCAGTAGGCAGGTGGTGGTCCTGTTTTGTCACAGATATTGCTGACTTTCAAGTCTATGGGTTTTTCCACTATGGCACACTAAAAACACTGATATTGAAAGCCAATTAAAAAATTATTTTGCATCTGACTTTCTGATATTTTGAAGTCTCAAAAATTATCAAATTATCTTTGGTTTATCCATTTGGTGGTATCACTTCTTTCATTTACCCTTGTCCATTATCTTTGCTTTAGTGACAACCCCTCTCTGTCTAGTGCTAGATTAGGCTATTCCTATGTCTAGACTATGAGAATCCCAACATTTATTTATTTTTTAATCCCATTGAAGTAGAGATTTCCATAAAAAATAAGGGAGGTGCAAAGAGAGGTGCATATATGTCTATGTTTTACTGAAGATCGAGGTAACAGGATTTGTGCTTAGTTTCCTGGCTGGATTAGAAGATCATTAAACTTTCTTTTCCTTTTTTTTCTTAAAAAGGGGGTTGAAGGAAGCATAATTTACATATGAGAATCACAGAGTAATCTTATATGATGGCTGTGAACAGATTGGTCTTCATTTGTTCTGAATAACTAAGACATTATAGTCATAATGCATTTAGCTATGCATTTAGTTTTTGTAGAAAAACTTTGCAGTAGTCAGCATTTTAAATATTTGACCAGTATTAAGTTGCTCCATGAACCTGATGCCAAGCATAAGAAGATAATAGGGAAAAAATAACTAATTTTGAAAACTCTCTGATGTACATATCATTTAAAAATGTTTGGCTAGAATTCAGTTGTGTGTATGTACCATAATTTATTTCATCTATTAACATATTTTAAATTCACTCTAAATTATTTACTATTAATACAGTGATAAAAATCATACTAGTCAGATTTTTGCTCAAATATATATCATACTACAGGATATATAAGGTTTTTATATTATTGCATATGTTTTGCTAAAGAATCTTGAAGATTATATAGTTCCCTCCTTTGCCTGTAATAGGAAGTCAATAGAGCTAGTTTAAGCACAAATGAGAAACCAATTATAAGCATATAAAGATGCCTCAAAGACATAAAGGCAGGAATTAAAGCAGGGATTCAGGAAAGTACTGGAACAAGAGCTAAAAACTAACAGGTGTCAAGGCAATTACTTTCTTAATCTCTCAAAATCCTTCTTTCCTGAACTGTATCATTTCTCTCTCTCTGCAGATTCCTATCATCTATGTCTTTATGCTTCTGGCTCTCCCAAGTTCACACATTCTCAGGTCCCTTTTGATAGGCATTTCTCAGTTGCAAGCCACATTTTCAGGAGAGTCTGATTGACTCGAGTCATGTGTCTAATCAGCAATGGTTGGACAGGCTCGTGTAGTACACACAGGGATGCTGGGGGGCCTGTTCTCAAAGAAGAGGGGTGTGGGCTGGGCAGACATTCTAAAAGGTGTGCACTCTAAGTTAATTTTCTCCACAACAGAGGAAAAATGTAGTAGATGGCATAGTTTCTTTCCTTCATACCATTGAGTCTTGGCAAAGAATGCCTCCAGCTCTGAGCTCTATTATTTCTCATCAGTCTGAGTGTTGTAATTGCTTCTATTTTATTTATTGCATTATATTTCAATTATTTATACATACATATATAGCTTATATATAAGGTGCAAGTATATGTGTGTTGTATAATCCATATGTGTAATTTTGTGTGTATATCTATATCTATAAATTTTTTGGTCCATCTCCACTTAAATTTATTAAGTTGTAGTTCTTAGTATTGTGCAAAACATAAATGATAGATGTATAGTACATGTCTATTTATTATCTTTTAAAGATGCTCTCCCTGTCTGGAAAGGTTGGATGTAGACATTTTTTCTGTCACCTTTAAAAATAGTTATGTGCTTTATACACGTCTATGTGGATCCTGCTGAACTTATGTGGTTTTTAGATTTTTTTTGGTAAGATATGCTGTATAGAGCATTGCAACCACATGTAGTGAGGTTAACACCTGAAAGTGAGAGATGGGGAGCCAGGGCCCTATCTGGGTTAAACACAACATCTGCTGGAGATGATGAGTTAATAGCCATCAGGGAAGTGGTTGACAGACCACTTGACACAGGTGAGAAACACACTTATCTCCTGCCTTTATGCTTGTTGCTAGAAGAGGCACTTCAGCTGAGTACCTGGTACACAAACAGGAAGGCTCTACAAATGCTTTTGTTTGGGAGCCTGGTTCTTAGCAGAAATGTATTGTCCATTGGTTGTCCTAATTCATCAAACATCCCCACCCATCCATTTATCTATCCTTTCAACCATCCTATCTATCCATCTAATAAACATTTATTGAAGAATTAGTTTTAAAAAGAGCAGCAGGGAATATACAGTTTTACAAGGACCACTGGCTTAGACACACTCAAACTGTTCACACACTAATAGAAAAGCTTTGGAGTTAAACGCACCTGGATTTACTCTGTTGCCTAGTAGCTACATGACCTTGGTACTTAATATTCTCTAAGCCTCAAACCCCTCATCTTTAAAATGGCAATAATAATAATAGCACTTACATCATAAAGTTACTGTAAGGATTAGAGTAGATACTGTGTATAATGCTCTTTGGACAGAATCATAAATATTATGTATTATTATTATTTTATTTTATTTTATTTTTTGAGATGGAGTTTTGCTCTTGTTGCCCAGGCTGGAGTGCAGTGGTGCGATCTCGGCTTACTGCAACCTCCGCCTCCCGGGTTCAAGCGATTTACCTGTCTCAGCCTCCCGAGTAGCTGGGATTACAGGCATTTGCCACCACGCCCGGCTAATTTTTTTGTATTTTTAGTAGAGATGGGGTTTCACTATGTTGGCCAGGCTGGTCTCGAACTCCTGACCTCAGGTGATCCACCCGCCTCAGCCTCCCAAAGTGCTGGGATTACAGGTGTGAGCCACCAGGCCCGGCCTATAGTATTATTTTTAAGCATCATCTACAATAATGAGTTCTGATGAAGCTCAAAATTTTATGCATTGCGGAATATACAGGAAATAAGTTCTACCTGCCCAGGCTGTCACTGTAAGTAGGAGATTGCTTCACATGGGGTGGATTCGTGAAATAACAAGACATTTGAAGAAAGAAAAATCCAGCTCATTAGAATGCCTTGCCTAGTAGTTGACAAATATAACTTAGTTATGTACCATAATATCCAGGTGGGCTGATTTTTCACTTTTCATCTGCAGCATTGGACAGCATGTCTATATGGCTTTAGACTCATGGACTTACAGAATGAAAAATAGAAATTGTCCTGAGAGCGTATCCAGTCAATTTGCTAGGTGTTAGAAACTTGCTAAGCATCTATGCTTTATCTAAACAATTCAGCGAAAGAGATGCTACAATTGCAGTGGAAATTTATCTTCATTTCTAACTGAACTAATTCCAGTTGCAAATCCCATTAATTGTTTTGTTTTATCCTTAAGCAGTATCTTCAAAATCAACTAGGCTCAAAGCTTTTTCATTATCTTTTCCTGTTCCCCTTCTACCTCCCTCTGAGTCTTGTCACCAATTTCAATTTGCTGCAGAGTCCTATTGATTCTCTATAGTTCTGCTATGTAGTTGGAGAAGTTCTTTCTATCCTTGTTCAGACCCCCACTCCCTCATGCTTTTACCTTAGTCACCACATCCTGCTATGGACTTTCTGGTTTCTAGACCCTCGTCCTTGCTGTCCATCTTGCTCCTCAAAACCACATCCATCTTTCTAAGCCATTGCTCTCCTCAAAGGTTTTCCTAAGTAAAATTATTATAGGATAGCTTGGACTTTTCAGTTTTACATCAAGGCCTCCGCATGTGGGGCTGCCCTTCTTGCCTAGCCTCGTCCTTTATAACTCCAGCTCTGCTTCTGTTCAGCTAGTTTTCTGTCTTTCAAAGTGATCCCATTGTTTCTCCATGTCTTTTCTCCTGTAAATTATTTCTTCAGAGAGTAGACAGTCCCTCTCTTTTTGACGGTTGTATGGCTCCATGATTTGAAAACTGCAATGATAAAGGCTTCAACTTTTGTTATTAGTCCATCGTAGGAAAGCAGAGTTGAGAGGATAGATTGATGACATGAGATTTGCAGCTATGAGACATCTGTGCTTACACACAAGCTAGGTACTGTATGGTTTCCTTAGACCAGAACCTGGGAAAGATGGGAGGTTATGAGACAGGGGTTCTTAAAGTAGAGTCCATGGATCTCTAGAAAATCCATGAATGAGATTCCAAATACCTGTGAACCTCCTAAAATCACATGCAAAGATTCATGTGTGTGTGCATTTGTTTTCAGGGGGTGAATCCACAGCTCTCATTAAAAGACAAAGGACATTTGGCAAACAGATTTAATTAGGGATTTGGCCAAAAGAGTGTGGGAAGTTGGGACTGAGCCAGACCAACATGAAACTTGCCACCTCATGCTATACCACAGTGATGGAGTCTTTGCTTAGATGCTGCGCTTGGGGAAATTCAAGGTGAAGAAGCCGTCTCACTAAATGCTGAGCCAAGCACTATCACAGGCCAGGAGAACACACACAAGATGATCCTAGAACCCCTAGAGGGTCAGAGTCCCCCAGGACTTCTTAGGCCCAGATTGGAAAAGGACTTTTGTCACCGAAAGAGGCCAGAGATTAGGGAAATCACAGATTTGGCTGATTCAGAGCACTGATTTTGGGAGTAGGATGCAACTGACTAGTTTGGGGGAAGGGAATGTGGGGCATCCTTGAAAGACTAAAAACTGAATTCCGGAAAGGACTAATCTCCTTTTTAACAAGGCCCCCTAAAATAATTTCAGGCAGGGGTATCCTTGTAGATGAAAAGACGTGCAGGGACCTGTATGTCTTTAGAACATTTTCTTGGTTAAGAAATTTGTGACTAGAGTTTAGCTATCTAAGTTTCATATCTGCCATCTTGTATGTTCAGTTTTTTTGCTTTCATATTTATTTATTGTGATTTTTCCTTTTAATACTTGATAAAGATGATTTGAAGATGTGACTCTGAAGAAGAGGCAACTTAGGAAAGTGGTAGGGTATGGGGGGAGGGTGATAGGGTCTGTCTTAGCTGAATGATGGAAAGCAAGATGGCGCAGCTGGCAGTGAGAAGAACTCCCTTTCTGCAGCTCTGATGATTGATGTTTGCCAGAAAAGTCTTTCACTTACAGCACTCCCACACCCAATATCCATAGCCTACCTACCTGTCTTGTGATCCCATTCAAATCCATGGGGCTATCTCTGCTGACCTTTGACTAATCTTTCACTCTTTCCTCCTGGAGCCGTCTTCTTAGCTAGGGATGAGGTTGAGAAGATTTCATTGAATAATCCCCCACCATACACTCCAGTTGAGGACACATATTGCATGTACCACTTGTTTAAAAAAAGGGGTTTTAACATTTGTTTCTGTCTCTCTCTCTTTGTGAGAGTGTTTATATTTTCCAGTAATATTCTAAGCTCTTTTAGGGTATTTGGAGTCAGATACATGGGTTGTAATCATGGCTCTTCTACAATCTAAGCTGTTTGAAATAAACTATACAAACTTCCTAAGCCATGGTTCTTCATCTTTAGTCAATTAATTGCTAATTGATGAGAATGTGATCAATTCACTGCAGTCAGTTAAAAATGCTGGATACTGAGAATTGAGATTGATTATATTTAAGGGCAGAAAGATATATTTAAAAGCAAAGTAGCTAAAACAATGTATCTTAAATTCCATATGCTAAATATAATAAAAGTACAGCTTTTTAATAAAGAGACACTTCAGAAATAAATGAATTCAAATTTAACTAAGTAGAATTCATTGGTAAATTAGATCCGTATTACAACTATGAGGTACAAAAGGAGAATGTCTAATAGGTTTCAGGCACTCAAATACAAATAAGTGCAAGAGGAGGAAGTTCATTGTACATAGTTTCTTTATTAAGAGATATTATTAAGATTATTAAGGGAAGAAGAATCCATAGTTTATATCAACTGACAGAATGATCTAGTGTTGGTGAGTTAACAAAATAGGTTAATACTATAATTTAAACTGCTGGGTTGCAGCTTACTAATCATTGGATGTTAGTAAAAATAGATGGATTCTTAATAGTTAAGATTATTTTATGACCTATTTCCTTTTCTTCTTTCTTTCTTTCTTTTCTTTCTCTTTCTTTCTTTCCCTTTCTTTCTTTCTTTCTTTCTTTCTTTCTTTCTTTCTTTCTTTCTTTCTTTCTTTCTTTCTTTCTTTCTTTCTTTCTTTCTTTCTTTCTTTCTTTCTTTTTGACAGAGTCTAGCTCTGTCACCCAGGCTGGAGTGCAGTGGCAAGATCTTGGCTCACTGCAACCTCCACCCCCTGGGTTCAAATGATTCTCATGCCTCAGCCTCCCTAGAAGCTGGGACTACAGGTGTACGCCACCATGCCCAACTGATTTATATGTATATATATTTTTTTTTTAGTAGAGACAGCATTTCACCGTGTTGGCCAGGCTGGTCTTAAACTCCTGTCTTCAAGTGATCCGGCCGCCTTGGCCTCCCAAAGTGCTAAGGTTGCAGGGGTGAGCCACTGTGCCTGGCCCTTATGACCTATTTTCTAAGGAAATAAAGTTTCAAGTTTACTAACAGAAACTATGCAAATGAAAAGAGATCATAGCTTACTGATGAGAAATCGACAAGATGAGAGAAGTAAAAGGGTTGTATTTTCCCTACGAAAAGATTTTCTGATTGAAGTTAATAATCTGACAATACAATCCCTAGAAGAAATAAAAAAAATTGATGAAAGGTTAGCAGATGGCATAGAAATGTGGTCTTAGAAGTATAAGTAAAATAGCATGTAATGAGAAATATATATTGAATAAAAATATAATGACTTTGATTTGATATCTCAAACAACATGGCAATTAAAAAGACAGCCCAAAAATGTATCAAAGCTAAATATTGGAAATATAAGAAGGAATGAAATTGTAACTGAAATGAAATCTGCACTGTTACGGTAATAAATATTTTATAATTTTTTATCTTTCTTAAAAAGCTATTTCTTTAAGGTGAATTAATACAAATGGAAAGGAAAAATGGTCAGAAAATACAAAATTTTTTTCAAAATTTTAAGGATCTTTTGAAAATGGGTATAATTGTGAGCTTTGTTCTTCAGATGTCTCTGATGTAGGAGTTTGCAGAATACCAGCATCTTGGCACAACTGAGGAGGAAATAATCCTCTTTCTTGCATGCGACGCTTTAAGAGGCCTCAGATGCCCTTGGATACCTTTCAGGTATCTGAGCCCCAGGCTAACGGGCCCCAGAGGCTGTGGTTTACATGGCACATTCCTGGTCATTAGAAATAGTACATGCTTCCATAATAAAAACTATCTCCTGAGACTGTGGGAACCCTCTTAGAAAGCTACACTCCAGCATTCTTAATCTCATGTAGCTGCAGATGAGTGAAGAGTTTGTTGTGGACCTGCTTGATTAGGTAAGTGGATCTTAGATCTGATGCTGTGATATGGTTTGGCTGTGTCCCACCTAAATCTCAACTTGAATTGTATCTCCCAGAATTCCCATGTGTTGTGGGAGGGACCCAGGGGGAGGTAATTGAATCATGGGGGCCCGTTTTTCCCATGTTATTCTTGTGATAGTGAATAAGTCTCATGAGATCTGATGGGTTTATCAGGGGTTTCTGCATTTGCCTCTTCATTTTTCCCTTGCCGCTGCCATGTAAGAAGTGCCTTTTGCCTCCTACCATGACTCTGAGGCCTCCCCAGCCATGTGGAACTGTAAGTCCAATTAAACCTCTTTTTGTTCCCAGATTTGAGTATGTCTTTATCAGCAACATAAGAACGAACTAATACAGTAAATTCGTACCAGTAGTAGAGTGGGGCATTGCTGAAAAGATACCCGAAAATGCGGAAGCGACTCTGGAACTGGGTAGCAGGCAGAAGTTGAAACAGTTTGGGAGAGCTCAGAAGAAGACAGAAAAATGTGGGAAAGTTTGGAACCTCCTAGAGACTTGTTGAATGGCTTTGACAAAAATGCTGAGAGTGATATGAACAACAAGGTCCAGGCTGAGGTGGTCTCAGATGGAGGTGAGGAACTTGTTGGGAACTGGAGTAAAGGTGACTCTTGTTATGTTTTAGCAAAGAGACTGGCGGCATTTTGCCCCTGCCCTAGAGATTTGTGGAACTTTGAACTTGAGAGAGATGATTTAGGGTTTCTGGTGGAAGAAATTTCTCAGCAGCCAAGCATTCAAGAGGTGACTTGGGTGCTGTTTAGAGCATTCGGTTTTAAAAGGAAAACAGAGCATAAAAGCTCAGAAAATTTGCAGCCTGACAATGCAGTAGAAAAGAAATACCCATTTTTTTTTAGGAGAAATTCAAGCCAGCTGCAGAAATTTGCATAAGTAGCAAATAGCCTAATGTTAATCCCTGAGACCACAGGGAAAATGTCTCCAGGCCATGTCAGAGACCTTCATGGAAGCCTCTCCCATCACAGGCTTGGAACCCAGGAGGAAAAAGTGGTTTCATTGGCGGGGCCCAGGGTCCCCGTGCTGTGTGCAGCCTAGGGGCTTGGTGACCTGTGTCCCAGCTGCTCTAGCCTAGGTTGAAAGGGTCCAAGGTACTTCAGAGGGTAGAAGCCCCAAGGCTTGAAGCTTCCACATGATGTTGAGCCTGTGGGTGCACGGAAGTCAAGAACAGAGGTTTGGGAACCTCTGCCTAGATTTCAGATGTATGGAAATGCCTGGATGCCCAGGAAAAAATTTGCTGCAGGGTTGGGGCCCTCATGGAGAACCTCTGCTGGGGCAGTGGAGAAGGGAAACATGGGGTTGGAGCCCTCATGCAGAGTCTCTACTGGGGCACTGCCTAGTGCAGCTGTGAGAAGAGGGCCACCGTCCTCCAGACCCCAGAGTGGTAGATCCACTGGCAGCTTGCACCTTGCACTTGGAAAAGCCACAGATACTCAACCCTAGCCAGTGAAAGCAGCAAGGAGGGAAGCTGTACCCTGCAAAGCCACAGGGGTGGAGCTGCCCAAGACTATGGGAACCCACCTTTTGCATCAGTGTGACTTGGATGTGAGACCTGGAGTCAAAGGAGATCATTTTGGAGCTTTAAAATTTGACTGCAGCACTGGATTTTGGACTTGCATGGGCCCTGTAACCCCTTTGCTTTGGCTAATTTCTCCCATTCGGAATGGCTGTATTTACCCAATACCTGTAACACCATTGTATCTAGGAAGTAACTAGCTTGCTTTTGATTTTACAGGCTCATAGGCAGAAGGGACTTGCCTTGTCTCAGATGAGACTTTGGACTGTGGACTTTGGATTAATGCTGAAATGAGTTAAGACCGGGGGACTGTTGAGAAGGCGTGATTGGTTTTGAAATGTGAGGATGTGAGATTTGGAGTGGCCAGGGGTGAAATGATATGGTTTGGCTGTGTCCCCACCCAAATCTCAGCTTGAATTGTATCTCCCAGAATTCCCATGTGTTATAGGAGGGACCAAGGTGGACGTAATTGAATCATGGGGGCTGATCTTGTGATAGTGAATAAGTCTCACAAGGTCTGATGGGTTTATCAGGGATTTATGCTTTTGCTTCTTCCTCATTTTTTTCTTGCTGCCACCATGTAAGAAGTGCCTTTCACCTCCCACCATGATTCTGAGGCTTCCCCAGCCGTGTGGAACTGTAAATCCAATTAAACCTCTTTTTGTTCCCAGTTTCGGGTATGTCTTTAACAGCAGCATGAAAATGAACTAATGCATGCTGTAACAGAGACTGAAGTGAGGTGGGGTTTGAGGAAAACTGAAGCAGTTCGTTTTTCTTTAATGAGATTCACTCCATATTTGGGTGAGGTGAGACCCATCCAAGGGTCTCTGGGACTAGAGACTAGAGACTGATTAAGATGATGCAGGGGAGGGAAAACTTTTTGGTGCCCACAGGGAAACGGAACAGAAGGTTTTTGCTTTTGTTTTTAATAATTTCAATTTTTATTTTAGATTCAGTGATACACCTGCAGGTTTGTTACCTGGCTGTATTGTGTGATGCTGAGGTTTGGGGTGTGATTGATCTTTTCACCCAAGTACTGAGCATAGGACCCAATAGTTAGTTTTTCAACCCTTGCTCCACTCCCTTCCTCCTCCCTCTAGCAGTCTTCAGTGTCTGTTGTTCCCATCTTTACGTCCATGTGTGTTCAATGTTTAACTCCCACTTATAAGTGAGAAAATGTAGTATTTGATTTTTTATTCCTGTGTTAATTCACTTAGGATGATGGCCTCCAGCTGCATCCATGTTGCTGCAAATGACATAATTTTGTTCTTTTTCATGGCTGCGTAGTATTCCATAGTGTATATGTACCACATTTTCTTTATCCAATCCACTGTTGATGGGCACCTAGGTTGATTCTATGTCTTTGCTATTGTGAATAGTGCTGCAATAAACATATGAGTACATGTACCTTTTTGGTAGAATGATGTATTTTCCTTCGGGTATATACCTAGTAATGGGATTGCTGGGTTGAATGGTAGTTCTGTTTTAAGTTATTTGAAAAATCTCAAAACTGCTTTCCACAGTGGCTGAACTAATTTACATTCCCACCAACAATGTATAAGCATTTTCTTTTCTCTGAAGCCTTGCCAGCATCTGTTGTTTTTGACTTTTTAATATTAATAATAGCCATTCTGACTGTTGTAAGGTGGTATCTCATTGTGGTTTTGATTTGCATTTCTCTGATGATTAGTGATGCTGAGATTTTTTTCATATGTTTATTGGCCATTTGTATGTTTTATTTTGAGAAATGTCTGTTCATGTCTTTTGCCCACCTCTTAATGGGGTTATTTGCTTTTTGCTTATTGATTTAAGTTTCTTACAGAATCTGGATATTGGAACTTGGTCAGATGCATAGTTTACAATACTTTCTCCTGTTCTAAGTTGTCTCTTTCCTCTGTTGATAGTTTTCTTTTGCTATGCAGAAACCCTTCTGTTTGATTAGATCCCACTTGTTAATCCTTGTTTTTGTTTCAACACTTTTGAGGACTTAGTCATAAGTTATTTCCCAAGGTTGATGTTTAGAATGGTATTTCCTAGGTTTTCTTCTAGGATTCTTATAGTTTAAGGTCTCAAATTTAAATCTTTAATCCATCTTGAGTTAATTTTTGTATATGGTGAAAGATAGGGGTTCAGTATTATTATTCTACATATGGCTAGCCAGTTACACCACCACGATTTATTGAATAGGAAGTCCTTTTCCCATTCTTATTTTTGTCAACTTTGTTGAAGATCAGATGGCTGTAGGTGTGCAGCTTTATTTCTGGGTTCTCTGTTCTGAAATAGAAGGTTTAAAACTTCAGCTGCCAAAGTCCAGGCTGTATTTGCACTTAGGAGGGGCTAGGTCCACAGTATCTTCAAAACATAGTCAGATTGTCATATTTTTCTCACCAGGCAGTCCTATAGTGCTAGAAAGGACATTGTCCAAGGTACATTTCTTTGCCTACAGACAAGCTTTGCCATTTCCTGAAACTGTCTTTTTATTAATATGAAAGTACAGCCTGGGCAACATGGTGAGACCCTGCCTCTACAAAGAAAAAACAAAAAACAAAAAAACTCCCCAAATTAGCTAGACATGGTGGTGTGCACCTGTAGTCTCAACTACTCCGGAGGCTGAGGTGGGAGGCTCACTTGAGCCTGGAAGACAGAGGTTGCAGTGAGCTGAGACAGTGTCACTGCACTCTGGCCTGGGCAACCGAGAGAGACCCTGTCTAAAAAAAAAAAAAAAAAAAAGGAAAGAAAGAAAAATTAGAGTGATGTGAAATTGTGCACATGGTGGTGTGGGTTACTTGATAAGTCTTTCTTGTGACTCTAAGAGCACCCAGAAATTGAGGAGAGGAAGCAGTGGGGAAAGGGTAGAATGACAAAAGGGTGTAGAACGGAGTGTCAAAAGGACAAAGGAGAGAAATCTTCCTCCTTTATCGTGTGTTCAGAGAACAGTCTTTGCTATTCTTAAATCCTGGGCTTGTAGCCTTGACTAGAGACCCCAGGATCTGAAGCTACTCTTCCAAATTCAGCTCCAGTTGCAGTCCTGGACATCTGCAGTCACATGCCCATGCTTATTGCCATTGGCTCGGAGTAACACGAAAGCAAGCAACGCTTCTATGCACATTTTGAAAAAGTGGAACCTGTAGAAAAATATTCATATAATAGTAAAATCCACCTATAACTTATCACCTCAAGATAAATGCTACTAATTTTCTGGTGTATTTCCCTCTTTTTATGTCTAATTGTCTTAAGTGGTTGAGATAGTCTGGATATGCAATTTTATGCCTGACATTTTTAAAATTTTAAATTATGGGATATATATTTCCATATACTGTTAAAAATCTTTGTAAAAATCTTTAATGGATACCTAAAATAACTTTGTGTGTCTGCACCATAACTTGTTTAACATTTTCATATTATTGAGTAATTAGACTATTTCTAGTATTCTACTATGATACTGTAATAAACATCTCTGTGCATAAATCTTTGTCTCCACTTTGGATTATTTTCTTAGGACCCTAGTCTGGCCAATATGGTGAAACCTCGTCTCTACTAAAAATACAAAAATTAGCCAGGCATGGTGGCAGGTGCCTGTAGTCCCAGCTACTCGGGAGGCTGAGGCAGGAGAATTGCTTGAATCTGGGAGGTGGAGGTTGCAGTGACCCAAGATGCGCCACTGCACTCCAGCCTGGGCAACAGTGAGATTTCTGTCTCAAAACAACAAACAAACAGACAAACAAACAAAATCCCTAAAAGTGAAATGTATAGGGTATGAACATTTTTGGGAGCTGTGTTACATATTGTCACATTGCTTTCTGAACACCTGGTTTCTAATTTATACTCCTACTAGCTGACAAAGACAGCACAGTTTCTAGTATACGTATTATTTAATTATTGAAGGAAAGGAATGATAACTATCTGTTTCATTGAACCCTTCCTGGCATTGTTATTATTAAAATCAATCTAAATGAAGCTGGGCACAGTGGCTTATGCCTATAATCCCAGTGCTTTGGGAAGCTGAGCTGGGAGGTTTGCTTGAGGTCAGGAGTTCAAGACCAGCATGGGCAATATAGAGAGACCCCATTTCTACAAAAAAATAAAAAATTTAGCTGGGTGTGGTGGTGTGCACCTGTAGTCTAGCTACTCAGGGGGCTGAGGCGGAAGGATCCCTTGAACCCAGGGGTGAGTTTTGATCACACCACTGCACTCCAGCCTGGATGACAGAGCAAGACTTTGTCTCTAAAATATAAAAAATAAAAATAGAATTATAAAAGCCAATTGAAATTAGAAAAAAACAACATTGACATCAATAAAGGCAAAAATCTCATTAATTGATACACAGCGAATTGTGTTTAGCTGTTTAATTTGCAGTTCTTTGGAGGCTGGTTAGTTGGGCAATTTTTCTTGTTTATTAGCTCTTGGTTATTCCTCTTCTGTGAATTATCAGCAATTTTTCTGGGTCTGGAAACGTATGGAAGGAATTGCTTCTCTGCTGACACCTGGGACTACCTGGAGGGAGGCTAACATTTGTAAGGGGAGGACCCTGTACTTGGGAGACTGGCTCAGGTCCCCAGTAGAATCTTCTATTAGCTGTGACTAAAGAAAGTCTCTAAAATGGGCTTAACTATGAATGGATATCTGAGAATCTCCAAACTCCATTGGAATCTCCAGTGATAATTAACAAACCTTTGGGAAGTAGTGTTACTACTTGCCAGGCATTTTCTAACTGACCCATTGGTGTTCTGTATTGACCCACTAACTTTTTCCAACTACCTTGGAGGTAGATACTATTAGTATCATCCCTATATTTCAGGTGAGAAGAACAAAGAGTAGAATGCCTAAAACAGTGTGGCCAAAATCTCATCACTAGCAGGCTGCACATTTGGACTTTGAACCCAACCATCTGCACGTGGATTCCAATTTCTTCACTACTCAACCACATTGGCTTACCATGCATGTCAGAAACACTATCCAGACAGCATGGGTGACCCTATTCTAAGCTCTCTTCACACTCGGTGTTTCTTCTTCCTACTTTGTACCACACTAAGTAATTATCTGTCCAGCCCTTTCTTACATGTCTCTTCTCCTGCTGGAATTTAGGCTCCCTGAAGGTAGGCAATATTTCAATCTTGCTCCCATGCTCTCCCCAGCATCAATCTTGTGCCTTGTGAACAGTGTATGCACACTATTTGCTCAGTGGTTGAAGAAGTGCTCTTGAGATTAGTGTCATCTTTTCAGTGGGTATTGGCTGGAGGCCAGGTCCATATCTGTGCTTGGTCAGATAATGGGATGTGGGTGGGGAGGGTGTGTGTGAACAACCAAGTGGATCGGCTGTAGATGATGAGTTAGTGTGCAGAACTTGTCTCTCCCAGAGAGTGAAGGCTCTGTGCTGGTCCTCCCACAGTCTGTCCACCCTCTTCCTCCTTGTCACAAAGGGCAAAGCCTTGATTTTGTCTTGCTGAATCTGTGAGCATGGACTGACTTTTCAATAACCTGGAAGAGAATGGACCCTGGTAGCTTGGTTTAATCATGAAACTTACAATATCAATGCATCTTAGGAAGTATCTTAGCCCACCCTGGGTGAGGAAGCAGGTGTAAGGAAATTAAACAACTTAGTCAAGGCTAAGTTAGTTTATGACCGGGTGAGCTTCCTGCTATCCTACTCCCTAGCCAGTTATCTTTTATCTGCTGCACATGGATTTCACCTTTGAGCTAAGAAATCTTGAGCCAATTTTTGTGTCTTGTTCTAGTTCAAGCTCAAGCAACTTATGTATTCAAAGCACAAAGGCATAGCACCAAGGAGTGTATGTGAGGGGCCAAATCTTCTGTTTCAGGCTCTTTCCTGATAAGGTGACTCTCTGAATGTAGTTCCTTTAGAACAGCACTAAGTAATAGAGATATAATGAGAGACATATATATTATTTCAAATTTTTAAAAAAGTGAAAAGAAACAGGTGAAATTAATTTTAACAATATATCTTATTTAACCAAATTTATCTAAAATGCTATCATTTCGGCATACAATAACATAAAAATCATTCATAAGACAGTAGAAAAGACAACATATGCCAACACATGCATTAAACATGAATTATGTGATGCAATGGTGATGCAATCCCTGGATCATTCTCAGACCTGGGGACTTCAGAGAGAGAACACTGGTTCTTGGGTGCTGTTTGATAGAACTAAAGATCTGTTTATTAGTTGGTCCTTATGCGACAGGTGTCCTGCCCTGTATCTGCAGGGAATGAATGTCCTACAGAGACAGAAAAGAATATGAACAAACAGGCCTTGTTGAGCTCCCCTTGTTTATTACCATTACATCCTACTCCTTTTTGTCCAATCACATTTCTCCACAACCATCCAGTTCTTTCATCAGACTTAACATAAACATCCACAATTTTCCCTGGGTCTTTGGGTCTTCATTTCTTAAGACTCATGTAAAACTTTGTTAAATTTGTTATACATTTCTTTTTTTAATGTGTCTTTTTTTATAGGGATGTCAGCCATGACCCTTGTGGGACTGAGAAAAGAATATTACTTTTTCTCCCCTACGGAGTTATAGTGAGGAAAGGAAATTGACTCTTTAAGAGGGCTTTACAAAGGTTGTAAAGGGTGCTTTTATTTTAAAGGAGGAAGCATTAGTCAAGTCATACCTGAGCTGTCTTTCCTATTATCAACTGCTGTCATCTGGTGGCAAATTTGAGGAATGGCAGAAATCTTCTGCATTGAACAGTAATGTTCTCTTGATATTTGGCAAAATGGATTCCGACTGTGTTTGCCTCTAGCATATGATCAAATTAAGATTCATATGATTAAGTTTCTTGACAGAACTAGGATTTATAATAAACTAATGCCTTAGGTCATCTTTCTTCAGGTAATAACAATAATAACCAATATTTATTGAAACTGTACTAAAGCCCAGGATCTGTTGTAAGTGCTTCACATGGATTATCTTATTTAGTATTTATGAAACTTCTATGAAGTGGATATCATTATTATCTTCTTTTTATACCATTGAGGCATTGACAGGTTGAGTAACTTGCACAGATCACACCACTGATAAATGGTAGAGTCAGAATTGTAACTCCAAGAGATCTGATTCCTGTGCCTGTGCTCTTAACCACTGCTTTACAATGAACAACTAAGCTAAGATGGCCAACAAGGAGAATAAACTAGAAGTGGGAGATTTGGTTTTGAGTTTTAGCTCTAATGCTACCTAGTTAATAATACTTTCTTGTTTCAAGAGAGACTTACGTTAGTCTGGCCTTGGTCATATTCCCCTTCTCTGGGTCCCATTTTCTCTTATATAAAATGATGGGATTGGACAGGATCATTGTTCTTAAAGCCTGGCCTTATGATGAGCTAGAGGTTCAACATACATGAGAGAAGGATGAGAAGGAAGTAGGTGTTTGGCTGGTGCAGTTGAAAATCCAATCAATACAACCTCCTTCACTTCTTTTGCATGACAGTCTTCTAACTAAGGTTTTGGTTCCACAAACATTGTAATGGCTGAAAGAGAATCTAGAAACAATAGGGCCAAACTCTTTGTGGGACTGTCAGAAACACCAGGTGGACAGAATATGCTTAAGCAACAGTAGGTGGAGAGAGTCACTAAGACAGTGTTCCACTGATATTCAGGAGAGAAGCAGTACAAACTCCATTTTATTTAAATGCCTCCAGCCTTACAGTTTGAAATACAGTTGTTTCTATGGCATATTCATAATATGCATTTATAATTTGCTTAAAATATTGTGAAGACCTTTGTCTATGGAAAGTACCTAAAAGGAAAGTGGATTAGTCAATTTTCACACTGCTATAAAGAACTACCTGAGACTGAGTAATTTATAAAGAAAAGAGGTTTGATTGACTCATAGTTCCTCAAGGTTAGGGAGACCTCAGGAAACTCAGAGTCACAGCAGAAGGGTAAGGGGGAAGTAAGGCATGTCTTACGTGGCAGCAGGAGAGAAAGAGAGAATGAAGGGGGAAGTGCTACACCTTTAAACCATCGGATCTCTTGAGAACTCACTATCACAAGAACAGCATGGGGGAAACTGCCCTCATAATCCAATCACCTCCCACCAGATCCCTCCCTCAACATGCAGGGATTACAATTCGAGATCAGATTTGGGTGGGGACGCAGAGCTAAACCATATCATTCTGCCCCAGCCCCTCCCTAATCTCATGTCTTTCTCACATTTCAAAATCAATCTTGCCTTCCCAATAGTTGCCCAAAATCTTAACTAATTCCAGCATTAACCTAAAAGTCCGAGTCCAAAGTCTCATTTGAGACAAGGGAAGTCCCTTCCACCTATGAGTCTGTAAAATCAAAAGCAAGTTAGTTACTTCCAAGGTGTTATAAAATGGGGTTATAGGCATTGGCTAAATGCTCCCATCCCAAATGGGAAAAATTGGCCAAAACAAAGGGGCTACAGGCCCTATGCAAGTCCAAAAGCCATCAGGGCAGTCATTAAATCTTAAAGCTCCAAAATAATCTCCTTTGACTCCAAGTCTCACATCCAGGTCACACTGATCCAAGGGGTGGGCTCCCGAGGCCTTGGGCAGTTTCACCCCTATGGCTTTGCAGGGTACAGGCTCCGTGGCTAATTTCCCAGGCTGGCATTGAGTGTCTGCAGCTTTTCCAGGTGCATGGTGCAAGCTGTCAGTGGATCTACCATTCTGGCATCCAGAGGACAGTTACCCTCTTCTCACAGCTCCACTAGGCAGTGCCCCAGTGGGGACTCTGTGTGGGGGATCCAATCCCACATTTCCCCTCTTCATTGCCCTAGTAGAGGCTCTCCATGAGGGCTTTGCCCCTGTAGCAGACTTCTGCCTGGACATCCAGGCGTTTCCATACATCCTCTGATGTTTTTAAACTTACCCAAATGATATTGCTATAAGGGCAATCCAAGTTGCTCCATGAACACCTTGACCATTGTTTCTGACCCCATGGTGTGTATGCTGTGCATTTCAGCCAGCCCCTCTTTCAGGGATGGATTTCAGTTTGCTGCCAACTCCCCCTCTGCTTCTACTACAAATAAATATCCTTGTACATGCCACTTATGGTCTCGATAGGAACTTACTTAAGCTATATACATGGGAGTAGAAATTCTGAGTCACAAAGTCTGGTCATATCTACTCTAGGGAGATGTGTCAGAGCTCTCTTCGGTCTTTCTTCCCTCCAGAAGTACGTGATAGTTCTTATAGCCAGCTCTAGATGTTATGCAAATCTACTAGTCAAGTTATATCTCACTGTTGTTTTCATCAGTATTTCTCTGATTATAACTAACTTTGAACATTTCTTTTTAGGCTTGTTAGCTTTTTGGATTTCTTCATTTTATTGGTGGGATTTACTTGTATATTATAAATATTAGTTGTTTAGACTTACAGTACCTGTTTTATACTTTGAAAAGATCTCTGAATCAATAGTCTATTTGTTGGTGTTTGCATGGGTATTCCTTATTGAACAGAAATTCATAATTTTGATATAATAAAACTCATCCGTATTTTTGTTTCATGGTTGGAGATTTTAAAAAGTGCTTCTTCACTAGGCATCAAGGGTGTCCTTTTACATTTTCTTCTATTAACTTTAAAGCTTTACTTTTCACATTTAACTGTACTCCACCTGGAGTTTACCTTTGTATGTGATGTTAGATGGAAATCTGGTTTCATTGCTTTCCATAAAATGAGCCAATTTTCTCTACACCATCTTCATAATACTGCATTTTTTTCTGCATTGATTTATGGGACTATTAAAAAATCTTATGTTAAGTTTTTCTGTGTATATGGAACTGTCCCTAGTCTGTCTAATATTTTTCATTATTGTTCTGTTTTGTATTAATACTGCACTAAACTATGGTTTTATTGTAGGTTTTAGTATCTATTAGGGCAAGATACCTATCTTGTTTTATAGGTTGACTTAACCAGCTTTTGACATTTATTATTTCATTAATTTCTGACTAAATGTAATTGGTCTGTTAAAAAAAGTAACTCAAATATAATTTCATTTGGGATTACATTAAATATACAGGTTAATGGGAAGAATTGTCTGCTATATGATATCAACCATCCAGTCCAAAGAATGCCTCTCCATGTATTCAGATCATTCTCTGTGTCCCTTATTGGGTTTAAAAGTTTTCTTTAAAGAGAACTTCTCAATTAAAATACTGCATAGTTTTGGTACAACTCCAAATGGTATCTAATTTTCAAAACGTATTTTGCAGTTGGTTATTGCTGATGTTAAAGAAATGCTATTGCTTTTTTTAATGCCCAATCTTGTATCCATCCACTGTGCTGAATTCTCTTTTTGATTTTTTTATTTTCTAATAGATTATCTGTTGATTCTGTTGGTATTTATTTGTGGGATAATCATACCATCTACAAACAATGGTAGTTTTATATCTTCCTTTCCAATGTTTAAACCTCTTTTCTCCTTTTCTCCCCTACCCAATACTGTTTGAGACTTCTAATTCCATGTTTGAAACAGTAGTGGGTGTGTGTGTGTTGGGGGGGATTATTTACGTTGTTCCTGATCTTAAAGAAAATGCATCAAAGTTTCTCTATGAAGTGTTGTTTGCTCCTAATTTCTGGTGTATAACTTTTACCAACTTGAAATATCAACTTAGTTTGTTAAGAGTTGTTTTAAAAGTTATAAATAGTTGATGAAATTTATCAGATGCCTTTTCTGCACCTATTGAAATAATGAGATGATTTTGCTCTTTTAATCTATTGGTGTGGTAGATTAACAGATTTTAAAAATGAACTATTGTATTTCTTGAGGGAGGAAGTCTTCTTGATCATGATATGTTATTATCTATTACTCTTTGGATTTGATCAGCAAGTATTCTACCCAGGGTGATCACATTCATATTCAAAACTACGAATGAGAGAAAAATCTTCTTGTTTGTATAGTTTGTAAATGGTTTCAGAATGAAGATTACACTAGTCTCCTAAAATGGATTGGGTAGCGTTTTCTCTTTTTCTATTTTCTGGACAATCTTTAAAGTGAGTATTAACTCTGTTTTGGTAGCTTTCACCTGTAGAGGGCTCTTGGTAGTTTTAGATTACCATTTATGTTCATTCAATATTCTTGTTTTATTATTATATTTATAACAAATACATTTATAAGAAAAACATATTAATAAGAAGAATATGGTCCTTGGAAATTTTTATGATCATTTGGCCTGCTGGCTACTAGTGCATTCTCTTGTTTCTTTTCTTGGCCATCCATTGAGGCATTTTTTTGGGGTACATTTAGCACCATTTTGTAATTTTTTTAAAAATAAAAACAACCCTAAGAAGTAGTCCCTTTTTGATAAACCTTTGAAGTAAATAATTTCACTGATGACAACACATGTTTTAGTAGCACTGATATGTTAGTATGAGGTGAATGGTGAGTTTTGTCACTTGGATTCCAGTGAGGGAACTGACCCATGAGACAAAAGCTCAAACTCTGATGGGCCCTGACTCTTTGAAGAAGTGTTTTTCAGCATGTCTCTATCTAACAACCAACCAAATATAGATGATTCAGTAAGCAATATCATAAAGACTGAAATGGTAAGCTACTTAGTTGGTTGAACATTTTTGTATTTCCTCCTTGCCTTGGCTGCCAGGAAGCTCATGGCTAGGTTTAATGCCTGACAGCAGTGACCATCTTTTCCCAAGTTCTGGGTTCTTCTCTCATGTACTTATTTCAGACCATACTCTGACTCTCTGTTATTAAGAGCTCTAAAATCTTTGAGACTATCTAAATCTCAAGTACCTGATTGTAGCATTTGATTTTGCCAGCTCATCATCTTCAACATGGAGATAAAGACAGCCATCTGCTAGGTTTTTATCAGGATTAAATGAAATGGTGAATGAAATGAGAACCTTAAAGCTGAGAGGCAGATGCAGGGCAGCGTGTTGGGACTCACTCACTTCCTAAATGACTCACTTCTACACAACAGCCTCAGAGGGAGCACAGATTTCTGTTTTAGTTAAATTATAAATGACTACGTCATGGGCTTTTGGAGTCACTGATGAAGAGTCAAAACTGTAATACCAAGTGTCTACAGTCTGTGTTCTTTGGGGGAAGTAGGAGTGGCATAAATGATGACCAACACATGCTGGGTGAGTTCCGTGGAAATAGGGTGCTCTACACAGGCTCCAGCTCATGGTCATGTCAGCTCTCCCGGATGCTCTTGGCTTTTTCCTAGTCTGGTTTTATTTACCTCCCCCTACTCCCACCTAAAGCTGATGCAGAGGGAAGTTTGTTGGCTCAGTTCCTCCACTATTTTAGCAGTTTGAAGCTTGGCAGCTCTGGCTGGAAGGACTCAGCGACATTCTTGCAAATGATTGAGGGACTGGGCTAGGTGGGGTCCCTGGGACTGAGGGAACCAAGGCTCCCTCCTGAGGGTGATGCTCAGAGATTCGGCCCAGTCTGATGATATTGTGACTCGTTATGATGTACACAATGAAGGCAGGGCCTCCCAGGGAGACCCAATGAGATGGAGGCAGGGAGGGACAAAGAGAAGTGAGAGAGGAAAATAAGATAACAAAGAGACATACTTGAAACTAGTAACACACAGAGAATTTTTTTAGTGTTTACACTCTCCACTGGGTTTTTGTGTTCTAAATGTTTGCCTCTTGATAATTCTTCAAGCCAATTCCCCTTGGGACTGTTTTGGATTCCTTTTTCTTCATTGAAAAGCATTCTGTGGATTAAATAAAAAGATGCTACTTGCCAACATGCAACTAGTTTTTTGGAAAATATACGGTTCAGGAATGCAGTATTTGCTTTCGGTATTTTTAATAAAACCTTTCTTTTTCCACCATACTCTCCTCCATCCTTCTTTCTCCACTCTTTTTCACCCCCTCTCATACCCTCATGCCCCAGCACACTCAATCCTTGCACATGTATGTGTGGTGATGAATAAAACACAATGATGAGCTTCAGTAGAGAGTGCCGAGAAGTGCCATTTGCCACTTGGAAATGCCGGGAGCCAGAGGAATGTCTGTAATATAAGAAGCTTATTTTTAAAAGGACTCCTTTTCTCTTTCCTTCTCTGGATTTTCTTTCTTTACCCTACACGTGTGTGTGTGTGTGTGTGTGTGTGTGTGTGTTTGCAGGCAGGGTGAGTGCTGTCCACTGCCACAGGCAGGGAAGAGAGCTTTTCTCCATTGTAAATGAAAGTGCTTTATTTTTGTGGGTGCCCCTTGCTGCTGTGGGACATTCCAGTTTGGGTAAGTCAGGTAGAACAGTGGGTCACTCGGGCCAACACGTTTTACTGAGTGTCCTTGGTTAGGGAGGTTGAAGCCCAGGAAAAGCTGGTCAACAGGTGGTTGTTTTATTGGGGTGGCATTTTTCCAGTTCTCCAAGGTGCCCACAGTTGCTGGTTCTGGAAGAGGATGTGGAATGACGGGGGCTGGGGGAAGTGGGAAGAGGAGACAGAGGCCATGAGGGCTTTCACATATGCGAAACAGCTGAGCCAAGCAGGGTCAAGCAGTTACAAGGGCATTGTTGTGAGCTTAGGCCACTGGGTGGAATCTCTCTGACCAATGGTCCTTCACCACAAAGCCCACAAAGGCAGGAAATGTGCACATTACTTAGAGGATGCCACTGGTCACAATTTGATTGCCCTCTAAGGGCTGTCAAACACCACTGAAACCTGTTCCTCCAGGCACTTCCTGAGTACCTGCGGTTTTGTGTGTGATGACTGAAGGGATATTTTTAAAAGCCATTGTAATGTTGCTACTGGTCTATTTCAATGAGAACTGAAAAAGGAGGCATGGGTCTTTAGCTTTTTTTATAAAAAGCAAGCTCAGGTAATCTGCCCACACTACCTTCACTGCATGCCTCCTCTGCAACCAACCCCAGAGAGGCAGGTAAAAATTTGGGATTGGAGGAAGTCTGGGGATGGAGTGAGATCTGCGGTGCATTGAGGCTCAGAGAGAGGTAATGTGGCCATATATGTAACTTGATAATAAGGAAAAGTTGAAAAGTTAGTGGTTTGTTTTTAAAAAGACATGAAATGCGTGTAAATGTCCAAATCACTGGGGTCCAAACAGCTGTGTCAAAATGGCCACAATAAAATTTTAGATACTCGGGCTAATATGAGCAAAGAGAGGGAAATTTTAAATAGCAACATTAAAGATACATGAAGTTTTTTATTCTCTCACATAGACTTTTTTTCCCCCTCTTGGAGTTATGAGAAAACAGAAACGATTCTGTCTTTTGGACTAACTGGAAGACAAGCCTGTTGTGATGGTTAATGTGTCAACGTGACTGGCTACAGAGTGCACCGATGTTTGGTCAAGTGTTAATCTGGGTGTTTCTGAGAGGGATGAGATGAATGTTTAAATTGGTGGACTGAGTAATGCAGATTGCCCTCATAATGTGGGTGGGCCTCATCCAGTAAAATTAAGGCCCAAACAGGTAAAAAATGTTGATGCTCCCCTGAGTAAGAGAAAATTCGTCCTGCTTGACTAACGTTGGGCTGGAATTACATCATTGGATCTCCTGGGTCTTCAGCTTCCTGCAGATTTTGGGACTTGTCAGCTTCCGTAGTCACATGAGCCAATTCCCTGCAATAAATCTGTTTCTGTTTCTCTGTCTCTCCGTGTGTGTGTGTGTGTGTGTGTGTGTGTGTGTGTGTATGCACATATATGTGAATATGTACTTATATATTCATATATATTGGTTCTGTTTCTATCTATAAAATAATTTACATTTTTTGTGAAGAGACTATTAGGTTGGTGCAAAAGTAATTGTAACTGCAACAATGCAATTACTTTTGCACCAACCTAATACCTGGGTGTGGTCCGGTGAGTCAAGCTGTGGAATGTCAGGAAATTTGGCTGTGAGTACATCGGCTTCTGTATCTTGGAAGTGTGGTTTCATAAGTGTAATTCCTGTTTATAATACTTTTTTCTATTAAGAGAACAATAATTCCTGATATTTTGGTTGAAAACTCTAAGTACCTGAGACCCACTTATTGGCCTTCTATGAAGAAAGAACTGAAAATTATTTTGGGGTGGATGAAAATGCAGCTATTCTTAGTTTCCCCAGAGGAAAATTCAAGAGGAAATGGGTTTACACAGCAGTAGGGGGGGGTTTATGTGGGGCATAAAGGAGCGTGTTCAGGACAAGGTTCTGTCAAGAATGTGCATGGAGCATGTTTCCTTGGCATACAGGATGGTCAGAGCAGGGACCACACGGGGTCTTGGATGACATAGTGTCTAAGGTGACCCCACCGACCCTTCCCCCAGCTCTCCCTGTCTGTAGGGATTTAGGGGGACACTGAATGGTGATTTAGTGAATGGTGAGTTAGGGTAAAACTCAGCCTTGTTTTTGAAAGAGCCATTAGGTGAAGGAATGGCCAGATGTACAGCAAGGATGGTGAGATCTGATTCACAGCAGGCTGCCAAACTTCATCTGCCATAGTGACCTGTGTTCTCTCCTTACATATTTTTATTGTTTTAAATTTGGATAGCCCTGACAGTTGGAAATTGGGAGTGGGGCAGGGGATTACTATTTTACATTATAAGCTTTAAAAATTTAAACCTTGTACATGTATAGCTTTGGGAAAAATAAAAAGACATAAAAATAAAAAATCTCTGTGGCTTACTTTTTGTTACAAGTAATACATGCTAGCTGGGAAAAATTTAGAAAATTCAGAGAGGCCGTCCTCCAAAAATCCATTGTCTAGAAATATTTACTCTTGGACCTTTGGTCTAGATTCTTCCATATTTTTCTTAACATATACATACATGTATTTTTCTTAAAAACAGAAATGGATTGTGTTAGTTTCCCTTTGTGAGTTAACAATATGTCTCCAGAGTGTCAAAGGGTATATATTTGATGCTATATGAGTTAGGGCACTTTTGTTTGCAAATGATGTAATTTCAGTGTTAAGTGCCTTAGGTAAAAAGGAATACAGAATATAGGAACTGGGCCTTGGGAACAACCACGTCCAGGACTGAAATACCTCTGGGGCTCTGTATCTGTTCTCTCTTTGGTTTCTTTTTAAGTAATTGGTTCATTCTTATCTCTTACTAAGCACTACTGAGAAATACTGGGAATAATTTTGAAGCTTCACATCTTTCTATTTTAACTTTCCAAGGAAACACAGCTTTAATTTTTATAGACCAATAATCCAAACTCCCATGAAAGGGCTCACTAGGATGGCTTAAGTTAGAGAAAGGTGCATGGTTGTAAAGGTTCTTGGGGAAGCATGGTGAATGGAGGGAGGGAGAGGTAATTTTAAGAATAGCCAAGGGGGCTGGGTGCAGTGGCTCACGCCTGTAATCCCAGGACTTTGGGAGGGCAAGACGGGTGGATCATGAGGTCAAGAGATTGAGACAATCCTGGCCAACATAGTGAAACCCCGTCTCTACTAAAAATACAAAAATTAGCCAGGCGTGGTGGTGGGTGCTTGTAGTCCCAGCTACTTGGGAGGCTGAGGCAGGAGAATCACTTGAACCCAGGAGGCAGAGGTTGCAGTGAACTGAGATTGCACCACTGCGCTCCAGCCTGGCAATGGAGCAAGACTCCATCTCAAAAAAAAAAAAAAAAAAAAAAGAATAGCCAAGGGAGGGAGACTGAGCTGTTAACAGAGAAAGAGAAGATTCTGGGCAGAGAAGATAATAGCCTTCTTGATGCCTATGTATTGATAAATGATGCTTTGAAGAGTATAGACCTATATTCACTCCCAGCTATGTATGAGCTGCTGTTTTCTAACAGTCTTGCCAGCCCTGGGAATTACCATCAGAAAGAAACTCGTTGATGGACTGCACTAATGGGATTTTCTTGTTTGTCTGGATTCCTGCCAGTTAGATAGCCCCGCACTATTTTCCGTCAACTCCTTCCGGGGAAGAGCTCCTTCAGCACGCCTGTGCTATCACTTTCTTCCTCCCAACACTCACCAGATGTGGGGGTGGGGTCCATTCTGAGGGTGACCAAGAGTCGTCATGTTTGACCGGTGTGACATCATGGGCTGCCACTTACTGGCACAGGACTGATGATGATACAGGAACACACATAAAGGGACACAGCAGCAATCACAAAACCACACACCCCACTGGGTGGCCTAACCTAGATTTCTGCCCTGAAGAGGGGCTGTGGCAGGATGAGCAACCGCAACCCGTGGGCAGCAGTCCCCATTCTCTGATTCCTCTTGATTTCTTACGGAAATGGAGAGTTTGGGCTTGTGGGACCTTTGAACATGGATATCAAGGTCATTCAAACTTACCAGAAAACATGTTTTCTTAAAGGTTCTGTCTTTTTATAGTGGTGAGTGGGAGCAGGAATACATTTGCTCCCCTCCTGGTTTAAGGAAAATCAAACAGAAATGTGAATGGAAGTTGAATTCTCCAGGAGTGAATAAGAGGGGACAGTACGATATTTTGACTTTGGAGGCAGGCTATGACTAGAACTCCTTCCATCCTGTGGCCCTCAAAGATGTGTTCTGCAAAGACCCTTGAGGGCAAGGGGATAGGTAGAAAGTTGGATGACAATGTTCACTCATGTTCTCCAACCCTTGCCAGAAGTGTGCTAGCTTGCTCCCCTTCCCTCTCCTCCCCTCCTCTCCTTTTCTTTTTCTTTATTCCTTTCTCTCTCCTTCCTTCCTTTCCTTTACCTTCTTTCTCTCCCTCCCTCCCTCTCTCCCTTCTTAACTTCCTTCCTTCCTTCCCTCCCTCTCTCACTCCTTCCCTCCCTCTCTACCTCCCTCCCTCTTCTTTCCTTCTTTTTTTTTCTTTTGTTTTTGAGACAGGGTCTCACTCTGTCACCCAGGCTGGAGTGCAGTGGTGCCATCGCAGCTCACTGCAGCCTCAATCAAACTCCTGGGCTCAAGCGATCCTCCCACCTCAGCGTCCCCATCCCTGTGCCCAGCTAATTTTTGGTATTTTTTGTAGAGATGGAGTTTTGCTCAGGCTGGTCTTGAACTCCTGAGCTCAAGAGATCCGCCAGCGTTGGCCTCCCAAAGTGCTGGGATTTATAGACAAGAACCCTCATGCCTGGCCTGGCTGGCTTCTTTCTAACAGAGAGAAGACATTATTTAGTCTTAGCCTTATATGTCTTGTCCAGTTTTATCAGGCATTTTAGCCATAATATCCCAAATATGAAAGTGACCCTTTTTTAACACTCCTTTTACCTATACCTGGCATTGTTATCTAATCTTTACCTACATGACCTCTGCCCTTCCAGATGGAAAAGATCCCTCCTGTTAAGGACAGCTGGTATTTGGCCACATCATGTTTGTTTTCTGTTCTGCCAGGTGACTTCCGGGTGACAGCTCTGCGACTGCGCTTCAAGATCACCCTGCTTCTACTCCCAGAGGCATACCCCTAGTTCGCAGGGAAGTTCCATTTCATCACAGACCTGGGAAGCAGAGAGAAGCTTGTTGCCATCCTTCCCCCACACCTTACTACTGCTTTGAACCAGTGTGCTGCATTGAAAGAGATAAGTAGAAATAGTTGAACCAAAAATTACATGATCCCATAGTTTGTGCTTAAAATAAACAAAGAAGCTGATCTTTCAGTGAACATGTTTTTATTGAACACCAACTTAATTTCAGGAACATTTCAGGTACATTGTCAGAAATAAAGACTCTTAAGAATGTATTATTATGTACCCAATACTGGTTTCAGGCCTTTACATGTATTCTCATGAAACTCTATGAAGTAGATATTATTATCAATATTCCTACTTTACAGATGAGGAAACCCAGGCCTGGAGAGGTCAAGCAACTTGCTCAAGTGGCACAGCTGGAGAGTGGGGAGCTGGGACTTGAGCCCAGGTAGTGTGTCCCCAGCACCTTCAACTAAACTCCATTCTGTGCTGCCCTTTGGAACACCCACTCAATGGCCTTCACACTCCATGTCCTACTTGGGAGGACATGTGATCTCAACAGCACTCACAAATGAAGGCTTTCCAGACAGGATATTGAAGATGGTAAGATCAGTCTCATGTATAAAGCATTTTTTAAAAGTAAAGCATATTATATGCTAGTCATATGTACTAGGGTGAATGCATGTATGCTACATGCTAGTAGAATTAATAGTTGGAATATAAAAATACCCTATAGGCTGGGCACGGTGGCTCACATTTGTAATCCCAGCACTTTGGGAGGCCAAGGCGGGCGGATCACTTGAGGTCAGGAGTTCAAGACCAGCCTGGCCAACATGGTGAAACCCTGTCTCTACTAAAAATATAAAACTTAGTCGGGTGGTAGTGGTGCGTGCCTGTAATCTCAGCTGCTTGGGAGGCTGAGGCAGGAGAATCGCTTGAGCCTGGGAGGCGGAGGTTGCAGTGAGCTGAAATCGTGCCACTGCACTCCTATCTGGGCAACAGAGTGAGACCCTGTCTCAAAAAATAAACAAAAACAAAAACAAAACAACAACAACAAAAAACAAAACCCTACAGTGAGCAATGAGCCTTTATGTATTTTTTGAGTTCTTCTCCTATTTTTTTTTTAATTTGGCTCTTTCCTTCTACATACAAGTGCCTGTGGACACAGCATTGTCCTTGTGCTGTTGCCATTTACAGCAGTAAAACAACAGCTACTATTTCTTAAGGGCTTATATTTGGCTCTTTATTAACACTGTCTGTTTTAAGCCTTACGGTAACTGAGGTTGGTATCATTGTCCCCATTTTACAGATGAGTAAACTAAGGCTTGTGCAATGTTAATTGAGCTGCGGAGAGGATATATCACAGCTAATAAATTAGAGGGGCAGCATTCAACCCCAGGTCTTCCTGAATGCAAAGATTTGTGCTAGTAAGCTCTGTGTTCTCCTCTGAGGTCACTGTGGTGGGCTCTAGGCACTTATGCTACCCCATTTGTGTCAGAATACAGCATGTGAACACACATGTCTATAGAATTTTAAACCCAAATATTTACTTATTACTGTCTAAGTTCCAGACACACACCATAAAAGATACAAATCTTAAAAGATAAACTGGAAGGACAGGTCAGAATTCTCCCTTAGTAAAAGGTAGCGATTATGAGAACTTAGCTCATTACAGCCTCCATCTCCTGGACTTAAGTGATCTTCCTGCCTCAGCCTCCCAAGTAGCTAGGACTATAGGTGTGCACTACCGCATTCAGCTAATTAAAACAAAAAAAATTTTTTTTTGGTAGAAACAGCATCTTGCTATGTTGACCAGGCTGATCTGGAACTCCTGGCCTCAAGCAATCCCCTGTCTTAGCCACCCCAAATGCTGAGATTTTAGGCATAAGCCACTGTGCCTGGTGTGACAGGTACTATTATCCCTATTCTACAGATCAGGGAACTGAGAAATGATTGCTTAGTGAATAGATATCTTGGGCTGAATAGATCAATAGAGACTTGATGATACATAATGTGCTAGGCATATTTGGTGGGATAGGTAAGAATTATGCCTTGGAACTAGCCATGCTATAACTTGCAATTCAATTGGATCACACCATATATACATGTCTAATTTCTTTCCTTAGACTGTTAGCCCCTAGTGAGCAGGAGCCCTGTCTTCTATGTCTCATGCTCTTCCCCTGGCTGGCTTAGGGTTGGCACAAACTCCATCCTCAAACTCTTTCTTGACTGTGTGTCTGTCAAAAGCATGTAAGTGGCTGCAGCTGTGAGTGCAAAGGCACAGAACAGTGTGTGTTGAGCATTAAAATCTTGCTCACTTTTGACTCCAGGACTCCTCTTCTCTTCCTTCCTGGGAGCATAAGAATATGGTGAAAAAACCAGAATTGTTTTCTCAAGGAAAGTTTTAGTAGGTAATTTCAGTTGCAGTTGAATCTCTTCTGTTTCTCCAAGGACTGGGCATTGCCAGCCCTGCTGTAGCTGGTTGAAGGGGACCAAACCTCTCAGGAAGACGGACTTGGTTCCGTTTGACCAGCCAGAGCAGGGGGCATCTTTCTTCTGAGGTGACTGCAGCCTCTAGTGTGCAGGTATCTTGGTGTGTCTCAAGCATCATTTGTCTAAGCCTGTAATGCAAAAAGAAGCAGCATTAGCATCTGTCAAATGCCAGGAGCTTGCCTTGTCCAGAATGTCCTCTTACATGATTTGTACATACATCTCATACAATTTGTACATACAAATCATACATAATTTGTATTTCATGTTGCATGACTTCAATTTATTTTTTCTTTAATCTTTAATCTTTTTTCAAATAGAAACATCATGAAGATCAAATATGCTATAGAATTATAGAATATGAAAAATGACAGTATGCCATAATGCTTCCTCTTCCCATTTTCCGAAAGAAATGTAACATTTTGGCATATATTCTTTGAATGCTTAACATTTTAATTTCTTTAAATTATGTTTTTAATTCAAGTATGATATATTTATAAAAGAATATTTATAATATATAAGTGATGGTACATAATGGTAAAACCAATACCCATGAACAACGATCTACTTTTTTTTGTTGTTACTTTTTTGAGATGGAGTCTCACTCTGTCACCCAGGCTGGAGTGCAGTGGCGCTATCTCAGCTCACTGCAACCTCTGCCTCCTGTTTCAAGTGATTCTCCTGCCTCAAACTCCTGAGTAGCTGGAATTACAGACACCTGCCACCATGTCCCGCTATTTTTGTATTTTGAGTAGAAATGGGGTTTTGCCATGTTGGCCAGGCTGGTCTCAAACCCCTGACCTCAGGTGATCCACCCATCTCAGCCTCTCAAAGTGCTGGGATTTTAGCCGTGAGCCATCACGCCTGGCCCAACGATCTACCTTTTAAAAAGAACTATTTTTTACTGTTTTATACTATTGCTTTCTTTGTACTGAATGCTTTTTCCAATTTATTTCTTTATGTTTCCCCCCGGAGGTAACAATCACACTGAATTTATTTTTTCTTATGATTTTGATATTTTTCTTTATAGTTTTTACCATTTATGCATATATTTCTAAACAATATATATGCATATTTTAGTATATAATGGCATCATATCATAGGTATTGTTTTGTGACTTGATATTTCATTTAAAATGATATTTGCAAGATTCATCCATATTGATGTGGTAGCAGCAGTTTATTAATTTTCATTGCTTTATGGTTTTCTACTGTGTGAATATACTATAATTTATTTATTCTCCCAGCCATAGACATTGAGGTTGTTTGGTTTAACAAGGGGATAGCATTGACTAAACTGTTTCTCAAAGGAGGTGGAAAAATCTTTGATTCTTGCAGATTTTAAAGGAGAACTCTGGATTTGTATGTTGGCCTTGTAAAAGAATGGCAACACTTACCAGCCCGAAACATCTGGAAGTAGGACCCAGAAATTAGTGCTATAACCTGCCCTTTGGGTGATTCCGATGCAGCTCAAGTTTGAGAACCACTGAACTAATAGGAGTACCCACTGGTTTCTCTCTGTTTCTAGGGAGGTGTGAGCTGTGGGAGAGAGCTGACTAAGAAGAAGAAACTCCCCAGAAAGGTGGCCTGCCAGTCTTCACGATGTATGGGAGCAGGTGGGAAAAGAGGTAGGCAGAAAGGATAGTTTGAATGATGCTAGAAAATTGTCCTTCTCCCTGGGGGCTAGGCATTGCAGCCCTTTTATTTTCTCTTCCTGATGAAGACAAGTAAAACTAAGTGGAATGCATGTGGCCTTGGAGTCACACTTATCTGGGTTCAAATCCTACCAATGCTTTCCTGGCTCTTTTGCTTCTAGGAAGTTACATAACATCTTTTAACCTGAGTTTCTACATCTGCACAGCAGGAGAAGGTTGTATCTACTCTGCCTGCTTGTTGCGAGGCTTAATGACAAGGAAGGAAAGGTGCACTGTGTCCCTAGTGGGCACCATGGACAGTGTCAGGGGTGTGGGAAAGTCCTAGAGACAATCCTGACTGCTTTGGAGGCCAAGAAGTTCACTCTCAACTCCAGCCTGTCCTTTACATGTTTCCCTTCCTCAGCTGCAAGTGTTTGCACTTCATCATTGAAATTGTTGAAACTGCTGATCAGGAAACACAGAATGAGTTTAACCAGCGATGCCAACTTCTGCAAGATGGACTCCAGCTTGGGAGCTCTGTATGGAATAAATAAGATATCCCAGACATCAAAGCACTCAATAAGGCACTGTAGAAATGGCAACAAGGTAAAAGCCCACAATGATGGTGGTGGTGAGAAAGCAGGGCACCACAGAACATGGCTTGGTTCTAGAGTGGTCTGTGCAGGGTTACGTTGAAGCTTCTGTCTTGGCTTGTCCTCTCCTCCTTGGTGTGCATTCTCCTGGCCCTGTAGTCCTGGCATCTTACCTTCTGCCTCCTCCTGCCAGTGACATAGCTGTCTTGAAGCTGCTGCCTGCCAGCTCTTCCTCTGGCTAACCTCTGCTCCTTCTCTAGCTCCTCCTGGGGAGCAAGGAAGCAGGCAGTTGTGGGGGCAGAGGGCAGCCCATTGGTCTGAAATCAGGACTGAAAAGCACATGTGTCCAGCTTGCCAGCCAGAATGACAAACCTCTTTTTTGTGCAGTTTCTTCAATTCTGGACACTTTCTCCCACCATCTCTCTCTTCTCTTCTTTACTCACGTCCTGCCCCACCCCCAGCAGCACAGCCACCCATACAACATACCCCCAGTTTCTGAGCAGAGGACATGAAATTAAACTCCAGGATAGGAAAAGGAAGTGTATCATTAGAACAGGTATGATTTAGGAAAGGGAAAACGTCATTGGAAAGAAGGACAACCTTGAGCTATCCGCCTATTTTACAGACATGAAGACCAAAGTTTTTAGAATGAAGGACAGTAATTTTCATTGCAAAATATAATGTGCCATAATATGCTGATGTCAGAGACTTCATTTATTCAAAGCACCACTATCAAAAAACCAGGTTTCTCAACCTTAGCATGTTGACATTTTGGGCTGGATATTTCTTTGCTGCGTGTTGGAGGGTTGGGGTGGCCGTTCTGTGCATTGTAGGATGTTCAGCAGCATCCCTGGTCCCCAATCCCTAGATGCCAGGAACCCCCGAGTTGTGACAATTGAGAATGTCTCTAGACACTGCCAAATGCCCCTGGGGAACGACATCATCTCCAATTGAAGGGCCACTAATCTAAAGTGAGAAGTTTCTGTGCTCAGTTCTGTAGCTGTCCCATCTCTAGTAATTTACCATGTTCTTCCAAGTTCCTTCCACCCCCCCAAAAATACAGGTTTTATGCCCTTAAAGGCCATTAGATAACTGTCTGGTTTCTGGAAGAGGTGAGAGGCTTGTGTTGCAGGTGTTACTGAGCCCAGTTAGGGCAGAGGGGAGCCTTGGCCCAGTGCTCTGGGTGCTGTCGCCTCCTTGGGCAGGGGGCCCCTCATCACCAGCTGCTGTGCACTCCTCTGCCATCTCCTATGCAAACATGGTGCATCCTCCCTTCTTCCCTCCCTTTCCTCCTCTCCCATGTCCTTGTTCTGCTGCTGCTCAGTTTCATTTGACAGTCCTGTCTTGTGCATCTTGGCACATTTTGGTCAAATCTTCTCGGGTTTTCTTTTGTGGTTTTGTTTAAGAACTCAAGGTGTAAATGTAGTGTGGTCCCAGCTGTAATTTCTCACACACACTCACCCTAAAAACAAGGAGTCAGAGGTGTGGGATGTAAGAGCCATCCTGGAATGGGGGTTTAAGTGAGGGAAGGAGGCCTCTTCATCTTCCTCCCTTGTTCTGAAACTCTTCGTGGGGTGATGGCATGAGCCTTGGGTGACTGCAGCCTCCCCTCCTGCTCAAGGCTTCCCTCTGTAGATTCAGCACTTTCTTGGTGTGGGTTCAAGCCCTTTGGAGTCAGAGCTGGGAACACAGGGGTTTAGGAAACAGAGGAGAAAGGAACTTGCCTGTTAGTTGAGTTAATCGCTATTTTAGCATCTCAAGGTGTTTCTTCAAACAGCCTTGCAGAGTCCATTTGTGACAGGGTTGTGGTGTGAAGTGGAAAGGACAGCAGAGCAGAGTCAGGGGACTGTGACCCCGGATGAACTACTTATTATGGTTTCCTGAACCTCACTCACAGCACCTGCCTCAGTACAATGCAAGCCCTGAGAAACGCTTGCAATACACATGGCTTGAAAGAGATTATGATTCAGTTTGGTTCATAGAAACCTCTCATTTCAGAAGTAATATGACCAGAGGAAGGAACTAGGAGGGTGAGGGCTGATTCTGTGAAAAACCTTTGGGGGAAAGGCCTTTCCTCACCAGGCTGGCCAGAGGAGCCAGGTCTGGGAGGCTGGCCACAGCGGGGACTGTGGGACAGCAGTCAGTGTGCCTGAAACCTTGGGCTGAGCGAGGACGCCTCAAGAGGGGGAGATAGGGGTGTTCAGGAAGAGCCCAGATGGGATTCAGAGGCTCTTGCTTCCTTGGTGAGGGAGTCATTTGCTGGCACAAAGCCCTGATGAGGAAGAAGGTCACCAAACCTGTGCTCCGGGTGGTACCCTGGGGCCAGCGAGGAGGCACTTGCCGAAACCACACACTTCCTTACATTCCATAGCAAAGTAATCCATATGGGGATATAAAGAAGCATGTGGCCTCGGGAAGCAGTGTCATCCAGAAGCAGCCCGCATCTCAGAAGTGGGCCACTTGTAGCATCTTTCCTCCTTGCCCAGGCAGGAAACTCTTAGCGAGAAGATCACTGGGATCTCAACTCATCCTAAATCCCCCCCGCCCGACCAAATCATGCTGAAATAAATCTGTTGTGAGGAATGGCAGTGCTGCTTGGGACCAAATCCTTCCTACTGTTTGTTCACAGATAAGCAGCACCACGTTTCCCTGGCTTATTCTTGTGCAGCTACAGTCTATCCAGTCCTTTGTTATTACTACTAATTAATTCACTGCTGCTGTTTTTGTGCATTTTGAATGTGATTCTTTTTTAATGTTTGGGATCCAGTGAAGGGAAAATTAAAAAGAAGAGAGAATCCAACAGAGAAATTTTCCACATTCACGCAGAGAGCCACTCATGCTTAGAAACACACCGGCCCTCCTGTACTTCCTACTGTACGTCTATCTGTTTTGGGTGCTTGTTGATGGGCAGCAGCTGCCCATCCAGCATTCCAAGCACCATTGTTCACTGTGGGAAGGATCCTTTTGTCGGGCTTCTGCTCCCCCTAGCCCATCACCTGCCCCACAATCTGTGAGGCCTGAGCCTCAGAAGGATGAGGGACATTGGCAGCTGTTGAGCCACTCAGGGTCTGGATGGCCACCCTGGCTGGAGGGAGATGGGGTTTTGAACTTTGTGGTATCTGATTCTCTGCCAGAAAATGGGGAAACATATGCCAAAGGAAGAGTTGGCCCCCAAAAAAGGTTTGAGGCTCACAGCACTGGCTGGGGTGGTTAAAAACATTTAATCACAGTAATAAAAAATAAGAGGTAACTTTTTATAAGTATGTTTTCTATAACAGAATCATTACAGTGTTTTGCGTATGTGAGCACCTTGACTCCTACCTACTCTATGAAATGTAGCCATTTTATCTGATTTTACAGATGAGGAAAATGAGGATCGTAGAAATGTATTAATTATCATATTTATAAATGGTAATTATTTAAAAAAAACTAATCAGATTGGAGGCACAGTTTTGGATCAACCCATGGAGAGAGGCTTAGAAGGTAAAAAAAATGTTGAGAAGGAAGAAAAGGAAACACTATGGGTTTTTGACTTGGTGTACCTTTATCCTTTCTGTAACTCTGCGCTTGGGGTGTTGTTGATGGAGGTGGCTTAGAAACCATACTGTTTCTTAGGAAAATAGGAAAATGTCTCTAGCATCCCAGTCAAAATCTTTCGGGCTGACCTTGGGAATCATCCAATGGCTCATCCAATTCCATCCAATGGCTATGTAAGCTTCTGCTCTGAAAACACTGTTTTCTCCCATAGTCAAGTATGAACTTCATAGAAGTGAGAGTTTGGGGCTACCCTTCCTTCTCTAAGTTTGGGGGCAGTGGGCAACCAAAAACACACTATCAGGGGCTGATGGCAGGGAGGCAGCTTGGTCAAAGGAGGAAGGAGGTGTGTCTGTGCCTCTAAGAAAATAAAAATGTCTCATTTCTTTCATAGAACCAGGGAACTTAAGAGCTGAATAAATGTCCATTTTAACTAGTTACATCTGTCAGATGGAGATCCTCCAAAGTGTTTGGCATTTGAGTTGTGAGGAGTGAGGGTTTGCACCGATGAGAGGAACCATCAAGTTTTATGTTCAAAGAACTAGAAAGAGCCAACTTTAAGAGACTTGCTATTCATGAGCCAGGCTGAGCTTCATACATTTATGTAGGAATACAAAAGAAAAAGATTTCCAGGGAAAAGATTTGAGATAGCCAAGACAGTGTAAACTATCCCATTAGACTGTCCCCAACATTTGGGTGTGAATTGTTTTGTCTTTGCCAAGCCCAACCTTGTAGGGTGAAAAGATTACTTAAAAGTTCACTGCAAAATCTGCAGGAGAAAAACAAATTGTTAATAACCAATTACTTGACAATTAATGAGTCCAGGTAACTAAATTCTTATCACTTTAGAATGAATAGAGAATTTTGAAAGTCGAGAGAGAGAGTTTGAAATGGGAATATCTATGATGAAAGCCTTGTTTAAACCTTCTTCCCATTTTCCTGGACATCTAGCTTAAGACACAAGAAAGAAAAGTCATGGAACAGGTTAGAAAATGGAGAGAAAGGTAGACTGGAAAAACAAACTACGGCAAAACCAACATATTTCAGACAAGACAAAAATAGTAGGTAAAAAAATCTGGGATGGAGAACATAAAGACACGTTTCTCTGTGCTTTGCATAGGGCAAGGGCATCTATATGACAATTGGATGTGGGTTTTTTTTCCAGATTATTTATCTAGTTTCCTATCTACCCAAATCTTTTGACTTTAGTAGGCACTGTTAATGGAAAGAATTAGGAGATGTGGTGTGTCACTTGGCCAATTGTGTGCTGGGTGATATTAGCCAAATTACCAGCTTTCTGTCTTCATTCCTATACCAAATCCCATGCTACTTATCTGTAAATAGCAGTTGTGTAACCCCAGCTGCCCACCAAAGAATGGGTTGAAGATTAATGAGATAACACATGTGAATATCTTGAGTTTCTTAGGAGAATGGGCCAATGGCAATATAAAATGTCACTCAACAGGTTATTGAAAACAAGATTTACTCCACACCCCAGCCCTGCCTCATGATCAGACAACTGCTCAAAACCCTTAAATTACTAACATGTCCTTTCCCTTGTCCTGAGAAGCAAGTACCATTTAAAAGCGTTCCAGACTTAAGTAACAGTAAAAAAGTAGCCTCAAAAGCATAAACAGCAATCACAGTTCTTTTTCAGTTTCTTTTGCTGAGCAGGACAGTATTTGAACATAAATGACTCAACACATTAAAGAGATAGAAGGATGCTTATTTCTCATTAATGGTCCTTAGAAAGCCTATTGGATTTGGGTAAAATCAAGGACAGGTTGAGACCGAGAGAAGTCTGAGTAAGACAAATGTGATCTTCAAGGTTATTGGCTATGAGGGGTGCAGGGAGAAACAGCATGGCTTGGACATCTGTGACTTGAGCAAGCTATTTAACCTCTTTCAGCCTCAGCTTCCTCATCTGTAAAGTGAGACTAACAGTGCTTCCTCAACGGGAGGAATTAGATTTATGTAGTGTGCCATGAGCATAATATTTGAAGTTTAATAAATAATCTCTATTACTATTATTAACATTATCTATTAATAATATACAATCAACATAATATTGATCTTATTAATAATTATATGTATTATATTATTAATTAATGTGTAATTGATATATTAATTAGTATTAATCTGGCAATGGAATCTACTTACTACATGGAAATCCTTATATTTGATCTACTTTAAAGGGTTTCATTAACATGACAATTGTTTTTATGTAAGGGGTGATTCAAAGATACTTGAGAAAGCAAAAATATTATCAAAAATATTCGTCGTACAATTTTAGTAGATTTGTTAAAAAAAGGTATTAATCAGTATCATTTCTGACAAGAATCATTACAGGTTCCGAATGTCTGGGATGCCAGTCTCATTTTTAGGAGTTTTATGAAAGGATATATGTGATGAGATGCTCAGACTGTCCCCTTACTGACCACAGGGGATTTTCCCTCTGATAATAGATCTGATCTTAGTTTGTTTGCTGGATGAGGATAGAAAACCAGGATTCTCTGCAGAACAATCACCTGTAGGTGACTCTCTGAATTTCTAATATAGGCATCTTAGCTCTCCCTATTCCTTCTCTGCCCCTGGTGAAGCTTGGAAGTTTTAAACAACTGATACTAGCTTGCTAAAATGTAATCAGAATTGTATGCTTTTATGGGAATTAGAGCCCTACTAGTGTCTGCAGAAGGCATGGCCTGCACTGATGCACCCACTTCAAAGTCTGAGGACTTGTGACCTTAAACACTGGTATCTCTTCCTGGTGTTCTTGGTGGCTGTCTGTGAAACAGAAGTGATTCTGCTGCTCACTAAGTGAAAGCCAAATTATTTGGGGCTTACCATCATCTGGCTGAGGAGGTCGGAAATAAAGTAGAGGTCCCTCCTTTTAAGGCAAGCATGGGGTAGTAATTCGGGATAAGACCTTATTTTTTCTGGGACTCAGCCAGAATGTCTTGCTATTTTTAGAGAACTGGCTAGTTCTGAATGTTGATTTAATCTTAGACAGGAGTCCCATTTAACTTCCCAGGGGCAGCCAAGAGCAATGCCAGCTCCAAGAGCCCACCTTCTCTTCCTGCTGGCATTCTGCCACCTTCCCCAGAAGAGGTGAGTATCAGTGGCATTTCACCATCACTGTTGTCCTTGCCCTGCTTCTCATCCAGGAGAATTGGAGCTGGAACTTCAGGGGAGGGGAGGGTAAGGGGAGGAGAGGGAGCCAACATTATACTAAGCCGTTTGTTTAGAGGATTCATGCTTACAACAATCTTGTGAAAGGCATTTGATGAAACTGTCACAAGCAGGCTAAGTAATTTGGAGACAGAGTGGCTAAGAAACTTGCCAAAATCATTCAGCAAGTAAATGGCAGACTTATGACTTGATGTTACTCTCTAACCCAAAGCTCACATTTGTTCTAATATGCTGTATTTCCAAACCTTGCCTGATTCTTGGTGTCTCTGAGGCGCTTATTAATATCCCTGTTCCCTGGTAGGGGAGCACTCCACTCCAGAGCCACGGGATCAGAATCTCCAAGGTAATAGCTGGGGATCCACTTTTAAAGCAATCACTCCTAGGTGACTTCTATGCTCAGCAAATTTAGGAAATAACAGCTCTAGGACAGTTGCTTTCATGCTTGAAGAAATGTTAGAATCCCAAGTTTCTATGCAGATTCTTCTGACTTGATCTGATAGACACTGAGATAAGTGATCTGGGTCAGGGCCCAGGAACCTGCATTTTTGCACATCATCGTCCTCCCCACCCCCACCATTTTATTCTGTTACAAGTGGCCAGAAGACTTTGAAAAACAATGATCTAAAAATAAACAAGAAAGAGGGATATGGATTCTATAGCAATAAAATCATTAATCCTGGAAAGGACTCACTTCACAGCAGTCCAAAGAAAATTACTTAGTTTGGGTTAAAGGATGAATTTCTGCAAACATGGTGATAAATGGTTAGATCCAGAAACAGGGTGATCCCTCTGTACAATATGAGTAGTCAACATCTTAGTGACAGGAATGCTAGAGGTGACCACTAATATCTAACCTTCCCAATATTCCCTAGGCTCAGTTTCCACCAGGAATATTCCTTTTCCTTTGCCCAACTTCACTAGTTAAAATTCTTTGCTTTAAGGCTTAGTTCAAAAACCACTTTCTTCCCAAAGTTCAAAACCACTTTCTTCCCAAAGTTTCCTCTCCATTCTCTTCCTCTTCTTAGTTCCTATGTCTGTAATTGGGCATAAATCACATGTTATTTTGCAGTCTAATTCCTCGTGTACCTGTAATGCGTCTACATCTCTTCTCCTAGAGGGCCAGCACTCTAACTGCTTCATGTTTGATTTCTCAGCCATCTGCCAAAGGCCTTTTGCACAGTAAGGGTCAAGCGGATAAAGCCACCACCACTACCACCACCCTTACAGAGCACAGTGTGCAGGTCTTTTTTAAGCATTGTAACACGTATATTAGAAATATTTCTATTTTACAGGTGGAGGGAACAAGGAATTGAGAGGTTGTTTTTTGGTGGACGGGTCTCTTTTACAAATTCTAGCTCTGTAGATGATCAGCACGTAAGGAGATCTGAATACTGAGGATTCTGGGAAGAGGTCCTTAAAAACTCTTAACCTTTTGATTAATTTAGTGCATCAGAATCACGTGAATGGCTTGCTGAAACACAGATTGCTGGGTCTCACCCCCAGAGTTTCTGATTCAGGAAGCCGGGGTAGGAACTGAGAATGTTCATTTCTAGCACGTTCCCAGGTGATGCTGATGCTGCTGGTCTGGGGCCCACACTCTGAGAACCACTGCTCTAGGTCAATGTTTCTGACACTCCACACTTTGAGGGCAAAAAATTGGCCCTTATATTCTGAGCTTCCTAAAAGCAAAGAGATGAGGGAGAGGAATAGAAACCACACAGAAGTTAGGAAGGTGTGAGCCCTTTCCAAGGGCATGGTTGTAGGTGCTTTCACTGATGAGGGTGCGGACAGGCAGTCAGCACTCAAAAGAGAGGGAAACACTGCTGGAAGTCACTTAGTGCTTTTGGCTTGAGCAGTTGCTTGCCACCAGCAATGATTTCATTGGTTTCCAAATTTTACCAACAAGTTTTCTGTGTGTTTTGGTGAAGAATGTGTATAAAATGAGATGAGTATTTTTCTTGAGAAGATAGCCCAGCAGAGAGTCCACTGACTCACTTGACTTTATATCACATTTGCAGAGGGATCATAAAGATAATATAATACAATTTAATAATACAGAATAATGATGAAGCTTTTTATTACAGCTCCCAAAACTGTTACTTAAAAAAAAAAATTTGTACCTGCACCTATTAAATTGAGTGAGGATTAAGAATTGCCCAAGGTCCAGGGACCAAGTCAGGAGCATGGGGTTCTCGTCCTAGTTTTCCAAATAAATACATTGCTCAGGGACTTAATTTCTTAGTGGAATAGTTAAATTGTCTTAGTGGGGACATCTATGGGGTCATCCAAAAACCCATCCTCATGCAGCAATTGAATATTTGAGATAAATTAAATATTAAAAATAAATTCCTTTGAATTGCTTGAGAGCAAAATTCAATAGATATTCAAAATACTTTGCCAAGGCATTCGAAGGGCAAGCCACAAGTACAAGGTCACATGCTGTCAGGTTCTCTTCCGTCTCTCCTAACACCGGTAGCTCTTCTTTAGGTAACTGACCAGCCCTTTCGGGGATTACTTTGAAATCTCTCCCCTCATTGTCCCTCTTGTCTTCCAGGCCCACCCTCCTCCCCCTCTGCCTTTGCTTCAGTCTCCAGCACCCAGAAGCAAGTCCACTGTCAGTACTGGCGAACAAGTCATTCCCATGCACTCAGCCTGGGGGTTGGGGGCTTTTCTCTTATTCATTTCCCCATGCCTGGCTCTGCCTGTCGGATCTGGACTCCAGCTGTCTGCCCCCACCTGTCTGAGATGCAGAACTTGGAGCTTCACCTGCTTCTACAGACGCTGCCTTGCTGGCTTCAGATGACAGAAGCAGATCGCCTGCAGGGCTTCCCAAAAATTCACAAAGAAAGAAAGACAGATGGGCAAGGCAGGAACGGCCAGAGGACAATTGGAGGAGAAAGCAGCACGCGGGGAAAGCTCAGCACATACCTGGGGAAAAGTTGCAGGCGGGTCCCTCCTCCTCGCTGGGCTTTCTTCCCCAGCAGGCTTCGGCCCCCACTGAGGTGTTTAGGATGTGGATAGTTATTTACTTATTTATTTATTTTCCAGAGCTGGCAGTGTTGGTTCGCATTTCTATGCCTTCCTGTCAGAATTCTCTCAAGGAAACGGCAGCTGGTGAGCTCAGAAATGTCAGTCAGAATCTTGGCCTAGTTTGGGGCCTTGAAGATTCTTACAGAAAGTTAAAAAGGTTTCTGGGCCAGTGTCTCCTTTGGGTTTTCCCTCTTTTGCTTCTCACCTTTTCCATCTTCTATTTTTTCTTTTTTTTCATTTTACCCCAGTAGCTAGCTACTTAAATTGCCTGCTTCTGTCTTTCCGATGGTCCCCTCTTGGGTACGGCTGTGGCTCTTCTTTTGGCTCAGCCTAACAGCCTGGTGATTTTCTAAGCATTCAGATCGGTACTTAGACACTCATTGCTTATTTTGTCTTCTTACTTATTCCCTTTTCCCCTTTCCTCCCTCTCCTTTCACTCTTATCTTTGTAATTGCTATCCTTCTAATCACACACAGAGAAATCATCTTCATCTGTCCTTTATGTGCATTTCCTATCCTCACTGAATAGGCTGTCATTCCCCAATTTGTGCCCTGTCCACCCATTTCTCCTTCATTCTTTAGTTCCATCACTTGTTCTCGATTTACCTTGGACTTGGGTCCTGTCCAGATGTGACCTAGCTACAGATCTGATCTCTCCTCTGCTCTCTTCTCCTCTCCTCTCCTCTCCTCCCCTCTCCTCTCTGTTCCTCAGGCAGTTTCACTCCCTGCCTCCTCTTATCTCTGCTCTCCGAAGGGGAGCCTCCTCCTTTTGTACTCTCCAGTCCTCTGCCCACCCCCAGCACACTCTCCCACCTGTTTGTGTCTTTTAAGGGACTTGGTCCTGTCCATGCCTTCTGTCCACCTCAATCACCCCAGTGACGGGCCTCTGAAAGCTGTTAAATTACACCTCTTCAGCTGTCCCATTGCAAGGAGAAACGATCTCTGCTAAATCCTTTTTCAGATAGGCAAATCTATATTAATGCCTCTGTTGATGGAATATACTGAAATGATGCATGTGTTATTTTAAAGAGTAAGAACATTAATTTTTTCAAATGAATGAATCCCTGTCTCTTGATACTGGGTTTCTTTTAGGTTGTATCACTATGTATGACCTCAGATACAGCTCTTTAAGCTTGTTAATAAGTTATTTGGGCCATTTTTCAAGTGGGATGTAGTTATAGTGGAGTTATGGGAAACATGGGTGGTGTGGGGCTTGACTGGATGCTTGATAACATGTGTCTAGTGACTGCCTGTCAGGTCACAGTGCACCATATTAAGCACTAGAAATAAGTTGTTTATGTTCCCTGCTCTTGAGAGACTTACAGGCTCTTTTGGGGATAGGACTTGAATCTGGGGGAAATACACGCACAGATATATACACATATATAAAATATAATAATTACAGACTGATAGAATGGCAAATAAGCACTCTCGGTATTCAGAAGCAGAGATTAACAAGTGGTGGGCCAGGTAGTAAACGCTTCATGGAGGAGACGGGTTTCAGCTAGGTCCTGAATGATAGGGAGAGCTTATATACATGGAGAGGGAGGGAAGGGCTTTCTCAGATGTGGGAACAGCTTGAGCAAAGACATAGTGGCAGGAATGTGCAGAGTGTGTTCAGGAAATACTGATTAACCTGTGGCTGGATCCAATGCTTTGTGAAGGGGTCAGCCTGGGAAAGGCCTCGGGCACAAAGAGCCCTTCTGGGAAACTATACTCATGGTAGGAGATGGCAATGTTTTAAAGAGTTCCTTCAGACCACACAGTTACAGATAGCTATATTTGAAAAGAGTAGTGCTATTCTGTTTTGATATGGTTTCTATAAATGCATATGAATTTGGATGATTTGATAATTATTATCTGAATAATCATGGTCTGAAATTTGTTGCTATTGAATATTCAGAGAGAAATAGACATTTCTCTCTAATCCTTAGAATATTAAGTCTTTTTATTATTATTTTTTTTTCTGGCATTTGTTACTGAAGGTCTGCTGTTATAAATGTAGAAAACTGCTAGCCCCACTCATTCACAGTCTATCACCGGTTCTGTCTCCCTCACACAGTTGGCCCTAAAGTCTACTCAACATCACTTTTTCCACTTACTGAAAGCTTGATTCCACCTTGGCTGGATTATGCATTTGTTATGGGTCTAGATACACTTTAACATGTCTTTTTCCTGTTTCATTTTTTTTTTTTTACAATTTCTTTTTATGTAAGTCTAGAATTCACAGCACTGTAAACTTCTGGAGGTCAAGTTTATACTTATTTTGATTTCTTCTCTTGTTTGCAGCACAATATAAGGACACAGTGGCCTCCCAATGAATGGTTGCTGAAGTCAAATTGGATCAAAAGGTTCACTAAAACACTAAAACTGTCCAAGAGAATACAAAATACAAACCCAGCGGCCACATTACTAAACATCTTCTGAATACCGTGACAAGCCTTTAGTTCTTCTGAGATTTTTCTAGGGTGAAAAGAGGGAACTGATGTTAATTTAATAATTCATCTATATATAGGATTATACTTTAGGTTTTCAAGTCACAAATCCTTATGAGTCTCATGCACTATTTTGGTTAGGTAAGCCAAAGGTATTGATAATCAAATTTGGAAGATGAAGAATGAGCAGACTTGCTGAGGGCCACATGGAAAAAGATGAGATCATCTATTGAAAAATATAGGATCAAATTCAAGCCTTATAATTCCTAATTAAATCTTTTTTTCACCTCAGCACCTTTTAGGTCAGAAATTTTGACTTCCTGATAAAGAACTACTTTCGTTTTCTCTAAATTCTTATGTAAATCGGGTTGGTTTTAAAATGATGCAACTTGATGAGTGAAGTATTAGAAGTGAACATGAGGAGTGGGGACTGTTCCTGAGATCTTTTCCAGTGAGATGATCTTTCCTGTGGAAATCTCCAGAAGCGAGGAAAAAGGTTAAATTAGAGCTGGTCCTGAGCAAGAAGTATTCTTCAGGAAAATCTTACTTGGTTATTTACTTAGTGTGTTAGAGAACCAAGGCCCGGTTTAGCAATGAGTCTTGCCCCCTGTCACAGAACCCGCATCTCCTGACTCCTTGGTAAGTGTGCTTTGTATCACACACAGGCATCATGATTGTCTCCTGTTTGGTCATGAGCCTCTTGAAGAGCCTTCTCTTCCCCAAGGCCACCACTGGGACAGGGTGATAATAGTGAAGGGAATACTCAGGTTGCCTTATTCGTGGCTGGAGGCCCATCTCTTAGAGCCCTACAATAGTGAGCAGAAACTAGGTGAAAAAACTCCGTAACTGTGGGAGTGTGGGGGAATGCAGAAAACAGACTGTTCCATGTTAAAAACTGTTTTAATGCTCAGCCACTGACTGTCATAAGGGTGATAGTAATAATAGTGAAATCATGGGATGGTAATAATAAATCCTTTCAGATACTGCCAGAACTACATATCGCAGGCTTTAGATGCCAGTGGGCAGCTGCTTGGCTAAATGTGGACCCCAGTTGTCAAGGAGAGACCCACCCCAATACAGGAGAAACAAATCAACAAGTATTTGCAGGGCACACACAGGGCAGAGCCTCTTGGAGGTGAAGACTTCAGTTTAGACACCATCTCTGCTTTTAAGGAATTAGCAATTTGAAAATGTGCTCAGAATGTCAAGTTTGATGTAGAGACATGTATGGCTCCACGAACTGGCTTGTGTAGACCAGAGATAAACTAAAGCATCATGTGCCCTAGTTTATTATCCTGCCTCTAACCAAATGGTTGACAGTTGTCAGTGTTGTGGAGCTGGATATCCATGAAGATAGTGTCAGCAATAAACTTCTGTTAACTTTTTTGTTTCCAAGATGGTTTAGTTTCCTTGAACTAGAAGGCAGGATTTTGCTACTGTGTAATTGCCGAAGTCATTGATTCTCACCTTAATGTCCTCTTCTAAAATCCAGAGGTAATAATAACCTAGCCACCTCTCTTACTAGCTTGTTTGGAGGATTTAAGTGAAGTAACTTCTTTGGTTTGTGTGTTGGTTGTTTTAGTTGTCCTTTGAGTGTGTAAGCAGTAAGTAGTGCGATGAAGGCACAGAGATCAGTTTGGGTTTCATGAAGGTGGATTCAGCAGTAGATGGAGTATGAGGCATTTGCCCACAATTATACATTTCAAGGGAACATCTAGTCTGGGCTTCTCATTGTGTAGTAAGGAAATGGGTTCTTGAGAGTTAAAGTGATTTTTCTCCCCATTGTCAGTCTTGGAATAAGCTATGATGTTACAGAGTCTGCCAGGTTTTTCTCATGACCAAGTGAGAACAAACGAGATAATGATTGTGAAAGTTATCCATCAGCAGTAGAATGCTACACAAATGTGAAGTGTTATTTTATTGAAATGTGTCCCCCAAAGCCCGTTATTGCAGAAAACTGGTAATCACCCTGGGTGATGGCAGAGCTTTGGGGCCTTGGACACCAGCTGTTCCCCAGGAGGTTTTCCCAGCTGCTGCTAAGGGCAACCCTGCAGTGGAGGAGTCCAGAAGTGGACATTCCGAGAGCACAGACTTCATATAGGATTGGGCTAAAGCAGGTCAAAGGCAAAACAGTTGAAACTATTTGGGAAACAGGTGGGGACAATGGAAAATTCATTTGGCTAAATGTGTGCTTAAATCAACACAAAAGTTATCTCAGTTGCTTTGTTTTGGAAAGCAGTGCTGTAGTGTTTAAAAGCTCCCTCCTTTCCTCTCTCCCTTTTCTTCCTTTCTCCCTTCCCTTGTCCTTTCTTTCTTCTTCTTTTAAGAATATTAACATTTAAAGCTTATTTAAGAGAAACTGGAAAGGTGATTTAACTCTCCTTAGGTTATGAAGAGGTATTAATGAAGGTTGATTACCAGTCGTGTGATTGTTTCCCCTGTATATAAGAGAAGAACGTGTGATTTCAATGCAACAAAGGGATTTTAGTTCAATATAAGGGAAACTATGTTGTATCAGATCCCTGGTATGAGACAGCTCCAAGCTGGGTGTTTTCATACACTTTTTTCATTTAATCTTTACAAAACTTCTCTTTGCCCCCAATGTATGCTAAGCTTCAAGAATAGGGGTGGTTTTCCCTGTCTCTCATATTCTACTGCCTTCAGATTATTATTTTTAAAAATATAGCCTATGTCTTGTTTGTATGCTACTTAAAATAACTTTTAAAAATGACATATCCTCTAACACATTTGAAAATTTATATCTGAATTTTAAAATTATAATTATGTAAAGGACTTAATTTCTGGTGTCTTGTAAATATTGACATTTCAGTTCAAATGTTCTTTTATTCTTCCAAGTATATGCAATGAAATCTAATCCATAGCAATTTGACACCCACCCTCTTTCATTAAAGAAAGATAAATGCAAGCTCTTTTAAACAGTTGGAAATTTGCAGCATTCCTTTTCCTTCCGGAACCTGTGTTATCCCATTTTATTTCCCATGACAAGTTTTATCGTACTGTAATGCATTATGTTTGCAAATATGTTATTTATTACTCTATTAGAGACTTCAACAGATAAATGTATATACAAACTTGAAATTAAACTTCAAATTTAAACTTTGTAATTAAAAATAAAAGTAAGCCTAGGCAACATGGCGAAACCCAATTTCTACAAAAAAATACAAAAATTAGCTGGGCATGGTGGTGTGCACTTGTGGTCTCAGCTACTCAGCAGGCTGAGGTGAGAGGATCACTTGAACCTTGGAGGCAGAGGTTAAGTGAGCTGCAATCATGCCACTGAACTCCAGCCTGGTGACAGAGGGAGACCCTGTCTCAATCAATCAATCAATCAATCAATAAAATTGCTTTAATTTCTAGCAACTATAGAGCTAAGTATTAACATTTTTCATTTGGACTGAATTATCATTATCATTATTACTAGTACATGGTTACTCGAAATAGCATAAATAAGTTACAAACAATAATTACTAAATATTAAAATTAACATTTATTGGAAATAGATCTTAAAAATTGATAGGGCTTTTAATTTTTCCATGAGTTCATATATCCAGAATGGATGTTACTAATTGCATGAAGGTTTGGCATTGACTCTATTCTTTTTTTCCATTTACAGATGTGAGCACTGAGAGTGTTTGCTCTCACATAAATAAGAAGGTGGGAATGGAAGGAATTTTATTATGGCAATTTCACAAAATTCTTTTAACTATATCTGAGTTTTCTGTCAGAAACCATGTAGTATTCTATTATGAAGATTATTATTAATGGTCCATCACTGACAACTTGATGAGGTTCTCCTTCAGTTTTGTTCAAGGTTAAGAAATGGAAATGATGCAACTTGTAGAGAAATTTGTTACCCAATCATGAGAGTATTTTCTTGGGAGAGGCATTCTGCCATGGGCCCTGATTGTTCCTGCACATTCTTGTTGAGTATGCCAAGAATGCAAGGCTCTTATTGCTTTTTACCAGGGACATTTCTCAGAGTAACGAGCAACATTGAGATGAGTTTACATCTGTCACCACACCAAAAACAAACAAACAAACAGACAAACACACACACCAGAGTTGCTTCTGCTTCTATGAAAGTGGTGAATCTCCCAAGCTCAGTATGATACAAACCCACAGTGTACACAGTATCCATTTAGACATGGGGGACATGGGAAACCAACATGGGGAACATGGGAAACTGACATGAGCCAACATCACGCTCATGCTTCTTGCTGTGTTGAGAATAATAGAGGTTGTAGTCTCTGAGCCAGGAGTTCCATGTCTTGTCCATGAAATTGTAGCAGACTAGCTTATTAGCTTGCAAGTAGAAAAAAATCCCAGATCCTTCACAGACCCTGACTTATTTATATTTTTAATTTCTGGGAAGAATGCCAAGAAGACATTACCCCAACTCACTGAATGATGGCTAATTGTACCAGTTACTCTTTCACATGGAGATGCCCTGTTTGCTATAATAAAATCAAAGTGTTGGCAAAATTTAAATTTGTTAGCTTTGGTATACCTTTGTCAATATGATATTTTTGAAAATCACTTTAAAATATTGTCATGTTCTTTAAATATAAATTCATCTAAACTTGGAGCCACAGACTTAGTTCATTCGATATTTGGGAATGTCTGATTGGCAAAGCCTATCCCTATTGGTCAGACAATCAGCCAAAATAAACTTATTTGATGTCACTTATCTGCCTTTATTTTTTTCAATCCAAATAAATGTGTTAGATGTCTTTTTGGGACATCCATTTTATTTCTGAAGAAAACAATGAATGGGTATGAGTTTCTTTACGTATCTCCTCAAAAACATGGAATTCAGTCCTCTTAGCTTTATACCATTTTGCCATCTTAAAGGCAATATCTAATGTTCTGGGCAAATTTAGACTCAACCTTTTGGCAACTCAAGTTTGTTCATGAATAAAGTAGCATTTCATTAAGATGAAAAGAATGGATCTGAAAAATGAAGCCTCTCCCATGCCTGGGCATTGAAGCAGCTCCACAGATGATAGATGTTCTTATTCACTCTTTCCAAAGAAAGCCCAAATCAACACAAATAAAAGTAGGAAAATTTGAAAATAATTTCTCCAATGCAAGACCAGAAAAGTCTTTGCATGCTATAGTTTTTTTTTAAACAGTAATGCTATTTCCTTTGCTGTAATAGTGGATATAGATTATTAATTGAGAGAGAGTAAAAATATCCCTGGATTCATTAATAGGTAAGGGAGATGTTTTGTCTACTGCAATTTTTGCGACAATCTGCCAACTATCTTTTCAATGAGGTACCAAGGTATCTGATTAGAGAATCCCTTTAATTACAGAAATGCTGTTTCCTGAATTCCTGAATGGCATGTTCACCTGCCTGCTGAGTATCTCCCCCATCATTTCCAACAGATTTCTCAAACTCAGCATCTCTAGAACTGAACTCCTAATCTTTAATTCTAAAATAATTTCATCTTCAGCCTTCCCAATCTCTGTTGTCGGCAACTTCATCCTTCCTGTTGTTCAGGTCAGTCATCCCTGACTACTGTCTTCATCTTCACCTCAAACCCATTTGATCACATAATCCTATAGGCTCCCTTTCAAAGTATATCCAGAATCTGATCATTCCCCACCACCTCCACCATATCTACCTTACCCTGAGGCACTGTCTTCTTCTGTCTGAATTACTGCAATAGCCTCCTAACTCATAAGAAGGCAGAGCCCTGCTTCTGCCTGTCCCTCTTACAGTTTATTTTCAACAGATCAGCTGAAGCAATCATTTAAAAGCATAAGTCAGATGATGTCCATTCTCTGCAGGATGCCCTGCAGCATGCCCTTTTTACTCAGAATAAAAGCATTGTCTTTACAATGGGCCATGTAATTCCCCACCCAATTCCCTGAGCTCATCCCCTATTACTCTTCCCCTTTGCCCACTCCCCTCACAACATTGACTGGCTTCCTTGATGTTTCTTCTGCATGCCAAAGGTATTTCCACTCTGGAGTTTTCACAGTCACTATTTCCTCTGCCTGAAATGTTTTCCACAAATATTCATATGGCCGACAACTTTACCTCCTTTAGGTTTTTGTTCAGTTGTCTTTTTAATGAGGCCTACTCTGGGAATGCTATTAATGTTAAAAATTTCTACCCATATTCCTTGGCTTACACTCCTAATTCCCCTTTACCATCTGCGGTAAGCAGCCTCTATGATGGCCCCCAGTTCACCTTCAGGTATTCACAGCCTTGTGCAATCCTTTCTCTTTGAGTAACTCATTTCAAACTAACAGAATATGACAAAGTTGAGGGATGTCACTTCCATGATTAGGTTACATGAGACTTTGACTTCTATTTTGCTAGCAGATTCTGTCTGTTGCCTTCTCAACTTGCATTCTTTGATGAAGCAAGTTGCCATGTGGGAGAAGCTCATGTCTCAAGGACCTGAGACGCCCTCTGGCCAGAAGCCTGATAATCACAGGCTCTCAGTCCAACAACCCACAAGGAACTGTTGACTCAGTGTCAACAATCACTGAATGAAATTCGTAGTGGATCCTTCCATACTGGAGCTTTCGGATGAGACCAAATCCTGGGCTGACACTCTGATCGCAATCTTGTGAAAGACTGTGAAGCAGAGGATCTTGTCAAGTTGTACCTGGATTTCTGACCCACAGAAACTGTGTACAAAAAAATGTATGTGCTTTTAAGCCATTAAGTTTTGGGGCAATTTGATATCCATAATAGATAGCTAATACTTCTCTATGCTTTTACCTGCTAGTTTATAAACACCATGAGGGCAGAAATCTCTATTTTGTTACTAATGTATCCTGATTACCCTGAATAGTGCTTGGAATTTAGTAGTTACTTATATTTGTTGGATGAATGAATTAATGAATCACTGAGTTAACGAGTGATGCCCTTGGATTAATGAATTAATGAATGAATTAATTGTTGGATGAATTCATTCATCCAACAACAGTTGGTGGATGAGTGAATTAATGAATCACGGAGTTAATGAGTGATGCTCTTGGCATCTAGCATAATTGTAGCTATCAACAGTGCATAAAGAATTATAACTTTTTCTACAATCATACAATACTTTCCATTTTTTGCAATGAATGTTGCTAATTTGTAATAGATTTTCCAAAGTCAACTTTGATAACTACATGAAAACATTAAAATTATTTACATTTTTGCCAATCTCCTCAGTTTTCATTAACAAAAATTTAATAGTTTTATTTTTCAAATCTAGATGTTTGAAAATAAAAGATACTGCAAGATTTATATAATTGTTTATATCTAATCTTATGCGACTTCTCTCTGGAGCCATGTCTATTTTAATGATATGGAATTAAAGAGATAAAGTCATTAATTTAAAATTGTCATCACTCCTGCCATCCTATTCTTCTACATATCTAAATTTAGAACACCCTAATATTGGCTCAAATTCCCATTTCTAATGCCAGACTTTGTAGTAACAGAAATATATCAAAGAAGGAAAAGACAGGCAGCTCTACTGTAGCTTCATTGTCTTGATTGAAGCAGGTTTTACAGACACCAACATTTCGAATTGCCCATTTTTGACACCCCAGAGTTTTTATTACACCTTGGGAAAATGCACCACAGGAAGAATCAGGAGAAATTAAAGGTGTATATTTCTTTCTGTACAGTGGAAAAAGTAAGGCTGTGAAAGGAGAAATAGAAATGGACAACCTGGTTGAAGTAGTGAGAAATGAATTTCAGCAGAGTACTCTCTGAATATATGTGGGAGCCAAGGATTTGGGAAGCGGTTCCCCTAAAACTGTCTGTGTCCTTGTACCTGTTAGAAGGTCTCTGTTTACTCCAGTTTTCAGACATCTAGCCTAACCAGCTGAAAAATGTTTGCTTGGGGTTGGAGTGAGAGCAGAGAAGAGCTGAGGAAAAAAGTGACTGTTTTTGTGGCACTCTGGGCTGACTTCTTTCAAGTTAATTATTTTACACTATTATGGCATGGAGCTGAGTGAAGAAGGTGTTTGTCATCCTCAGGGGCTATGATATTTGACAGTCATGGATTCTATAGATTTAAATATACTTGCATATAAAATGGTGAAATAAGCTTACACCATTGGAAAATGCCTAAGGGTACAAAAGCAGGCAAACTGGAGAGACAGCCAAGTGACTGCCTTTTACATTTTTCAACCACAATGAAAAATCAACTTTCTTCAGAGTACCAGGTTGAATTCCACCATTTGGAATTATGCTTTTTCCTTTTGTAATGGAGCAATAGTTTCACCTATCACTAATTCCATCTAGGAGATTATCATACAAGAATAAAGAGGCCACATTGCTCTCTTGCTCTTTATGTATTTTTTTCTTTTTTTTTTTTTTGAGACAGAGTCTTGCTATATTGCTTAGGCTGGATTGCAACTCCTGGGCTCAAGGGATCCCAAGTCACTGGGACTATGGGTGCATGCCACCTTGCCTGGCTTACGTGTGAGTCTTATTATATTAATATTTGGTGTATGTAAAATGTATATAAATTAAATTTGTAGAATGATTGAGTCAGAGGGGGTGTTTAATTATATTGCACATAAAGTAGTGTGGCATCCATTTTTCAATCTTTGGTTCCCAAGGAACTGCCAGTAGCATCTAGCAGAGGCCATTGGTAGCTGATGCACTTACTTGTGAGCATATAAAACTTCTCAGAGGAGAGCCAGAAATTTTAACATGTTGGGGGGAAGGAAGCTAAGGTTCTGCTGAACGTGTAGAAAAGAGCAAGTTCCTGTGACATTTGGGTTGATGATGACACCCTATCTGCCACTACATTCCAATGTATGTAGGGGACAGGGGCCAGTGGAAACTCAGGTTACATAAAAAACCCTTAGTTCTTGGTGAGCAGCAACTGGTGAAACCCCTTCTTTTTTCCCTACTAGTTGCCTCTTGAGTTACCATCCCCAGTGCCTTCCCACTTTCAGAAAAGGCTAGGGCTGGAAATTACTCATTTGCAATAATTCTGGTTGAAGTGAGCCTTTCTCTCCTTTTTTTTCCCCCAAAACAAGAGTGAATTTTCTGTCTAAACCCTCTGATGGACACATCGATACAGATCACCAGTCTTCCTGAAAATCATTTGAAGGAGAATTGGGAGGGAGGTCCCCACATGACGTCAGGAGAATGGTGAATGCAGGCTGCCTGGTGCCTGGCCTCCCTCCTGGGACAGAAGTGGCACTCCCTCCCACATGTTTCCCCAGCTTCACCCTGCCCTCCAAACCCAAGGCTGGCAGGTCACCTAGTTAATGTTTACAACAAAAACCTGTTGAACAGTAGGAAATTCCCACCTCCCCCCAAATACAAAAGCCTTTCATGCTGAAACCCCCCTCCTGAATTTCTCTTGGGCAGAGAACACTAGATGTATTACCTCAAATAATCGCTGCTGAGATGGAAGTTCAGCTTCTCAGGGAAAATATTATTAGCATTTATGTCAGGAAAAATAAAGTTCTGAGGAAGACCCTAGAATTTTAGGGCAAGCGTGTAGCACTAAGAAGGTCAGTGGATCCCAGATGCCAGTATGGATCTTGGACTCTTTGAACACAAACCAGCTACAAGGTTGGCCATGAGATGGGTCCACAGAACAGCTAAATATTCAGTGGAGGACTCAGTTCAAGCAGCTTCTGAGAATGATCATCCTGTCAGCTCTTTTGTGACAGGCAATCAATCATTAACCTCTCCTAACCACCCTGGAAGAATGTTTTGGAATTTTGATTAAATGTGGTTTATGTTGGCAATAAGAGAAAGAACTAAGTAAATGTTTGACATTCAGCCTCTGCTCTGGAGAATAAGAGGTGATGGAAGACTCTATTGAATAAGCTGTATTTTATTTTGATTTGTTTGATAAGAATGAAAGAACATGTCCCAGGGGGACCCACATCCCTTCTTTCCTGTGGGGAGTGTCCTAGCAGACCCCACATAGGCATCCTTGCTTCTCCACTCTGCTAGGACTCTAGAGGTGATTTTTGGCCTCAGGGGTTATAAGTATCTGGGGCATCAGTGGACAAATGAATATCTATTAGAGAACTTTTACCTGTAGGTCATGCTTCCATACAGGCAATATCTGGAGAGCGAATAGGTAAGGTTTCAGTGCACAGAAAAGATGATGGCTAAAATATAAATTTGATATTTTGTTCACTGATGTATCCTAAATAATTAGAAGAGTGTTTGTTGAATGAATGGCTCTACTCACATCAGGGACAGCCTGCTAAGACTGGCTGGGTGATTCACATAGTGGTTGCTTTCCGGATGCACTGCTTTTGCATCTTCTGGGCCATGGTTCAACTTTATCATGACTCAGGGATATGGTCCAGGTATCCAATCTCCAGTACAGTTCCAATACCCAATCTCCATAACTCCCCCCAGTATGTCTCTCTTGCCCCTCATCTTAGCCTTCTCACAGAAAAAATGAACAACATGTTGATTCTACTCTTTTATCCAAATGATAGCATTCCTTCTTCTAGTCTTAGGATAGCTGTCCTGATCCATACATATATCCCCTCCAAAGGGGAGCTACCTTTACAGTTCTAAGATGAAGAAAAGGAAACAAAAACACAACTTTATAGTCTGTCAAGATTTTTGCTACAGGACAAATACATTATCTGCATGTGAAATCTGACTGCTCACCTCTGGGCTCACACTTTTCATTGACTTTATAAAGGTTCTTAGGAAGCATAGATGCTATGTATGGGTATTTAATGGGATAGAAGAAGCAACAAAACTGCATTTCATAAGGGATAATAACTGGCCCAACATCAGCGAGGTTGTGTCATGGTGATACAGAATTGAGGAGCAGGAAGGTAGAGAGGAAATGCTATTCCTTCTCCTCTGTCATTCATTCATTCATTCACTCATTCATTCAATATTTATTACACACTGATTCCATGCTAGGCACTGTTGCTAGAAGCTGGGGATGCAGTGGTGACATAGAAACAAGATCCCCGTCTTCTTGGAGCTTAGTATATTAGAGAAGTTAGATCTTTCCTACTTATGCCATTGGACAACTGAAGAGAGAGGAAGCTTAGACAGCTATGAGGCCTATGGCAATCTGAATTCTTCCACAGGAATCTCTAAATAGAAGGCTGGGAGCACTTGGATGCTAAATTAGCCTGATGTAATCCAGGTTGTATTAACTCCAGGAAAGACCTAACCTGACTCCAGGAAATGAATTAAGAATGCTATATAAATAAGTTTCTAATAAAATCTGGGAGTAAGCCAGAGTGTGTTCCCTGCCCCCAACCCCCTTCTGATTTAGTGTTGCAACTGTTAAGCTGAACCAAAGGAAAAAAAAAAAAAAGGAAAAAAAATACAAAGACTACCTCAAAAACCAAACTACAAATTGGGAGAAAATATTTGCAATGTATATACTAGCAAAGAGAAATATATCGACAATATATAAAGAGCTCCTACAAATCATTACATATAAAATGAAATTACGATATCAAAACAGGCAAAGTTATTGTATCTTCTCGGTCATGTTTCAATTTTATCATGACTTAGAGATGTGGCTTGAGTCTCTAAACTCCAGTCCAATTCCAGTGCTCTATCTTCATGCCTCCCCCAGGTCTGTGTCTCTTGTCTGTCTTTCCCAGCAGGAAACAATGGCTTACTCAAAGAATTTCAGTGAAGAGTTTAACGAAGGAACAGTCTTTAGAGTTGTGGCCAGGTTGTGAGAATAAACAACAAAAATACTAGCAAAATCCAGAAACCATTACCATGTCTAGATCTGCAGGCATCAGGGGAAGGAGTTGCTTATTGGAGCTCGGAGAGAGCTAGAGTTCTGGATGAGGGGACTTGCCTCCTGGGTCTGAGCCTGAGTGGTGCAGTTCTTACAAGTCAGCCCGCATGGTACAGAACACAGCATAGGAGAGTAAAGAATGGATGTGGTGGGGTAGGGAGGAAACAGAGGATAAATAGGACAGTGATAAATAGAAATCCACAGTTTAAAACTTAGTATCTAATAAACATTAGATTCATTTAAAAGCTCCTCAACCTCACAAATAAGTACTAAATTGTAATTTTTAGAACGATTTTCTCACATTAGGTTGGCAACATTGAAAAAACAGGCATAATATTTAGTGTTGCTGAGGATGAGTAGAAATGAGAACTCTTATACATTATTGATAGCTTTCTGGAGAATAATTTGCCATTAGTTATTTCTGTTTAAAATACTATTTAAACCAGCAATTCGGCTTCTAGAAGCAGCTTACTCAGCTTACGCTGGGCAATAGTGGAATTTAATTAGTGGAATTGACTGCTGTTTTCAGGAGACACCATCCCTGCCTTCCTGGCATTTATAGTCTATAAGGGAAGAAAGGCATCTCTTAATGATTGTTCATAATTTGTATTTCAAAGATGTGGGTCAACTAATATTTACGGAGTGCCTACTATGTACCAAAGCCTTCACAATACATTAAGGTTAGGAAGTATGCTTGGCATGGTGGCTCACGCCTGTTATCTCAGCACTTTGGGAGGCTCAAAGAAGGATGATTGCTTGAGCCCAGGAGTTCAAGACCAGCCTGGGCAGCATGGTGAGACTGTGTTTCTACCAAAACAAAAATACAAAAAACAAAACTAGCCTGGCATGATGGTGTGTGCCTGTATTCCCAGCTACTTGGGAGGCTGAGATGGGAGGATCACATGAGCCCAGGAGGTTGAGGCTAGAGTGAGTGATCATTGTGCCACTGCACTCCAGCCTGGGTGACAGAGTCTCTTACTCTGTTCCCCCCCCCCAAAAAAAAAAAAAAAAGAAAATTAGAAAAAACATAAGCCTTGACCCTTCTCTTTGAGGGCTTCTAATCAAGTGTATAGATGGTTATATAAACAGGTAATTTGAAAATTAAAGTGGTAAAGATGAGAGTAGCAGATACATCCATGGAATAATATGGGGATAAAGAGGAGGGGGAGCATCACTTAGCCTTGGGATACGGGGGAGATGTTCTTAGAGAAGTTAATGTTTGATTTGAGTTTTGTTTTGAGAGATAAGCAAGAGTTACCCAGGTTAAAAGGGGGAAAAGGCACTCGATGTAGAAGAAAAAACATGAGCAAAGCATGGGAGAAGGAAGCAGAACGGCATGCTGGGGAGAAAGACAATCAGCTTACAGAGACTATTGCTTCTGCTAAGAGGAGTAACGGGCAGACTTAGCTTCCTGCCTGGAATAACCGAAAAACTCAGACAAATAGTGTAAAACACAGTTTTAAAGAAACTGGACATCAGGGAATGGACAGTGGTCCTTGAGAATGACCTCTAAGATATCCCCATATTGCTGCGTTGAGATAGATTCCAGGTTATGGTGCAGGGAGGGAAACCAAGTAGAGGTAGACTTCCTGAATTAAGGTCACAAAGCTAAGGTTCCTAGGAGACCAAGGTGGCTATGTTTCACTGAAAATTATAAAACACAGCCTGATTCAGTGGCTCACGCCTGTAATCCCAGCACTTTGGGAGGCCAAGATGGGTGGATCACCTGATGTCGGGAGTTCAAGACAAGCTTGGCCAACACGATGAGACCCTGTCTCTGCTAAATATACAAAAATTAGCTGGGTGTGATGGTGTATGCCTGTAGTCCTAGCTACTTGGGAGTCTGAGGCATGAGAATTACTTGAACCTGGGAGGTGGTGGTTGTAGTGAGCCAAGATTACACCACTGCACTCCATCCTGGGCAACAGAGTGAGACTCTATCTCAAAAAAAAAATTATAAAACACTTTTGAGAAAAACTAAAGGAGAAGAAATAATGGAGAAATATACCTTGTTCATGAGTTGGAAGACTCGGTGATGTTAAGATATCAGTTGATCTACAGATTCAATGCAATTTCAAACAGAATCGCTGCAAATGGGTATTACCAGTAGAAAACGACAAGCTGATTCCAAAATTCACAAGGACCAAGTCATAACAACTTTAAAATAGAATAAATTTGGAAGTCTAATACTATCTAATTTTAAGACTTATTATAAAGCCACAATAATTAACATAGCCTGGTATTGGCATTAACATAGACAATGGAACAGAATAGAGGTACAGAAATAATCTCACATGTATATGAACAACTAATTTTTAACAAAGGTGGAAAGGAAATTTAGTAGAGAAAGAAGAATCTTTCAACAAGTGTTGCTGGAACAATTGGATATGTACATGCTAAAAAAAACAAAAAACAAAAAACAAAACCAAACAAAAAAAACAACAACCTTGGCTGGGCACGGTGGCTCATGTCTATAATTCCAGCACTTTGGGAGGCTGAGGCAGGCAGATCACGAGGTCAAGAGACTGAGACCATCCTGGCTAACATAGTGAATCCCTGTCTCTACTAAAAGTACAAAACAATTAGCTGGGCATGGTAGTATGTGCCTGTAGTCCCAGCTACTCGGGAGGCTGAGGCAGGAGAATTGCTTGAACCCAGGAGGTGGAGGTTGCAGTGAGCCGAGATCACGCCACTGCAGTCCAGCCTGGTGACAGAGTGAGACTCCATCTCAAAAACAAAAACAAAAACTTTGATTCGTGGTCTAATCAATAAAATCAACTTAAAATCAATCATAGTCCTAAATGCAATACCTAAAACTATAAAATGTCTAGAAATAGACATAGAAAGAAATCTCTGTGGCCTAGGGTTATACAAAGATTTCTTAAGCCTAATACCTTTTATGGGTCAAGCCTAAATTTTCTTAGGCTTAATCCACAAAAAAAAAAAGACAAATTAGGCTTCATCAAAATTAAAATCTTTTGTTGAGAGCTTAAAAAAAGACAGACTAGGGAGAAATAGTTGCAGAATTTTCTATCTCATAAAGAACTTCTATCCAGAATATATAAAGGACTCTCAAAATTCAATAATAAAAAGTAAACCATGTCTACCCTGACAAAAAAAGTGACCAAAAGATTTAAACAGACACTTTACCAAGGAAAATATATAGATGGCAAATAAGCACATGAAAACATGTTAAACTTATTAGTTGTTAAGGATATGAGAATTAAAGCCATAATGGGATACTACTAGAATGATTAAAAGAGAAAGAAGTGATCATACCAAGTGTTGGTGAGCATGTGGAGGAACTAGAACTCTCATATACTGCTGGTGGGAATGTAAATTGGTACAACCACTTTGGAAAACAGTTTGGTAGTTTCTTAAAAAGTTAAACATATACTTACTCTATGATCCAGCCATCCTACTTCTGGTTGTTTACCCCCACAAAAGAAAGCATATATTCATACAAAGACTTGCATACACAAATATTCACAGTGCATTTATTTGTAAAAACCAAAAAGCTGGAAACCACCAATTATCTATCAACAGGTGAATGGATAAGCATATTATGACATAGACACATGATAGACTACTAAGTAATAAAAGGAATTAACTATTAACTGATACATGCAACAATATGGATGCATATCAAAATAGCTATGCAGAGTGAAATAATCCAGACAGAAATAAGAATTACTAGATAAATTATTTATTTTAAAACTAGAACATGCAAATAAATGTATAGTGACAGGCAGCAGATGGGTGGTTGCTTGGGAAGATGAGTTGGGGAAGGTGGGAGGGAGATATTGCAAAAGGGCATGAGTAAGCCTTTGGGAATGATAGATATTTTTACTATCTTGATAGTGGTGATAGTTTCATGGATGTATACATATGCCCAAACGTATCAAATGTTACATTTTAAATAAGTATAGCTTATTATATGCTAGTTATATTTCAGTAAAGCTACTAAAGTTGGCTTTGTAAAGTGATGGAAGTTCAGATTGGGGAGATGGGCAAAGGCCAGGTTGTGGAGCATCTTGCGTATCTTTGACATGATGCTACACTGAATAGTTTGAATAGTGGTCAGATTATGTTTTGTATAGCCCCTCTGGCAGTTATGCAGGGGGTGAATTTTAGGGTGGCAAGACTTGAAGTAGAGTGACCTATTATGAGATCCTTGTGATATACACCATGAGAGAGGATGAAGACCTGACCCAGGTCAAAGGTGATAGGTATGGAGAGAATGGGATGCAGTAGACATAGAGAAATAGAAGGCAAACTGTTGAGTCTTGGTGGTTGACAAGGCATCAGTTTGAAGGGAGAAAGGGTCTAGGGTGATTCTAGGTTCTGGCCATAAAATAAGGAGAGAAGAGGAGTAAGAACAAGTTTAACAGAAAGGATGATAGCTTTACTTTTGGACAGGTTGAATTTTGGGGGCCTGTGAGTCCTCTAGCTGGATCTGTCCCCTATGCAGTTCAGGAGATAGGTCTGAATCTGAGACTTACCAGTGCAGAGTCAGAGGGAGTAGATGACACTGACGAAGGAGACTACAAAGAGCTAGTGGGGAAGTGGTCAACAGTGGAGCCCTGGGAAGTGCCAGGGTATAAGGGACATGCACTGCAGAAGGAACACTCACTGATTTAGAAAGAATGGAGTGGACGTGGGAGTCAAGGGAGTACGGGTTTGAAGAAGTAAATAATCAAACTGCTTTTTCTTGAGTTTAAACATGAATAAAGTATTGGGCTTTTATTGGTTGTCATTGCTAAGTAACAATTTATCACAAACTTACTGGCATAAAACAACACACAATGACTATCTCAGTTTTTTACCTGACTGATCAAACGCAATGTAACTGGGCCCTCTGCAGAGTCTCACAGGGTTTCAGTCAAGTGTCTCCTCGTCTGCATTCTCATCCAGAGACTTGAGACTTGAGACTTGACTGGGGGAAAAATCTGCTTCCAAGTTCAAGTTCAATGAGTGTTTTTTTTTTTTTTTAAGAATTCATTTCCCTGCAGCTATATAGATGGGAGTCCTGGCTTCTTAGTGGCTGTCAGCTGTCAGCCCCCTTCATTTCCTACAGGCTGCTCACAGCTCTGTTCCACATGGCCCTCACCATAGGCAGTTCCCAAGATAGCTGTTTGCTTCCTCAAAGTCAGAAGGAGAATCTCTCACTTCTTTTGGCTAAGATGGATTCTTACATAATGCAATGTAATCAAGGCAGTGACAGCCCACCATCTTTGCCATATTCTTTTTTAAGTTAAAACAAGTCACAGGTCCTGCACATACTCAAGGGGAGGGTGTTATACAAGTGCATGGCGCAGTGGGGTCACCTTAGGGTGTATTGTCACATACTGTTAGATGCAGAGATTTCCAAGATTTGAGGAAGTGAGGCCAGTTAGGAGACAGCAATGGTAATTCAGGCAAAAGGTATTAGGTGCTAGAGTGAGGGTAATGGCTGTGGGGAAGGTGAGAGGTAACTGAGTTTGAGAGATAAGACGAGGACTTCATAGACTTGGCTATTGTAGGGGGCTTGGAGGGGAGGAACAAGTTTAGGAAGATGTCCATTTGGCAGAAATGTTGTGAGGGTAGATTATGAGTTCAGTTTAGGCATGTTGTGATGATATCTAGTAGGATACATGATAAATGGTTTGAATCATGAGGTGGGAGGGAACTTGGTTGAAGATGAAGTTTTGAACATCATCAGTGACAGCTTTGCTTTACTTTTAAGGCAAGGAAGTTGACTGGTCCTCTCTTCCCCTCCTATATATTTGTATCACTGAATAAACAAATGTGTGGAGAACACTGTGCCATGCTACTGAGTGGTATACATCCATCTTCCCAGCTTATTTCTGACCTTACCTGTAGAAAGTCAGAGTTGACACTCTATGCTGTTTGGATGGTAAGGGTGGAGGGGGAAAGACACATTCATTTTCCCCCTCCCCTCACTCAGAACATCTGCTGCCCCTGTGATGGGGGTGGCTGGTAGCACACCTCCTAAGCCCTGGCAGATATAGGAGGGCTGCATGGAGCTGAGCTGATGGCTGAAACCAAAGAAGCCCCAAACCTGTTGTCAAAGCAGCTGCATAAACCATAAATTTCTTGTGGAAGCAGACCCAGTGGCTGTCAAAGGGGAGGAAGTGAAATGGGAGCAGCTATAGTTGGTATAGATGTCCCTTTGGTTTCTTCATCCAGCTCAGAGCTCATAAGTGCAGGGATCCAGGTTCTTTCTTGAAGACAAAAATGCATGGCCATATTTTCCTTTGGATTCCCTTAATCAGGGTGAGGCAAGCATGCTTTACTGCACTGGTGGGTGGTTCTACCACAAGGCTGACTCCCATTCCCATGGAAGCACTGAAATAAGCCTCTGCTTTGCAAAGTAAATAACAAGGCAGCCTACCTCTGGGTCTTCCCGGGCCTCTTATCATTTTGATCTTTATGGTATCATAAATGTCTTTTTACAGGTGCGGGAAAGGGATCCTGGTGAATTTGTTTATGCTTCTTTTTTTTTTTACCCTTACTGATTAATTGCAAGTTAAAAGCTTGGCTGATCAAGTGGGGTCCTTTGCCTATCTCCAAGAGAGGGTAATACACCATCCATAAATTGTGTGCTTTTGTGTGGACGGTGTGCATGTGTATTGAGAAGTGGCTTACTAACAAATTCAAATTTTAACAGGTGCTTTAGTTTACTTGGTGTTGGTGAAGAGTGTTAAGTAAAAAAGGCAAACAGAAACTCACATGGGTCATTAGAGCCATGATAGGGGCAGTAATCTTTTTTTGAAATAAATTTTATTGTGTGTATTTGAGGTTTACAACATGCTATTATAGAATACATATAGATAGTAAGATTACAATAGTGAAGCAGATTAACATATTTATCATCTCACATAGTTACCTTTTTTGTAAAATTTATTAATTTAACAAAAGTCCCTAATACAATTTTATTAACTGTCATCTTCATGTTATACTTTAGATCTCTAGACTTATGCATATGGACAGTAATCTTACGTCTTACAAAATTCCCTCCTTCCCTCCCATCATCCTCCCTTAACCCTCCCCTACCCTTCCTCCTTTTCCTCCCTTCCTTCCTTCCTTCTTCCTTCCTTCCTTCCTTCTTTCCTATCATTCATCCAACAAACTTTTATTGCATAGCTCCTTCCTGTATGCCCATTATTATACTAGGTGCTGTGGATATTGGAATGATTTAGAGACATTCTCTGTCCTGGGGTGCTGTCTATCCTTGCTGGGTATTGAGAACATCCCCCAAATTTAAAAGCAGGCTTGTTCTGTATGTCAGTCAACAATAATCAGCTGCATGTAACTTTGGTGCCATTGCTGATGCACTCTTTTTATGGCCTGCATTTGGAGTTCTTTCCCAGCTGTATAAATGGATTTGAGTTGATTCATTCACGCTCTATCATCCAGCCTCCTGATGACTAAGGACAATCTTTTCCCCAATGACTGGCCACAGCTGGAGGCACAATCTATGGTTCTGGAAGGTTAGAAACATCAACTGGAATGCACCTTTGGGAACTTGGAATTAATTAGGACAAAGTCTGAATAGTGCAGTAGGATTACACCCCTTACTGAGAATCATTTCCTCTCTCTCCTGGAACTTTTCCGTGGTCATACAAGCATGCTTCAAGATCATCACTAAAAACAACCCCCAGCACCACAAAAACCTGCCGTAGTAAAACTTCTCAAAAAAGTTGTTCATCGTCTCTGTATCCATGCTTTCATCTTATTTGCACCTCTTAACAGATGGCTTCTGTTCCTCCCTGCAGTGAAATCACTCTTGCAAGGTCACCAGTGACTCTCAGATTGCCAGGCTCAACCATTGTTTTCCTGGTCCTGTATTGGCATTTCAGCTGCAGTATTCAACTCACTTGCTGCATCTTCTCAGTTACTTTTTCTTGGCCCTTTGCTTGGCCTGTAAATGTTAGAGTGCCCTGGTGACTTCTTACACCTTTCTAGTTAGAATCTCTCCCTAGGTGATTCTACACAGCCCCAAAGCTTTACATAGTATCCACATGCAGATGACTCCAGACTTATTTATCCTCAATCTTTCTCCTCATATATCCAACTTCCCACCTGACTTCTCCATTTGGGAGTCTAAGAAGTATCTCTAATTTAATGTGGCTAAATCATAACTTTGTATTCTCACCCCTACTTTATGTTCTTCCCTATCTCAGAAAATGACACTCAGTAGCTCAGGCCCCATATTCATGGTGGTGGCATCTTTGATTGCTCTTTTTCTTCACACTCTATACCCAGTCTTTCATCAAGTCCTCCAAAATAGCATGCATATCTACCTCCTCCCATCTGTCACCACCTTATTCCATGCCATTGGTAATTTTTGCCAGATTTTACTTCCCTTTAATTAATGTACCAAATTAGCTATAATATTTTAAAACCAGATAATTTTATTATAAATAATGTGATTATTTATATGTTTTATTGTAAGTAATTTGACTACAACAAATCAGATTTTTTATTATAAAGTTTTCTAATGGGTACCATTTTATTTATTTTCTTTTTTTAATTTTATTATTATTATACTTTAAGTTTTAGGGTACATGTGCACAATATGCAGGTTTGTTACATATGTACACATGTGCCATGTTGGTGTGCTGCACCAATTAGCTGGTCGTTTAGCATTAGGTATATCTCCTAATGCTATCCCTCCCCCCTCCCCCCACCCCACAACAGGCCCCTGTGTGTGATGTTCCCCTTCCTGTGTCCATGTGTTCTCATTGTTCAATTCTCACCCATGAGTGAGAACATGCGGTGTTTGGTTTTTTGTCCTTATGATAGTTTGCTAAGAATGATGGCTTCCAGTTTCATCCATGTCCCTACAAAGGACATGAACTCATCATTTTTTATGGCTGCATAGTATTCCATGGTGTATACGTGCCACATTTTCTTAATCCAGTCTATCATTGTTGGACATTTAGGTTGGTTCCAAGTCTTTGCTATTGTGAATAGTGCCGCTATAAACATATGTGTGCATGTGTCTTTATACCAGCATGATTTATAATCCTTTGAGTATATACCCAGTAATGGGATGGCTGGGTCAAATGGTATTTCTAGTTCTAGATCCCTGAGGAATCGCCACACTGACTTCCATAATGGTTGAACTAGTTTACAGTCCCACCAACAGTGTAAAAGTGTTCCCATTTCTCCACATCTTCTCCAGCACCTGTTGTTTCCTGACATTTTAATGATCGCCATTCTAACTGGTGTGAGATGGTATCTCATTGTGGTGTTGATTTGCATTTCTCTGATGGCCAGTGATAATGAGCATTTTTTCATGTGTTTTTTAGCTGCATAAACGTCTTCTTTTGAGAAGTGTCTGTTCATATCCTTCACCCACTTTTTGATGGGGTTGTTTTTTTTTCTTGTAAATTTGTTTGAGTTCATTGTAGATTCTGGATATTAGCCTTTTGTCAGATGAGTAGGTTGCAAAAACTTTCTCCCATTTTGTAGGTTGCCTGTTCACTCTGATGGTAGTTTCTTTTGCTGTACAGAAGCTCTTTACTTTAATTAGATCCCATTTGTCAATTTTGGCTTTTGTTGCCATTGCTTTTGGTGTTTTAGACATGAAGTCCTTGCCCATGCCTATGTCCTGAATGGTATTGCCTAGGTTTCCTTCTAGGGTTTTTATGGTTTTAGGTCTAACATGTAAGTCTTTAATCCATCTTGAATTAATTTTTGCATTTTTTTTTTTTGAGACAGTTTCACTCTGTTACCGAGGCTGGAGTGTAGTGGTACGAACATGGCTCACTGCACCCTCAACTTCCTGGGCCCAAGTGATCATCCTGCCTCAGCCTTCCATGTAGCTGGGTCCACAGGCCACCATCATGCCTGGCTAATTAAATTTTTTTTTTTTTTTTCTAGAGATGAGGGTCTTACTTTTTTGGCCCAGGCTGGTCTCAAACTCCTGGTCTAAAGCTTTCTAGTTAGAATCTCTCCCACCTCGGCCACCCAAAGTGCTGGGATTACAGATGTGAGCCACTGTGTCTGGCTAGTGTTCCCTTTTATTTAAAATAAAATATGACAGCTATTCGGGAGGCTGAGGCAGGAGAATGGCAAGAACCCGGGAGGCGGAGCTTGCAGTGAGCTGAGATAGTGCCACTGCTCTCCAGCCTGGGTGACAGAGCGAAATTCTGTCTCAAAAAATAAAAAATAAAAAATAAAAATAAATAAATAATAAAATAAAATAAAATGTGAAAAAAGCTTTGCTATGACCTCCTCCATAAACTGCATACACCCTGCTGGCTTCTGTCATGTCAGCCCCTGCCACCACCCACAAACTCTTCTCCAGCCACACAGGCCTCCCTTCCATTCCTCATATACTCCTGCCCATGCCCACTCTACTCCCTCTGCACTTGTTCTTTTGTGTGGAATCTCTGCCCCCAGATCTTCACAAGGCTACTTCCTTCTTTACATTTCAGTCTCAGCAAACACTGCCTTGAAATGGCTTTCCCTGAACGTCTGAAAATGCTGGGCAACCTTGTTACCCCCATCTCATCATTATAGATTTTACTTTTTTATTGATAGTGTTTCTCAAGATCTGAGATTATCTTGTTCACTTTTTATTTACTGCATATTGTCTGTCTTCCCCCAGTAGGATGAGACCTGGGTGGGAACAAAGACCTTGACTATCTCATTTAATACTCAATCCCCAGTGCCTGCGACAAATCCCCAGAATGCACAGTGGGTAATCATAAGTCACTCCCTTGCTCACGACCCTTCACTTCTTCCCATCTTATGCTGAGTAAAGGCCTTGTACTTTTGATGACTTAAAAGGTCCTGTATGAAACATCTCCTGTATGCAACATCTCCTGTACTATACCAGCCACTGTCCCTGAACTCGTTTTCTTTCTTTCCTACTCTGGTCACCCTGGCCTACTCACTAAATGTTGAACATGCCAAGCATGTTCCTTTCTCAGGGTCTTTGCACTTGCTGTCCCTTTGCTGGTAGTAACTTGCTCACCAAGACATCTATGGGCTTGCTATTTCATTCTTTCATGGCTTTCTTTACTTCCCTATCATAAATTCTACTTCCCATCATGAGATCTCCTCTCTTCTTTTCTATATTTTTCTCCTTGGCACTTCATACAGTCTAACCTGTTATTTATTTTACTTACTATTCTTGTTTACTATCTCTCTCTCCCACTAAACTGTAAGCTTCCTGAGGGCAGGACTTTTTGACGGTTCTATTCACTGCAGAATTTCAGTGACTGTGCTATCCCTGCACATGGTAGTTCTCAGTAAACATTTACTGAGTGAATGAAAAATTAGACGGATTCCAGGCCAGGTGCAGCAGCTCATGCCTGTAATCCTAGCCCTTTAGGAGGCTGAGGTGGGCGGATCCACTTAAGTCCAGCAGTTTCAGATCAGCCTGGGCAACATGGTGAAACCCTGTCTTTGCCAAAAATAAAAAAAATTAGCTGGACGTGGTGGCATGCACCTGTGGTTCCAGCTACTCAGGAGGCTGAGGTGGGAGGATGGTTTGAGCCCAGGAGGTGGAGGTTGCAGTGATCCAAGATCGCATCATCACACTCCAGCCTTGGTAACAGAGCCAGACTCCGTCTCAAAAAAAAAAAAAAAAAAAAAAAAATTAGGTAGATTGTGGCAGGCAGCTCCATTACAAATTCTAGACTTTATAGGAAAGCCATTGAACAATTTTGAGGAGAAAAGTGCCAATTAGTTTTCCATTGAAAAATGATGGCTTTGGTGACTTGGATTGGTAGAATGAGTGTAGACATTGTGTGACAAGTTAGGGGGATCCTCCTTCCTTACACCTTATACAAAAATTAATTCAAGATGGATTAAAGACTTAAATGCTAGACCTAAAACCATAAAAACCCTAGAAGAAAACCTAGGCAATACCATTCAGGACATAGGCATGGGCAAGGACTTCATGTCTAAAACACCAAAAGCAATGGCAACAAAAGCCAAAATTGACAACTGGGATCTAATTAAACTAAAGAGCTTCTGCACAGCAAAAGAAACTCCCATCAGAGTGAACAGGCAACCTACAGAATGGGAGGAAATTTTTGCAATCTCATCTGACAAAGGGCTCATATCCAGAATCTACAATGAACTCAAACAAATTTACAAGAAAAAAACAACCCCATGAAAAAGTGGGCAAAGGATATGAACAGACACTTCTCAAAAGAAGACATTTATGCAGCCAACAGACACATGAAAAAATGCTCATCATCACTGGCCATCAGAGAAATGCAAATCAAAACCACAATGAGATATCATCTCACACCAGTTAGAATGGCAATCATAAAAAGTCAGGAAACAACAGGTGCTGGAGAGGATGTGGAGAAATAGGAACACTTTTACACTGTTGGTGGGACTGTAAACTAGTTCAACCATTATGGAAGTCAGTGTGATGATTCCTCAGGGATCTAGAACTAGAAATACCATTTGACCCAGCCATCCCATTACCAGGTATATACCCAAAGGATTATAAATCATGCAGGTATAAAGACACATGCACACGTATGTTTGTTGCAGCACTATTCACAATAGCAAAGACTTGGAACCAACCCAAATGTCCAACAATGATAGACTGGATTAAGAAAATGTGGCACGTATACACCATGGAATACTATGCAGCCATAAAAAATGATGAGTTCATGTCCCTTGTAGGGACATGGATGAGATTGGAAATCATCATTCCCAGCAAGCTATCGCAAGGACAAAAAACCAAACACCGCATGTTCTCACACATAGGTGGGAATTGAACAATGAGAACACTTGGACACAGGAAGGGGAACATCACACATCGGGGCCTGTTGTGGGGTGGGGGGAGGGGGGAGGGATAGCATTAGGAGATACACCTAATGTAAATGATGAGTTAATGGGTGCAGCACGTGAACATGGCACATGTATACATATGTAACAAATCTGCACATTGTTCACATGTATACATATGTAACGAATCTGCACATTGTGCACATGTACCCTAGAACTTAAAGTATAATAAAAAATGTACATATAAAAGAATTTTAGAAACAAAAAAAAATTAGAGGGATCTTGCAGAAGTTCAGGGGAGACAGAATAATAACCTAACTAGGGGTGTGGCAGTGGGGATGCGGAAGAGGGTATATTTGAAAGAGTTAAGAGGCTAAATCTGTAAGATGTGGTGATTTATAAGAAGTGGGAAGCTATGCTGTGTTAATAACAAATCTCAAGTTTCTAGTACAAGTACCTATGTGAACAGTTGTTCTATTCCTGGAGACAGAAAACACTGGAGGAGGAAGAGATTTCAGGCAGAAGATCAAGGGCTCAAAGTCTTTGGACTTGCTGAGTTTTGGCTGTCTGAGAGATAGCCGAGTAGAAATACTGTGTTGGCAGTTGGATATTCAGGTCAGGAGCTCAGAAGATTTGAGTCATCGGCATACAGATAGTATGTGAAGCCATGGAAGTGAATGATAAACAAAAACTGGTATCAGATTGCACCTGTGAGACCAAAAGTCACTGAATATTTTTACAGTTCCAACATGGCTATTTCTCTCTGGGGAGATTCATTTGCTATATTGAGTGTCATATTATAGTACTCAGTCTTCAGTTGGAACCTTCAAAGGTCAACCTCTTCCTTCCACTGAGTCCTATCTGTCACCCTCCCATCAGGATTACTCTGGACACAATTGCAACCCTGTCATTAGACTCAGTTCTGTTTTCAGGTCTTCCTTCTGCATCTCCCGAGAGCCTGACCCATCTACCAACTGGCTATAAAGAAGGAGTGAGGGATGGTGACAGTCACCCAGCCCTGCTGCAGATTGGAGCACTTTTCTCCCTTTGGGGCTTCTGTGTGTGCCTATGATCAGATCCCTGTTATTCATTGTTATGAGGGAACAAGAGAATAGATGGCTCAAGAACGAAGGAGTGCAGGACTAATGGAAGTGTCTTAAATGGAAAGAAGATTTTGATATAGTTCTGTGAATATTTAGTATCTTTGTTTTATCCCAAGTCAGTTGTAGAAAATCACGCATTTATTTTTGGCTTTTTTCCTTTTTCTATTTAAAATACTTTAAAAAAGTCATTACATATTTACTGTAAAAAGTTCAGTGTGAAAGGGTATAAGTGAAAAATATGAGTCCCTTTTCCTCCTCTTTACATTTCTGATTTCTCTTTTTAAATTGGTTCAATTGGTTGTCCTGTTAAATTTTATTTTAAATTCAAATTTGGTTGGGTTCAGCAACTTGGCATGATTCACTCTGCTTCTGCTCAGGTTTCTTAGGAGCAGCTGTTAGAATGAATATCTTGCTTGTGCTGGGGTCTTCTACGTGGCTTCTCCAGGCAGCTTTTGACTCCAAAGCACCTGGGAGTGCAGTCAGATCTTTTAATTCTTGGGCAAGAGATGGCATGCTCTGAGGACAGGCAGCTGCTGCCCTTCAGGAGGCGAGGGAGCAGGTGGGGCAAGCTAGCAATGTGCCACCAAATCCCTTGCAAATTTTCCCCCTTCCTCAGCAGAGACTGCCAACCAGGCTGAATACCACAGGGAGATTTTTTCCACTGTGAACAACTGTCCCCAGGACAGTGAGCTGGGGATCACGTTTCAGGAATCTCGTATTGCCCTTGAGAAGCCTTGAGGATGGCTGTGAAGTGTGTGCTGGGGATCAGAAGCTCCAAAGGGGGGTGATGAGTCACGAGGCCCTGGGCTGGGAAGGGCCTTCTGGAGAGTGGTGGGCAGAGTGGACGAGAAACTTCCTGTGTTCCCTTCAACTGTGCATGGAAGTGAATGATGAGCATCGTAACAACCTACACTTCTAAAAATTATTTGTTTCATTTAATCTTACCTTTCCTTTTAAACTTTTCTATTTCATTTCAGTTTAGTTTCCAATCCAATTTGAAGTATAGTATTATGAAATCTAATTTAAATTCAGTAATTTATTTAAATTAATTGAGCACATAATAATATTATTGTATTTATGTTCTGTCTTATCCTCATTTGGCTCTGAAACATATTGTTAGTGTCATTCATTACCTTCATTTATTTCATTACCTTCATTCTCAGTACCATTCATCTCTATTTTTTGAATCACACCCGCTATGCAGGAATACATCCTCTTAGTAAAATTTTCAAATAACACTAATGTCTTGCATTTGAGGGCACTTTATGTCTACAAAATATATTTATAATTGTTCTGTCATCTAATCTCCAGAAGTAGCAGATCAATTACCTCCTTCATCTGACTAAGGAAGAATCTGAAAGACAGAGAGATTGAGGGATTGCAGCAGTCAAACCAGGCTCTTTCTACCTCTCCACAGTGGCTTTCCCTTCACCATGTGTACAGAGTGGAGGAGAATCTTAGCCCCAAGAGGGGCCCGTTGACAGTGGGATAGAGCAAAAGGAGGTCATTTACTAGAAAGTGTTCGCAGCTAATGGTGCATATCTGTAAATCTTTTGAAAGACCCTGGGAAAACAGCTCCAGCTGGAAGACTTTTCCAGAGCAAATATGGGACAAGGGGGTGGAGGAAGAGGGAGAAGCTGGCTTCCTGGAGGTGAAAGGACAGAAGGCAAATCTGGTCTGGTTTCTAATTTAGTTCAGTAACTTTCAATTCCTGCCAGAGGCTTGGTGTGTCTCCTGAGCCTGGCCCAGCCCCTTTGTAACAGCACTCCACCCAAATCAGGTGACTTTCTCAGATCCCATACTTGGGGGTGGGGAGTGATGGTGCATTGATCTGGGGTGTGGTGATGGTGCATTGATTTAGTGAAAAAGGAATGGGCTGGGATTCAAGAAGGCAGCCAGCTGGTGCTAAACAACCCAGCACACAAAAAGGCAAACCTGGGGGGAATGGTATACATATCCCACACCACAACTCTTCCTCCCTCACTCCCTCGTGCATTACCATCAAGGCAAAACAACCAGGTGGGACAGATCCTCTCCATTTCCTCCCGTTCCCTTTAAGTGCTATGTTACATGTCTTGAGTTATGTAAGTCAGCACTTGGAACTCATTTTATCCGCATTTCACCTGCATAGGCATGCTGCTGGGTAGACTCTGGTATAATGAGGGTGAAACTCAGAGAATGATCTGTTTCTGAGCTTTATATTTATTAAAGGGGGCCAGCCTATCTGGACCCCATCCTTTGAGGTTTGGCTGGATATTCGTCATATTCTGCTCCCTGTCTTTATATGTAAATTACTAGAATTAACTCTCTTTGCCCCGAGATAGACAAATGGAGAAAACAGCTTATTCTAAAAGCATGGTGTAAACTGAGGCCAGGTTTGTAAAAGGAGCCAATGCTAAGGCCACAAGAAAAATCACATACAACATGCCTTAGGGTTTCCATTCATTCAGTGCCTCTGATAGGGAAGGAGGCCCATTTGAGGCAGTTCATGTGCAATGGGCAAGCCATTGAGCTGGGTTCTTGGTCTGCCTCTGCTCCCAGCCAGCTGTGGAATCTTGGGCAAACCATTTTCTGTCTCTGGGCCTCAGTTTCCCCATCATTAAAATGAGGGAGTTAGATGAGGTGATTGATATGATAATATTGACATTTATAATCAATAGATTGATAATTCTAATATCCCTTGATGCAAATGTCAAGACTCCCAGCCCACGAGATCAGCAAGACTATGGAGCAGTGGGATGTCACTTCTCTGCTTTTAAACACCTTTGAACATGTTTTGCTTTGTGACTCCCTTCAGAATCCTTTTCCCTCCTGGCCCCTGCTGGTGTTAATCTACGCAGCTACACCCTGTTGCTCTTCCAGACCTAACTCCCTTCATTATGATGCCCCACTATCTTCTGGAATGATTCCTTCTCAGGGGCTACCTGGTGATGATGACTTTGCTAAGGTGCCTCAGTTTCCTCCACATAGCTGAGAAGGACCATCTGAAGAGAAACACTGGAGTCTGCACACTTTTATTCTATCACCTTTCTGTAGAAGGGCTTAAATACCTGGGGTTCCCCCAGCTCAAAGTTCCATGAGAAGCAATGATGCCATTGCGTAGTTCCCAGGATGTCTCTAAGCTCTTTCATTGGTTCTACATGCCAGAACTTTAGAGATCAAATCTCTTTGCTCCTAGCTCATAAGTTCTTTCGTGAACAAGGGATGTGCTTGCATTCAAAAGAATAAACAGCATGGACCATGTAGCTAGTTCTTCTGGAAATGGTCGAACTCTACCAGTCTACAGAAAAATCAATTTCCGAAATCCCATTTGGTGTTTGTAGAATATGTTCCTTCTCCCAGAAAACATACTGGGGCTTTTTGCATCCAAATCTGTAAATCAGAGTTTCTTAAAGAATATTAAAAACACTAGATCCGAATAAAACAATGGCTCTGTGATGAAATAAGTATTTGGAAAATACTTGAACAAACTTAAATAGGATTCCATTATGCAGTATTTCTCAGAGGTTTTAATAAGTCAGTACACTCTGTAAATCTTTAGGGAAGAGTATAACTTTTATCATTTTCTAATGTGACCACAGACTTATTTTTTCGTGGACTGCCCTTCTAAATTACTGAGTTGCACAGAATATACTTTTGAAGACCACCTCAAATGAAAGAACTTGCTCTAATGCTCTCCGTGAAGTTGATTTGGTGGGAAAATATTTTCGGCGATCATCTTTTCCTACTTAGTATTTACTTATGGCAATCTGGTTCTGTGTTCATCTTCAAGGGCTCAATATTGCCTCCCAGTGGGTCCAGTCAGATCCTGAGTTTTCTATGGAATTATACTAAACTTGGGAAGTGACTGTGGCAGTGTCTGCAAAATAAAATATTTTAAATCACAAAAGATAATACTGTTACTGTACATGATGTCACTTAAAATCCCTTATGACACAGACTATGGGGTACATTTCTCTTAAAATGAGAAAATATGAAAATGAAGAAATTAAAAACTCGTCATCATATTAGTGAATGATTAACTAACCCCATTTTGATGTGTATGTCATTTCAGTTTCTTTCATCTACACAAGTACATACAAGTTTATATCCCACCAAACTAAAAAAGATTTTTTTTGCCTTTTTTGGGGGGACATTTTACTCGAACCTCGGTTAAGAACCTGCTCCTTGGATATTTTTGGTCATTTGGAGAGGGTAGGAGGAGAGAAAGGGTGAAATATTACGAGGATAATGCAGGAGCTAAGTAACCCACTATGTTTTATGGATAATTGTACCCATGTCTTCTAAAAGGAAAATATGCACTTCTAATGGCACCAAATGACAAACTTTCTTGGATGTGGTGGACTGCTTTAGTGGCTGTAACGAAGTACCAGGAACTTAGTGGATTCCATTATGGTTCTGGAGGACGGAAGTCCAAAATCAGTCTTACTGGGCTAGTGTCAAGGTGTTGGCAGGACTTGTTTCTTCTCAAGACTCTGAGGTGCAAATCTGTTTTCTTATCTTTTTTTTTTTTTTTTTTTTGTAGCTTCTAGAGGCGCTTGCATTCTTGTGGCCCCTTTCCCATTCACATCAACCTCTTGCTTCTATCACAGTTTCTATGACTGACTCAAATCCTCCTGCTCTCCTCTTCTGAGGACCCTGTGATTACATGGGGCCCACCGGATAACCTAGGATTATCTCCTCGTCTCAACTTTGTCACACCAGCAAAGCCCCTTTTACCATGTAAGGTAACCTATTCACAGATTCTGGGGATTAGGACATAAACATATTTGGGAGAGCCATTATTCAGTCCTCTACATTGGCTTTTATTTATTTTTAAATATTTTAATATGAAAATTAATTGTTCATTTTCTGGGAGTAATGGTCTCTAATGGACATGGGCTAATTTGGTAAACATGACAGTTTGTCAGATGGTGGCAGAAAGGCAAATAAAGCCCACTTGGATTGCCTGCCTTGGCTGAAAGCTAGACTTCTGGGATGGGCATAAAGAGCTTTGGCCGTCTACTACACTGGGGGACAATTGGGCATTCTTGGCATGGTTCAGAGCCAGGTCTCAGAAGTTGTTGTGGAGCGTTTTTTCCATTCTAAATTTGAGAACTTAGCACTTCAGAGTGTTCCCTCCACATCTCTGGCTTGGATATGTGCCCCTTTTGAAGTTCTGTACCAGTTGTTGTCTATAAATAAGGCATGCCTAGTGCCATCAAAGCCCCAAGATGAAGGACACAGCTCACTTACAAGAACACTGAAAGTGTAGGATGGTGTTAGAGAGGAATCCTGGTTTCATTCTTCTTCCTCAACCTCTCCTCAATCCTCCCACCTCCAACTTAGTGTAAAAAATACATGAAGGCCCCAGAGAGAATAATCAAAGCTCTGTCACACTCAGCAATCTCTTTTTTGCTTCCCTTGATCAAGAAGGAAGAAAAAAGAAATGAGCATTTGGATGAAAACCCAGTAGCCCACATCAGTTCAGACTTTGCCTGCACAGTGATGCCTCCTGGGTATCCCCCTGGGAGGTAGCACTAATGATAACTCCATTGATTGGGGTTTACTTTTGTCTTATCCTTGACTCTACTATGCTAGGCTATCTCATCTCATCCTCATGACCCCACCCTGGATTTGGGGCATAAGAGTTTCCACTTCATAGATGGGGAACTGGGGTTACAGAGAGGTTAATCAATGCTTCTAATTTTTCACTTCTAGGCACACATGAATGATGGTCATATTTAAACTTCATCCTGAGGTTAACTGAGAGAGACACTCACGGCAGGTAACTGGCCTTGGTCTCCAACTGCCCAAGGTGCCACCTAGCAGTGGTGCTGAAGATGGCAAGACCTCAGTACACCTGTGACCCATTCGTGGTTGAGTAACTTGTCCAAGACTACAAGACTAATTGTAGATTTGAGGCCATGTTTGCCTGATTTTTGATTTCAGATTCTGTTCCCTGTCCCTAACACTTTTTAAAATACTAGTTTCTCTGGAAGCATTTCAAACTAAAGTTATCATCTTGCCTCTAAACCATCCTCTCTTCTTAGTTGTCTTGCTGTCTCTATTAGGCTAGGTTCTGTAGATCAGAGCCTGTGACAGGCTTTGTTGGTCAAGGTGTTTATTAAGGAAGTAGCCTCAGGAGATAACTTGTAAAGAGACTGAGCAGGGGAGGAAGCCAAGCAAAGATATGGTTTAGCTCAAGTATAGCCTGAGCCTGATCCCCCTGGGAGCTCCAGAGAGTGAATGCACCAGAGAGTTGTTCCTCTTTGAGGCAAGGAGGCTGTCCTTTTGCCCTCCTCAGCAGTCAGTCCATGCCTTTGTGCTGCTCTGGGGGAAGGATGTAATCTTCCAGGCATTCCTGGGCAAGGTGGCTCCCAGGGCTGAGGGTAATTCTTGGGAGGAGGGTGTGGCTGCAGGGGAACCCACACTCATAGCAGCCAGAGGGTGGGGACACCAGCCTCGTAAAGGGATCTGACCTGGGCATCCACAGCTGCTGCCACATGATCTCAATCATCACACTGCCATTTATCCAGCTGCCCAAACTAGAAACCTCACTCATCTTCAGTGTCTCTTTCTGTTACATTACACCATGGGGCAACTTCTCTTGATCTGTGCTAGAAATTCCTTTCAGAATTCTAGAAACTTGCTCTCCTCCATGCCTCTGGCTACTGCTGGAATTGAGGGAATCATCATTATTTTATTCATGCATATCTATCAAATCATTATCATTATATCAGTCTATTTTCCTTGGACCATTCCCAAAGCCCTGCCATTTTCTGCCTCTGTTTTCCCCTCCACCAATCCACATAGTCCCCAGAGTCATCCTTTTGTGTCTGTTTATATCAATTGATGACCTAAAAACACTGACAGCTTTCCAAAGCCAATAGGATAAAATAATGACTTCCATGGCATGGTCAGAAACGCTCTTCATAAGTTGATCCATCCCACCTGCCTGTCAGTATTTCTCTCATTCTCCTAGTGCTTCTCAGAGCCACATGTTCATGCATTCTCAGATACCCACTGAGTTTTTGTTGATGAATTAATGAATGAAGAGTGGTGGTTTTGTGCTGAGGTTTACATTTCAGATTAATATGGAGAAATTGTCTATTTCTGAAGGACTGTCTAAAAACTCAGATACTGGGAGTGGGAGCTATGGTTCTAATTTCAGATCTGAATCATGCTACCAGGCGTGGACTCCAATTTCTCTTATGTTCCACTTGCTTTAACTTAAAATAATCTGGTTAGTGTCTTATCCGATTAAGTTTGTTTGTTTGCCTTTGAAACCTGAGAAGGTCAGAGATTATTCTATAATGATCAGTCTTGCCACTTCTGAATCTGTCCAGGCTCTGCTCCCTACCCCACACTGAACTCATTTGGTTCGGCTTATTTTGGGGATGCAATTATTTCAATTATTTCTTAAGGTGATGCTACTGGTCTTTGCAGGAAATAACAAAATAAACAGCCAATCATAACTATTTTTCTGCAGTCTTGGCCAGGAGTGGGTGGGGCTGGTTGAGAGACATGGGGAGTGTAGCTCAGAAGGGAGTGCAAGATGCTGCCCCAGGGCTACAGGAACAGTGGAAAGGCAGTGTTACTCAGGAGTGGAAAACTGGGCTGAGGGAAACCAGCTTTGAATGAGCGAGTCTGCAATCAGAGGCAGATAGATGAAGAGAACAGGTTTGGAAGACGGAGGAGGGCAGATTCTGGGAAGCTTTAGCCGAGGGGGCCAGGAGCCTCAGTTTTAGGTTTGGAGGGCACCAAAGGAGGACTGGATCAAATTGTACCTCTTTAAAAAAACTTTGTGTTTTATCCATAGATATCAACCTACTCTTTAGTTAGACACAGCTAACTCCACGCTAGTTAGCTGTGACTTTAGAAGAGTTGTCTGATATTTTCTGGGTGCCACTATTTTTCCATCCATGAAATACTATGATAACCCACAGGGCTGTGATAAGGATTACATGAGCTACTGTGTAAAAAAAGGTCAAACTGAGAAAGCAAAACAAACACCCCTACTGCAAGAAAAACCCAACTATATTATTATAGGATATGAATATCTCGAGCATAATGTCTCATACATAATGAATACAGCAAATGTGTTGCTATAATCTTGCTCATGATTTGTATCTTTATCATCTATTTATCTGTCCATCCATCTACCATTATTGGCACCTGTAGTGTACCAATTATGATATACCAACATTAAAAGGCTTATACAGCATATGGTGAAGCTGCGTGTACCACCTGGGGAAGGCTGACTGGCACTCACACAAGTCCTTGCAGGTGGCAGTAATCTCTTGGGCAAACTACCCAAGTCTGTGATGAAGCCCCCTTCAGAAAACTGATTCACCAGCAGAACAAGGATATCTATTGCTTAGATGAGTTCCTCATCAAATTCTAAGAGTCTACAGTGTTATTCTCCAATGTTCATTAGTTTGTGATCTGGGGATCCTTTCCCTTTACACATGCATGTGAGAGCCAGACTGTAATCAGAGGCTTGTTTGGCAGCATGGAATCAAAAGTCGGTGCTGGTGACAGGATTTGAATGTTTAACGGCATCCAGCTTACATACCTAATGCCACGTTCTCCACAAACGGGTGGCAACTGGAGCATAATCAGCAGATCTACCCCTCACTAGCGAGCGAGGTGACCTTGGACACTTTTCATAACTTCTCTGTGCCTCATTTTCCCTTTGTGTAAAATGAGGATAAAGGTAGAGCCTACCTAATGGGGCAGTTGTAAGGAATAAATGAAGTAGTAAAACAGTTAACAGAGAGCTCAATAAAGGCTAATAATTACTAATTATTAGTATTAAATGTCTGTCTTGAGTGTATACTGGTCCTATTCATTCACTTATTCATTCAAAAGATGTTTGCTGACTACCTATTATGTGCTAGCCTATGAACAATAAGGGTGCTGCCCCTACTGCTGGAGCCTATTCAGCCATGTTTAATTCAGTATGAGGAGGGGCTTGATGCAATTTGGCAGTGGTGGTGAGTATCTGACACTTCTTTTGTCCTTAGGTTTCAGTCTCAGTAGCCAAATGCGGGGCTGCTGCTTTCTATTAATTTTTTTTTTTTTTTAAGGCAGGGTCTCACTCTGTCGCCCAGGCTGGAGTGCAATGGAACAATCTTAGTTCACTGCAACCTCCACCTCCCAGGCTCATGGGATCCTCCCTCCTCAGCCTCCTGAGTAGCTGGGACTACAGGCGTGCACCACCATGCCCAGCTAGTTGTATTTTTGGTAGATAAGGGGTTTCATTATGTTGCCCAGGCTGGTCTCAAACTCCTGGCTCAAGCAATCTGGCTGCCTCAGCCTCCCAAAGTATTGGGATTCCAGGTGTGAGCCACTGCATCTGGCCTCTATTGGCTTTCAGTGAGTCTCAAGTCCATCCAGATTCAGGAGGAGGGAGATACAGATCCCACCTTTCAATGAGATAATTGACAAATAATTTGTGACCGTTTAATTAAAACCGCTATACTCCTCATCTTCACAAACAGTCTGTTTGAAAGGTTTTCTACACTATATGGACAGCTTTAAGTCTTACTAAGCAATTTGATCCATTACTTGTTGTTTTCATCATTTAGGTGTGAAGGCAGTCTTACCTCTAGATTTTTGGAGTCCACTTGATTTCATTGTTTATATGTCCCTCATATCAGGTATTGGACTCGATGCTGTTTTGTCAGCTGTGCAACATTTGCCAGAGAAGGGGCAAATGTTTCTTCCATTTTTTAAACAGTCTTCTTTAAGATAAAAAAATTTGACAGGATCATAAAATTCTGCTCCTAAAGCAAGCATTCCACTGAGCTGCAGAAATGTATGACTTCAATGTCACTCATAATTTTAAAACTAAGTGTGAGATGCACTTCAGAAATCTCAGTGGGGCTCCTGGACCTCAGATAGTAAGATGGTATCAAACTAGAAAAAAATTAATTGCTTTTGTGCTGCTGCTCCCTGCTGGTATGATTTATTTTAAATTCTGCTGAACCCTGGGAGAAGGAGTTGTATTGCAATTCAGAAACTGACATATGTTGTTTTGCCCACATCTCTCACAGAGGCACCGAATTCAAAGAAAATGTTTCTGTGGTCTGGAAAACACTGGATATTGCAACATCTATTTTATCTGACATGGCAGAGATTGAGTTACTCCACTTCAATGAATTTTGTGAGCAACAGAGGTCTACCAGCTTTGAGTGCCAAGTGTTTTAGAAAATGTTTAATTTTTCTGGAATAAGATCTGTCTAAAGTGTATTGAACTTATTTCCCTGCTTTCTCAGATGCAGGGTGATTAACCATCTGAGACTTTCCCTCTTTTAGCACTAAAAGTTCTAGGTCTTGGGAAAGCTCCCAGGCTCAGGCAGACTGGGACAGCTGGTCACCTTATAGTTAAATGTGAACTTGATTTCATAGCTTTCTTTTTATTTTATTTTATTATTATTTTTTTGAGACAGGGTCTCACTCTGTCGCCCAGGCTGGAGTACAGTGGTACAATCTCGGCTCACTGCAGCCTCCTCCTCCCGGATTCAAGTGATTCTCCCGCCTCAGTTCCTGAGTTGCTGGGATTATACGTGCACAGCACCATGCCTGGCTAATTTTTTGTATTTTTAGTAGATACAGGGTTTTGCCATGTTGGCTAGGCTGGTCTCGAATGCCTGAGCTCAAGCAATCCACCTGCCTCAGCCTCCCAAAGTGCTGGGATTACAGGTGTAAGCCACTGCGCCTGGCCTTAATTTTGTAGTTTTCTGATGACTCTATGTCACCACTATGAACTATTTATGTTGAGTGTTGTAAACCAGTGATGACCTCAGGGCAGTTGCAGTGTATGGCGCTGGAGCCCCAGACCACGGCATGTTAAGAGTAGCCAGTTGCTCTACTTGTCGTAGCGAGGAACTACCTGTATTTCAATGCCACCCACTAGGGCTTTGTAAGCTATTTGCACCTGTGCTGCCCAGTGGCCTTGTTGGTTTTCAAGACTTTTCATCAGGTTTTCAGGACTTTTCAGGATGGAGGTCACCACTGTTTGACTTCTGGATAAGAGGAATCATTGTTCTCAAAATAAGTTAATGAGCAAAAAGGACTTAGGACAGAGGCAATAATGATAAATTACTTTTGAGTAGTTTTACTTAGTAGTAGACAAGGGAAAGAAAACTTGTCTAAAGAAACTTAAAAATAAACTTTGTCTAAAGTAAATATTTTACACATAGCTTAGAACTTCTGGTGGAACCGATGTATTTTCCCTACAAATTTGGGTCTATGTACTCATTATCTTAGGGTCTCAATTTAATCGGAAATATGACATTAAACCGTAGGGAATGTAATTGCCTGAGTTTTGTGTCTCCATCAAGAAAGGAGACAGAGAAAATTTGAGAAAAAGGAAGGAGGAAGTTGGCTCAGTCCCAGACATGTAAAAGGGGAATTTCCTGGGGAGGATTCTGATGCTGCAGAGAATATGAGGGTATAGCTGGGCCACAGCGCCATGGGATGAGCCTGCAGAAGAATAGGAAATTCAGGGCCCCTCCTGCCCAGTGAAGCTCTCACCTAGATAAAGGGGCCATCCTGGTGTTCTGCTCTCTGGATTACCCACCTGCCTTCTGTCAGAAATGCCTATAAGTTGAAGAGAACATAATAAAACAAGTTTGATGAGGAGAAAGATAAAAGAGCAAAAAAGCGTTGAACATTCTTAGTTTCCACTTAAAACCTATATTTGACTTTTGTTGCCTTCATCCACTCCAGAGTGCTTTTCCTCAAATTGGTTCCTAACACATTCCTATCCATGTTACTGTGTACCTACTCTATATAAGGTACAGGGCAAAATGTTTTGGGATATGAAGGGATACAAATAAATTTTTTTCCTTAAGAACCATACCATCCTGGGAGGCAGCCAAGATGGCCGAACAGGAACAGCTCTGGTCTACAGCTCCCAGCTTGAGCGACGCAGAAGACGGGTGATTTCTGCATTTCCATCTGAGGTACCGGGTTCATCTTACTAGGGAGTGCCAGACAGTGGGCGCAGGACAGTGGGTGCAGCGCACCGTGCTCAAGCCGAAGCAGGGCGAGGCATTGCCTCACTCGGGAAGAGCAAGGGGTCAGGGAGTTCCCTTTCCTAGTCAAAGAAAGGGGTGACAGACAGCACCTGGAAAATCGGGTCACTCCCACCCTAATACTGCGCTTTACTGACGGGCTTAAAAAACGGCGCACCAGGAGATTATATCCCACACATGGCTTGGAGGATCCTACTCCCATGGAGTCTTGCTGATTGCTAGCACAGCAGTCTGAGATCAAACTGCAAGGCAGCAGCGAGGCAGGGGGAGGGGCGCCCGCCATTGCCAAGGCTTGCTTAGGTAAACAAAGCAGCTGGGAAGCTCGAACTGGGTGGAGCCCACCACAGCTCAAGGAGGCCTGCCTGCCTCTGTAGGCTCCACCTCTGGGGGCAAGGCACAGACAAACAAAAAGACAGCAGTAACCTCTGCAGACTTAAATGTCCCTGTCTGACAGTTTTGAAGAGAGCAGTGGTTCTCCCAGCACACAGCTAGAGATCTGAGAACAGGCAGACTGCCTCCTGAGGTGGGTGACTGACCCCTGACCCCCGAGCAGCCTAACTGGGAGGCACCGCCCAGTAGGGGCAGACTGACACCTCACACAGCCGGGGACTCCTCTGAGACAAAACTTCCAGAGGAATGATCAGACAGCAGCATTTGCGGTTCATGAAAATCCACTGTTTTGCAGCCACCGCTGCTGATACCCAGGCAAACAGGGTCTGGAGTGGACCTCTAGCAAACTCCAACAGACCTGCAGCTGAGGATCCTGTCTGTTAGAAGGAAAACTAACAAACAGAAGGGACATCCACACCAAAAACCCATCTGTACATCACCATCATCAAAGACCAAAAGTAGATAAAACCACAAAGATGGGGAAAAAGCAGAGCAGAAAAACTGGAAACTCTAAGAAGCAGAGCGCCTCTCCTCCTCCAAAGGAACACAGTTCCTCACCAGCAATGGAACAAAGCTGGATGGAGAATGACTTTGATGAGCTGAGAGAAGAAGGCTTCAGACAATCAAACTACTCCGAGCTACAGGAGGAAATTCAAACCAAAGGCAAAGAAGTTAAAAACTTTGAAAAAAATTTAGATGAATATATAACTAGAATAACCAATAGAAAAGTGCTTAAAGGAGCTGACGGAACTGAAAGCCAAGCCTCGAGAACTTACGTGAAGAATGCAGAAGCCTCAGGAGCTGATGCAATCAACTGGAAGAAAGGGTATCAGTGATGGAAGATGAAGTGAATGAAATGAAGCGAGAAGGGAAGTTTAGAGAAAAAAGAATAAAAAGAAACAAACAAGGCCTCCAAGAAATATGGGACTATGTGAAAAGACCAAATCTATGTCTGATTGGTGTACCTGAAAGTGACGGGGAGAATGGAATCAAGTTGGAAAACACTCTGCAGGATATTATCCAGGAGAACTTCCCCAATCTAGCAAGGCAGGCCAACATTCAGATTCAGGAAATACAGAGAATGCCACAAAGATACTCCTCAAGAAGAGCAACTCCAAGACACATAATTGTCAGATTCACCAAAGTTGAAATGAAGGAAAAAATATTAAGGGCAGCCAGAGAGAAAGGTCGGGTTACCCTCAAAGGGAAGCCCATCAGACTAACAGTGGATCTCTCGGCAGAAACTCTACAAGCCAGAAGAGAGTGGGGGCCAATATTCAACATTCTTAAAGAAAAGAATTTTCAACCCAGAATTTCATACCCAGCCAAACTAAGCTTCATAAGTGAAGGAGAAATAAAATATTTTACAGACAAGCAAATGCTGAGAGATTTTGTCACCACCAGGCCTGCCCTACAAGAGCTCCTGAAGGAAGCACTAAACATGGAAAGGAACAACTGGTACCAGCCACTGCAAAATCATGCCAAATTGTAAAGACCGTCAAGGCTAGGAAGAAACTGCATCAACTAACAAGCAAAATAACCAGCTAACATCATAATGATGGGATCAAATTCACACATGACAATATTAACTTTAAATGTAAATGGACTAAATGCTCCAATTAAAAGACACAGACTGGCAAATTGGATAAAGAGTCAAGACCCATCAGTGTGCTGTATTCAGGAAACCCATCTCACGTGCAGAGACACACATAGGCTCAAAATAAAAGGATGGAAGAAGATCTACCAAGCAAATGGAAAACAAAAAAAGGCAGGGGTTGCAATCCTAGTCTCTGATAAAACAGACTTTAAACCAACAAAGATCAAAAGAGACAAAGAAGGCCATTACATAATGGTAAAGGGATCAATTCAACAAGAAGAGCTAACTATCCTAAATATATATGCACCCAATACAGGAGCACCCAGATTCATAAAGCAAGTACTGAGTGACCTACAAAGAGACTTAGACTCCCACACAATAATAATGGGAGACTTTAACACCCCACTGTCAACATTAGACAGATCAATGAGACAGAAAGTTAACAAGGATACCCAGGAATTGAACTCAACTCTGCACCAAGCAGACCTAATAGACATCTACAGAACTCTCCACCCCAAATCAACAGAATAAACATTTTTTTCAGCACCACACCACAACTATTCCAAAATTGACCACATAGTTGGAAGTAAAGCTCTCCTCAGCAAATGTAAAAGAACAGAAATGATAACAAACTGTCTCTCAGACCACAGTGCAATCAAACTAGAACTCAGGATCAAAAAACTCACTCAAAAACCACTCAACTACATGGAAACTGAACAACCTGCTCCTGAATGACTACTGGGTACATAACGAAATGAAGGCAGAAATAAAGATGTTCTTTGAAACCAACGAGAACAAAGACACAACATACCAGAATCTCTGGGACACATTCAAAGCAGTGTGTAGAGGGAAATTTATAGCACTAAATGCCCTCAAGAGAAAGCAGGAAAGATCCAAAATTGACACCCTAATATCACAATTAAAATAACTAGAAAAGCAAGAGCAAACACATTCAAAAGCTAGCAGAAGGCAAGAAATAACTAAAATCAGAGCAGAACTGAAGGAAATAGAGACACAAAAAACCCTTCAAAAAATTAATGAATCCAGGAGCTGGTTTTTTGAAAGGATCAACAAAATTGATAGACTGCTAGCAAGATTAATAAAGAAGAAAAGGGAGAAGAATCAAATAGATGCAATAAAAAATGATAAAGGGGATATCACCGCCGATCCCACAGAAATACAAACTTCCATCAGAGAATACTACAAACACCTCTACGTAAATAAACTAGAAAATCTAGAAGAAATGGATACATTCCTCGACACATACACCCTCCCAAGACTAATCCAGGAAGAAGTTGAATCTCTGAATAGACCAATAACAGGCTCTGAAATTGTGGCAATAATCAATAGCTTACCAACCAAAAAGAGTCCAGGACCAGATGGATTCACAGCCGAATTCTACCAGAGGTACAAGGAGGAACTGGTACCATTCCATCTGAAACTATTCCAATCAATAGAAAAAGAGGGAATCCTCCCTAACTCATTTTATGAGGCCAGCATCATCCTGATACCAAAGCCTGGCAGAGACACAACCAAAAAAGAGAATTTTAGACCGATATCCTTGATGAACATTGATGCAAAAATCCTCAATAAAATACTGGCAAACTGAATCCAGCAGCACATCAAAAAGCTTATCCACCATGATCAAGTGGGCTTCATCCCTGGGATGCAAGGCTGGTTCAATATATGCAAATCAATAAATGTAATCCAGCATATAAACAGAATCAAAGAAAAAAACCATATGATTATCTCAATAGATGCAGAAAAGGCCTTTGACAAAATTCAACAACCCTTCATGCTAAAAACTCTCAATAAATTAGGTATTGATGGTACGTATCTCAGAATAATAAGAGCTATCTATGACAAACCCACAGACAATATCATACTGAATGGGCAAAAACTGGAAGCATTCCCTTTGAAAACTAGCACAAGACAGGGATGCCCTCTCTCACCACTCCTATTCAACATAGTGTTGGAAGTTCTGGCCAGGGCAATTAGGCAGGAGAAGGAAATAAAGTGTATTCAATTAGGAAAAGAGGAAGTCAAATTGTCCCTGTTTGCAGATGACATGATAGTATATCTAGAAAACCCCATTGTCTCAGCCCAAAATCTCCTTAAGCTGATAAGCAACTTCAGCAAAGTCTCAGGATACAAAATCAATGTAGAAAAATCACGAGCATTCTTATACACCAATAACAGACAAACAGAGAGCCAAATCATGACTGAACTCCCATTCACAATTGCTTCAAAGGGAATAAAATACTTAGGAATCCAACTTACAAGGGACGTGAAGGACCTCTTCAAGGAGAACTACAAACCACTGCTCAATGAAATAAAAGAGGATACAAAGAAATGGAAGAACATTCCATGCTCATGGGTAGGAAGAATCAATATCGTGAAAATGGCCATACTGCCCAAGGTAATTTATAGATTCAATGCCTACCCATATCAAGCTACCAATGACGTTCTTCACAGAATTGGAAAAAACTACTTTAAAGTTCACATGGAAACAAAAAAGAGCCCGCATCACCAAGTCAATCCTAAGCCAAAAGAACAAAGCTGGAGGCATCACCCTACCTGACTTCAAACTATACTACAAGGCTACAGTAACCAAAACAGCATGGTACTGCTACCAAAACAGAGATATAGATCAATGGAACAGAACAGAGCCCTCAGAAATAATGCTGCATATCTACAACTATCTGATCTTTGACAAACCTGAGAAAAACAAGCAATGGGGAAAGGATTCCCTATTTAATAAATGGTGCTGGGAAAACTGGCTAGCCATATGTAGAAAGCTGAAACTGGATCCCTTCCTTACACCTTATACAAAAATTAATTTAAGATGGATTAAAGACTTAAACGTTAGACCTAAAACCATAAAAACCCTAGAAGAAAACCTAGGCATTACCATTCAGGACATAGGCATGGGCAAGGACTTCATGTCTAAAACACCAAAAGCAATGGCAACAAAAGCCAAAATTGACAAATGGGGTCTAATTAAACTAAAGAGCTTCTGTACAGCAAAAGAAACTACCATCAGAGTGAACAGACAACCTACAAAATGGGAGAAAGTTTTTGCAACCTACTCATCTGACAAAGGGCTAATATCCAGAATCTACAATGAACTCAAACAAATTTACAAGAAAAAAACAAACAACCCCATCAAAAAGTGGGCAAAGGATATGAACAGACACTTCTCAAAAGAAGACATTTATGCAGCCAAAAAACACATGAAAAAATGCTCACCATCACTGGCCATCAGAGAAATGGAAATCAAAACCACAATGAGATACCATCTCACACCAGTTAGAATGGCAATCATTAAAAAGTCAGGAAACAACAGGTGCTGGAGAGGATGTGGAGAAATAGGAACACTTTTACACTGTTGGTGGGACTGTATACTAGTTCAACCATTATGGAAGTCAGTGTGGCGATTACTCAGGCATCTAGAACTAGAAATACCATTTGACCCAGCCATCCCATTACTGGGTATATACCCAAAGGACTATAAATCATGCTGGTATAAAGACATATGCACACGTATGTTTGTTGCAGCACTATTCACAATAGCAAAGACTTGGAACCAACCCAAATGTCCAACAATGATAGACTGGATTAAGAAAATGTGGCACGTATACACCATGGAATACTATGCAGCCATAAAAAATGATGAGTTCATGTCCCTTGTAGGGACATGGATGAGATTGGAAATCATCATTCTCAGTAAACTATCGCAAGGACAAAAAACCAAACACCGCATGTTCTCACTTATAGGCGGGAATTGAACAATGAGAACACATGGACACAGGAAGGGGAACATCACACTCTGGGGCCTGTTGTGGGGTGGGGGAAGGGGGGTGGGATAGCATTAGGAGATATACCTAATGCTAAATGACGAGTTAATGGTGCAGCACACCAGCATGGCACATGTATACATATGTAACTAACCTGCACATTGTGCACATGTACCCTAAAACTTAAAGTATAAAAAAAAAAAAAAAGAACCATACCATCCTGTTTGGGAACGATGTGTATAACTTCAGTGTTGGCTGGCATCATCAGCCTATGCATACACATGGGGGCATATTTATAGTTGCACCCACATTTTGATGGCTTTGAACTCTACATTGACCCATGTGTGAACTTAGCTATCTCTTAGAGCTTATCTATTCTAGTTAGGGTCTCATTAGGACCTAGAGAGATGGCATGTGTAGACTGAAAAATTAATAAAGAAATTATTTCTAAGAGGTGTGGCCAAGGTTCAGGAAGAGCAAGAAGGGATGGTGCAGTGTATGCAAGCTAGGAACAGTAGGACCTGTTACCACCCTTAGGCCTGAAGAAATAAAGAGAGGAGGGGCACTAGAACCTGCAGAGAGAGTGAGAGAATGAGAGTGAGGGTGCTATATGGAAAGGCCCCTCTGTCAGAAGCTGAGATCTAGTAGGGATGGAAGTGGGGGAAAATACTCTTATCACATCTTGTCTCTCTGCCCCTTCCTCTGGGTTCCTGGTTGTGGCCTCCATTTGTGAAACACTTGTGGGCAATAAGTGCATTGGTGCAGCCCACACAGGTCACCTTCCAAGGGCACACAGCAGGGTGGAGAAGGGTAGAGAGTAGGTCTGGAGGGTTAAATGAAAGGTATCCAGCATGCTAATTTCAGAGTTTCTTAGATGATGCTCATTTTGTCCTTCCTCTTCTATTCTGGCTTCCTTTGTTTAATATCCATAGCCTGTGAACCCTTCTAAAGACTCTTCACAATTGACACCATTCCTGGGGCCACTAATGCAAAGTCCAAAGTGCCTATCAATAGTGTTCTCCTACCACAGGGTTCCTGTGTTAGTCTGGGTCCTCTGAGAAGCAGATGCTGAAACAGGATGAAACGTGCAAGGATTTTATTAAGGTGGTGCCTGTGAGAAAAGATGGGTTGGAACTGGAGAACACTGGGCAAGCTGCCAGTCTGACCACAGTGAAAGAGAGGGGGTGGAAGCATCCTAGGTTGCCACATACTCTAGGAAGGTTCAGCAAGGTCATCAGGCAGGCTTTAAGGCAAAGTTGCTGTTGGAGGAGTCCTGTGTCTCCTCTGGATGGACCTGTCTTACTATCCTTCCACACTCAGTCCTTGGCTGGGAGCAGCATGTAGAAGCGTGGCCTTGGTCCAAATGCAGTGATGAATTTTATGGCAAAGAAACTAGGCCCTTGATCTTTTATGCTTCTTGTAATTGGAGATCTGCAAGGTGCATTCTCATGGGCCCCCACAGTTTTCCAGGAATTCAGAGCAGTGTTAGAATCCAAGAGAAAGGGGTCAGAGATTAACCCTCTCTCCTGACCTCCCTGAGTTTGCATCATAGGCCTGAGTAACAATTTTTGTGCTGAGAATTTTATAAGCACTCATAGGAATTACTTCTTGTAGAGTGTTGTCAATGTCTGTGGTGGGCATGGCTACCCTCCTTGGAATAGCAGAGAAATGGTGCTCAGCCTGCCTCCTGAGAAGCATTTTCAGAGACTTGAGCTCAAGGCTTTAGAATTTCTATGTGAAAGAGGCTTTGGAGTGTAAGGGGCTTATATTCCATGGACATATCCCAATGACAGGAATACTGGAGGCTCCCCAAAGCTTCATGTGGTATAGCCACTTTCTCTAGAGTTCTACAACATTTCCTTTTAGGCCTCAAGGCAAGAAATGATTCATTGTCCTTTATTTCTTTTACAATAGAGCTTGATTGTCCACCACGAAATACCTATAACACAGAGCACAGAAACCAAAGTCCTGGGTGTCATTAGGATTCTTTTAGTCCATAGTAGAGAGGTGGCTGTCTCCTCATAAGAAAATTGGGGTGATTTTAGGATGCGGCCTTGATAGCTAGGCTGCCAAAAATACTTATAAATATTTATTATAGGCCTTTTAGCCAAGGATAGATGTGGGGCTAATTTATGGAAACCTCTTGTTGAAATAACAAGAAATAAAACATAAGTCTTAGGAAACTTATCAGGAGACTCTACAATATAATAAAATAATCTGATTATATTTCTGTCTCCTCTGCCAGATGGTAAGCAGTTTGAAGGCAGAAACTGTGTCATACTCTTTAAAAATATAACTTTGAATTATCTAAGTGATTCATATCATTTTTATAAAAATAAAAGTTACTAATAATGTTGAAATCTCCTTTACCCCCAAACTAGTCTTCCCCCTCCTTCCCATTACCCACATGCCAGGCACACAAATGTGGTTCAAATGATGCTTGTTGACCTGCATGGAAGAGATCCAGAGTGGAAACTGAGAGAGGTTCAGCAGGCAGGCAGGGTGGTGGGGTGACTGACCCCCTACCTGCCCCAATCTGGCCAAGCACCCTCTCTCTACACCACTAGCTTCAGGGCTACAAAAATTTTTCAGCTTGTCACGGGTTGCCAAACTGTGATATACAGCAGAGTTGATGTAAACTTCCACACTTTCTAGAGGATAGTTTTACTACTGTCATCAGAGTTGTGGTCGTATTTCCATGGCTTTAATCTGGTTTTGCTGGAGATGCTTCTCCAGGTCTACTGCTGGTCCTTGAAGGTGGAGACTCAGGGCTATCAAATTTTACCAAAATGACTTCTCCCTCAAAGGAAAGGGAGAGGATAGAAGATAAGGACGTCTTCTGGTCAGGTATCGCCAGACGTAGACAAACATGATCAGGAATTGGGGGATGTGAATCAGAATGGGCAGTGGGACAGGAACAGAGAAGTCAGACATGGACCAAGTAAGAAGGTGTTGTTGACCTTCCTAGGCCCACCAGTTCAACCGATGACTGAGGCCCATGGTCTGGGTACGACTGGAGGGTGATGAGTACAAGTCAAGGACCTCCTCTTGGTTAAAAAAGCAAGGTCAAGAGGGAGGATGAGGAGTAGAAAAATGAAGAGAATCAATCAACCCTTTCTCAGCAAGACTTGGACCAAGTTACTTCCCTTCTGTACTTCTTTAGACCCATACCCCTACAGTGGGTATATGAATAACAGCCCATAACCTGGTATTTACGAGTCACTCTTCGGGATGAAGAGTGAGAGACTGTTCATGAATGGGGATCTGCCCTCTAGTGGTCCTTTCTCTTGAGCCCTCTGTTCAATCGCTGATTTGCTGGCAAATTCTTTCAATGTTGAATGCCTGTTTGTCTCACTGGGTGGACTTTTACTTAAAATTCTTATCTGGGGCACATGCAGTAAGTGGAGAAAAATGTAAGACACTTTTCCTTTGGTCATTACTAACAAGCCCTGAGGAAAAAGCCTGAGTGGCTTATGTTAATCATTAAACTTACCCATGGTCAGGTCTGAACTTTTACTCTGGTACACATTTGGCTGGGACACAAACGAGTTAGGTGAGTTATAGTCTAACGTGAGTGAGTTACCTGCGTGGTGGCTGCAGGCTGAGCTCTAACCAGATAACATGTCCACGGATTCTTGACAGAGAGAAATAAGATCACTTAGAAAGAAAGGATCATTTCTCCCTTGAGTCACAAGGAGACAGAAACAGAAAAAAAAGGTACTGTTTGATCCAGAAAAGTCTCTGCTCTCTGTTTTCTAGGTGTTGTATCTCTTGTTAACGTTCTGGTGAACAAAAGGAAGAAATGGGAGATCTATAGTAGTGCCTTGCAACTTTGTCCCTCGATGTCCCAAAGGAGAAGCTGAGAGGGAAGGGAGGAAGAAGGGAAGAGGGAGTGAGAGCAGAGAGAGGAGAGAGAGAGAGGAGAACAAAAACATGACTAAATAAATGCACACAGCTCTCCTCTGTGGTTGAAAAATTTTAGTTATGAGAAATAAAGAGAGTCTGAGTTTATTTTTAGGAAGAATTAGTGGATAGACTAATAAAAAATTACATTTATAATTGACATGAAAAAGATGCAGTTCCAAATGTAGGGTTTTAAGAAAACCAGTGTGCGAATGTTTATTTCTATTGTTCTGAGCTTGGGAGTAGGCATTAAGAAGAAATGTTAAAATCACGTAGCCAGATTGAAAATAGACTCTCCTGTGCTGAGTATATTTTGTCTGTGTAACAAGCAAGTCAGATCTCATGCTTTTGGACTAAGCAGCAAATACGCTTGGGTACTTTTCCCTATGTGGTAGATGTATTCTGAAAGTTGTATATTTATAAGTTGAATTCTATTTCAAATAGACGTAAAAGTTTGGGAATTTTGCAACGAAAAGGAACACTTGCTGAATCCACTTGAAAATACTAGAATTCCTTTCTTAAATCCAAGTAGCCTCCACACTTACCCTATCTGGTAATGACTCGGGGGCAGGTACATAGATTGTTTGTTTTCCCAACTTTTAGTATAGTGCTTAGCACGTAGTGGGCATACAATAAATGTTTGCAGTGTTGAATTAAATAGAAATGATTATAGATTTCCAGCTGTCTCAATCAGAACATGCCCGTAAGGTGAGTTTATTGCAAAGTTTTTGCAGATTTTTTTTTTGAGGGGGGGAGTATATTGTAGCTTTTATATTTTCAGAAATGATGTAACTACTTCTGCTAATCTCAGTGTTTTCTTAAAAATATAAATTAAATGGCCAGGTGTGGTGGTTCATGCCTGTAATCCCAGCACTTTGGGAGGCTGAGGCAGGGAGATCACTTGAGGCCAGGAGTTCAAGACCAGTCTGGCTATCATGGTGAAAACCTGTCTCTACAAAAAATTCAAAAATTAGCCGGGTGTGGTGGCGCACACCTGTAATCCCAGCTACTCAGGAGGCTGAGGCATAAGAATCACTTGAACCTGGGAGATGGAGGTTGCAGTGAACTGACATCATGCCACTGCACTCCAGCCCAAATGACAGAATGAGACCCTGCCACACACACACACATACACACACACTTTGTGTGTGTGTATGTGTGTGTGTGTATGTAGGTATGTATATATATATTAAATATATTTATATATTTATATGTAATAAACATAAACATAATTAAATATATATTAAACGTGTATTTAGTAGTACATGTGGGTGTTTAATTCTGTAATTTTCAAACTTTCAGAAAATTTCAGAGGCACTATTTTTAAGAGGATTTTGTCGATGCCCTCTGCCATGAGGTGCTGGAGAGCAGCTCAGCACTTTCCTTAGAGCAGGCATGAGAGTGAAAGCTGTTCATCTCAGATTAGGTAAACCCAGATTTAGGGTATTCAAATATGTCTTCATCCACTCCAATGTACTGAGCGCTGTGTGGGACCTTCACACTTTCACACTAGGAAGGCTGTGGAAATAGAAGACTGGTTCCTGGGTCTCTTCAAGGAACGTGCCGTCTGGAAGAAGAGGCCTATGTGTGCCACATTATCTGGTCTAGGCTCTACAGCACGGAAGTTAGAGGTTCAGGGGGAAGGTGGTGAGCACTGGAATGGCGGAGGAAAGAATCAGCTGAGGAGGGGCTCCTGAGCAGCACCACGAAGGTGCGCCAGGATCTCCTGAGGCCACGGAGAGAGTTGAGGGCATCCAGGAAGGGACCAGCAGGGGCCAAGGCAGAGGCTGATGTGTGGAAGGCTTGTCTGAGTGACGGTGAGAACGGCGTGTGGCTGCAGTGTAGGGTTCAAACTGGAGAGCAGCACGAGGGAAAGCTGGACGCCAGCACAGGGCAAAGCAAAACAGACTTCACCCTATCACGAACTAGAATTTTAATTTCTAGAATTCTTTTTAAAACTCAGCTTCTGTTCAATAATGAGTTAATGAAAGAGGTTATTATTTATCCAGCTTAAAATAAGTTGGTGGGACAAGGAGGGCAGAGTGGGGATGATTTTATGCAAGGTTCTCAGATGATCCTTTTCTCCTGAGCTTGGAAAAATGGTGGCTCCATTTGAAGACACTAAGGCCATGTTTATCTCATCTCCTTAATTTCCCAGGTTTCAGAACAGCAAAATAATCGTATGTAAACAAAATGATAATTTTTTTTTGCTTTTTTTGTTTTTATAAAGCACAAAAGCTATGCTGCTCCAATCAAAACTGAAAATGCTTTTAATGTCTGAGCAATCTTAAGAGTATTGATTTAAGTGGACAGAATGACTGCCTGGCTGATCTCTCTGATGAGTATTGAAGTACTACTTTTGGCAGGTCAGTAGAATGTGTTTTGAAGGAATTATAGGTAAGAACACAATAGGTTACCTTGAGAACTATTATTGAAACTTAAAGTAATATTTTGGTTGTATACCATAAATATATGCATTTTTAACTTGCCAATCAAAAAATTGAGTTAAAAATACTGTTTTCAGAGCAGGTGTTAAGGTATTTGCTTTTGGGTTTAAATTATATGTTGAATAATTGTTTTTATTTTCTGTTTAACAGCTGAGGTTATATACTGAAATGTTATGACTATATACTTCAATTTTTAATGGTCAGTGAAGATTATTGTTGTAGTGCAGAGCTTTTAATAATAACTTATAACCTTTCTTTTATAATTCCTTTTGGGCTATGTGATGTAATTCTTTTTAGATTTTGCTGTCGGACTTTCCCAAAGAGATTAACTTGTCATAATCATTAGATTGCTTGTATTATCTCAAATCATCTGTTCAATTTTCTCTGCGAATTTGGTTATCCTCTGTATCTTTTTATGGCCTTTGTTTTGGGGCTTCTTTAGATAGAAGTATCTAATCATCTTTGGAAGATGGTCTAGTCTGGCTGGGGCTGCCATAAATGGTTGTGCTAATGTGACGTGGTTCCCCACCACCTTCAGATGTGAAGTGCATCATGAGAATAACTGTACAGGGAAGTCCTGGGCTAGACACAGTTTCTTCTAAAGAAACTATAAATAATTCTGTCGGTAACACTTTCCTTGTTTATTACCTCACTGAGCAGCTGCATGATTTTTGCTGGCTTCCTTAACTTGGCCTTTCCTTCATCAAGACTTGTCCAGGAACATCTTCAAAGATGGAGGGATAGATTAAGGCCCATGCTTAGCTGGTGATCTATACAGGAGAATCCAATCTAGCCTAGTATATAAATTCTATACTGCCTTTTTTTTTTTTAAACAAAAGGAAATTCCAGCAATGATCCATGCTTCACCCCCTCTCTAAGCAGGCAAGGCAAGAATCTAGATAATTTTGTATTCATTTGGGAAGTCATTCTGATCATGAGGGAAAACTAGTATATTAAGCAGTATATTGAGCAGGAGAATTGAAATAGGAACAGCTTCTATTAGGTTGGTGCAAAAGTAATCGCGGTTTTGCCATTAAAAGGAATGCAAAACAGCAATTGCTTTTGCACCAACCTAATGGAAGTCCTTTTTTCTCTCCAGGACTGGAAATGATTGATGATCTTTACAGGGAAATATGGCCACCTGATTAAAGAGTGGGAAAGAGAGCAGAGAGAGACAGTATGGGTTTGATTAGGACCCAAATATGTCCTTGAGGCTCTTTCCAAAGGAAGTAGAAATTCAGAATTGTCCTGATGAGTGCAGGGTTTTTGAATGTCTAAGATAAGAAGAATTTGTCAAAATTTTCCTTAAAATGGGGCTTCTGATGATGTGTTTCCCACACCAGCAGCACCTGGTTAGAAATGTAGATTCTTGGGCCTGCCCCAGACCTACGGAACCAGAAACTCTGGGGATGTGGTGCAACCACCTGTGCTTAATCAAGCCTTTCTGGTGATTCTGAGGCAGGTTAAATATTGCTTAAAATATTGCAGAAGGTAGTGGTTTGAATCTGACCTTCAAAACCAATGTTTTTTTTCACTTACTTACAGTACGTCACCTGAGTTTACATATTGAACCTGAAGAAGGTAGCCTTGCAGGGGGAACGTGGATCACAGTCATTTTTGATGGTAGGTTGGGGTTTTACCAAGTGCACATTTCTTATGTATTGACCCACAATCCTAAAGACTATGAGTCTTTGGTTTTCTTCCTTTTCTAAGGACAGGTGTAAAAGTGGGCCTGAAGGGAGACGAACAGACTGACCAACTTCTGTCTTTCTAGATACTGGCTTGCTAATGTCACAGAAGCAAAGCACAGCATACCATGACAACTCTGTGTCCACTTTCCCATTCCAGGCTGTGGGATGGGACTCTGGGATTTCTACATGAGATGATATGGAAGTGTGTAGCATAGTGCTCAGCAATGCATCTCCCAGAATCTTGGCTATCTTCCTTAAAGACAGTCCTCTACTTGGGAGCTTCTGCACCATTGCTTAGCATATCCATCCCCAGCAGAGTAAAGAGTAAATCTGAGGGCTGAAAAATTCTTTTCTGGATTTAGGTGAACCTGAAGAGAGAAAACTCTTTCATAAAATCATAAATGAGAAAACTCCTTTATACAGCATCTATGAGGAAATGAGGAGTATTAATTTAATCCTTGGGCAAATTTAATGTCTTACATTACCCCCAGGATCTTAGCACAGTTTCACACTGTCCTGTGTCAATGACAATTCTATGCAGCCTGAGATTTCTTTCCCTTGTGTTAGGTTTGGAGTTGGGTGTTCTTTACCCCAACAATGGCTCTCAATTGGAGATACACCTGGTGAACGTGAACATGGTGGTGCCCGCACTGCGGAGTGTTCCCTGTGACGTCTTTCCTGTTTTCTTGGATTTGCCTGTGGTGACATGCCGGACCAGGTATACCTGTCTGGGAATAGGAAGACCAGACAGGATGAGGGATTTTTGCTTATCTCAGTATCTTTTGGTGACATATTAGAGCAATTTTTGCTGTGATTCAATTGCCAGCCATAGTTGTTAAAAAAAGTTTCATGTGAATATGCTTTCTAAAAGGTCCCTATCTGGGGTCTAGAACTTAACGGAGGATGAGAGTATGGGGAAGAACTTTGAGATATTCGTAAGGAGGGGCTGGATTGTGTTTCCATTTGTTTTTTTTTGCAAAGAGTTCTATGGCTATTAAGATTTTAATAAATGGTACCATTTTGCCATTGCAAATACTCATCTTTTGGAATAGGCATAATTGCAATGATTGCACATAAACCCCAAACTGGTTAGAAAAGAAATTTGCTTTAGGCTCTGTTTGCTGAGTTTGACATTACCTCTATTTAGAAAATATTTTTATAAGACTCCAGGGAATCTGTTTTTCTACTCAACTTCTTGTTGCCCTGTGAAATTTAGACTAGTTCATGTTCATTTTTATTTACTCATGTCTTAGGCATGAGTAAATAAAGTGCATGCAAGTAGATGATTGGTTAAGAGAAAAAAAACACTGTTATTTCCTTTTCTTTTCTGTTCTCTCTTTGAGGAAGTCTCCCCCTCTTCCATGTTTGGCTATGGAAATCACCAACCATACCACAAATGCCACCTTTTCCCTGAACATTCAACTAAGTTATCTTTCCCTTTTTTGAAAGGAGAAGGAACAACTTGTAGTAATTCATCCACAGGGTGTATGTGTGTGTACCCACACTTTTCTGTGCAATTCATCACCCCGAAGGGATTTTTTTTTTTTGTAATTTACACAAAGGTACAGCACGTGTAGCCTTAGTGACCCTGTGCCTCAGCTCTGAGTTTTCATAACACTTATATGTCAGTTACCCACTTGTCAGACTCCTCCTCACAGAATTAAGTGCTTTGAGGGCAGGGGATGTGTTTAATTTCACCATTGTAGTCCTCATGATGCATTGCGCAATATCTTACGAGTAGAGGATGTTCAATAAATGTCTGTTGAATTTAACATTTTTATACCACTACTATTGGTTTTAAAACTGGGTTATATATTTCCCTTAGATTTTATGGCACATTTGGGCATAGACATTCTGCAAAGACTTGCCATGAAACAAGTCAAAGCTCTGGAGATTTACATGTCCTATCTCCTTTATCCCAACATACTAATGATTTTTGGATGCACCATTGATTTTATGTCATCTTTTTAAAGAAAAGAAATATGATCCTATTAAATATACTAATTGATTGGAAGACAAATATCAGATTCAATTAAGTGTGAAAAATGTACAGTTTTTCATGAACAAAATATGTCTTATTCATCATTATCATAAAAACATGTACATAATTGTTTTCTCTAAAACAGCCATTGCAGCATCAAAAGCAGCACTTCACAATCAAAATATAATGTGAACACAAATGTAATTTAAAATTTTCTATTTAGCCACTTGAAAAAGTCAAAAGAAACAAGTGAAATTAATTTAATAATGTATTTTATTTAACTCAACATATCTAAAATATTATTTCAATATGTAATCTATATAAATTAATAATGAGATACTTTTATATCTTTTTTGTATACCAAGTCTTCAAAATTTAGTGTGCATGTTATAATCATGGCATATCTTAATTGGGACTACCCACATATCAAGTGCTTGATAAGCACATAAGACTAGTGGCTAACACAATGGACAATTCAGATCTAAATATTTAAGGTCATACTAAAGATTTTGTTGGGAAGGTTTGGAGAGGAGGCATGTCTTAAATATGGTTTCTTTCTTATTAGTCATATTCTTCCTCTTACAAAAATCAACATGGATGTCAGCATCAGGTGGCAATGAAGCCACTGCAATATTTGTATAAAGAGGAGAGAAGATCCAAGACTCTGTTTTGATGGCTACATGAAGTATTTATGGGCTGCTTGGACAATTATCAGAAAGAGCCTAAATTCAAGCCCCACTTTGCCCTTAACGTTTGAAGCTCATACACATAAGTCTCTTAGTTTTTCTGACATTTTTTGAAACATGGAAATGGGGAATAGATTATCAAAGTCTCTTCTAATTCTTAAAGTCCAATGAACCTATGATTTTGAGAAACATGACATATTAAAAACAATTCAGGGAGTTTCAACACAAAAAATCATAACTTTTTTTTGCTGAAGGACCCAGTTCTTAAAGTCTAATAATTATGAGTGGATCAAAGAGGTGAAAGGTGACTGCTGGGAATCCTTGGTTAGCTCTGTTTTAAAAGTGCAAGGAGGAAATTTGAAGTGGCAAGTGGGCTGCTAGCTTTGGGAATTCATGGTTTTTGATTCATAAGGATTTCCACTTTCTGTCCTCAGATCTGTGCTGTCTGAAGCACATGAGGGTCTGTACTTCCTGGAAGCATACTTCGGGGGACAGCTGGTAAGCAGTCCAAATCCAGGACCACGAGATAGCTGTACTTTCAAGGTGGGTTCTAAGGCTGGAGGAAGGTATGTTTACATAGTCTAAGGGTGTGCTTGTGTTATTGAAAGGCAAATTGTAAATGAGCCAGCGTGTCTGCTTGACCGGGTTAAAAGAAAATGGTGGATGGTAATGACAGAGTTTCTTATATTATACTAATGAAAGATGAATTTTGAACGTTTGTATGTCAGCCTTTAGCTAAATGCTTTATGTACATCATTTGATTCAATGCTCACAATTTTATGGGGTAGCTATTTACTGTCCTGTTTTTACAAATGAACAATCTGAGGCTCAGGGTGATTAAATAATTTGCCCATGTCATCAGGCAGTAAATGGCAGAACCAAGACTTCAACTTGCATCTGGTTCTAAATTCTCATCAAAATAGAAGCCCATAGAGGGGCCACCAAGATTACTTTTGTGGGTGTTTCATTTTACAGCTCAGATCATGCTGAGTCTCAGCATGTTGAAGAGACTCAAGGCCCCACGTTCCTTGGTGAGGAGACCCAATTTCTACCTCTCTCCCTGCTTCCTGGTATATTTCTGCTAAGTCTTTCCAACACTGAACCAAAAGGGCATTTGCTGCTGGAATTCTCCTTCATGCTCAGGGAGATCAAAAAGGAAGTAGAGAGAGAGTGTTTAGGAAGCCATGCCTGACTTATTTTACAGCCTTGATACCTATACTGGGAGTTCATTTATATTTGGTTCAGTCTGTTGTTCATTTCAGATTAGTTTTAAACAATCTCTGAAAAGGTCCTAGATGGTTTATGAAAGGCAGAGATTTGGCGGTACTCCTGTCGATGTGGTTGCCCTTCACATGGGGTACCTCTGTTTAAGAGCTGTTTCAAAACATACAATGCAGTCACTAATGAATGCTCCTTCGGAATAAGGCTTCACCTTGTAAATTTGTCTCTCCTACGATCCGTGTTTCATATAGGCTATTTGGTTTTGAAATTTGGAATTTGCTGTTGTTTCAGGTTTAATAACTTGTTTCTTAATCCAAGAGAATCTTGTTTTCTGGAATTTTGCTTTTGCACATATGCAGCAGAAAGAAAAAACATTATATCATTCTTTTTTACTAAGAGCTGCACCACCACCTCTATCCTGTCTCAGGGAACATAACAGAAGAGAGAAGTCCAAGCATTAATCACCATGATCCTTTTCACCCCAGATGGTAGTTTTCCTGCTTATTAAAAGATTGGTTAGGAGCGAGAGGGGGAAATAAGAGAAACGTTTCCTAAAATTGCACATGAAAGAAAACAAGTCCGTCAGTGGTTCAACTATCTTGGCAAGTTGATGAAAAATCACCAGGGGATGCAGTTAATGAGAGGCATTCCAGGCTAAATAAAACACGGCGTGTCTCTTTGTTTTGGGACTGGGACTGGGGAACCATGAGTATTAAAAATTAATCCCATCTTGCCAGTCCACTGCAAAGAGCCTGCTGTGGGCGCTGACAAGTTTGAATAACTCACAGAAGGTTGATCACACAGCTGGTGGCTGCAGCTTTCTCATCCTAATCTGCTGCATTTCCTCTCCCCTCTTTTGCTTCTACTGACCACACTGGGGCCCGAGGATCAGCATGCGGGAAGCTTGATTTGGAAGCTCATTAATTTTTCACTTTGTCATGTCTCTAGCCTGGTGGGTGACCAGGGGCCTGTTTCTCTTAGAAACGTACCATGTTATGTTGTGTCAGCTCAGAGAGAATCACAAGTGAAGCCCTTTTTGAGGTTTAACCCCAAGCCTGCCCCACCACGATCTCACGAGCTGGGAGGGAGTAATAAAGGAGTTGCTGTGTTTCCCATGGAAGTCTGGTAGAAGGATTATAGACTGAGTGGTGGCTCTTAGATTTCAGGTTGAAATAGAGAGGTATGCTTCCTTATTTGGTTTGGACTCAGTTGTTCCAGCTGCCTCAGGTTCTAAACATCTGTGAAATAGGTCAATAACCACTACTGTACTTCACTAAGCTCCTATGATATAGTCCAGTTGAAATAATGTTGATATGAAGGCCTAGGGGCAGTGGTTGGCTGGGAGGGTGGGGTGGGGACTGAATGTTTGGCAGGTGTGTGTGTAACTGTATTAATCTTTATCTTTTGGTGAGATCAGAGCCAGTTCCCAAGCTGTGAAGTAACAACATTGTTATTTTGACCCCCTGACACCACATATTTTCTGTGAACTATTTTCTAACCCTTTCCTTTAGACAGTGAGGAAACTAGCCTTCATGGCAGACTATACAGCATATGGATCAATACTTAAAACCTACGCCTGGCAAGCCACCATCAGCTTTGTTGAAATGTCTGTTGATTCTCAATCTGATTAAGGCTGTTGATTAACAACCGAGTTATTCTTTGGTGATGTTCTCTCTGGGAAGGTAGACTCCTGAGGTGCTGGAAGCAGACCAAACAAAACAATTTGCTGCTGTAATTTGTTTTGCAAATGGGAAGCACTGTAGGTTGTGTGGAATGGTGGTAGTCTAGGCATCTAGAAGGGATTGGGGGAGGGGAGGGAAGGGGAGACTAGGTCTCTTCCTAGGTAAGTAATTGGCTCACAGGTCAAGCCTTGGTCTGGCCAGTTCATCCTTAAGCTTTCCTGTTTCTTCATACTGGCCCTGCTGTGATTTCCTGATGGAGTAATGCACTAATCTTAGACTAACACAGATGCCTACAGGTGAGATGGAGTTCCTGGGATTGCCTCGTTCTCACCTCTCCTTCCAGGCAGTATATCAGTCATCCCAGATTGGGTGACTCTTTTCATTCACAAAAATTCGAATGTCGTCTGCATACCAGTCTATGCACAGAGACACAGCAGCGACTCAGTCAAGCATTGTCCCTGCCTTTGTGGAGCTTATGGTTAACAGAGGGTGTGCTTTGGGGACAGGGGGCATTGTAAGATGATTTGGAATGCTACCGCCAGGCTTTCTCAGGCTCTCACTGCTCCCATTGAGGCTGCTTTCCTCCTCCTTGAAGAACAATGTTGCTTCCCATTCCTTGAATCTTTTGAGTCATTTCCCTCACAGCAGGTATCTTCAGTTTCCCTAGTAAGCACCTCAGTTGTGTGCCTATCCAGTTTCTCATTTTTTTGTAGCTTACTGATACCTACCAAGGTGCTGGCTGATAATGATTTGAAGTTTTGATTCAATTAAATAAGTGCATTCCTTTCTAGAAAAATCAAAATCTTCAAGGCCCCAAAACATCAAATTACAATGGAATTAAAAGACTGACATTCTGCACAAAGACCTGTCTACCTTTCCTTCTAGTAAAATGTGTTCTTGGGTATGGAAGGTGGGCAGGTAGAAACAGGCTTGTCAAGGTTTGGACAATATGGTACAGAATAGAGGGCTATGTGACCTTAATCAAATTACCTCTACCTCATCTATAGGAGAAATATGATAATATCTATCATTTCTGTTTCATAGAAATATTACAAAGATAAAAAGAACTAGACAGATGTGAGGGTGACATGAGTAAATATAAGCATTTATTACCTTCAAGTAATGCTGTCTGAGGAAAGGCTTGTGCCTCCTGTGTTTGTGAATATTTTAATGACATGCTCACTTGTGGTACTATTTTCTAAACAGTTTTCCAAGGCGCAGACACCCATCGTTCACCAAGTTTATCCACCAAGTGGTGTTCCAGGTAAGAAATCTTCTATTAAAATAGGAATAATTGTGAATCTGTTTGCCAAAGCTTGTTGCAAACCTAGGTGAGTGGTTTTTATGAGTGGGAAAATTTAACTTCTTCTTTGATGCTGTTTTGAAAATAAGAGTCAACCTCTGGTTCATTTTTAACGTGCTTTGGTTTTACCTCTGGGCACTTTTGCTCTATTACTTCACTGATAACAAAAGGAATCCAAACATGAAAAGAAAAAGAGGACAGCAAAATCAAATGAGTTGATGTTGGAGACTGGAGGAAAGAGGAGTCATCCTTGCTTTTAACTTTATAATCATTCCCATAATAATAAACCTTTATTAAACTGTGTGCCAGGCTCCAGTCTAAGCTCTTCAGATATCTTACTAGATCCTCGCCAAAACCTGATAATAGAAGAGCTATTTTTATTCCCATTTTGCAGTTGAAGAAATGAGGTAGCAAAAGGTTAAGAAATTTGCCGAAAGTCATATAGATACTAAATACCACAGCTGAGATTTGAACCAGACAGCCAGAATCCAGAGTGGCCCATATATCCACCATTCTGTCATATTTTGAGCAGCATTGGATGCCACTTGGAAGGTCATTAACTCTAGTCTTCATCTAGGGGTTTTGTTTATAAAGTTAGAGAGCACACAGATATTTAAAAGCCAGGAGGATAGAAAAGAAGATTATATAAAGCTGGGGGATTTACATAAAAGAAGGGATTGCAACTGAGAAGTGGATTCAGGAATTGCTAAATCTGCCTTAAAACTAAGTAGCAAACACAACTAGGATTATATATAATTTGCTGTCTGATTCCTGCCAAATTCCTACCTTTATTTAAGGTTTTCCATTTGTTAGAGTTTCCAAAATGGTAAGAGTGTGCTAAAAAGTTGCTAAATTTTTATTATAGTTGTGTCTAAATGCATAGACGGATCTTGTTGTTTTGATTGGCTCAACTGCTCAAGCATGTCAAAATGAAGATCTAAGTTATTGAAAAGCGTTTTATATTTTCTGTGTTTGTGTGTATAGACACAGATTATGTATGAGTGAATTTAAATTATATTTCAGAGAATATGAATTTGGCATGCTCTTGCTCATGTGGGTTTTTCACAGATCTGCTCCTTTCCATTTGTCTGAATCATTGGGACCTGATATTTTATGAAAGAGGGATGTGGTCTGTGAAAATCACATGCAGACATGTGGGTCCCTGCTGCTCTGATGTTAGAAACTCCTGTGTAGATGGCAGAAGTCTTGTTAGGGTGAGGGATGAGGAAGCAGACAGCCATTAGAGGTGTGAAATGGAATGTCAGCTGGCGCCCAGATCTGCCAAGCCCATTTCTTCCACCAAGTTGGAGTTCTGCTCGGTGTCTCTTCCACCTTCTGGGGAAAGGATTGGTGGCGGGCTGGGTTGGAGTGGTCCCCCCTGGGCAGGATCCATACGACTGCATCTTTGTAATCACTTTCCAGATGAATACTCTCATTTCATTTGGGAAGCCTGCCCAGTGTAGCAGCCAGGGAGATGGGGGAGGTGGTAGGGACAAGAGAGACGATGCTTTCTGAGCAGTTGGGTTTCTATACGTGGTTAGCAGTCCTTCACTACGACATGGAATCCCCCATCACCGTGCTCTGGTGTGGCCATTTGTCAGCCTGTGCTGGCCATCTTCGTTTAGAAACAAAACAAAAACCCACAGAAATTCCTAATTTCTACAGTCTTTTGTTAGTTTTAAAATTGTGCCTGTCAAAGCTAGAAGTCATACTCACCAAGGCTAGGGAATCGATCATTTAGCCCTATTAAAATTAGAATTATTCTGCCAGATTTTTTTTAGCAGTAACAGGAAACTTGAGACTCTGGATTTCTGCCAACTCTGTGACCTTTGCCTGTCATTAGGTCATTCTACCCATGCACCTATAAAATTGTGGCTGTAATACCTTCCGAAAGATTTCTGTTGTTTTAGTGAGAGTCATCCAATGAGTGCAGATGAAAGTCACTTCTTACTAATAACACACAAGTGCAGTAGGAAGGGAACATCTTTTTTGTCACATTCTTTGGTGGCATTCAGTGTCTATAAAGAGGCTCAGTCTTCTGGATTTCATGACCTCATGAGTCCCTCAGTATGCTTTTCTCTTCTATTCCTTGAGGTTTATCTCACTAACCAACATTCTTTTATCTCTAAACATTGTCTGTGATGGTTTAAGTATACATGGTTAAATATTCTAATTATTTGGAAGGCACATACTTGGGATCCCTGAAGACCCATCAGATTGTGTGATATGAGCCTCTTCATATCACATGTTCATTTTAGCAAATGCCCAGAGGAAAGTCTCATGAAGCCTGGAGCACCCAAGGCACATTGTCCTTAAATCTCGTGTTGGGTAGATGGTCTCCACAGAGCCAAGAGAATGGAACAGGGCAGTGTGTGGAGATGAGCCCCTCCTTTCTGAAATGTTCACACAATCTGAGACTGTGAAGAAGACCCATTATTCCTTCTATGCTCCATGCATTAGAAGATTAAGTCTGTGATTGAAACAATTGCTTATTTTAGCTTTTATATTGTGTAATATTGATCACTAAATCATACCCTTGACCTTACTGTTGTACAATTTATTAAAAGTATTAATTTTCTGGGCCATGACCTGCTTTGCCATATTGAGTATATACAACCAAAAAGAAACATGGTTTTTTATTATACATTGAGTTTGAGCTAAGTCCATTAAATTAAAAAAATTCTTCTTCAAACAGGAAAACTAATACATGTATATGGCTGGATTATCACTGGAAGATTGGAAACTTTTGATTTTGATGCTGAGTACATTGATAGGTAAGTGTGTGTTTGTTTTTGTGTTTAACTAGTTACATACATGCTGCATGGCTTCCTGGGACCAGCTTCCCTGATGGCAATAAATTGTAAGCAGTTGGCACAGAATTGCTATTTTCCTTTTTGCAGTTTATGGTCCCTCATGAGCTGGGCTTCAGCAAACTTTGTTAATGTAATTGCAACTGGTCAATTAAGTTGGTCCATTTATTTACTGACAACTAGTCACTCTGGGCTCAGTGTGAAATGAACTGTAATTGCATCTGTGGATTTTCTTTTTGAATTCTCACCCTTCCTTCCTTTGTTTCTCAGCCTGAAATAGATTCTTTATAAAATGATGTGTAAACCCAAAAGCCCATTATAACTTTCTTATTTGGTTGTTATCCATTTGTGCTTTAAAAATTGTATTAGTGGGGTCAGAGGAAAACATGGACACAGGTATTAAAAGCCATAGAGCTTTTAATGTTTTCTGGGAATGATTAGGATGTCAACATGACTTTCTTCACTGGAGACGTGGTGGAAAGTGTTACTATTAAATCATCCACACTGGAGAGAGAGAACAAGACAAAAAGTGTTGAAATTGTAGAGGCTGTAGGAAGCTCTAAGCAACTGTAATCATTCAACAAATGAAGCAATTGTACTGAGCATTTATAAGGTAGAAGGAAAATGATCTTACTATATACTCAGCTGCATAGATTCCATACATGGTGTCTAATTTTTCCTTCACTCTGGATGGGTTGGGGGCATCCTCTTCTGTTCTACTCCATCTGTCTGATTTTGCCCTAGTTGAAGAGAATATGATCTTATTACTCTCAGGATTGACATTTCTGGCATTAAGCAATGGTCAACTTACCTTACAAGAAAACTACTCTTCTTGTGGGGGGTAGAAACTCCTACTACATCCTTGGGAATGTGCCATATTTTGCTAGGTGATCCCATCTCAGCCTTGGTCTGGGATACAGCCTTTGAAAGGGGGAATAAAGGCATAAATGCAATATTATCTCTGTGTAGAATCAATATAGCCAGTGTGGAGATGATGAAGGTTTTTTGGGAAGGGAGAACTATTTTCTGTTTAGTGTGAAAGCATGAGCCATGAGTGCATCCCTACTCTCTGCTGAGAATTTGACTTGACATCCGCCTTCAGCCACCTGCAATAGTGCAGAAAAATCCAGAGGAGAGTGTTCATAGCCATGTTTCCTCTGAGTTTTGTGAGGAATGTTTATTGGGAGTATTGCACAATTATCTCTTGTCTTTTGTTTTCATTTTTTTTTAAATCCAGCCCAGTGATCTTGGAAGCTCAAGGAGACAAATGGGTTACTCCTTGCTCTCTTATAAATAGGCAGATGGGAAGCTGGTGAGTGTCTTATTATCTTGCCAATGCACATGCTTGTAAGTTCGTCCACATGGATACAACACACACACATTCTCTCTCTTTCTCTCCCCACTCACCATATATCTGTTTTTTTAAAATATAAATCACACATAGCTATTTACTACCTTATCTTTAGACTACTGAAAAAGACACAGGGATTGATTCAAAGTGCGTATTGAAGTGGATGCCAAAACCTTCCTTGAAAACACATAGCTAATACTTGTTAGGGGCTTACCATAGGCCAAGCTCTGCTCGAATGCTTTACATTGAAGTCACCCAATAATCTTGGGAGTATGTATGGTTATTAGTCTCACATTATAGATGAGGAATTTGAGACACAGAAAAGTTAAGTAACTTGCACAAGGTCTCACAGAGAGCAAGTGGCAGACCTGGGATTTGAACCCTGTCTAACTAATCATCCCCTAGAGTTCATGATCTTAACCACTATACTTCAGTGACTAGCCAAAGGTAAAAATAATAAAAAATTTAGAAATAAGTTTCTACACTCTCCAGTTTAAATACCCAATGTTTTGCTGGATTTTTACTTCACTCTGGACAGGGTGTGTTGCCCCTCCTTTGAGGCCATTACAAGAATGATACTCTATGGTTTCACTTTTTCAGACTGGTGTGTATTCTGCCCTTGTGTGTAGTCTTCCTTGTGTCTGCATTTTGTTTGCTCAGAATTGTCCTTTATGGGGTTCATACTTGATAACAGATTTTTTAAAAATAAAGGTTTTGTTATACTTGTCATATGACACATTTGAAAAGAAAGGACCAAATGCTTAAGGTAGTACTAGTTAGCACTAGGGCAAATGCTTAGGGTATTACTAACTAGTATATATAAAGGGTAATACTAGTTAGTATTACCCTAAGCATTTGCCCTAATGAACTCATTATACTTTCTCTGTCTACCATTTTCTCTAGCAAATTTGGTTTTCTTTTGCTTTCTACTTTCCTGGTTAAAGAGTCAGATCTTCTGGTAGTGAGTTGTCTGGTCATTCTTACCTCAGTTTGTCTTTTCCTTAGTTATCCTATTCAGGAGGACCATGGTCTTGGGACTCTGCAGTGCCATGTGGAAGGCGACTACATCGGTCTGTTAGAGAAGTAACATAATTTTAAAGTCTTATCCATTTCTTTCTCTGTATCCGGACAAAAGCAATTGCAAGATTGGTTCTCATGAGGATAATAATAATAACAATAATTACTATTTGTTAAGAATTCCCTGGAAAATACTACTATATGAAACAGCTCATATAGAAACTAATTTAATGCTCACATACACCTGTGAAGTTGGTGGTATTATTTTTGGCTTTGCAGGTGAGAAAAATTGAAGTTAGTTACCAGTAAATCAATATTTAAATGGTGCTCCATCTAACTCGAAGCCTGGGCTCTTCCCTGCTATGCAATACTGCATTTGCCCTTTTATTGCTAGAAGTCCACATTGCTAATGATGCTAAACTTATGAGGTGTTTTTTTTTTGTTTTTGTTTTTTTGTTTGTTTGTTTGTTTTTGCGGGGGGGAACCACTAAAGAAATTACAGGTTTGGGTGGTAATTTGATGATATTGGAGTCTTTGGGCTTATGAAAGCAATGGCCTGGCCCAGAAGACTCGTGCAGATTCCTGAGTTAATGTGTGTTTCTTTGTGTTACAGGCTCCCAGAATGTTAGCTTCTCAGTATTTAACAAAGGAAAGTAAGTAACTGGGTATAGAAATAGGCAAATTTGTCTTCATTTTATATTACCTATCTCTCTCATCTTGCTTACTTTCTTTATCTTTTTATGACGGAAAATGTTAAACATATAAAAACAGAATAGTATAATGAGACCACATATAACTCCTTGACTTTTTTACCTGGGTGAATGAAGTTGTGTCCTCTTCACTAATCTGTAGGCAATGTGTGTTTCAATATGGTGGTGTTGCAGAATTTTGGGAATTAAATCTTAAGTAATTTCAAAGTACTGTAGGTTGAAAACTGTCACAAGTATCTTATAAGGAACATGGTTTCATGAAATACATTGTACCATCTAGGAAGTGCCTTCTTGAAAATGGAAGGGGTCCACATTTTATCACACTTTGAAGTGATAAATTAGCATTCTGGAATTCTGAATCCTTACCTTATATTTTGCCCCTACATAATTTGACAGGTGTTTCTGTTAAAAGCGTAGGGTCTAATTGATAATAATTGCCTTGTAATGACAGTGACAATTATAGCTATACAGCCCAAAGTATGGAGATTTTCTCTCTTTCTCATTTTGGAAGAAATAAAATTAATGTCTATTGAGTATTGACTATAGGCCAACTAAGGACTAGGCCCTTTCACACTCATCATTTCATTGAACATTTGGGACATCCTATGAAGCAGGCATTATTCCCATATGATAATTTTATATATCAGAAAACAACTTTGTCCTGTTGGTATTGTTCTTTAGTTATCCAAGGGAGCTGCTATTTCAACTGTTCTAAAGATCAATAGAGGTTAGTTCCCAATCTTCCTTTCAGGCAGCCGACTAAAAAAAATGCAATCCCAGTTGATATTTTCATTCAAAACAGAACTTTGTCTTTTTCGAAGGTCAATGGTCCACAAGAAGGCATGGCTGATCAGTGCTAAACAGGATCTTTTCCTATACCAGACACACTCAGGTACTATCCCCCTTCACCAAGTACCCCTTCCCTTGTGCCTCACTCAATGTTGGCCCCTCCTTCCCTATCTTTTGGCCATTTCTTGATGACCATTAACACCCGAAGCTGTCCCTACAATCATAGACAGCCTGGTGTTTTTGGTTGAGATTAAATTGCTTGTATCCATGTCAGGTTTAGTTAATATATTAAAAGAGACTTGATAATAAACTTCTATACAAATTCTATGGATATAAACTGAATAAAAGAAAGGAGAGTCTTGCCTTATTCTGTCTTCTGAAAGTAAAAGAAAAAAGGTGGCACTTAAAAAGTCTTAAAGCACATCTTTCCAGTTACTTTAACATCCATCTCTGAGCATTCATTCAATAATTTATGACTAATATTGATATTAAGCTGTTCTGTTGCCATCTGATGAGTAAACCCTCATACTAAAAAAATGAATGTGAAAATTGGAAGCTTGCTTGGAATTGTGAACTCGATTTGGTAGTAGAAAGCTGGCTACTAAAGAATACTTAGATTCTAGAATGGAATACAGTCACACAGCCACTGAAGAAATGTCTGTGGGGTTGGTTCAGATTCCAGAAGCAATCAAAATCTACCTTTGTCAAAAGTGCAAGATAATTCACAGGTCATGGAGAAAATGTCATTTACTCTCTAGATAGCCTAATCCTGCAACAGCTGCATTTTGACCCTGATTTTTCCTTTCTTTCAACAGTATTGCTAGTCTATTTGGGGTAAGTTTGAAGAAGCGCCCAAGGTGATGGTGATAACGATAGCTGCTATAGAAAGAATGTCAGACCTTGTTAAGTGTCTTACATACAATCTCAATATTAATTTCACTTAACTATGAGATGGATTAACATTAGCCCCATTTTACAGATAAGGAAACAGACTCAGATAAACAAAGTATCTTGTCCAAAGCCAAAGGTCTTAGAGCTAGAATGTGTAGTTCTAATTCCAAATCTTATGTCCATAGCCAATATATGGTGGGAAGCACACTCTTCTTGCCACTCCACTCCAAGGTTTTTGTGAGCCTGCCCATTGCTATCAAACCCTAGAATGACTGATAGGCTGACAGGTATCTCTGATGACACAGCTCTTTTACATTTCCAGGGCAGTGTCTTCTTGGGATCAGGACTCACAGGCCAGAACTTCTTCACAGCAGAGCAGGCTGTAGGAAGAGAGGGTGTAGACAGCCATGAAGAGCCCTGGGCTGAGCTCCTCAGGGGCTGACATTCAATCACTAGTTAAGCCTTTTAAGCTTTTTGAGCCTTAATTAAGCATCTCTAAAACTGACAAAGTGGTGCTTATCCTTCTTATTCCAAAAGTCGTCTAAAGAGGTAGAGGAGCAAGAATCTTGGAATTCATCTAAAATTTCTCCTTCCTCCTCCTTTCCATATCTGTTCAATCACCAATTTCTGCCAGTTTTCTCTCTTATTTATGATGTATCTGTACAGCAACTCTCCATTTCTGGACCCCATCACCTCTTGTGTTACATGCTGCAGTGGTTTCTAGAGGCCCTGACTTGCCCTCTGCCCCTTCAAGCCCCTCCCTGGCTTTCTCTACATCAAGCATATATCTGATGCATGGTTCCTTCCTATTCACCATCCTCTTATGGCTTGCTATCCCCTACTGGAAATGGGGCAAACTTCTGACCTCCTCCTTGTCTGTTTCTCCAGCTTTATCTCTGTCTCTCATACTCCAGCCACACTTAACATGCACTGTGCAATTTCTTCTGTCCACACTCAGGCTATCTTTTGCTTTAAATGCCCTCTCCTTCTCCTCTTCGCTAGGCCACTTCTAATTCATCCTTTAAGACTCAGATTAGTGTCATCTCTAAACATTTTCTTCTACACCTCAATACTCCCATCCTACTCCCAAAGTTCTCTATTCTTTCATATACTCTCTAATTTCTCCGACCCAAGGTATTAAATGATAGTTTTGCATACCTGCCTTACCATGCTGATCTTCTCGAGGACAGGAACTATTTTGTATTCATCTTTATATTCCTAGTACCATATAATAGGTGCTCTGTGAATGTTGAAAAAAATTATCAAATATCTACAACTATGTTAAAAGTTTAAGAACTTCATAAATTTTGTTTTTGATCTGTGTAATTTTGAATGCATAACAAAAGAATGTGTTAATCTCTACGTAAAGCTGATACAAAATTCCAGTGCTAGTGTAAAAAAAAAGAAATTATAAAATAGTGGGTTAAAAGCAGGGGGTTATTATGGTTTAGTGGTGAATTTTGGTATCTGAGTGTAAGGGATCAATCTTTGCCTCCATATGTCTCCTCTGCTTTGTCTCATGGGCAAAAAGCATTATAAAATAACCTCCTAAAATGTCTATTTTTCAGGGGTAACCATTCATCATTAGCTTTTGTACCTTCAGTTTACACAAAATGCAACTCCTCTTTTCTCTGGAGGGAATGAATCTTAGAAATGTCAAAGCTTGATCGTAGGAGAGGAAAGAATGAGATAAAGCTAAATTCTGAGGACTATGTGTCATATTACTGTAGGTAATTTCTTTTTTTAAATTTTTTATTTTATTTTTTCTTGAGACAGGGTCTCGCTCTGTCACGCAGGCTGGAGTGCAGTGGCACCATCTTGGCTCAGTGCAACCTCCGCCTCCTGGGTTCAAGCAATTCTCCTGTCTCAGCCTCCCAAGCAGCTGGGATTACAGGTGCACACCACGGAACCCGGCTAATTTTTGTATTTTTAGAAGAGACAGGGTTTCACCATATTGGTCATGTTGGTCTCAAACTCCTGACCTCAGGTGATCCACCTGCCACTCGCTTCGGCCTCCCAAAGTTCTGGGATTACAGGCCTGAGTCACTGTAGGCAATTTTAAACAATCAGGAGCAGCATGAAAGAACTGGGTATGAGGTGTGAGGTACATGTGGGGAAGGAGCATTCAGTGTGGGAAAGAGTGGGAGGGTCCTAAAGACAGTGAAATTCATTCTTCTGCTTAGAGCAAATTACAGATTCATATGGGTGAACTGAAGCCTTTCCCAGTGTACCCAAAGTTGATTCCTCCTTGTGTTGTAACTTACTGTTCCCTGACTTGTCAATATTGTCCTTGAGGTCAGGAGACAGATTTTCTGAGAAAATGTCATGGTACTAGGGGCTTTTGCTGATACCATGAATGATTCCACATTTCCCCTTCCTTTCAAATATTGATCCTCGATAATATATACTTCTGGTCTTTTTCTTATTATGTGCATTTTTAAATAGTTATTACTAGAAAAAAATTCAACTGTTGCTGGACTTAGAAAGTTAAAGTAAGAAATTATTAATATCTCCTATTATTATATTATTATCTAGGTCATATTCTGGTCTATATTTGGAAGCTTACTTTTTTTTTTTTTTAACTCTTGCAGAAATATTATCTGTGTTTCCAGAAACTGGGAGCCTTGGGGGAAGAACAAACATCACAATTACAGGAGACTTTTTTGACAATTCTGCCCAGGTTACCATTGCAGGTAACTATGATGAAATGGCTGAAAATAGTTCATAGTTTTAGATGCTCTAGGAGATTATATGTCTGTATGGCATGAGGGATGCAGGAGGAAGCAAGCTTTGCCCCTTCTGACTCATCATGTTTGATAAGTCATGTGTTTGGTTGAGACCAGGTGGGATTTTGGTCCTACAGTACATGGGTCACAGGAATGGAATGTCCTGCAGACACACTCACAATGCATAGGCAATTCCCTCAGGTGCCCCTATCTTGTGAGTGAAGAGAAAGAAAGAAATACAGCTCCTTCTTGACAAAGGTTTACTTCTACTAAAAACAGCCCCTCTCTTCACTCTCCCTTGTTAGCTGTCTTGATATAGACAAGCAGGAGTGGGTGGGCATTTGCTATGCAGATTACTCTGGAAATCCCCCGCACCCCAACCTTGGCAAACCCTTTTATGGACCTGTCTAGAGCCTTTTGTTTTGCCAGGTCCTGTAGCAGGTGGGATGCCTCTGTAGTTGGTGACACCAAGGGTGTCCTCACACTGTCATGTCACACTTACCTCCCATGCTCAGTTAGGTGGTTCAGTACGTCCCCAATGAAGAGCACTCCATTGCATGGCTTTCCTTCTGAATACTCCACGCTGCCCTATGCTCTGCTGCTCTGCACTCTCTCTTTTCTCCTTCAATTGGGGTGACAACTTTCGCTATTCCATCCACACCCAGCCCTTTGCCTTAGAATAGGAGCCTGTCTACTTCAGTCTGGTCTTGCCATCACATCTCCCGACTGCCTCTCTCTCTCTCTGTCTCTCTCTCTCTCTCTCTCTCTCTCTCTATATATATATATATATATATATATATATATATATAATTATACATATACCCACACACATATACATATATATGTATACCTACACACACACACATACATAAATTTCTTTAATTCGCTTTAGGCATTCCATGTGATATTAGACACGTGTCTCCCAGGAAGATTGAGTGCACCACTCGGGCTCCAGGAAAAGATGTGAGGCTCACCACCCCTCAGCCAGGTAAGGAAGCCACCAGGGCTGTTCAATAAACTCTGAATATCTTTAATCATGATGGGCTGGCGAGTAGAAATAAAAGTGTTTGAATTCTTTCTCATCTATTTGACTGGCTTACTCAGTGAGCCCTGGGTCCATGATACCATTGTCAAGGCTCTCCTTTCAGGAAGGCTCTTAGCTTTATTCAGGTGCTTAGTGACATTGCACTTCTAGCTCCAGCCAGCTGTATGGCCAGTGGCGTCCAGAAGAGACCATGGTCTAGAAAGCATAACTGCCCTCAAGATATTGTTATAGCTACTGGAAGAAACCCCCAAACTGCCCGCCTTCATTCAATGGGTCAGTTGCACGTCCACTGGCTAAGAAGACAGGAGCGTTAGAGTGTGCTCTGCTATGCTCAAAACAACAGCATTAGACAAGGTCGGAGAGTAGGGCACAATGGGATGCATTTAAATATGAATTTTTCTCTCTTGTGGGCATCTGTCTGCTGCTTTGAGAAACAGGGATATATTGTGATGTTGCCACCAGGTTATGCCTGAAGTGGGCAGAAATGGAGGAGGCAAGGGAGCTTCCAGCTGTCCTTCTCTGTTTAAAGCATCCACCCTACAGCAGCAAATTAAGAGCACAATACTGGAGCACTTTTCTGCTGAGCATTAGAACTGAAGGCTCAAGTGTAGTCAGGGATGAAGGGCAGTTGGTATGTTACTCAGCCAAGAACCACAGGCTGCACATCTGTGCCCAAGGGCCTGACTTAATGGTTAAACTACAGGCAGCGAGAGTCAACTCTAGAGGCACAGCACCTACAAGGAAAGTTGCCCAGCAGGGGAAGAAACCTTTCTAAAGAAAGGGCATTCAGGTGTGAAAATGCATGCAAAGTTTTGGCTTGAGAATTCTCCAGCTCCCAGATCTGCAGTTTTTACTCAGGGAAAGCTTCCATCCAAGGAAACAAAACTACTGAAACAAGTAATCAAGATAATGTGTGTTTCCTGTCAGGAAATAGAGAGTCTGCTCCCTTTTTCAGTATTTCCTGCTTTAGCTACTTGGGTAGTGGTAGGATAATTTCCTGAATGCAGCTGGTTTGACAGTTAGTGTTGTCCTTTATGAAGGGCTTTTGAAGTTTCTTCCACAGAAGCTGGGCGAATTACTATGGAAACCAATTGTTCTCAACCAGGGGCAATGTTGCCCCTCGGGGGACACGTAGCAATGTGTAGAAACATGTTTGGCTGTTAGACCGGAAGTGGTGGTGGTGGTGATGATACTGACATCTAGTGGGCTGAGGCTGGGAAGGCTGCTAGACATTGTGCAATGCATAGGACACCCCCTCACAACAGTTACCCAGCCTAAAATATCAATAGTGCTGGGGTGGAGAAACCCTGGTTTAAAGTAATATTTTCAAAATATGCTCTTACTTTTCTGTTTATTCCTTATCCACCTCTCCCTTTTAGGAGTTGTTGAGGAACAACAGTATTAGTTTAAAATAATAATTACCATAATTACCTTTATTGAGCACTTACTGTATTCCAGGCTCTTTGAGTATATATTTTCCCTTGGTCCTAGTGTATTATTGCTATTTTATTATTGGTCCCATTTTGATGCATGAGAAAATGAAGATGCAAGGACATCAAGGAATTTGCTCAAAGCTACACGTCTAGCTGGGATTCCAGAGTTTTGCCTTCAGCCCAAGTTAGCATTCAATATTGATTGCACCTGTGCCTTTGGCCTCAGGGTTTGCTTAACACAAAATATAAATTAATACAATATCATTTAAAATGTCACATAATAGCAGCATGCCACATATTTGGCTCTGTGTGCAGGTCCACAAATTGAGGCCATGACACTTGAGAAACTTAAGGATTGCCAATGTTATGGGGAAAAAAGACTTTAGAGAATTGAATTTCACAGCAGAACTGGGACTTAAAAGATACTGAAGCCCACTTCTGGCTTTGGGAAGCACAAAGCCAAGCCACGTCACCAGCACACAGTCACATTGTCCTCCTTTTACTCAGCCTCAGCTTCTGTTTGCTCATTCAATTCACATTTTCTCCAGGACTTGATTCTCTTTTCTAGGAACTCTTGCTAAAAAAGGCTAACTCCTAACCCATGGAATGTTTATTACTTTCCGGAACATTTGTATTTCATATTAACTACAGAACCTTTCATATAACTACTCTATCTGGCTCTAGGTTGACTTACCTTTACAGGTAGCATCTGGGTCATCTTTCACCTTGTAATTTAAAATAAAGTAATTCCCCAATTTGGGAAGGTGCGCCCTGTAATGTTTATGCGATCTACATGTCTTACAGGCAATCGAGGGCTTCTTTTTGAAGTTGGAGATGCTGTTGAGGGACTGGAACTGACTGAAGCCACCCCAGGGTACAGGTGGCAGATTGTCCCTAATGCCAGTTCTCCATTTGGGTTTTGGTCACAGGAAGGACAACCTTTCAGGTATGTTGTAGGAAAAGTGGGAGCCCACATCAAAAGCACCTTTGCTAACCTAGGTGAGGCTAGGAGACAGATAAGGAAGGTATCAAGATTTCCAGGAATTTATAACACTAGCCAATTCAACAACAACAGAGTTTGACAGTATTCTCAATCAGTGTTGGTCATGCTAGTGCAGGGACAAATTTTGATCAATATGTAATATGTATATTTTCCACAACTTAGTTTACAATCTGTTTTGGAGATGATTATCAACTAGAACATTGAGCTGAGCAGGCCAGGAGACTGGAAAGACAGCAGAGTAAAACATGCTTTAGGTACCTGGTTAAGAGGTAAAACTAACATCTGGTTGATGCCAAAGAAAGATCCAAGAATTTGCCCTTTGGGTACATGAGGGAGCAAAGCCTAGGCAGCATGCTGTAGGAACAGCCTTCCAGTGCTGAAGGTCAACCCAATGGCCCTTGTATAGTAGGGGAAGCTCTTGCGGGTTCTGTGAGACATTGTTTTCAGTAGTAGTGATGGCATCATGATTCTAATTTTCCTGTTTAATGGTGTGTAATTCCTTTAGTCTTTTTAGTCCCTTCAAGGATGTAGCCAAAATTTCTAGTATTCTAAAGTAAACTTAAAAATATAAAAGCTTGAAAATTGCTTAGACACACTGTTTCCTTAGTGTGTTCTCAGTGTATATGTTGAAGGATGGATCCTTTACTGAATGATGGATCTCTTTTCCCTTTGAAATCCTTCTTAGAGAGGATGACTGTGACTCATGAGTGTGAATTTCAGTCAGTCTGTGACCTCCTCCAAATATTTTACCATTTTATTAGGTTGGTGCAAAAGTAATTGCGGTTTTTACCGTTGAAGGTAATGGCAAAAACCGCAATTACTTTTGCACCAATCTAATAGATTTCAACTCAGTTGTGTAAAGAAAAGCTTAGAGAATTTTTAGGCATTGAATAAGCCAAGTAGGGTTGGTAATCTGTGAGCAGGAAAGTGTCTCCTGAAGCCTTACTTACTAGGTACTTAACCATGAGTTTATGGTTTTAAAGTGGCAGTTAAGGCTGGATGCTATGGCTTGAGCCTGTAATCCCATCTACTTGGGAGGCTGAGACAGGAGGATCGCCTGAGTCTAGGAGTTTGGGACTAGGCCCTGTCTCTAAAACGTAAAAAATAAAAAATTAGCCAGGTGTGATGGTGTGCACCTGTAGCTACTTGAGAGGCTGAAGTGGAGAATTGTTTGAGCTCAGGAGTTAGGGCTGCAGCGAGCCATGATCACACCACTGCACTCCAGCCTGGGCAACAGAGTGAGACTCTGTCTTTAAACAAAGAAACAAATAAACAAAAATGTGGCAGTTAATTTGTGGTCCATTGTAGCACCTAATAATTCATATTTATCATAGTTTTTAACGACCATTTAATAATGTTCAAAGGAAAATCTTTCAGCTGCATTTGGTGTATTTGGGAGTGTTAAGGAGTGAGTCAGCCTACCCCAAAAGGCAAAAGAACATTTTGACTTCTATAGTAAGTGTTGCAGGGTATGTCCCTTTAACTGCCATTTTGAGGAACCACAAGCCAGGTAGTAACTAATTTTCCATTCCCTCTCTCATTAATCTCTTTAAAATCTAAAAATTTTAAATTAAAAAATTAAAATATTCATTTATTGGTAAGTTAATATAATTATATTGTGGACTTTTAAAGTAGTTATGTTTGAAGCTATTTTTAGGTATGAAATTATCTCAAAAATAAAGATAATGTATGTACATTAAAGCAAAATTTAAAAACATCTTTATATTGATCATCTGAAGATTTAAGAAAATAGCATTATCAGAAAATATTCTTGGTATTTATTTACAGAGTCTAATCAGTTCTTTAACTATATCTGCCTATAATATTAGGTTGCTGGAATTTAAATATTAAAAATATTATCTTTTAAAAAATGTTTTATGAAATTGCCTGTAATCTTCTTCAAAGTTGCATTTGATGGGTTTTAATTTGAAATTGTTGACATTTTGAATTGACGCTTATCTGTGGATCATAATATTTTTAATTAGAAAAATGCTCTCTGCAGGTGTTGAGGTAGCTGGTAAGCTCAGAGCAAATTCTCATAAGCAATCTGTCTTTATTTCTAATAATAAGAATAGTATTTACTATAGATTGAGCTTCTACCATGATCCAGGGCTTGCAATAGCTGTGTTAGGTGGTTTTGTCAGCTAAGCTTCCGTATAGCTGTGTGCTGTGGCTACAACTTTCCCAAACATGACACAACAGCAAGGGTATTTGTGTCCAGTGTAGAGATGTATTGGGCTACTGAGACTAGGCAGGTGCTATATCTCTTTCTAGAATATTCTGGACAATTGTGTGGCATAAGAATCAGGTTGTTCTTCTTTATTACCATAAAAGAAGACAAAGTACAAGGGCAGTCATTTGTTGGTTCAGTGATTCAGGCCTTGGTTACTCTTGCTTGACTCTATGTTCTACTTTACAGAGCACGGCTCAGTGGGTTCTTTGTGGCTCCAGAGACAAATAATTACACTTTCTGGATTCAGGCAGATAGCCAAGCTTCCTTGCATTTCAGTTGGTCAGAGGAACCAAGGACTAAGGTATTCACTGTCTTCTCATTTTCCTTTTCTCTGTTGCCAGTCCCATACCCATGAAGAAAGAAAGAATCAAAGTTAAGGCTCTCATGTTTTACAGATAGTTTAACATGCCATTGGATGATCAGGAACTTTAATTGTTGAAAAAGAACTTGTTTGAATGTGAACGTACTATTTATTGAGCATTTACTGTAAGCCAAATATTATGCTACATCTTTTATAGACCTTGTCTCTAGTTTTCACTGCATCTCTGCAAAATGTATGTATGTATGTATATATGTATATATATTATGTATGTGTTTGTGTGTATATACACATATATACATAAAGATATATGTATGTATCTTTTCCACATGAAGAAATTGAGGCTTGGAAAGATTGTGTGGGCCAGGTGTGGTGGCTCATTCCTGTAATCCTAGTGCTTTGGGAGGCTGAGGCAGGCAGATCACTTGAGCCCAGGAGTTTGAGACCAGCCTGGGCAACATGATAAAACCCTGTCTCTATTAAAAATACAAAAATTAGCCAGGCATGGTGGCGCATGCCTATAGTCCCAACTACTTGAGGGGCTGAGGCAGGAGGATCACCTGAGCCTTGGGCAGTCGTGGCTGCCACTGCACTCCAGTCTGGGCAACAGAGTGAGACCTTGTCTCAAAAAAAAAAAAAAAAAAAAAAAAGAAAAAGAAAAAGAAAAAAAAGAAAGATTGTGTGCCCAATCCACTTGGATAGCAAAAGGCACATTGAGGATTCAACCCCAAATTTACCTGACTACAAAACTTGTGCCTTTTCCACTAATTTTGGGTGGAGATGTAGGCAGCTGTATGTAGGAATTCCTCAACAACATTGAAGGATAAGAAAAGATGCCTTTAACAGCAGCCAAAATGCACTTATGCTATTGACAAAGAATCACAATATTTTCCTCAAATTATTACTATGTATGTCTGAAATTGATTTGCTAGTTTATTGGAGAAATGTCATAGATTTTGATGTGATCAAGTCATTCGAGGTCTCTGAAGGGCTTAATACTACCTTCTCCATAGTGTCATGTAATCCTAGGGTTTAGGTTGGTTGTTCCTTCTCTGAACATGGCCCATCTATTCTCATTTGAGTACTACTCAATTGTAAGAGATAGATAGATAGATAGATAGATAGATAGATAGATAGAGAGCTGGAGAAGCATAAATAACCACAGGGCTGAGGTAACTGGGTTAATATGTTAAAAAGGCAGACCAGTTCAAAACTCTCTTGATAGTAGCAGTTCAGACACTTAGTGTTTGAGAAAGAGATGCCTGGAAGCTGCATAGTATTGATCATGATATGCTTATTTGGGCATAGGTGAAAGTGGCCTCCATCAGCGTCGGCACTGCTGACTGGTTTGACTCCTGGGAGCAGAATAGGGATGAAGGGACCTGGCAGCAGAAGACTCCCAAGTTGGAGCTGTTGGGTGGAGCCATGTACTACCTGGAAGCAGAGCATCATGGGATAGCCCCAAGCAGGGGGATGAGGATTGGTGTCCAGATTCACAACACCTGGCTGAATCCTGATGTGGTCACCACTTACCTACGGGAGAAGCACCAGATCCGAGTCCGAGCCCAGAGGCTTCCAGAAGTACAGGTCTGTGTCTCTTTCCAGTCCCATGGAGCTGAACTCTGGAAGGAATAAAGTCCCATGTAGCAGGAGCACTGACTGGGAGTCTGGCGACCTGAGGGGTCATTATAACCTTGCTGTCAAAGAAATAGGATATCTCTTTAACAGCATTGTGAAGATGTTTACAAAAATGTGATGTCTTATTCCTGAGATTATCTTACTCATTGAGTTAGTTTTAGGAATTTAAGTTCCAAGCAAGTCTTCTTTTAGAAACTTATTTCCCAGAAAAGAGACAAGGTCCTCTAAACACACGCCCGACATGTATGCGTGCATGCATGTGAGCATATACACATTAAATTCCATAATTTTTGACTGATTGAGGTCCTATTTCCCTATAGCCTGTGTTTTCTAAGTCTACTTTGAAAAGGTCATGTCCTTTGGGTCTCTCAGCTGTGCCCCATATTTTCTTTGAAGAGTTTTTATGTGTTATAGTTTTTGTTGTTCACTTTTTGGTGTACAAAGACAAATCAATATGAACTCTGCCCTCTAAAGCTTACAGTCTAAAAGTAAAACATGTGCACAAATAACCATAGAACAAAGTAGAAAGTAACAATTGATTTAAGAGATTAAAAGCTGGCCAGGTGTGGTGGCTCACGCATGTAATCCCAGCACTTTGGGAGGCCAAGGCGGGCTGATCACAAGGTCAAGTGATCGAGACCATCCTGGCCAACATGATGAAACCCCATCTCTACTAAAAATACAAAAATTAGCTGGGCATGGTGGCATGTGCCTGTAATCACAGCTACTTGGGAGGCTGAGGCAGGAGAATTGCTTGAACCAGGGAGTCGGAGGTTGCAGTGAGCCGGCATCACGCCACAGCATTCCAGCCTGGTGACAGAGTGAAACTCCATCTAAAAAAAAAAAAGCTGCATAGAACTTACTCAGTAGCAAAACTATAATGTGCCCTACAGGGAATGTGTTGATGTGTTGGAAGCAAAGCAGAGACTGCATAAGCCTCCAAGAGAGGGTGCATGCCATGGAGCTGCTTCTGCCTGCTGGGCTACCCTTGGGAGAAAGCAATTGGTGAGAGGGGCTGAAAGTGCAGCATTCAATGGCAACTGTTACATCTCATACTCTCAATCAAGGGGCACAGATAAATAGGAAGACTGACATCTCTGTTAGTCCAACAAAAGTTCTCATTAGGCAATGATGCTGTGTTCCTCAGAGATTTCTGAATGTTAAAGCATTGAAAAGTTAAAATTATAATAAAAAGGAAATAGCAAGTTGAGGAGGAATGTCCTGTGTTCTTAGATTGTCTCTCTGGCTTAATTAGCACCATCATTTAGTCTTGTCTGTCTTGACTTTTTTAGGTGCTGAATGTATCAGGCAGAGGAAACTTCTTCCTTACTTGGGACAATGTCTCTAGTCAGCCAATCCCTGCAAATGCCACAGCCCATCTGGTGGGAGACTTCTTCAAAAAATGAGGGAGGGGAGTGGGAGAACTGGGGGTGGTCTTTATGCTCATGATATAAATTCCTGGCATTTTTTTCCTTTGTAATAGATTCAAACAACCATTGAGGAGTTACTTGCAGTAAAATGCAAACTGGAACCCCTTTGGTCTAACATCCTTCTCCGGCTTGGATTTGAACGAGGTGCTGTCCGTGGCTTCATTCTGATTGTCTTTTTCATCATGGTCTTCTTTCTTTCTATAAAATGAGAACAATCCCCATTTCCTCTCCAAGGTGATAACAGAGTAAAAAAAAAATATGAAACCTGGATTTGGACACTGAGTGGCTGAGGGACTGGCACTGCACTGTGCTTGGGAGGTTGATGCTCGGTGGGTGTCAATAGAAAGGAAAGGCATTCCTCCTGGGCTGTTAGGTAGAGTGCAGCACCCTCCTATACTCCCCATGCCACACGGTGGGAAAAGGTCAAAGACATAGGTGAGAAACATGCAAACATAGCCAAAACCATGCTAATCTTCAGATTACATCTAAAGGAATTACTACTTAAGAAAGTAGTCTTAAGAAATTCTTAAAATGTTAGGGTATGTTTTTAAAACTACTACTAAGGCGAACTAAATTCTAGTTATTTTTGAACACCTCTTCCATCTTGATATTCCTTGTCTTTTTGCTTCTCAATAGTTTTCCGTATCCTGCTACACAGAGAAAATGCTAAAGGGTTTTCAAGGCTCCAGGGAACACAGAATGAGTTTCTTATAGCTGGAGCTTTCAAGCCAGGGGTGCTGACCACTCATGCTGTGGCCATTCCTCCCAGGGCTGAGGGGCCCATATCATGGTGAACAGGACAGCCCCTACAACAAAGAATTATCCAGCCCCTAAAATATTAATAGTGCTGAGGTTGAAAACTCCTGCTCTAAAGTCTTCTTGTGCCAACAACTTTGTCCCTGAGTTAGAAACCAAGGATGCTGGGGGAGTTAGAGTTGAGGAACTGAGGCTCAGAGAGGTTGAGTTACTTACTCAAGGTTGCATGGGTAATTGGGTTAGAACGGGGGTTTTCTTAAGTGAGATACTCTAAAATCCTCATGCACACATGTAGGGAAGCTCTGTCTTTTTTAATATCTATGCCTGCCTTTCTATTTTATCTGAACTGCATCCAGGCCCAGAAGTTTCCAACTCTGATGGGGACCTCACCAGTGGGACGGAGCCCTTCTGTGGCAGGTTCAGCCTCCGTCAGCCTCGACACCTTGTCCTTACTCCCCCGGCTGCCCAGAAGGGCTATCGGCTAGATCAGTATACACACGTGAGTAGCAGTCTTTGTGCTTCTGGGTCAGGTGGGTAGGTATTGGTATTGCTCTCTGGATTCAAGACTGAAAACTCAGAAGCACAAAGGAGTGATTGCTGTGATCTGCCCAAGGTGTTTCAGGCTGAGGTTCTAGGTCTCTCGACTGCTGTTTCAGGTATGAATGGACACCACTGGCCCCCACTTGTGTGTTGTTACCTGGAAATGCCTTTGTATTAGCTGTGAGACTTGTGAAAGTTTTTATTTGCTACAATATTTTCTTTGATCTCTAAGAGTACAGACTGTGTCATTGGACTATCTGGTTTTAAATCCTGATTCCACACCCAATGTACCTTCCATGTCTGTCTTAAGTACAGTATGCCTTCATTTACTCATCTGTAAAATGGACAGTAATGTGGTCTATCTCTCAGGACTGTGGTATAGATTAAATGAGATAATCTAGTAAAGTGCCTGCACAGTTAGGACCCAGTGAAGGCTAATTATTATTACTCTAGTTGTTGTCATTATTGATGGATTGAATTGTCTGATGCATTTCGCAAACACTTCTTAAATCCTTTGCTTCGATAGCTCCACCACCCTTGTAAAAGAAGTGCAGCTGATTTGCCCTTTGGGAACCAGAGTGAGTTTTGCTGGAGTGGTGGAGCTCATGGCAGTAGTTTCTAGTCTTTTCCTAGTTGGGCTGCTGTGGGAGTTGGGGCTAAATGTTTCAGGCTTGAGCTCCTCCCTTCTTCAGCCTCATCTCTTCTGCAGGGGCGCCCAGTGGAGGTGATTTTGCCCCCCAGGGAAGAGTTGGCAATGTATGGAGACAGTTTTCGTTGTTGCAACTGGGGAAGTGCTATTGGCATCTGGTGGGTGGAGGCCAGGGAAGCTGTTGAACATCCTATAATGCACAGAACAGCCCCTATGACAAAGAATTATCCAGCCCCTAGAATATTGATAGTGCCGAGGCTGAAAACTCCTGCTCTAAAGTCTTCTTGTGGCAACAGCTTTGCCTTTAACTGAGTTAGAAACCAAGGATGCTGGGGAGTTAGAGTTGAGGAACTGAGGCTCAGAGAGGTTGAGTTACTTGCTCGAGGTTGCACGGGTAATTGGGTTAGAACAGGGGTTTTCTTAAGTGAGATACTCTAAAATCCTCACTGCCAAGCACAGTGCTAAGCATTTAAAAACTCTGTTTGATGACATTTTTTTGGTCTCAGAAAAAGTATTTATTGTATTTTTCCTTAGCTTTATTTAGGTAGGGAAATAACAATTTAAGTTATTTGTCTCTCTGGCTACACTGGTAAGCTCTGGAAGGGCAGGAACTGTGCTGACTCTCTCAGAGCCTATGGCAGGGTTCTAGGGATGTGGACTCCTCACTACGTATTGTTTGAATGACTGCTTCTTGCACTAATAGAACTGAAGGACTTATTTGGTGTCCATAGCTGTGTCTTGCATACAAAGGCCACATGAACAAGATCCTGAAGATGATTGTGTCCTTCACAATCGGCTTTCAAAACATGGTAAAGAATACCACCTGTGACTGGAGTCTCACGAGGACCAGCCCCGAGAGGTAGCTAATCGGTGGGGAGGCGTGGTGGGAATTCAGTCAGCTGGGAGGATTCACTGTTTTGGGGACAGTTACCCACCTCAGGCACTAATGGTCTTATATTTGGGCCTCATACACTAATTTGGGGATTTGAATATATTTTATTTGACAAAAAAGTTTGACTCCAGAGCAGTTAGTTGTTAAGAATATACTACTCCCTAGAGGGAGTCTGACATTTCTCATAGGGATAGAATTGTAGAACAGCGTAGTTGGGGGAAACCTTAGAGAACATTCTTTGACATGACAGAAAGAGGAAATTTGGGGCCCCAAGAATTTGTGATTCATCAAAATTCATTCAGCTAGTGACCCTGGAATAAAATTCAGCTGTCTTGATCCCTTGATTCAGTGCTTTCCACATAATTCTCATGGGTCTTGTAAATGGTCTTAAACCTAAATGAAACTGGTAATGTCCAGAAGTATCAATCTTCTCTGTGGTTACAGCCTCACATTATAATTTGCTTAAGACACACAGTTAAACTGTAATTTGAAAATGCTGCTGACATTGCATGTCATGGATGAATGATTGACTTAAAAGGTGACTACTAGCATTATAACCAAGGCTGAGCTGATCCCATCTTGGGTGGGATGTTTGTAGCCTTGGCACCCAGGACTGCTTGGGTGCAGGGGTTCATGGGGTCTCTCTCCTGGCTGCATAGCTCACAGGCCCCCCAGGTTGGGAACAAGGGCTCTAACCGGAGAGGACTGCAAGTGCTCCCTGAGAGCCCAGTTCTGCTCCATGCTGTTTTTCAGCTGGCAGTTCGATTGCACTGACCTCTGGGAGACTTGTGTGCGTTGCTTCGGGGATCTCCAGCCCCCTCCGGCAAACTCCCCAGTGCTGGTTCATCAGATCAACCTTCTCCCTCTGGCCCAGGAGACGGGCCTGTTCTATGTGGATGAAATTATTATTGCAGACACAAACGTAACAGGTAATCATCAAATTCTCTCTCCTCCACAAGCCGGTCACATGCCTACCTCAAACTTTCCTGCTAGGGGTTACTGTTTTTTTTAATGAGGAGAGAACAGGTGATCCTCCTTTTTGCCTGCCTTGGCTCTAGAAAACAGATGGGGCTGGGATTATGTGTCTTTGGTACTATGTCTCTCTAGTCCCTCTTCTTTCCTATTTTCCCCACGATTTTCTCTTACTTCTGGTGTCTGTATTCTTACTCCAGTTTTCCCACTTTCTTGCTGGGAAGTCTTGGTTTCTTCATCTGTAAAATGGGTATAATAAGGACCCTACTTCATTAGATTACGGTGAAGATTAACTAAAGTTTAATATAAAGTACTCCTTACTGGTCTTGTCCATAGAAGGTGTCTAATAAATATAAGCAATTATTGTTATTATTATTGTTATCATTAGACTAGCAGGATTTCTCCACCTTTCCATGAGTTAATATGTCATACCAGGTGCTGGAAGGAACTCAGCAGTGTCTGTCTCTGTAAATGGGCCAAGAGTCTGATTTACAACCTTCAAGACAGACGCAGTGAGAGTTAGAAGGTAATCATCTTCTTCAGAGAGAAGGCCCTTGTCCTTTCTGTCTCTCCAGACTCTTCCTACTCATTATTTAGAGATCAGGCCCGGCTCTTCCTTCCCGAACTCTCCCTTGACCACTCTTGGGCACAGTGGTCTCACCTGGCTCTTGCCCGCTAGTCTTAGGGACAAAGTCCTCCTCCTGGGCCCTGCTGAGGTGTCTGTGTGTGATGTGCGCCCACAGCCAAGGCAGAATGGTGCAGTTTGCCCTCAGTGTCTTCAGGCTTCCAACTTTTGCTCATGTTTCCTTCTCTGTCAAATCCCTTGTGGCTTTGGGGCTCAGCTAGCCTACTTTTTATAGTTTATTTCCCTCTCCAAGAAGAAAAAGATGATACCTTAATTTACATTTTGATTTAGAAAATGTACAACTTTTCAGTCTTTTGCCTAAACATTGCAGTACTGAAGGCAGGGGAACTTGGGGATGGGTGGCAAGAGGACTCTTTATCAGCCTTGAAATTACATCATCTTTGATTCTCATCAAAATCCCATCTCTCCTCTGTTTCCATAGTTTAAGTGTTTTGGGGACATCTGGGTCATTGCTTATTGTTCCAAACCTGTTTGTGCTCTGGCACACTTAGAAAATGACACTACTCAAGTGACGTGCTGGGTGACTGCCTGAATTTTTTGGTGCCCAAGACAACTGGCTGGGGGTCTTTGGTGACCCCAAGTGCTGCCTCAATTTCCAGAAGGCTGAGGGAATCAATATTTCATACACTGGAGTCCACTAGTTGGAAAACTCAGGACTGGATAATAGGTGCTGTTCAGTTTTCTTTTCTCTCCCTTTAATGCCATTCTGCCTCGCCAAACACTTGAAGCCAAGGATTCAGAACTTTTTCTTACTGCCCTCACCTCTTTGCCACCAAATTCTCTGTGTATCTGGAATCATCCAGGGGTGAGGTGAGGTGGGAGCAGGAAGGGAGAGGGCGGAGACAAGAGGGAAGATGGGGGTAGCATACATGAAACGGTCTGCCTCCCACTTTATCACATTAACCCTGCTGGCAATGGCTTTGTTTTCAGAATTATTTAATGGCAACATAAACTACACAATTGGGCTCAATATTCATAGTTAATTGTATATCATTTATCTGATCTCAATTTTATACTTGATGATATTCCCCTGACTAATGTCCTCTATGAAACTTCTTTGTATCTCCCACTACCACTGGATAGTGGTAGCTTCCATTTATTTCTCGTTTAGTTCTCAGAAGCCCATGAGTTGGTCCTGTTATCCCCACCTATGGGTGGGGAAACCAAGGCTAAAAGGAGTGGAGTATTTTGCCCCAATTCACACAGCGGAGCTGTGGAGGAGATCGGAATCTAATGATCACTGACCCTCGAACTGATCTACCCAGCTGAGCAAGTAATCATTTATTGACCACCTAGTCTATGCCTAGCATGTGCTAAGCATCAAGCATGAGAAGACGAATTAGACAAAGGTGTTGCCCTTAAACTCTTTAAAGTCTCCATTGTAACCAATCTTGGGGAAGAAGCTAAAAGGATGTTGATATTGTGCTGATCATTTTAAATCTTAAATCTCACTAAGCTCTCCTTGTCAGATTGATTGCTATCAATCATGCATGTCATAATCCCCGCTTTACACATAAGAAAACTGAGTCTTATGGAGTGTGTGTGGATTAGCTGAGTGGGAATCCAATAGAAGTGAAAAAATCAGGATTTGACCAGTGGTCTCTCTTAAAGCTTGCACCCTTTCTGCACACATGCTGGCTCCACACTGTGGATAAACACCCAAGTGCCCCTGTGTATGCCTCTGAGTTCAGTGCTCCTAAGAGGATCAGCTAAACATCCCTAGAGTTGCCAGGGGCTGTGGGAAGGAAAGGAGGAAAGGGTGGCAGGCTATACTGCAATAGATTAACTGTGTAGGAGTGCCTCCAAGAGCATAGGGAGTGACATTTTACTAGCTGTGGGGTTATTGAACTTTTCTATGGAATCAATCTTCATCTCCTTAAATCAGGACCTTGCACTTTCCTTTTTGTACTAAACTGAATGGCTTATCCTCCTGCGTCCTCTCCATGTGTTCTTTATGGCAGCAGATAAGTAGGAATCTATGCTTTAGGTGTGTACTGAGATCTGAGTAACTCACATTTCCAACTGGGATTTTCCACACAGCAAGTCTACCATCTTAAGTCACTTGATAGTAATTGGATCACTGGTCTCTAGTTTCTCAAGCTGATTCTGGAACGGCTCGCCCAGGGGGCAATCTGGTGGAATCAGTCTCTGTGGTGGGATCCCCTCCGGTCTACAGTGTCACCTCCTGGCTGGCGGGGTGTGGCACGGAGCTCCCGCTCATCACTGCACGGTAAGGAGTGGCTTTTTTACACCTGTCCCTTCTCCTAAGAATGCTTGTTGGCCTTGAGGGACACAGGTGTGACTTTTTTCAGGAAAAGCTACCTGTCTTGTTGCTTAAAGCAATGTTCTCAATCTTGAGAATGCAGCACCAGATTCACCTGGAAGTATTGTTAAAATTACTGGGCCTACTGTCAGAGTTTCTAAGGCAGTAGGTTTGGGGAAAAACCTGACAATTTGCATTTTTAATAAGTTCCTTGGTGATGCTGATTCTGCTGGTCTGGGGACTACGCTTTGAGAACTAATTCCGAGTCAGTTAGTTTAAAAATAGTGGCATTTTGTGCTGTTCAGAGGTTCACATCACCACTGTTTTGTTTTGTTGTTGTTCTTTTCATTGCATTCCTCATGTGTTAATCTTGTTGAAATCCTTTGAAATGAAATGTCTAGAGAAGAAAAATAGCTATTTCTAAGAACTCACCACCAGATGGCACTAAAGCCCCATAAGCATTGCTTCATAATAACCATTTCTAGCCACAGTTTACAAAGCAGTAACTAAGGATCAGGCTTCTTCTAAGCTTCTGGAACACATGTATACTCTAATTTGTTCTTTTAATTTTTCACCTAAACCCCAGTAGAATGGGAAGAATTGAGTGCTCTGCCTTTGATGTATGTATATGTATATGTGGGTGTAGGGATATATATATTCACAGTGTATATATGTGTATACACATATATGTCTAAATATACAGTCATGCACCACATAACAATGTATCTGTCGGTGATGGACCAAATATATGATGGTGGTCCTATAAGATTATACTACCATATTTTTACTGTAGCTTTTGTATGTTTAGATATGTTTGGATACACAAATATGTAGCATTGTGTTACAATTGCCTACAGTATTCAGTACAGCAGCAGGCTTGTAGCCTAGGAGCAACAGGCTATACCATATAGCCTAGGTGTGTGGTAGGCTGTACCATCTAGGTTTGTGTAAGTAAACTGCATGATGGTTGCACAATGATGAGACTGTCTAAGGATGCATTTCTTAAAATGTATCCTCACTGTTAAGTGATGCATAACTGTATAGGTTTCTTTCTCTCATCTTTTTCTCATATGTTCCAAAATGAGTTCTCGTACCTACAGCATGCTGCAATGGCATATTAAAGGCAGGTGCAGAAAGTTTGAACCCGTGCTTTACTTTCCTTGACTAAATGTTTGTTCCATGGTCCTCTGGGCAGGAAAAGCAATAAAACCATCCATTGAAAATGAAGAGGTGAGACATCTTCAGTGGCAGAGAGGAAGCCCACCATATCGGTAGGCTCTAAATGCCAACGTTTTTAGCTCTGAAATGATAGACACGAATTAAGTTACTCTGAAATGATTCTCACATCGAGTGGTCCTGAAAACTCCCTTACTGAGTTTCCTCAGGTCCCTTAGCTCTTTCTGGAAGGCTGCAGCCTAAGCAAGACAGGACATCCTTCAGACAAGGTCCTCCTAGGTGCACACCCCAACCCAGACGTTAATACTTTGTTTCTGACGTGCCACAGCTCTGTGCCCACTGAAGGAACAGAAGAGGGATCTGGACTGGTCCTGGTGACGACACAGAGACGACAGCGGACAAGTCCACCTCTAGGAGGACACTTTCGCATCCAGCTTCCTAATACAGTGATTTCTGGTAAAGGGGTGATTGGGGTTGCAACAATTCTCACTCACATATTCTCACTCACATTCCCAAGGGAACAACATCCTGGGAGGTTGTCAGACAGGTGATAATATTAAAGCTATTTTATTTATTTTCCAGTGTCTGAAAGTGACATTCTTAAAGTGAAAGATTTGGAAAGGGACTTATTGTTAATGCTACCCCAACCTTTACATTTTGTAGATGCGGAAGATGTATAGTTGTGGAAACTGAGTGGATCAGCTTCCTGGGACTGTTGTAAGGAGTTAACCACAAACTTGGTGGCTTCAAACAGCAAAAAATGATTCTCCCCCAGTTCTGGGGCCAGAAGTCCAAAATCAAGTTGTCGGCAGGGCCACACTCCTGTGAAGTATTTGCTCCTGCCTCTTCTGGCTTCTGGTGGTGGCTAGCATGTCTTGGCTGTGGCCATATCACTCCAACCACCGCCTCTGTGGTCACGTTGCTTCTTCCTCTTCTATCTCAAAATTTTCTCTGCCTCTCTCTTATAAGGGTACCTATTATATAATTGTATTTAGGGTCCACCTGGGATAATCTAGGACAGATTTTTCCTCTCAAGACCCTTAGCCACATCTTTTGCCATATGCAGTTTATTATTTTGCTTTATAAGTTAACATTCATATTTTCTGGGGATTAGGCCATTAGGCCATCTTTTAGGGGGTTCACCGTTCAGCCAACTACACTGAAGCTTGCCAAAAGGTCATACAAATAGCTGATGACAGGGTCCAGTTGTGAACCCAGGTATTTGATTCCTGGGTCAGTCCTCTTCTTTCTAGAGTTTTATAGACCAAGATACATGGTAGCCATGGTCCGTCAGAGTTAGACTTAATGGTGACACCATGTACTATGGAGGATTTCAGTGGTCCCAACAAATGTAGAAAGAACTTTCAGATGCAATTAGAGTAGTGTTTGTAAATCTTCAAGAATACATACAATGCACAAAGAACAAAGATTAGAAGTGATAATGATACGTTACTTATTTGGTAGAAACATGGGGAATCAGAAGCAAGGCTCAGTAGAACTTGAGAGGGGCTGTATAAAAGTTGGAACATGGTCCAAAAGTCTTTTGCCCTCCCAAGCAGAAAGTCCCTAGGCCTGCACAGGACCTTCTTGGGTGAGAGGAACAGAGTGGTATTTTTATTATAATAGGGTGACTCAGGAGAAGTCGAAGATCCCTAGGTGTTGATTCTGGTAAATGGGGGAAAAAACATCAATCGTGCCCTGCCTCTATGAGGCTCATTACTGTGCTATTTATATTTGATTTTACTTCTCATGGAAGACAGCTCATCCGTAGAGACTTCCTGCTACTGATTTCTATCACTGATGATCCTCAGATCACCGCCTGCAAAACAACTGGGAAAGTCAGCCTTGGCCTGGCCTTTTGAATGATGATGGATCTGAAACTCTGTATAAATGTAGAAACATGATTTGTAAAAGGATAACAATTTCGTTTGCAATTTAGAAACGCAGTGATATTTTATTAGCCCTTCAGGGCAGCGTGGAATTCAAGAGAAATGCTCTTGAGTAGGTAGAAGGCAACCTGTGTTTTCATGTAAACCTGTCTTTCTGCATTGGCAAGCTTCTGCATATGGTTGGGTTTCATTTTCTTCATCCCTAAAGTAGACATTAGGATACCCAATGACCCACCTCACAGGGCTGCTGGGAGCAGCTAATGAAATGGGAACTTCTGGTAGAGCACAAAGCAGGGTTCAAATACAGAGAGCTGTTATTCTTCTGTGGGGACATGGAATGGGGAAGCAGGTGGTTGGGCTTAAAGAAAATTCTAATAGAGAAACTGAAGTTAAATGCCAACATTCCTCAGCTGGGCTGGCCAAGTTTTTATGGGTGTCAGCTGCTGTACGCCTCCCTCACTCCCTGTGAAAAGTGGCCAATTTTTCTCTGTTCACAGGGCCAGCTAAATTTTTCCAGGGAAGATCTAATATTTAATTATGCTTTCAGGCATTACAAGGGTGTGTGGAGTTTACATTTTGAGTTGACAGTTGAGATGGTTTTATCTGACATGGCTGTGCTCTCTGATTGCTGTGTGATATGGTATGAGTGAAAGATAGTGTAATATAAAAAGTGGGCATCTACTTGTCTTTACCTTAGGAAAAAATGGTTTAATTATGGCTGGGGATTCTACTGAAGTTCTACTTTGACAGAAGGGTCTCCTGAAAATTTGATAGGCATCCTAGTATGTATCGTGTTATCCTTGAGGATGAAACTCTGTAAGGTGGATTAATTAGTGTCTGTGTTTTCTGTATCAAAACCTTCTCTCACAGATGTCCCTGTACAAATTTCTGCTCATCACCTTCACCAGCTCTTACAGAATAATGCCGATGACTTCACATCCAGGTACCTCAATGCCAGTGACTTCACTGTGAAGGAGGATCTATACACTTGCTACGAACACGTGTGGACCTTGTCCTGGTCCACTCAGATTGGGGATTTGCCCAATTTTATCAGGGTATGTATAGTATCCCTTCTAGTGGCATGGATTTGCTGCCCTGGAGAAATTCTGCAAAAAAAAAAATCAGAATTATACAAATGGAAACTGTCATGAATTATTAATTTTGTTGGAATATTTGAGTAAAGGGATTCTATGAACTTTCTTTCTGGAAGTTTTCAACACATATTTTGTATATCATATCCCTGAAAAAGCAATTTAAACCCAACATCTCCCTTCCTAACTCAGTGTAGGTAGTGAAGTTATTGGTCAGTGTCCACCATGCAATAATTCTACATCTGTTATTGGATAATTTAAGCAGATGTGATTGACTTAGATGATTGTGGAAGCAGATGGCATAGCAGAAGGAATTTTAGAAAAGAATTTGCTGTCTTTGGGTAATGACAAAACCAGATGCTCTTGCATATTTAGGGTCTTAAAAAATAATCTAATGATCAACTAGCATTTGGTTATTATAAAATGAAGCCCAAGATGAAAATTTTTCCTAGTTGTATGGTGTTGTGGGTTATCTGGTTTTCAATCGAAATTCTAGAAAGGAGATGGAGGAAGAATGGGAGACCTTGCTCTTATCTCATGGCACTGTTTCTTTCCACTTTATTTTAATATTTTGGATTGCAAACATATAAAATGGAAAAGCATGGAGAAGCAAAGTGTCTCAAGACTTAGAGAGAAGATTGATTTATTGTACCTCTTTTGGCAATCCACTTGCAAATGAATATTTCTCTAATCTACTGGGACTTTCCTCAGCCATTATTTACTGTTACGTTTCTATATTTCAATTCTCTGTTACTCTGCTTTCACTTTCTAGCTGTCTGATTATCTGAAACACAATGTGAAAAAACTCTTTATTATTTGATTAGACGAGATTAGATTTCGGTTCCATGACAGAATTTACCAGAAATGTAACCATCTCAGGTCTCTGATGAAAACCTTACTGGAGTGAATCCTGCTGCAGCCACGCGTGTGGTATATGATGGTGGAGTTTTTCTTGGACCCATATTTGGAGACATGTTGGCTACTGCCAACCAGCATACTCAGGTGAGAGTGAATGGGCCACCCTAAGTGCAAGCTCCAGTTTCAAGTCTAACTCACTCCTCACTGATTTGTAACATGGACTCATTGATTTAGCTCTTAAGGGTCATTTTGCCAATGTGTAAAACAGGGGTACTTATGGCTGTCCTTTTTCTACCTCCACAGGGTATGTACAGTTCCCTGAAAATATAAATGCCTTGTAACCACAATATTCTATTATAATTATTGATACTGTTGTTATGGTACAAAAAATTGATAATTTCTATAGCTAAATATGATTTATGCTTCTACCTGGTGGTATCAAAAAGTAAATGAGCTAAGTCATTCTTTTTGTCTTTAAAAAGTCCTTTTATTTTTTTCCTATCTTTCCATATTTCTGTTATAGGTCATCTACTTTCAATTTGATAAAGTTTTAAAATACAAAAACAATAAAGAATAATATTATCAACACCTGGGGACCCAAACTGAAAATTGACATTGTCAACATTCTGATATATTTATATTTTTTGTCTTTATGGAAAAAATGAAACAGTACAGATAAAATTGAAGTGTTCTTTATTGTCCATGCCATTGCAATACCTCTTCCTTTAATAAGGAAACACTGTCATGAATATAATCTGTATGCTATTAATGCATTTTTTATACATAGAGAATCAGTGGGGTCACATCTTTTTTACCTTTCTCATTTCCAAGTAGTTTTTGAGTTCTATTAGATTAACATTAGTTCCAGTGAAAGGGAAAGATATATAGTCTCTCTTTAGGAATCTACCATTCTGTGACAAAAGAGACCCCAAGTAAAGTGTCCAAATACACTCTAGTCTTTAGTTATATATTCACAGAGTGGTGGAAGGAATGCACCAAATTTGTTGGTCTTTACTAGCAAATAAAGAGCTTGTCACATAAAGTAGGTACCTGGTTGGAAATACAGAGTGATAAGAAGTCCTTATGCAGTTTAAGTTTATGAAGTTTACTTCTATATGACAGAGATAAATTTACTCAATATTTATCACATTTAATTACAGAAATGGGGTTCAGCATGTCCACCATCATTTTAAGAAAGCTTCATGTGTTTTGAGCCATTCATTGCAATTTAAGATTAATTACTGGAAAAATAGAAAAAAGGAATAAGAATTAGCGAATCATGAACACGTGTCAGCTTGGGAGCACTTCACATATACTTTATGAATACCCTGGTAGATATGAAATGCATAAAATGGAAAAGAAATTTTGCCTCATTTCAGGTGGTTGTGCGAGTGAATGATGTACCAGCTCATTGCCCAGGTTCCTGCTCTTTCCAGTACCTCCAAGGGTCAACTCCCTGTGTCCATTCTGTGTGGTACTCCATTGGTATGATTTGTCACTTGGCTCTGAGATGGGCTTAAGCCGGAGACTTGCAGTGATTTTGTTAGAGGCCATGTAGCTGGTGATGGGTGGGTAGAAGATAAATTAGTTCATTAGGCAGAGGTTGAGTGACGTAGCAGAAAGTGTATTTTTTGGTCCATCTAAGGGATATGGTCATGATTTGAAATGGGGAGAGATGGACTTTTGATGACTAAAAATGTTTTATTGTCTTTGTCCTTTATTTTGAAATATTATGTTCTTTTAAAAAATTGAGCAGTGATCACTTCTCACTAGTTAGAGAAAATTTAAGATCGGGGCTGTGTACTACAATAACAAATACAGATGGCCAATATTTAATTCAGCATTCAGCTCCTTGAATTTTGGGAGGGGATGGGGGCAGAGAAGGAACATTTGATGATAGTGAGAGGTCTCTCAAATGAAGTAATATCACTGAGAGATTATTTTATTTGTTTTTTAATTTCTTTTCTCCTTTAAGATGGTGACATCAACCTAATGATTTACATTACCGGAACTGGTTTCTCTGGTGACTCCCAGTTCTTGCAGGTTACAGTGAACAAAACGAGTTGCAAAGTTATTTTCTCAAACCAGACCAATGTAGTCTGTCAGACAGATTTGCTACCTGTTGGAATGCATCGGATCTTGATGTTGGTGAGACCCTCTGGTCTTGCCATCAGTGCCACTGGAGAAGACCTCTTCCTAAATGTGAAACCTAGACTGGATATGGTGGAGCCTTCCAGAGCTGCGGATATTGGTAATCTGGGGAGGGTCTCACAGTATGTCTGACCCTCTGAAGCTAGTGTTCTTGCTGATAGGAATCTAGTCCTTCTGTGTAATGAATTCCATATTCACTGTGACTCACTGTCTTTTGTTTACTGACATAAGTATTTAAATGAGCAACAAACATTTGAGCCCTTAAATGAACTCACTTGCCACATAAAGGATTATAGTTTGGCTGGTGGTGTCAGGCATAATTGGGTCCTACATAACTTTCATACATGTTTGATATTTCATAAGTTTGTGAACTGATGCACACTGGGATACTTGGCTAGCATGGAAAACTGATTGCCATTTGAGTAGTGGGCAATACAGAGGGTGGTGGGTCTTGTCAACATAGCCTTATGAATTGGGTTAGTTCTATGGAAAATCAAATATTTCTCCATGACTTTCTGCTTTCTGAGGGACACAGCCAGTTAAAAACAACCCAGCCAGATTGCAAGAATCTCAGGAATACTGATGCTTATGTTTGTTAACGAATAAACATTAGAGCATAAAGCCCTTTTCCTTAATGCTTTGGATTTTTGTCATGGTTTATTCTGGAGTCCAGAGGACTGCAGCTTAGAACATATTTAAAAGCAGTGTGGTTTGGCCACAAACTCATTGTTCAAAAGAACAGATTTTTTTCTGACCCTATTTTGCCTAGAAGAGTGAATTATGAGGCCCACCCCACCTTGTTTCTGCACATAAAACAAAGCAAGCATAACTTGCACTTATTTCTCCATGATTTAAGGAAGGTCAGATGATATATGGAGCTCAGAGTGAAAGATCATATTCTGTATTAACCCAGTAATTATTGGTTTGAGTGTAGGGCATAGTGTAGTTTTCTCTATAGAGTTATAAGGGGCTTTGATCTTCTTTCAAAGTTACCTTTGCTGTTCAGGCCACACATACCTTCTTCAGCTCCCTCCACCTTAAGGCAAACAGGTGACTCAGTCATTTTTGTTTCCCCTAGACAAAGTGCTTTGCACAGGTAGGTTGGCCAACTTTCCCAGTTTGCTTGGGACTGAGGGGGTTCCCAGGACACAAGACTCAGTTTTAAAACTGGAATGCAGAACTCTTAGTGCTAAAACTTGGTCCTAGGAAAATTGGAGTGAGTTGGTTACCCTATCAGAACATGCTGTTCAGTGAAGGGATTTCTAGGAGGATTGTACATTATTTTAGCAAAAGATGGAAAACTCTGAGAAGGGATATGCCAAGCGGGTAGAAATTATCTTTTATTAAGACTATGGGGAAAGGGAGAGGGAGAGAGAGAGGCTCTAGCTGCTGCTTTCCTTATTACTGGATTTAAACTTTTTCTATTAATTCTTCCTTTGCCCTGCCACCTATGAGTTAATCAGTACTCACTCACTCAACACTGATTGGCCCATCCCATTTAGCCCTGTGTGAGGTGCTGAAGACCTTGGTCCTTAAAGTGTGGTCCTGGACAAGCAGTATCTGTAATACCCATGAGCTTGTTAGAGATGCAGAGTCTCAGGCTCCACCCCAGACCTTCTGAATTAATCTGCATTTTAACATGTCCTCAGGCAATCTCTATGAAGAGTACAGTTTGAGAAATGATGCTCTGGGGTATTTAAAGAGAACCAGGCTGGGGCCTATCAGCAAGAAATTTACAGAATATTTGCATATGTAATGAATGGATACAATAATGTGATAAATCACCACCTACCCATTTGCAGAAGCAAAACCCTTGAAAGGATTTTTTTGAGGAAAATCTTGGCTTTGCTTTACATACTTTCTTCATTCATTTTTGTGCTGAGATAGCATTGTCTTCTTTAAGGTACGGACTCTTGTGTGGCCATAGTCTAAACTTTCAAATGAGAATGGCAAGATATCATCACCTCTTCAACCTTTAATTGTTACCATCAACAATAATCATAATGACAATTTATTTAGCTTTTATTACCAGGCATTATTAATGCTGGGGATACAGTAAATAAAAACAAATCCTCTGTTCTTGGGGCAGTGATGGTAAGTGTATAGGATAAAAATCAAGAAGGGAAGGGGATGAAGAGGGATGGAGTAGATGGTTGTGATGGTATAGTCATTGGCATTGGAGGAATGACATGAGTGGCCTTAGAGAAGGGAGATATGGGTGAAGTGAAGGAATGAATTCTGGGGAAATCTTGGGGAAGACAGTTCAAGTCAGAAGGAACATCAAGGAACAAAAAGTCTTGAGTCAAAGTTAGACTGGCTTGTTCCAGAATGTCATGGAGGTTGCCATGGCTGGAGTAGATTGAGTGAGGGGAGAGCAGTAGAAGATGACCCAAAGCAAGTTATATGGCCTTGGGGGATATGAATGGCCCTCAGCTCACTCAGCTTTTATTCTGAGTGAGATGGTGGCCATTGGAGGATTTCAAGTGAAGTGACATGATCTGACTTAGGCTGCTGTGTGAGAACTCACAGTAGGGAGGCAAAGATGGAACCAGCAAGACCGGTTAGGAGGATATGACAGACATCCAGGGGAGAGATAATGTTGGCTTGGCCTAGGGTAGTATACCTTAGAAATAGGTAGGATATTTTATTCTTTTCTTTACCCCAAGGATCTCTTTTTTAACTTAAAAAATTGAGATATAATTCCCATATCATAAAACTCATTTTTAAAAAGTATAAACTTAGCAGTCTTCAGTATATTCACAAAGTTGTATACCTCATCACCACCTGATTCAACAACATTTTCATCATCATGGAAAGGAACCTGTATACATTAGTAGTCAGTCACTGTTTCTCCCTCTTCCCAATCCCTGGTAACCACAGATATATTTTCTGTCTAAGTGAATTTGCCTATTTTAGACATCTAATATAAATAAAATAATGCAACATGTGACCTTTTACATCTGGCTTCTCTACTTGGCATGATATTTTTAAGGTTCATGTATGTTGTAACATGTATCAGTACTTTATTCAATTTTATGACTAAACAATATTACATGGTATGGATATACCATATTTTGTTTTCCATCCATCTCATCATGTGCATTTGGATTGTTTCCACTTTTTGATTATTATGAATAAGGCTGCTATGAATATTTGTGTACAATGATTTGCAGGAATATATGCTTTCAGTTCTTTTGGGTATATACCTAAAAATGGAATTGCTGGGTCATATGGTAACTCCATGTTTAACTTCTTGAAGGATTGCCAAACTGTTTCCAAAATGGCTGCATAATTTTACATTCCTACTAGCAATATAAGAGGGTTCCAATGTGTGTTAGTCCATTCTTACACTGCTATAAAGAACTACCTGAGACCGGAAAGTTTATAAAGAAAAGAGGTGTAATTGACTCACAGTTCAGCAGGCTATACAGGAGGCTTGACTGGGGATTCCTCAGGAAACTTACAGTCATGGCAGAAGGTGAAGGGGAAGCAAGCACATCTTCACATAGTGACAGGAGAGAGAGAGCAAAGAGGGGTACGCTATGCACTTTTAAACAACCAGGTTTTCTGAGAATTCACTCACTATCACAAGAACAGCAAGGGGGAAATCTGCCCCCATGATGCAATCATCTCCCACCAGGATCCTTCCCCAACATTGGGAATTACAATTTGATATATTTGGGTGAGGACGCAGAGCCAAACCATATCACAATATCTCCACACCCTCACCAGTGCTTGTTATTATTATTTTTCACAGTAGCCATCTTAATGGGCATGAGATGATACCTCATTGTGATTTTGATTTTCCTAATGACTAAAAATGTTGAATATCTTTTCATGTGCTTATTGGCCATTTATACATCTTTGTAGAAATGCTTATTCAAATCTTGCCAATTTTTAAATTGAGTTATTTGTCATTTTATTGTTGAGGTGTAAGTTCTTAAAGTATTTTGGGTACTAATCACTTATCAGATAAATAATTTGCAAATATTTTCTCCCATTGTGTGAGTTGCCTTTTCACTTTTTAAAAATAGTGTTATTTGAAGCACACAAATTTTTAATTTTGTTGAAGTCCAGTTTATATTTATTGTTATTGCTTGTGCTTTTGGTGTCACATCTAAGAAACTATTGCCTAATCCAATGTTACAAAGATTTATGCCTATGTTTTCCTCTGAGGGTTTTATAGTTTTGGCTCTTAGATGTAGGTACCTGATTCATTCTGAGTTAATTTTTGTACATGGTATGAGGTAGGGGTCTGTATTAGTTTGTTAGGGCTGCTGCAATCAGGTACCACAAACTGAGTGTTTTAAACAACAAAAATTTATTGTCCCATAATTCTGGGGGCCAGAAGTCTGAGATGAAGGTGTCAGGAGTGTTGGTTCCTTCTGAACCAAACTTTGAGGAAGACTCTGTTCCATGTCTGTCTCTTAACATCTGGTGTCTTATAGGCAATCTTTGGTGTTCCTTGGCTGGTAGAACACCACCCCAATCTCTGCCTTCACCTTCATATGGTATCCTCCCTGTGTCTTGCTTGTGTCCAAATTTCCCCCTTGCACACCCCTGCCAACTTTTTTTTTTTTTTTTGAGACCGAGTCTCATTCTGTTGCCCAGGCTGGAGTGCAGTGGTGCGATCTCAGCTCACTGCAACCTTTGCCTGCCAGATTCAAGCAATTCTCCTGCCTCCTGAGTAGCTGGGACTACAGGTACAAGCCACCATGCCCAGCTAATTTTTTGTAATTTTAGTAGAGACAGGGTTTCACCATGCTGGCCAGGCTGGTCTCGAACTCCTGACCTTGTGATCTGCCTGCCTCGGCCTCCCAAAGTGTTGAGATTACAGGCGTGAGCCACTGCGCCTGGCCCAAATTCCCCTTTTTATAAAGACACCAGTCATATTGGATTAGGGCTTATCTTTTTTTTAGTGTGACCTCATCTTAGTTTAATTACATCTGCTAAGATCCCATTTCTGAATAAGGTCACATTTGGAGTTATTGGGATCTAGGGTAATAACCTAAATTTTGGTGGGGATGTGGGAGACATAATTCAGCCCTAAACAGGGTCCAACTTTGTTATTTTGTATATGGAGTTGTCCCATTTTGTACATGTGCAAAAATATTAGTAGCATAATTTCCTAGAAGTTGAATTGCTGGGTCAAGAGGTTATTTGCATTAAAAATTTTGATAAATATCAAAAGATTCTCTTTAGAGGTTGCATAATTTATTGCCTAAGCAACAATGCATATATGAGTGTTTATTTACCACATTTTACTAACACGGTGTGTTCCCAACCCTTTTGACACTTACCTATTTTATAGGAGAAGAAGAATATTTCATTGTGGTTTTAATTTGTGTTTATTTTATTGAGAGAGAAATTGAATATCTTTTCATGTGTTTAGGGGCATTGTGTTTCCTTTTCAGTGAAATGTCTGTTTATCTCCTTAGCCCATTTTTTCTAATGGGGTTATTGTTCTTTCTTACTGATTTTAAAGAGCATTTTATGTATTAAGGATATTTGCCCTTTATTATCATTTGTCTCTTTGTTTTTTATTTTGGAAATTCGTAAATATTTTTAATTTTTACATAATAAAATATATCTTCCTTTTATGGCTTCAGGACTTCTAAAATACTTAGGATAGACTTTGCAACTCTGAAATTATATGAAAATAAAAATTCTGCCATGTTTCCTTCTAGTCAAAAAACTTTCTTTTTAATATTTAAATATTTGATAAATTGGGAATTTATTTTGGTGAAGCATATAAGGTAGAAATTCAAATTTAGTTTTTTTTCAGTGATATTTACTTATTTTATTTACTGAATAATTTATTTTGCACTTATGTGAAATGTCACTTATATCCTAATCTATAGCCTCATACTGATCTGCATTTCTTCTGGACTATATTTTATTTTACCACATAGTTGATACCATAGTTACTGTATAAGATATGGCAGAAGACCTCTTTACACTTCTTTTTGAAATTTTGTTTTCTGGCTATTCTTGTTTATTTTTCATTAAACTTAAGAATCAGCTTGTCTAATTTAAGTACAAATTCTGTTTATATGTCTATTGAAATTGCATTTATGCTTTAATTTATAAAGATATGTCACCTTTATGGTGTTCACTCTTTCGATCCATTTATTTTAGTTTTCTTATGTAAGTTTTAATCCATCCATTAAGTTCTTCAAGAGTATTTCAAATATTTTTTCAATTTTTTTATCTTCTTAATTTTTGTTTTGAAGTTTGCTTCCAGATATTGTATATTTTATATCACGATTGTATATTGCTCTTAGTTATGCACTTAACTTCAGGGTACTAGTCCACCGAGTCACACTGTCCTCAAAGGTTTTCATCAGATTTTGTAGATTCCCCTTTCTGTCCCCAACATGCTTGAAAGTAGTCTTGCTTCTGCATCCCTCCCCACCCTCAAGGGGGGGTAAGGCTGTTTGGTGGCCTCACTGCCTCTCTTGTATCTGGGAGATGGCAGACCAGAATCATTATACATTAGCTAGATCAAAGGCTGCTCCTCCACATGGAAACGTGTGCCATGATAGCAGAACTGGAGCCAACTCTCTTCTTGCTAACATCTGCAGGGAAGAAATGGGGATTTCTGTGGTTGCTCTTTAGTGATCAGTAGAGAAATTCTGATGGCGATGGGCAGTGATGCCACTCATTTCTATATTTTCACAGTGAACTGAACCTAGTATGTGTAGTGTCAAACCACAAAGCTGGAAGGGCTAACATTATTATTTAAAGATGAGGAAAATGTTGACCCTTCAGCTCAGGGACCATACTGCAATGACCTGCTAAAAGTAGCTGAGCAATCTGTGGCCCTGACCCTGACTCTCAGCCACTGTTCCTTCCACCATGATGCTCTGTTGCACTTGGTTTCTTAGGAAAAGAATATGTTTTATAGGATTGCAGGAATGATATTCAAAATCTAGGCCAGGAAGAGTTTTCAGAGACTACCTCTTCAGACTTGTGGCACGATTGTGTTCCTAGGTTTTATTCTTAAAAGACTTCAGGATGCAGTGCTACCTCTCTCTGCCCTCCTGTCACTACTTCTCCCTTTCTATATGATAGTTTATATATTTAACTCCAGTTTTTTTCCTGCAGTTTGAGCATTGCCTTTGTTTTGACTAAGGAGTTTCATATTTTAATTTCATTTTATCCATCTTGTGCATAATTAATTTTTGTCTGCCTGTATGGTTGGTGATCCCATTTGAATATGCTGTTTTTGTTACAGGAGGGCTCTGGGCCACCATCCGAGGCTCTAGTTTGGAAGGTGTTAGCCTGATATTATTTGGATCTTACTCGTGTGCCATCAATGTCGCTACAAGCAATTCAAGCAGAATTCAGTGCAAAGTTCCACCCAGGGTAAGTGGATTCCTTTCATATCTCTTTCTCTCTGGGTGAGTGACCACTGTTAATATAACATTTTCAGTGAATCACTTCTTAGAACTAAATGAACTGATGTAAACTTCTCATTATGATAGTATGCTTGTAGTAGTTATATTGTCTGTTTTGCTATGAAGTGGGAAACTGACCCCACCAATGGAGCTTGTAATTAACATCAATTAATTTCTTAAAAAGAAGACAACCAGGCAGTTCTGGTCTGTACTGTCAGTAAGTATTAGTGACACGTAACAAATAAATTTAGCTAGTGCACATTCTGGGTGTTGGCTTGCAAGGCTTATATATTTCAAAGTCTCCCTTCTCTATTAAGCAAACAACAAATAACTTAGTTTTCATCAGCAATTTTGTTTTCTAGTATGGGTATTAATTGTAGAACTTAGAAACTTCTAGAGTGTGTGATTTCTAAGAAATATCTTCTTAGTTATTCTCCATTGCTTCCTTTTCCCCTTAAAAACAAGTCCCTGACCTCTTCCTTTCCTTTCAATTAGTGCTATATCATGGCCTATTAAGGGATTTGAGTCTGGGTCCTTCCCTGGTACTGTTGGGGAGAGTCACACGCACTGCTGCCACTGAACTTTCTATTTAGAGTTGACTTAAGCAGCATCAACATTCCTAGCACACCCATGACCCCAAAATAAAGATCCCCTGGGAGATAAGTTTCAAAATATTCTTTGATCACTAGTCCTACATTTTAATCTCATCTAGTTCCTTAAATATTATGAAAAGCTAGCTTTTATATGTACACTACATTCAATTCCAATATGTGGTTGTACTCTAATTTGTTTAACTATTCCTTATTACCAGACACTTAGATAATTTCTAAATGTTTCTTATTGTAAACAACAGGGCTTTAATCATCCTAATAACTATGTTTTGGGGGTACATTTCTTTTCTCAGGATAAATTAATATAAATTCTAAAGCTTTTGATATGTAGTATCCAGTTGTCTGAAATTCCCTTTCAAATTATACTCCCACCATCATTGTGCACGTGTGTGATTTTTGACACTTTGGCCAATACTGGGTTATCACTTTATTATTTTAATATATATTTGCCATTTTAATGGGTAAGACATGTACCTCTTAATTTCTTTTACCAGAGAACATAAACATTAATAAAAAATAAATTTTACTTTTGATCCAAGTGATAGATGCATAGGTTAAAAGGAAAATAGTAAATTATGTTTTCCTGCCCCTCCTCCCCCTTCTTCAAGTCCCCCTTCCTGAAACAACTTTTAATTCTTTCAAATATAGTTACAATACCATTTTTATCTTAAATTAATAAAACCTGTTTATATTATTCTAACTATTTAGATGATGCTGGCAGAACCGGGTAGTATATTTTTTTCTTTTATAGTTCTTTTTTTTTTTTTTCCCCTAGAGTTCCTATTTTATTTTCTAAACATGTCTTTTGTTTGTTCGTTTGTTTGAGACAGAGTTTCGCTTTTGTTGCCCAGGCTGGAGTGGTACAATCACGGCTCACTGCAACCTCCACCTCCCGGGTTCAAGTGATTCTCCTGCCTCAGCTTCCTGAGTAGCTTGAATTACAGGCATGCACCACCATGCCCAGCTAATTTTTTGTATTTTAGTAGAGGTGGGGTTTCTCCATGTTGGTCAGGTTGGTCTCAAATTCCTGATCTCAGGTGATCCACCCGCCTCGGCCTCCCAAAATGCTGGGATTACAGGTGTGAGCCACTGTGCCTGGCTAACATGTCTTTCTTATAAGTTAAATCCAATATCTTTTAAAAAAAGTTCCATCGTATCAGTCATTCATTTTCCTTGAAGCTATCTCTGTTCTCCTGTTTCAATCTAGCCTGCTTATTTTCTAGGTTTATTCTACAGATTTTATCCTAGTACTTACTTTGATTGCTTTCTTGAGTAGTCACTGTTTCTTGGGTTTCAGATATATATATATATTTAAATTATTATTTATTTTATGAGATAATAACCATAAGTACATCCTATGAAAGAGTGTGTCATAGAGAAATTTTCTGAGTTCTCACATGTCTGAAAGTACTCTCATACTTGATGGATAGTTTAGCTAGGTATAGACATTTATTTGAAATTGCCATATTTTTGCAGAAACAATTGGTGTGTTAATTGCAAATAATTCTTATTTACCCCTTACAGCATGTCATTATGCATCTAACACTGCACTTGCCTACTAGTCCAAGCACTTATCACTCTGTGTTGTGGGTGTGGGGGCAGGATGGGGAGAGTGTGCAGGGTTGTAGAGAAGAGAGAGACTTGGAAGTAGGAAATATACCCTTTAGGAACAACTTTCTTAAAATTAACTTTTAAAACTAATTCTATATGGAGTTCTCTTCCCTTAAGTCAGTCCTACTTTAAAATAAAACTGAGGTTTAATTTTTAAAATTGATTTTTCAGGGGAAAGATGGACGCATTGTGAATGTGACTGTGATCAGAGGGGACTATTCTGCAGTTCTTCCCAGAGCATTTACATATGTCTCTTCCTTAAATCCAGTTATTGTGACTCTGAGCAGAAACATAAGCAATATAGCAGGTAAAATATGTGATACTGCAAGATCTTTTTCTTCTTAGAGCATTGGTCCTATAAAAAGGGCAATCAATGTCCTCTGAAATTTATTGTATTTTGGATTTAAGTTTTTTCTTGAAAGCTAGGAGATTGCTTTTTTCATCTTAGCCATCATCGAATCAATCTCCTGATATCTACTTTTCCATCTGTAAAATGGAACCATTGTACAGATGGGACCATTTCCATCATGAAAAGGATGTGGGAATTCAAAAGTTACAATTCAAAATATGTTCCTTGAGCATTTAGTAAGTGTCAATAATGATAGCATAAACATAAAATAGATGTAATTTAATCCTTGCCCCTAATTTATAGGATTATTAGCTTCAATTTACAGATCAGGAAATTAAGGAATGGAGAGAATAAGTAATTTATCTAAGATTTGAACACAGGTCATCTGTTTGTATATACCAAGTACTTATCTACTTGTAGTTAACTGTAAAATACTGCTTTTTGACAGCAGGTTCTATTGTAGCAGTTATTTAATATGATTAGAGAATAGGATGCTCTGATTAACTTAGAATTCTTGTTTCTTGAGACATTCTACGTATAAAAATAATGGATTCATTAGCACCAACTACATGAAAGAATTTTTCTTTGATGATTCAGAGGATATGGCAAGGTAGAATTATAATAATTTATTATCATGTAATTCCATATAGATTTGGAAGAGTAGCAGGTAACTTCCCTTTCTGGTGAACTGAATGCCAGATAACAGGGTTTGTGGTAGCCATATCTAAGGGTTTATTGTAAAAAGACCATCATATTTCCCAAAGAAAAAGTCTGAACTCAATTTTTCTGGCACTATTTTCATTTTCCATAGCTCAAGAGTACATAAATAAAGAGAAGTGTCCTTTAGCTTCCAATATTATTCAGCTCAGATAATGCAGAAGAAGAATTTGCTGCCCCAGGTGACTGAAGTGTGTAAAATTCCTTAGTGGTACAGATTCTTCCTGATGAGGTAGAAAAGGGAGGGGGAGCTCCATGTTATATTCAGATTTCAGTGATTTTGGCTTTTAATAAAATTTCTTATCTGTAATGAAAAGAATAAATACATTATATCAGTGCCAAGGAAGCATCTAGGATTAGCTTGACAGTTGACCAAGTGCTCCAAAAGTTATGTTGTTGATACATACAATGCAATGCATTCTTTTCAAAATTTATACTTGTATTTAAATCTTTCTACAAGCAGAATAAAAAGGAGCATGTTATAAAATCCACGAAGTGTCGTAGCCTTTTGGGAATGCCTCTTTTAAGTTGGAGTGCTGCACATCTCCATCCAAGAGATGATGTTGATGATGACCGTGAGGCTGAGATGAAATGAAAATAAAAGCATAAGAGGGACCAAGGATGGGGAGTGCTGGTGAATTTGATGTGCAGGACCATTAGTGTTGGTTTCTGCAGTCAGGAAAAATGGAATCTGCATGAATCCCAGCTCAACCACTTGTTAAAAAGAAGAACTTTCAAGAAATTAAATTTAACAGAGTTTGTTTGAACAAAGAATCATAGTAACTTGTAGAACCAGAAAAGGTTCAGAGAGCTCCACTATGCCACATGGGCAGGCAGCATTTATAGACAGAAAATGGAAGTGAGGCCAGAAACAGCTCCCTGTTTGCCTTATTGGAGCATGGTCTGATCAGTTGGCAGCCTGTGATTAACTGAGGCTCAGGTAGTTGAGGCTTTCAGTTTATCACAAAGTTGGGTTGCAGTTCTTTATGTAGAGACTCAAGGTACAGAGACAGCCTTAGGCCAAACTTAGTTGAACTTACCATACTCCTTGGGTAAGATATTTAACTTCTTTTATCTTCAGTTCCTTCATTTGATAGGTGGGAATAATTCTTTCAAGGTAATCATGAAAATAGGAAATAAAGCAGATGAAAGTACCTGGTCCAGGAATTGACATAGAGTAAGCACCAATAAATCTTTGTTGAAGTGAATGCCATCATTCTGCCAGATATTGAATGCTTTATAAACAAGCCAAAGAAAGGCCCTGCCTATTGGTCCTATTTTTTTTTTACTTCTTCATGGCACCCCAGGATCCATTAGCTCAAAAGCCTGCCAGTGCTAAATTCAAACTTTTACACATCCACTTGTTTTCAGCGTAGCCAAAATAAGCATATTTTTAGCCATTTAAATTCCTCTTGCTTTGCATGCCCCATGAAACTGCACCCATCAGTCAGCTGTAGGTAAGAAAACCCTGGGGCTATAAAATACCCTAAGCCGCTGATGCCTTTGGAGCTCTCTGTCCCAGAGGCTACCCACCAGGCTGCTGAGTGACATCATCTGGACACAGAACCCCCCTCTCTCATCTTCCCACCCCCTCCCAGTTCCCTTGCCTTCTTCCCTTTCTGGATGGTGGCCCAATACTGTTGCCTCTGGAAGGTCTCATGCTGGGAGACTTCCTCCTCCTCTGTGAATCTGTCAAAATACCACCCAAATAATGCTTGTTTTTTGCTACTGTCACCTCGTAGTCATGTCTTTTTCTTTGATCAGCCCTGAAATCCCTTGAACTCACTACACTGAAGCTTCAGACTTCCCAGTAGAGATTGGGAAGACATGCGGTCAAGAGAATGGGGAACGAGGAAGAAAATGAAGTTAATTAAGGCCTTTTTGTGTGCTATATCATGCCAGATACTTTCCCAGGATATCTAACAAACCACATGGGATGGGCTTTATTAACCATGTTATTGATGAAAAATCCAAGGCTTTGAGAGCCGTAAGTAAATCACCCAAAGTCACAGAGGTAGTAAAATGGCAGATCAAGGATTTGAATGCAGATTCATAGTCTTCCCACCACACCACATCCCTCTTCTTTGACTTTTCTCTTTCAAGCAACCTCTTTTTCCTCTTCATCTAATTGGCCGTGGCATCCCATAGATACCAGCTCTGCAGTAGTCCTCAAATGTTACAGGCTAAAGGAGCTAGAGATGCTTTAGCCCAAGCCATGTTTCAGTGGCCACACTGGGACACAGGAAAGGTAAGGACATTTATTTCCACTCCTGCTGTTGCCCACTTGATTTGGTCTACTTGATTAAGACTACAATTGTCTGCAGATTGGATTTCTCCTCCCCTATCTTTTCAATTTATCTTAAAGACTGGAAGAACAGTTTTAATCATATCTTTTCCTTGCTTACAAGTCTTTGGCGGTCACTGCCGTCCACTGAGTTAAGCAGACATCCCTCTGGCTTGGCTTTCTTGGTCTTTGGCCCTAGGACTACCATCAACTTGGCTTATCCCCAAAACAGAACCCTACCTGTGCCTTCCAGAACATCACCCAATTCTCTTTTTCCTCTCCAAGCCACTGGGTGATTAAGTGAGAAATTGCTATGAAAGGCTTTGGATAAAACCGTGAAATTTCTAGAAATAAATGATAAGCCCCCTTTTCTCTATGACTTTCTTTTTGGATTTATCTTTCAAGCTCCAATTCAACTCTCATCTTGCCCATTCCATCTTTCCTGATATTCATAATGTTGCTCTGATTTGAGCAATCCCAGTGCTTAATTTCCACCTCTCTTGTAGTATATCTTTTATTGAAGCAATTTTGTCACCTATTTTACTACCGTTGAGGCTTCTTTGAGGGCAGAGTCTGTGTTTAACTTATTTTGTGCCCCTTGCAGCATCTTCCTTATGGTACTCAATAAATATTTGAGTTAAAAGAAATTGCATGAAAGTGTTCATAGTGTACACATTTTAATAGAGTTGCTAATTAAACTAAAAGGACACTGAAATGCAAGACAAAAGACTGGGCTCAGGTCTTGACCTTTTTTTTTCTTTTTTAGTAATTATTAATAGCTATGAGGCTGTGGCTGCTGAGCTTAGTTTCCTCAAATGCAAAATACCAGTCATATTAATTGCCCCATATAAATCATCAGGATAGTGTGTGGACCAAGTGGGATAACATACGTGAAAGTACTCTGTCAGTTATGAGCTACTAAACTCACATACAGCATTACTGTAAGGTTCAGTGCACACTCAAATATAGCTTCAGACTTCTACCAGTAGAAAAGTGGAGGTTAAGCAACCAATATGTGGTGCTCTTTGCTGGTTATAAAGACCGTTAGCTCTGCAAACTTCTTGATTTGCCTTTGCATGGAAATAAGTTAGTGTCTCTTGAATACAATTGTCCTGCCAATTTTTCTTTTTATACTATTGAGGTTACAGACCATATCTCTGTTAAAAGAGTTGTTAAGCCAGGCAAGGTGGCTTACCCCTGTAATCCCAGCCCTGTGGGAGGCCAAGGCAGGCAGATTGGTTGAGCCCAAGAGGTTGAGACCAGCTTGGGCAACATGTCAAAACCCTGTCTCTGCAAAAAATACAAAAATTAGCTGGGTGTGGTGGCACATGCCTGTAATCCCAGCTGCTTGGGAGGCTGAGTTGGGAGGATTGCTTGAGCCCTGGAGGTTGAGGCTGCAGTGAGACAAGATTGCACCACAGCACTCCTGGGTGACAGAATGAGACCTGTCTCAAAAAAAAAAAAAAATAGTTGTTAGAAGTTTCTTGAAAAATTTAGGTTGGTATCGTAACTCTTAAGAGTATTATGCATAGGGGTGACTGTGAATTTAATCCAAAAAGACAGTTTTAGAATTGAATAGATGGTTGAGCCCACAAACCCCACATGTCAGAGGCTATTGGATTCTTCTCAACACAGGCGGTGAGACCCTGGTCATTGGAGTGGCGAGGCTGATGAACTATACGGATTTGGATGTGGAAGTCCACGTCCAGGATGCCTTGGCTCCGGTTCACACACAGTCGGCTTGGGGCCTGGAGGTGGCACTGCCCCCACTGCCAGCTGGTCTCCACAGAATTTCCGTCTCTATCAATGGGGTCAGCATTCACTCACAAGGGTGAGGTGACCACTTGCATTAATTTTGGATTTGTTTGATGGTCTAGCATTCAGCTAGGTAATTCTAATTTTGAGTTAGGTATTTTCTTTTTCCCTTGGAAGTTAGAGGTTAAAGACATGAACATCATAACATTGGAACAAATCTTAGAGAACTTACAGACAGTTTGCTCTTCTCCTCAAAATACATATGGCTCTTCTGGCTTACTCTTTCTTATCTCTCTCTGTCAGTTATTTCCTAAACATCTGCCTATCTTCTGTAGGGTTGATCTCCACATCCAGTACCTCACAGAAGTTTTCAGCATCGAGCCTTGCTGTGGGTCCCTGCTGGGTGAGTGGCTCTTATGTGACTGTTATCAATTATCCAGCAATTCTATTTGCTGGATATTCAGATTTTGTTTCTGGATTAATTTGCCAGTGAGGTCAGAGAGAGGGGAAACAGGAGAGAAACTTTCCTCGGGCTCCAGGAACTGAGGGGTGTTTTTAAAAGGGTGTTAAAACTTGGTGATTCATTTGCTCAGGAAATTAAGGAATTTTTATGACAAGGAGATGTGCCTGCTTTTCTTTTCTTTTTTTTTTCTTTTTCTTCTTCTCCTTCTTCTTCTTCTTCTTTTTTTTTTTTTTTTTGAGACGGAGTTTCGCTCTTGTTGCCCAGTCTGGAGTGCAATGGTGCTGACTTGGCTCACTGCAATGTCTGCCTCCCGGGTTCAAGTAATTATCCAGCCTCAGTCTCCTAAGTAGCTGGAATTACAGGTGCCCTCCATCATGCCTGGCTAATTTTTCTATTTTTAGTAGAGATGGGGTTTCACCATGTTGGCCAGGCTGGTCTTGAACTCCTTACCTCAGGTGATCTGCCCACCTCGGCCTCCTAAAGTGCTGGGATTACAGGCATGAGCCACCGTGCCCAGCCGAGATGTGCCTGCTTTTCTAATGAAAAGAGGATGAAACGTCTGATGGGTGACACTCTAGAGTGGATATGAGAAAAACAAGGGCAACATGTCCTGCATTCGCCATTTAGATGCTGTGCATGCAAGGAGGGGAGGATTGAATCTGCGGGTCTTCACTTTCCATGAGAGAGACAGATGAAAGACTCAGAAATAGAAACACACATGCTGATATGGGAGATGGAAGAACAAGACAAATAGACCAATCTCTAAAACTATTTTCAGAAAGAATGGAAAACAATCTAGTGGCATGTCAATAATAGTTGTGATCATGTGTAAGATAGCACATTATCCTTTTTGGGTATAGTAAAATCCTCTTAAAAGCCACGTTGTACAGTTTGGTTATGCTGTGGGTCATGTTGCTCCAATCCTGTCCTGAAGATGGGGTTTGATCTTTGGTGGCCTCTCTACTGGAGAGTAAGGCAAAGATTCTATGAAGGTAGCAGCAAATTCACCAGCAAGATTCAATGACTTTTAATGTCTCTCACGTATATGGAATATAGAATATATGGTACAATAAATAGAATATATTAGAATGTATAATATATGGAATATTGGAATATTATATAGAACAATATAAATGATAGAAGACTTCAATGAATTTGATTTTTCATTAGCATATAAGTTGAATGTATACAGGACAATGTACAAATAGTCTATATATAGCATACAGGATAATATTTCCAATAATATAATACATGATAAGAAGACTAAGAAATTTGATTTTTCATTAGTGTGTAAGTTGATTAAAGTGGTGGCTTCTGGGATATACAAAGGTACTTGAAAAGTTTGTGTTGAAGACGTCCTTCCTATATAACAATTTGTATTATTTTACTGTTATGTGAATTTACCACATCTGACTCCTGTCTAAATAATCACAAATTTAGCTTTGGTGGGGGTGAGAAAAAATAATTGAGGTTTCACTAACACATGCCCTACCTTCCACTTAATTGACCTAGGACTTCCACAGGTGCTATGAATTCTTAGTTCAGAATATCAGCTATAATATTTTGCTTTCCGTATTCATACTTTAGGAGGGACCATCCTCAGCATCTCAGGAATAGGCTTCAGCAGGGACCCAGCTTTGGTTTGGGTACTTGTGGGCAATCGGTCCTGTGACATTGTGAACTTAACGGAGGCGAGCATCTGGTGTGAAACCCTGCCAGCCCCCCAGATACCCGATGCGGGCGCTCCCACTGTTCCAGCTGCCGTGGAGGTCTGGGCTGGCAACAGGTTCTTCGCCCGTGGTCCTTCACCAAGCTTGGTGGGGAAAGGCTTCACCTTCATGTATGAAGCGGCAGCAACACCAGTAGTCACTGCCATGCAAGGAGAAATCACAAATAGCAGCCTGAGCCTGCATGTGGGAGGAAGTAACCTCTCCAACTCAGTCATCCTTCTGGGGAACCTGAACTGTGATGTTGAGACACAGTCCTTCCAGGGCAACGTGAGCCTGTCTGGATGCTCCATCCCTCTTCACAGTCTGGAGGCTGGCATCTATCCTCTCCAAGTACGTCAGAAGCAGATGGGATTTGCTAATATGTCTGTGGTGCTCCAGCAATTTGCAGTGATGCCTCGGATAATGGCCATCTTCCCATCGCAGGGTTCGGCATGTGGTGGGACCATACTTACTGTGAGGGGGTTGCTTCTTAACTCTAGAAGGAGGTCAGTTCGGGTTGACCTCTCGGGTCCTTTTACTTGTGTGATTTTGAGTTTGGGAGACCACACCATTCTCTGCCAGGTTAGCCTGGAGGGTGACCCCTTGCCTGGAGCTTCCTTCTCCCTGAACGTCACAGTCCTGGTCAATGGGCTAACCAGCGAGTGTCAGGGGAATTGCACTCTTTTCATAAGGGAAGAGGCAAGTCCTGTCATGGATGCCTTGTCCACAAACACCAGTGGGTCTCTGACCACTGTGCTGATTAGGGGTCAGAGGTTAGCCACCACAGCTGATGAGCCGATGGTATTTGTGGATGATCAACTTCCTTGCAATGTAACTTTTTTTAATGCAAGCCACGTTGTGTGCCAGACAAGAGACTTGGCCCCAGGACCCCACTACCTGTCAGTTTTTTATACAAGAAATGGGTATGCTTGTTCTGGTAATGTTTCCAGACACTTCTACATTATGCCCCAAGTGTTTCATTATTTTCCTAAGAATTTCAGCTTACATGGTGGAAGCCTCTTGACCATAGAGGGCACAGGCCTGAGAGGACAGAACACCACGTCAGTCTATATTGACCAGCAGACCTGCCTGACGGTGAACATCGGTGCTGAGCTCATCCGGTGCATTGTTCCCACAGGGAATGGCTCTGTTGCCCTGGAAATAGAGGTAGATGGACTTTGGTATCACATAGGAGTCATTGGTTATAACAAGGCCTTTACCCCAGAATTGATCTCTATTTCTCAGAGCGATGACATCTTAACCTTTGCAGTGGCCCAGATCTCAGGAGCTGCAAACATTGACATTTTTATAGGAATGTCACCCTGTGTGGGTGTCTCTGGTAACCACACCGTTCTTCAGTGCGTGGTCCCTTCCCTTCCGGCCGGGGAGTACCACGTCAGAGGCTATGACTGCATCAGAGGGTGGGCCTCATCTGCCCTGGTGTTCACCTCAAGAGTTATTATTACAGCAGTGACGGAGAACTTCGGTAAGTCAAGCAAATAAGACAGCACACTTTCTTTATGTAAATGAATTGGTAGCTCCTTTCACTTCTGGAAAGTAGAAAATTAACACAATCTGCCTGATGGAAGGAAAGAGAAGCCCACTGGCTTCTTACAATCCCAATTCCTTCCTGAGGCTTGTCTTTGTTATGCTCTGTTTATGAAGATTTTTTTTATTTTTATCAAGGAAACTGTGCATATTCTCTAAATGTTTGATTGTATTTTAATTTGATGCATTAACTGGATTTGTATTTTAAATTAAATAACACCATTTGTAAGAGCTCATAATTTGATCATTTAAGAACGTAAATGCCTTCACCTAGTTTTAGACCCTATCTGCCAATTTGCGTTGTTTAAAATTTATTAAGTATGATTAAATTTTTATCATTTTGTAATATTTCACAGGTGGACTCATATTTCAACAATAATAAGCCAAATGCACAGAACAATTAAATTGGTTGGACTGTTTTCTCCGTTTAGATATACCAAAAATTGCCTAGCCTTTCCCTCCAGTGAAGAAAAGCTTTCAATTTCTATTCACTTAAAGCCTTGTTGCACTTGAGATAGTTCAAATTTGGTTGTGATTTAGAAAGTAAGGAAAAAAACTATAGAAACAGAATCTTAGACTGTTGGAGTACTAACTAAGACATTTCTTAGAAAAAATTTGGTCTCAGCTTGGTGGAACACTGTGGGGACTAGGATTTGGCTCTAGTCTATCACTAATTTTGCTAATTTATGCTTGACTTTTCTGAGACTCAGCTTCCTTATTTGATAAAGGCACTACTCCCTAAGATTCCATGTTTTTTTATGATGGAAGAGCAGGGAAATAAGAAATGCATCTTAAACCAAAAGCATTATTTTTGAGTTAGTCAAGTGGCTAAGTACCACCTAGACCTGGTATGAAGGCAGTAGTGAGGGGAACTCTGTATCTCAGTGTAAACTAGAAATGTGGACTGGTTTTACTCATACAAATGTCCCAAAACATGTACAGTTATTGCATCACTATTAACAATAGCAAAAGAGGAGAAAAAATGGAAATTTCAATAAATAGGAAAATTGTCAAATAAATTGTAGCAGGGCCCTATAATGGAATTCTAAGTAGCTACTAAAATGAACTGGATCCATAGAGTTTTGAAAAAACATCTATGCTATACTTTGAAGCAAAAAAGCAAGTTCCAGAATAATATGGATAGAATAATGCTTTGAATCAGAAACATAGATGCTTAAAAATTCTGGAAGGAGCCATAAGAAACTCTATACCTGGGTACCTCCGGGGAGGGAGTCAGATGGTTGGGGGAATTTTTATTTTCATTTTATGGCTCTTTGAATAAAAAGTTTAAAAACTATAAATAAGCATTAATTTTCCATATAAAAATTGTTACATTAAAAAAAAACCTCTTTAACACAATAGGATATTGAATGTGATTGGAGTCAGACAAGGCCAGAGCCTAAGTGGAGAGGAAACTGAGGCCAGCAGCCACCTCAAGCCAGTTGTGCGGATTCTGAGGATGTGAAAAGAAGAATGGGTAGTGAGGAAGCAAATGTTTGAATTTTGAGTTGAGTAAAGAAGGGAGATTTGCCTGTATGATCAAGAACTTGTACCTTTGTCTTTAAAGGCTGCCTGGGTGGAAGGCTGGTGCATGTGTTTGGAGCGGGATTTTCTCCAGGGAATGTCTCAGCTGCTGTGTGTGGTGCTCCCTGCCGAGTCCTGGCTAATGCTACAGTGTCTGCCTTCAGCTGCTTGGTTCTGCCCCTGGATGGTGAGTAAAGATGCCACACACATATATTTTAAAGCATATATATGGAAATGATATTCTTTGGTTAATTCTATTTTTGTGATTAATGCTGTACTGACTACTAATTTCTCTATGTGTGCCTAGGAAAAGAATTTCTCTACTCCTCATCTAAAATGATAGTTAGAATCTGAGGCCACCTGTTAAAATGATTCATCATAACTTTTGTCATATTAATATGTCAATGTTAGATGAATATTGAAACACTTATCACCTGTGTTCTTAACTGCAGTCTTAGGATGACAGAGGAAGTAATTCTGAATTCTGAATATTAGTTTCAATGACAGCTATAGGAGTCATGGAGGAAACAAGCTCTTGGCTTTGTTCTGAGGTGAGGTTGCTGAAGACATCTGCTTATTGGAGGTACCAGTAAAGGGATGGAGATTTTCAAGCTGGATATCACTTGAAAATTAGCTTTGTGTGTTCAGTTTTCGGTTTCTTATTATAGGCAAAAGAGCCAACACTCATGTTGTCTTCTTGTTTTGCAATACTCACATAATTACTTATTTCTTATTCAGTAAAACACCACAATTGCTCACTACTTTAAGCTGCGTAGTGATCATATAAATTGTGGTATGAGAAGCCGTGTCTTTGTGGGGAAAGAGATGAGAGAGTAAGTTGCAAAGCTTGGGGATTCACAACACATGGTAATACCCCACTGAGCTTCAGGAAATAAAGTCAAAAGGAAGAAATTACTGTTATTACTACAGGACCTTACTACATTTGAGATAGCTCACATTTAGCCAGGTGATTACCTTATTTGCCTAATCATAAATCTTGTACCTGTGCACTTAACCGTTTACATACCTCCTTTCTGTGTAGTGTTTAAGTTTTATTCCTAATTTATTTGTCTGCAACTTGAATGTGGGCTAAAGATTTACAAAATGATAAAAGCACCACATCATCTGAGCTTGGATGAGAATTTAATGATGGATAATGCTATTGTGATGGAAATTTGTGCTGTGTTGTCTTATACAAAGAGGAGAAGGAGGGGAAGGAGGAGGGGGAAGAGGGAAGAGGAAGAAGAAGGGGAGGAGAAAAAAATTTTTGTTAAAATGCTAGAAATTGAGTTTCCTATTATCATCATGTATATAAACACATTATGGAAGAGAGATAGAGTCCACAATGGGAAATTTAAGATACAATAGAAGATTGAAGTTCAAAACATTGTCTGATTCACTGCTCTACCTCCTCTGCTAGGAACAGTGTTGCAGAGGGTATGTGCAAAATTAGTGCTTGGTGAGGAATAAATGAGAGATAGCATAAACAGAAAGCTAAGACTGCACATTTATAGGCTCTAATTTTTAACTAATACTGCTACATTTTTTAAAAAAGCTTTCATATATACACTGCTCAAATTAATATACTTTTAAAAGCCCCGTGTTATTATTTCAAAACACTTAATTTCAACTAGTATAAGATAAAAATCAATGATGTTTCAGGATCAGGTAAGTTGTGATATTTTAAGTTTTATAACTTCTTGGGGAAGAATAATAAAATAATTATTGTGTTTAGAAAGATTTAGAAAAGAACTCAACATTCCATGATTTTTTAAAGAGGAAAATTAGTTGGAAACTGTAACTATTTATATGGCCACTAGGTGTCACCAAACACTCATTGATTGTGCAAGGCACACATTTACTCTAGAGGAATGCATAATTTAACTAATTTTCCTTTCATAAAAAAGTCTTTTAAAAGACTTTCAATCACAATGTCTAAAGATTGAGAGGAAATTGTGAGAGCCAACTCCAGAGGTTTCTTACTTAAGATCCAAGATGGGATTTGGGGATTCTGTTAACCCGCTGAAACTGGATGAAGCATTTTGAGTGTATGACTGTGTATTTTTTTTTTTTCCCTAGGAAGTAGGTCTATAATGGACATCAAATGTCAAAGGGGATAGGTCTTAGACATTACTAGAAACTACTACTAATTTCTCCATTTTCAGACAGGATTGAGTACAACCAAGTTAGCTAAAAATCACTTGTATTTTTAAAGATTTTTCAGGGGAGAATTTCCCAGCAGCAACCCTTACAAGTGTTTCGCAGTTGCTCTTTTCAGAGAAATCCATCCTCTGCCTAATGGATGCTCCCCTACTCTAATTTTTTCAACCTTAATCAGCGGGTGGTTCTTTGGAAAGTGGAGTATTCTTAGTTCCTCTATGGCAGCAGTTCTGGAAGTGTGCTTCCCAGAGCAGTAGCTGCAAGGGCCTCACCCGGGAGCTTGTTAGAAATGTGAATTCTTGGGCCCTACTGAATCAGAAACTTTCCAAGTAAACATTTTAGTATCTCACTTTTCAGCCCTCTCTGAAATCCTATATTCTTTCCTAATTTGAAGCCCCAAATGAGGAAGCTGTTCTATACAAGCAAGTTCTGGCCAAATTGGGTAGCATCGTAAGATGCCTGTGTATCGTCTGATCCCATGTTTGTTTGTACAATTATACTGCAGTCTTGCTGGTTAATAAGCTTTCTGTTACCTACTGTTATCCCAAGGGGTGTGTGTGTGCACGCACGCATTTCTACCATGGCTGTGCACAGCTGGACTTTCCTCATATTTATATGATTTCTTTTTTTCTTTTGTAGTTTACTGTCTTACTCTTTTCATTTGTTCTTTTGTTTATTTCTGTTAACTTCTCTCATTTACCAAGGTCGCTTTGAATTCTGACCCGTGCTTTGAGTTTTTTTCTTCAGTTTGACTTTGTACCATAGAGTGATGTTTCACATTCCAGGTTACAGATAATGACCCTGAACTCAAACGTTCTTAATTATTGTTTTGTTTATGCCTGTGCCACAGAACTAATATGTTTTCTTTACATGTGTGGGGCAGGGGGAGTTAAAGCAGGGGGCTCTACAAATGTGCTTTTGCTATTTTGGAGGTCACCCATTTTTACCATCCCCACAAACTGTACTTCTAACCATAGGAGAAATTTCCTTTTTCTTGTAATGAGTTGCCAAAACATCCTGTTAGGTGAAACTAATACTTTGTGTTTGTTTAAAATGAGCAAAATCTTTGATCTTTGGCTTTCTTGCATTTATACCTTGAATTATACCACATGACATTTTCATGGAAACTTTAACTTTTCCATAAGGCATGGAAAGCTAAAGTGATTAAGGTCACGCAGCTATTTAGTGGCAGAACTTTGAGTAAAACCCATAGATTTTGATCCCCAGCCCTGGGTGATTTTCATAATCCTGCTTGTCAATTTGCATCTACTTAATCACCTTTAATGAATTCATTATTTTATAGGTGTGGAGCTTGTTTTTATTTGCCTTAGGGCTTACTAACTGGAAAGTTCTTATGTTTTGTCTGTTCATACAAGAGTCCTACTGTCAGTCATTTTTATTGCTCTAATTCATTCAAAACACATTCACAGCCAACCTCCTAGGTGCCAGGTGCTTTAGAATATAACAGCAACAATAGTACTATTTGGGCATGATTGCATAACTACAAACCCTCCCCCACGTACTTATCTCATGTAACCCTTGCCACAGCACTGTAATGAGGCGGGGAAGCACAGGTCTAAGCCCACGGCCCTTGATAACCTCTGTTGCATTACCCACATGGGCAGGCTTGCTGCAGAGGAAGCAGGCTACAGAGATTTTTTTAAATTTTCCCTCTTTATTAAGGTTTTCAGACAGAGCTGCTCCTAAACCATCTCATGTGGAGCTTTGTTCATCTTCTAGTTAAAGATCATTCCCAGTCTGCCTCATGATGCTTTTTATATGTGGGTCATGACTCAGAAAAAAATGGCCTGAGAGTCAGCATGCTTCAAATACTTGCTTTTTATCTCTATAACATGCTAATGTTTATAATTATGTGAAAATCAAGAAATTCATAAACTTATCCAAGTCAATAAGACAAACAACCCAATAGAAAAATGGGCAAATGAGAGAAACAGGAATTTCACAGAAGAGAAAACATGAGTTGTTACCAAACATAAAAAAGTTGGTCAACTTGGCCAGGCACGGTGGCTCATGCCTGTAATCCTAGCACTTTTTGAGGCTGAGGCAGGTGGATTGCCAGAGCTCAGGAATTCAAGATCAGCCTGGGCAACATGGTGAAACCCTCTCTCTGCTAAAATACAAAAGATCATCCGGGGTGTGGTGGTGTGCACCTGTAGTCCCAGCTACTCAGGAGGCTGAGGCAGGGGAATTGCTTGAACCCGGGAGGCGGAAGTTGCAGTGAGGTGAAATTGTGCCACAAGCCTGGGCAACACAGCGAAACTCTGTCTCAAAAAATAATAATAATAATAATAATTGGTCAACCTAAAAGTAATGATTGAAATGCAGATTAAGACGACAGTGAAATGCCATTTTACACACCTGATTGGCAAAAATTAAAAGTCTGATAATTTCAAGTGCTTGTAATTATATGGAGTAATGGGAACTTACAAATATGGCTGGTAGGAATACAAAATGGCACAACTACTTTGGAAAACAATATGGCACTATCTTGTAAAGCTGAACTTGTACCTACTCTTTGAATAAGAAATTTTCTTGATAGGCATGCACCCTAGATGAAATTTTGTACGTTTTTAGTAGCAAAAGCTAGGAAATACCAAAAAGTTCATTGATAAGAGAATAGATAAATTTATTGTGGTAGTTTCATGCAATACAATATTGAACAGCAGTGAAAATGTATTAACAATAGTTATATGTAGTAATGTGGATAAATCTTGAAAATATAATATGGAATGAAAAAATCAGACCCAAGAATATTTTATCATGTATCATATTTTATAAAGTTCAAAAACAAGGAAAACTCAATCTCTTGTTTAGGAATACAAATGTTTGTGATAAAACTATTTAAAAAATGCCAAGTGGTTATTTCTGAGAATGAGGAGGAAAGGGACGAACTTGGGGAGAAACACACAGATTTAAGTGTATTATAAGTGTTTTATATCTTATGTTGGCTGGGAAATTCACTTGAGTTTTTTTTATGATGATTATTCATATTTTACAAAAATGATACTTGTATTTTTCTGTGTACATTACACATATACAATACATTTTAAAAAAAGTAAACTGCTAACTTCATATTCCTATTGGTCAAAGGAGGACACAGGAACTTCATTTGTGAAACCGACTAGAGGCCTTAGGTTCTCTCTGTGGTTCTTTCCTAATGGTGACTGTTTCCTGCAGTGTCCTTGGCCTTCCTGTGTGGCCTGAAGCGTGAGGAGGACAGCTGTGAGGCTGCCAGACACACCTATGTGCAGTGTGATTTGACAGTTGCCATGGCGACAGAGCAACTGCTTGAATCGTGGCCTTACCTCTACATTTGCGAGGAAAGTTCCCAATGCCTCTTTGTGCCAGATCATTGGGCAGAGTCAATGTTTCCATCATTCTCGGGCCTCTTTATCAGGTAACTTTACCTTCTCCCTCCCTGAACTTCCCCACAAATGCTTGGCCAATGGACCGATGGAGCCATCAGAGAGTGTAGGCTGGGTGGATGTGGCCTGGCAGCCGTGGTAAGGGCTACAACTCTCTTGGAGGGGCCATTCCATTGTGGATTCCAGCCAGCCTGCATATCAAAGCATCTCCTGTCTTTTTCAACTGTTTAAGAGAACATCTGAAAAATCTGCCCAGTAAACAGCTCGCTTTGTTCTTGCTTAGATTTTAATATTTATCTTCCGATCCAAAGCAACATCTGGTGAATGCCAATGGGGAAAAAGATTAGACGTTATGAAAAACAGAAGGCTTTTTCCCCGCTTTCCTTTTTCTTTTCTTTCCAAACAGATTCACAAGTATGAAAAAAAGCCATAGAGAAATCCAGCAGATTGTACAATGTTTATTCAAAAGAAGGAGGGTTGCATAGGCGGAATTACTGTAGATCTAGGATTTAGAAGCCATAAGCGTATAAGCATTTTTTTAACTTAAAAAAGAGGCTGACAAATAAACACCACAACTTTCCAAGTTAACCCCCCTTTTCTAAACAAATAAAAAAGAAGTGTGACCATGCTAGTAATTCTGGATTGCTTTCATTTCAGCAAGGAGTTCCTTTCCTATACAGGGCAGTGTCTCATGACTGAACATTGTCATGTAAACTTCTTTATGTCTTACGTAGATAGAGTGGCTACCTTTGATTATCTAATGAAGGTCTCTTTTCTTTTTCTTTTCTTTTTTTTTTTTTTTTTTTGAGACAGAGTCTTGTTCTGTCGCCAAGGCTGGAGTGCAATGGCATGATCTCGGTTCATTGCAACCTCTGCCTCCCAGGTTCAAGGTACTCTCATGCCTCAGCCTCCCCAGTAGCTGGGATTGCAGGTATATACCACCACGCCCAGCTAATTTTTGTATTTTTAGTAAAGACAGGGTTTCATCATGTTGGCCAAGCTGGTCTCAAACTCCTGAGCTCAAGCAATCCACCCGACTTGGTCTCCCAAAGTGCTAGGATTATAGGCATGAGCCACCGTGCCCCGCCTCTTTTCTTATAAAATATGAAACTAAACAAGACCACTTCCCCACGGTGAAAGAGATAACCAGCTCTTTTCATGGCATCTGACTTTGTGATGTCCTGAGACAGTTTGTGTTTTAGTGTGAATTTGGCACCAGAGGTTTAGGTTTAGCTGGAGGAAAAGAGGAACCTCCTTGGCTGGTTGCTTTCTAAAAGGGCAAGAAGAACTCTGTTTAGCTCACACAGGAAATGGAGTGCTGGGTATTGTACTCAGGTGAGACTGGATTTCAGAACTTACTGATGCTGGACACCAGGAAGTACATGTCAGTAGGTCCTGGCTCCATTGAATTCAGGGACTTCATCTGAATCCCCAAAACTCTTCTTTGGGGTTCTTCCATGCTCTTCCTCTTCATTGTATGGGATGGCTGAAGCAACTGAGCCTCAGAACGCATTGACAGTATAGCTTTACCTATGAATATCATTTCAATAGTGCTGCTCAATGTTCTGGCTATTGCAGTAGGCAAAAGTGGGTATGTTTTCTTTTTTCTTTTTTTTTTGAGACTGAGTCTTGCTCTGTTGCCCAGGCTGGAGTGCAGTGGCAAGATCTCGGTTCACTGCAAGCTCTGCCTCCCGGGTTCAAGCCATTCTCCTGCCTCAGCTTCCTGAGTAGCTGGGACTACAGGTGCTCACCACCACGCCCGGCTAATTTTTTGTATTTTTAGTAGAGATGGGGTTTCACTGTGTTAGCCAGGATGGTCTCGATCTCCTGACCTCATGATCTGCCCACCTCAGCCTCCCAAAGTGCTGGGATTACAGGCGTGAGCCACTGCACTCGGCCAAAAGTGGGTATGTTTTCTTGAGTAAGAATTATAATAAGTGCCCTATGATTTAAACAAACAAAGTTTAATGGGGATGAGAGTGGGGGAAACTGGCAGCGGTCTTTTTGCCAGTGGGAAGGTAAGGTAATGCAATCGTCAGAGGACAATTTGCCGATTCACGAATAACCTTAAATTCTTTATACTCTGTGACCCAGCAATTTCTCTTTTAGGATTTTAAGAAAGTAGATAGAAATGTGTAATATTTATAACAATCATGTTCTTTGAAGTTTCAGGTATCAAAAAAAATTTGCAATGAAACAAGTTTTAGTAATAAAGAATGTATCCAAATGATATGATACTAAGTCACCTTTAAAAATTAGGATGTAGAATATTTAACCAGACAGGGAAATATTTATAATATATTGAGAAGTGAAAATCACAGGTCTCAAAAGAGTATATCAATTTGATCCTACTGTTGTATATAGTGTATATGTTTGTACACACATAGGTTACTAGAGAAAAGGCTGGAAAGATGTATCCAAGAATGTTGATGGTGCCTATCTCTAGGTGGTTGGAGTACTGACCATATTTATTTTCTTCATTGAGTTTTTATGTGTTTTTCCAGGGAACACAATGCTGTATCTCCCTGCCATCCACAACATCTATGGGGTTTGATGTCATTTGGCAAAGGGAGAAGTGCATCTGTGGCAAAAATTATACCCTGTCTATTCGTCCGTCCATCCATCCATCCATCCATCCATCCATCCATCCATGATCCATCCATCTATCCAGTATATTCATCCATCCATCCATCCATCCATCCATCCATCCATCCATCCATCCATCCATCCATCCATCCATCTATCCAGTATATTCATCCATCCATCCATCTATCCATCCATCCATCAATCCATTCATCCATCCATGATCCATCCATTTATCCAGTGTATTCATCCATCCATCCACCCATCCATTCATCCATCCATCCATGATCCATCTGTTTATCCAGTATATTCATCCATCCATCCATCTCTCCATCCATCCATCCATCCATCCATCCATGATCCATCCATCTATCCAGTATTGATCACATCCCTACTCTGTTCTAGGTGTTGTGACAGGTACTGGTGGCTCATTCGTGGATGTCATGAAAGTCCCTGCCCCTTAAGGGTAGAGAAGAAAGTCAGATAATAAACAGGATGATCACGTGTTGTGATAAGTGCTATAAAGTGATAGAAAAATAAAGGGGGGCTACTTTAGAGAGTGTACTCAGAGGAGGCTTCTCTGAAGAAGTCTTTTATGTTACGAAGAGAAGCAGGTGTCTTTATGGAGGGTGAGGCAGTGGCAGCAGCAAATGCAAAAGAACTGTCGAGTTTTATGACTGTTCAGAGGCTAGGAGGGTGGGAGTAGACTGAGAAGGAGGAAAAGTGGCCCCAGATGAGCTCGGAGAGATATGTAAGGCATTGAAGGCCAAAGTAAAGAGTTTGGATTCTCTTCTAAGTGAAGATTAAGTAATTTCCCAAAGTCACACAGTCAAGCCATGGCAGTGTTGAGACTGGAACTCAAGGCTTCTGATGCAGTGTGCTTAGTGCAATGCTGTGCTGGCAGCTTCAGTGTGAGAGCCCTGGCTGAGCTTTGTGGGTTCAGTGAGGTTTCAGAGCCACAGGAAGCAACTTCAGGGGAAGTGAGGGAGAGAAAATGCCTGCAAATTGTTTTCCCTACCTATCCTAAGGAGCACAGCCAAGGTTACTTGCTTACTTTAGGATCTAATCAGATCAACTAAAGAACAATAGTTTGGGAGTCAGGAGTCTTAGATACTAGAACAATCTTTGCCACCATTTTTACCCAATATTTTAAACCATATCCCCCAAAGTAAATATGTGTGTGTGTGTGCAGTGTGTATGCATGTATATCTGTATCTGTATCTGTACATATATTGATCTCTCTGTCTATATATGCTTATGTTGCATATATATATGCTTATATTTATATTTAAATATGGCCAACTGTGCTTCTTAATTCATAGGATTATTGTGGAAGAAACCATGGAAGAGTAGCTAGCTATTTAGAAGCTTTGAAATTTTGTAAATGTTAACCTATTTTGGATATCCTGGTGTCTCAGCTAATTTTGGTGATGGCTTTTTAATGAAAAACATTTCTAGCAAGGTAGTTACAAATATGGAAAAAAGTGTGAGCTGAAGCTGGTAAACAAAAAGTCCAAGCTAACAGAAAGGGGTTTAATTCTCTTCAGAGCAAGAATAACATGCTTAGTGAAAACAGTGTGTTCCTAACAGGCAAACAGAGGGTAGAGTGACTCAGCCCATTTTACTTGTACCTCTGCCAGCGAAGAGTCAGGAAAGGGCATAAGAAGGTTTATGAGGCAAGTGGAAGCCCAAGGCCAAGAAAGGATGTAGAAGGAAGTTGGTCACTACTTTCCTTGAGTTCAAGTCTGTAGTCTCAGATCATTCATAAACTGGGTACAAAAAACTCACTCTTATGATTGAGGACCTATTGCTGGCAATGAACCATGAGAAGGGGTCACATAACAGAGGTGATGGGCAGATATTCTATGAACCTAAAAAAAAGAGGAGGAATTCTGGAAATTTAGACAACTAAGCTTGGTGTTATCCCTGACAAAATTCTAGAATGAACTATTCATCAGATAGTTTGTGAGCCTTCAGAAATGAAAGTAGCCATCTGGAAACCGATTTACGAAGAATGTGATGGTGTGGGAAACCAACTTCATTTCCTTTCTGATAGGTTTATAAGTGACTTATGATATAAACATAGCGGGAGACCTTCACAAACTATTCCAACCACTTCTCCACCCCCAGTAACAAAAAAAGGTTCTAGGTGCAAAGCCCAAAGTGGCCTGATGCAAGCCTCAAGTTGCTCTGAAGTGAGGTGTTTTAAAAGTCTGCGTGAATTTTGCATTTGATTCCATCACATTTCTGTATTGATCTAAATATTACATTGCATTTTAATTTAAAAGTTAAATTACTTTGCTTTTCCTTTCTGAATCTTGGAATACGACTGATGCTCCAGGAGCAAAGGATGGATTTATCCTGTGACTTTGTCTGCCCTGTGGACGAAGGATCAGCGAATGGATTTACAGCTAGATAGCAGGCTACAGATTCAAAACAAATTTGAGCAACAGGTCTAAACCAGTGAGAGATATGTAACAATAATAAATGTAAATTTCCACATTTACATTTTTAACAATAATGCTACTAAAACTACTACCTCCAACAGCTATAACGCGAGCTGCCTTTATTGGATTCGTATTGTGTGCCAGGTTCCATGCTAATCTATTTATATGCTTCATTTTGCTCAGTTTCTTCAACACCTCCACAAAATAGGTACTTGATTATTGGCAACTCCATTTTATAAATGTGGAAACCAAAGCTTAGTGAAGTAATGTCTTCAATGTCATGTAGATGGTAACCATCTGCCCCGGGATTCAGATCCAGCTGATCTGCTTCTGAGCCTAAGCTTTACATGCCAGTGCTCCTCAGAAAATCATTTGAACAAACACACCATGGTGAAATCCTCAGAAAGCTGCAGCTCTGAGACTTTGAATTGACCACTATCTAAGTATAAGCACGGTGGCCTTCAAAATGAACACAGTATCAGGTACCGTGAGAAGGAGGCTCAGATAAAGGCAGACCGGAGTCCCAGTGGTCAGCCCAAACAATCTGCGTTCAGATATGGGTGGCATGATGTTAACATATTGACAGTCTACATTATTAGGTCTAAAGGACTGTGGGTTTGGAAGTCATGTCTTAGGTAGATACAGAGTGGAGAATATTTTAGCATGAAGAAGCGAAGATTAAGTGGTGAGATGTACTAGTTATCCTGCTCATTATTTCTAGAAAATTGTGGAAGAAAACATTTTGACATTGATTTGAAAAAAGATGGTAGGGTTTGACATGGTGTACAGTTTCTCAAGTGGTGACCTTTTTGCCCTTCTCTCCACCCTTCCTGGTCTTCCCATGGGATCTGCCATCTTCCTGGCTGATGTTCAATCAGCATTTCAAAACTTGAGAGCACTGCTCTGGGAAACAGGACCATCTGGTTTTGACCTCGGAGCTACCGTAGTTCTGTGTTTGACTTTCTGAGAATCTCTTGATCTCTTTGGGTTACACTTTTTACACCTCTTCCTAATTTATAGGCTGAAATGAGATCATACATGTGAAATTGTTGACAAATATGAAACATCATGCATTATTATTACTGATAATTTTTGAGTTAGTTGCAAAAATGCCTACAGCCAGGATGATTCTTGAATAAATATCACACCTGTTGAGGATGACACCCTTCACTATCCATGTCCTCACCTCTAGATGGCATATTTTTAGACTTTCTGTAATGCTACACTGCTGTTTTTTATTTTAAATCCAGTCTGGCTTCTCCCCTTAAAGCAAGAGGACTTTTAAAGCGAGTGGCTGGTAGTATAACTGGCACATATATTGAATCTCCTTAGTCTGGGCTGTTAAGTAAGTTTAATTAATTTACTAAGTTAATGTTCCACTGCTAGCAACAGAGCCTCATTGCCATCAGCTGGGAAGGGGGAATTGCAAGCCTAAATGAGCTCATTTTTTCACAGTTGGAATTAGGGACCAGTTAGCCAGTTGTGTGGGTTTTCCAATTTCTCCATCTGCCCTAGGGGGATTCAGGCAATTACTCCCCCAACACTAAGTATGAGTAAGAGCAGGAAGAGGGAAGGGGAAAAGAAAAAAAATAAAAACAAAAACTCTCCCAGACGTTTGTTACCCTTTTTGGAACTGGAAGTATTGTCCCTGCATTTCTTGTTAAGCTGGGCTAGGAGTAGCTTTTGCTAATGTTTTTAATAGATTCGGAAAAGAGAAAGGCCTCAGTGAAAGATATTTACCATGGTGCATTTTCATTGCAGGGTGTGCAGATAAAAGGAAAAACAAATAAACAATAAAAGAATGGAAACAAAATTACAGAAATTTGCAAAATTTGACAAATGGTGGCCTGTAGTTGCCACAAGCTAATGGCTTGCAATGATTAATAAGAGTAAAAATAATTGCATTTCATTAAGATTGATGACACCCCATTTAACCTCCCCTCTCGTTTCAGCCCTAAATTGGAAAGAGATGAAGTTCTCATCTATAATAGCTCCTGTAACATTACCATGGAAACTGAGGCAGAGATGGAGTGTGAGACGCCCAATCAGCCAATTACCGTCAAGATTACTGAGATACGGAAACGCTGGGGCCAGAACACTCAGGTATAATCAAATCTTTTTTACAGACTGATTCAAACAGCTCAAATTAAATTTGTAATATTGTGTACATTAAAAAAACAATTTAGTCCAAATGGCAGCGATATATAATATTAAATGTGCTCAAACTTTGAGAAGCTGGTCTAATGCACAATATCTGAATTCATAGTTAACTCTGGTTAATCATATATTTTCTCAAAAATAAATGAGTGTTGCCCGGGCTCTTTCAAAGCAAATTCTGAGCAGATAATCTGCTTGGCATTTTGTCCTGATTTCTGTATGCATGTTTGAAAGGGGCTCTCTGTGGTTTATTTCTTCACAAAATAAATGGCCTACGATTTAACCAGATCCTACTGGAAGGCTTCCAAATCACTCAGCCGTCCTCAGCTTGGCGGGACAGCAATGTCTGCAGGTCCATTCGGTTCATCTCTGTGCCATGGGGGAGCAGAGTGGAAACTTCAGCTTCTGAGGGGATTACGTGGACATCAGAAACGAAAAGGACCTCAGGGTCATTCGGTCTAGCCTCTCTGCCTCAATTCACCCATTTTGAAATTGTCTAAACCACTCCCTCCAAGTGGCTCTTCTAAAAGCATGTTTGTAAGTCTCCAGAGAGGAATTCCACAGCCTTCCCCGGGAATTTGCGAGAATTGCAATCAGAGGCTCAGGGCTCTTTGGAAATGGATCAGATAATCTTTTACAGCTCCCCAGGCTTCTCACGGCACAAAGATAAAAAATAATATTTATTGAGCACCTACTCCCTTAGGTGCCTTTCTCTTTATGAAAGCAGTTCTCAGATTTTTCTCTTTTTGTCTCTTTTATTTGGAACAAACATTTATTGAGTGCCTATTATGTGGCACTCGCCGTACCAGATTCTCTTGTGAATGCTGCTGCAGTCAAACTGTCCTAATCCAAAAGTCAGCTTCCTGGCTTCAAAATGTGTGTTCTTCTATAACTTTTGTACTGGTGCTGAAAATGTATGCGATGGCAAACAACATTTTTTTTCTGTCCTTACTAAACTGTTCCGTGCCTACCTTTCCATGCTCCTGGGTCCTCAACTGTCCACTCTGTGGCCTCTGCAGGCTTCTCCCTCACCTTGACCTTCCCTTCAGGTGATAGCCTGGGGCTGTCACTTCTCGCTTCATCGTGTCCCCCACAAACACCTCTTCCTTTCAATTTACTACCAATTTTAATTCTCTCCAGAGCCGCTGACCCCCAGTGGCACTTCCACTTTATTCTGCGCCTGTTTCTCAGCAGTCAGCTGTCAGTGACATTTCAAAAGTGTATTGTAGTGCGCTGAGACTGCTGTGTGACACTGGGTGATCTTTAAGCCTCTCTGGGCCTCAGTTTCTGCTGGGTGCGTAATAACCTGGTGTTGTTGGGATGCTTAGATGTGCAAATGCTTGTGAAAGAGGGAGAGGCAGGCTGACCTAGTGTTTAAGTGCATGGACTTTGGAGCTAGACTGCCCGGGTTTGAATACATCACTTGCTTCTTGGGGGACTTTAGGCAGGTTCTTTAAACCCTCTGTACTTCAGTTTTCTCATCTGTAAAGTAGGGTCAATAATAGTTCCCACTTCATAGGGTTGGTGTGCGCCACTGAGAGCTGCATCTCACACATGGTAAATGTCCAATGTTAGCCATTATTGGCAGTGCTAGTTCACTAGTCATAGTGCTAGAAAATGATATGAATTTATTTTTCTATAGTGCTTGCTGCTTTGACCAGATCATTTCACTTCTTAGATTTATTTAATTTCCCATCATCTCAAAGTCTAATTTTGATTTTTTTTAGGCTTAAATGCCTCACTCATTTAAAAATCCTTATGTGACATACATTTGAGTTCCAACCATGTTCAAGGTTCTCTACCATGTTCTGAAGGAGATTTAAAAAATATATGGAAAGAGACCCCACTTTTAAGAGATATTTGGGAAGTGAGGCCTTATGTGGAAGTAGTTAAGTTTCAAAAAAGGGTACATAGAGTCAATTCATCACAGCTGGGTGGAATGTTGGATGCCATACAGACCGGCCAGTTCATTTCAGAGATGAGTTAACTGAGATTCATAATGAGGGGTGGTTGATAAAGGTCACACCGGTAGTTATCTGGCCTCATAACCCATGTGGCTATAGTCATTGTGGGGGAAGTAAGCCATTTAATCTTTAGGAACTAGGAATGTGTCTAGTGCCAGTGTGTAGGGAACTCCAGTCCTGAGGGGGTAAAGAGGAGATGGGTACCATCATTGTAGGTTTCAGATGTGATGTGTTACACTCAAGTGTTAGTGATAATGTCATAGTTTCGAACAGTCTATTGGGAGCAGGGCCCTATCAAGTAGCCAGAAGCACACGAGGGAACAATGGCAGGGATTTATGGCAAACTCAGTCTGAACTTATGGCTGCGTTTAGCTCCAATGGGACCCTAAAGAATAGAACAAGAGTCTCAGGCACACGTCCTGTCGCATCGACTGGATCAATATGGTGGAAGTTAGGAAATAACTATGGCTGGCACACAGTGGCCTGGAGTCCAGAAAAACAACATTCTGTATAATGGGAAAATTGTTAATTCTAGATTCTACTCTTGTTAGGGTGGTTTGGTTTGATTTAGGAACTGGATATAATGAAGTCTATAGGTGGAGGGCTTATAACTAAGTGACTATGTAATTTATCACCCAAACCAGGATGCTTTTGAGAGTGCAAGGTTCACAATGAATGATTATGCTGGGATAGTATGTCACCCTTGTTGGGGTGTGTGATTACCCTACCTGGGCTTGGGAACAGAACAACTTGTCATACATATGTGATACATGGTTACCCTACCCATGTTGGGATGTACAATTTCCCTACCTTGGCCTGGGAAAAACATGCCACCAGTATTATGATGCATGGTTATCTGGGCGTGGGGAAGACCAGCACCAACAAGTGCTTAATCAGGACTACAATCCAGGTCCCTGTTCCAAATTCAAGAATTCCTTGTGTGGGAACCTTGGAACACTAGAAAAGGAAACATTTCTACACTGCTGGTGGGAATGTAAACTAGTACAATCACTATGGATAACAGTGTGGAGATTCCTTAAAGAACTAAAAGTAGACTACCATTTGATCCAGCAATCCCATTACTGGGTATCTAGCCAGAGAAAAAGAAGTTATTATACAAAAAAGATACTTGCACACGCATGTTTATAGCAGCACAATTCGCAATTGTAAAAACATGAAACCAGCCCAAATGCCCATCAGGAAACGAGTCAATAAAGAAATTATGGTATGTATATATAATGGAATACTACTCAGCTATAAAAAGGAACAAATTAATGGCATTTGTAGCAACCTGGATGGAACTGGAGACGATTATTCTAAGTGAAGTAACTCAGGAATGGTAAACCAAATATCGTATGTTCTTACTCATAAGTGGGAGCTAAGCTATGAAGATGCAAAGGCATAAGAATGATACAATGGACTTTGGGGACTCAGGGGAAAGGGTGGGAGGTGGGTGAGGGATAAAATACTACAAATTGGGTTCAGTGTATACTGCTCCGGTGATGGATGCACCAAAATCTCACAAATCACCACTAAAGAACTTACTCATGTAACCAAATGCCATCTGTTCCCCCAAAACCTACGGAAATAAAAAATTAAAAAAATATATTTTTCAGCCAGGTGTGGTGGCTCATGCCTGTAATCCCAGCACTTTGGGATGCCAAGGTGGGTGGATCACCTGAGGTCAGGAGTTCGAGACAAGCCTGGCCAACATGGTGAAACCCCATCTCTACTAAAAATACAAAAATGAGCCGAGCATGGTGGCGGGTACCTGTAGTCCCAGCTACTTGGGAGGCTGAGACAGGGGAATTGCTTGAACCCTGGAGGCGGATGTTGCAGCAAGCCAGGATTTTGCGAATGTGCTCCAGCCTGGGTGACAGAGCAAGACTCCATCTCAAAACAAACAAACAAACAAACAACAACAACAACAACAACAAAAAACAAACCAAAAAATCAGCCCAGCGTGGTGGTGCCTGTAATCCCAGCAACTTGGGAGGCTGAGGCAGGAGAATTGCTTGAACCCAGGAGGTGGAGGTTGCAGTAAGCTAAGATTGCACCATTGCACTCCAGCCTGGGTGACAAGAGCAAAACTCCGTCTAAAATATATATATATATATAATTTTTTAGTGACCTAGATGGGAGGGCGTGAGGCAGTGTGGGAAGATTGATAAGATCAGTACTTACTTTGTTAAAGAATATCAAGTGGCTCAACAACTTAATTTGAGGTCCTGATGTGTTTGTAAGCTAAACGTTTCTTTCCATTGCTTCCTCCCATTGAGGGGTACAGCCAAGTGAGCAAAAAGCCACTCCCACATGCTTTAGGGCCGCAGGACTGCCTACTAGATTCTAAGAAAAATGGCAAGTTGTCCTCTTATCACAAGATAACTGGTTAATATGTTGCTTTTCAAGGTTGGCAATAAAAGTTTAAACCAAAACAAATTAAAAAAAAAAGTTACGTAGGTTTTCCTACCAAAGGACTTTTGCGATCCTTCAATACGTGAATACATAATGTGGATTTCTAGGGAGTGCTGTGGTGTGGACTGTTACCTAAACTTTGCCTGTGGAACTCTTTATTCCCAGAATTTCTCTTGGGGCTGGCATCTGTCCTGCTGCCTTCACTCTGGGAAGTGTTGTGTATGCCATGCTCTTCCCCTCTCACAGAGTAGGGGCTCGGAGTTGGGAAAGGTCATCTTCAGGTGGGGCAGCCAACTAAGCTCTATTAACGCCAGTGGCATTTGTGCTATGCTATGAAGGACAGGGTTTAGGTATTCAGCATGCAGAGGAAAGGCATTTCTGGTGGGGGAACCAGCATGCGCAAGGCAGCAAGGCTAGAACCCACAGGAATAGCAAGGAGCATGGTGTGTGTGAAGGGGAATGGTGAGTTGTAGGTTTGGAAAGGTGGGCTAGGATTGGATTGTGATCTAGAGTTAAGCATTTGGTCCTTTGATTCAGCAGGTGACAAGTAATCCCCAAGGAGTCAGTGACTGATCAAAGGTGAGCTATAGTCACATTAATCTGGCAGTGAGGTATGGATGAACTGATTGGTAAACCGACGAGAGGTAGAAGCATCTCAGCTAGGTGAGAGATAACTGGGGCAGGGAAATGGCAGAGGGAATGGAGAGGCAACACACTCAATAGTCAAGGAATGTGGCTTTCTGTCTGAGATTGAGTTCAGGGAAACCCAAAAAACTCTTTTTGGGTTCCATTTCTCTGTGCTCTCAGTTTCCAATCAGAGATTAGAGTTTAGGGCTGCTAATATTGGTGGAATTTGCAGGGAAGGATACCAGAGAGGAGGGAGCTGTGCAAAAAAGGAACTCTAGAAGTCTGCAGGGGTCCCTTGAGTCCTTTGCCAAATAGTTAACCAATCATGTAGTGAGTATATTTCTGTGAGGTCTAGCAGGCTATAGCTACTGGGAGGCTTGAAGTGAACATAGCCTCTAAGGTACTGGGAGTACTTTGGAACAGCACAGTACTAGAAGATTTCAAATGCTGACTGATTAGAGTGGAGAAACCCCACTCAACACCAGGGCATTGAGTTGAGACCTCAGAAAGGCCACACTTTAGGAATAAAATATTCTAGCTCTGGAGTAAAGCTACTCTAGACCCACTGAATGGATCCTGAAAACAGGGCTTAACAAAATTAAACTGTTATTTCAGTAAATTAATTGTCTGCTAGAGCAAAGCTCAACACCCTTTAAAGGAAGGAAGATAAAAAAATCTCCACCTTCAAGAACATGGCATCCACAATGTCCAGCATACAATCAAGAACCTGAGAAAAAAAGCAAAATATGCAATCAACTAAAACAGACCTATGGATGATAGAGATGTTGAAACGTACTAGATACGGACTTTAAAACAACTGTTATAAGCATATTAAAGGTTTTAAAGGAAAACAAAGATGCAACAAGAGAAGTTATAGGAAATTCCAGCAGGAAAATGAAAACTATTTCAAAAATTAATAAAAATTATAGAATTGAAAGAAATAATATCTGTACTGAAAATTTCACTAGATAATATTAGATTGGGCCTTGCAGAAGACAAGATCAGTGAACTTGTAGACAAAACAATCAAAGCTATCCAAACTGAAGAACAGAAAGAAAAGGGAAAAAATGGATAGATAGTAATCTCTAAGTCAATATAAAGTAGTCTAATATTTGTGTCATTGGAGTAGCAGAAGGAAAAGAGAGGTAGAAGGGATAGAAAATAAAATAAATCTAAATAAATAAATATGCAAAGATTTTCTAAATTTGGTGAAAACTACAAATTCACCGATCTAAGAAGCTTAATGAATCCAAAGCAGAAGAAACATAAAGAGAACCATTATTGGAGTTCTCAATAATGTTAATATGTCAGTTATTCCAAATTAACATTTAAGTCAATGCAATTTCAATAGAACATCTCAATAGGTTTTTTTGGTAGAAATTTCCAGTCTGATTAAAAAATTATGGAAATGCAATAATCTAAAATAGCCAAAACTATCTTGAAAAGGAACAAAATTGGAGGACTTACAGTCTGATTTTAAATCTTACTATAAAGCTATGGTAATCAGTTGAAGTTCTAGGCAAGATCTTATATGAAAGAAAGGTTCTCCTGATAACAGTATGTTTGAAAATTCTTGTGGTAGTGTCATAGAATCCAGGTGAAGGAAGAGTTTGAAGGAATGTGTGTTGAGACTAATCAAAACATACCGCAATAAAGAGGTCCTTAGTGACATTTGAGGCCACAGGACAATATTGGTGGGGAGAAAAACCAGATTTTGGGGGGTTAAGGAGTATATGAGTATCAAGGAAATGCAGGCAACTGGTATAGATCACAAGTAGGAAGGGAAAGGGGAGATGCAGATAAATATTGTGGTTGAGTAGCACCTTCCTCATGTTCACAGCTCACTATCATTAGTACTAGAGATCATTTTCTTAAGTTAAAGGTACTTTGATTAAAGCTGTGGTCTTTAAGTGTGTTACTTGATTTGACAAGACCAAGACTCCACAGGTTTCTCATCTCGTCTGTTTTTCTAGTGACTACAAAATAGCTCTCAGACAACCCTAATGTTTAAGTCATCATAATTTTTTCCAAAATATTTATATTTTAAAATTCATTTAGACTCTTCAATGCATATCTCCCTTAGGAAGATTCTCCTTTTCTTAAAGTTGAAGAATTTTTTTTCTCTTGGGAAATTCCATAGTTCTTAATTATACTTGTTTTAAGAAATTTATCTCTTTTACATTTAAATTACATGTATTTATTTAAATATTTAAACTCCCAAATAGACATTACACTCTCTGAGAGTGAGCTTCATATTGGATTCCTCTTTGATGAATGGATGGATGAAGGCATATATGTCTGTACTGGATTACTGTTTAAAAGGCAAACCACACTGCTTATTTTTATCCCCACTTTTTGTTTAAGGAGATTCTTCTAGGAAATTCATGCAATCCAGCTATGTGACAAATTTAATATTTTCTTTATAATATACATAGCTATTTAGAGGCTAATTTGAAAATACTTTTTATTCCCTAATTAATTTTGTTTCTCCTATTACAGAAATCAAAAAACAATTTTGTCCCTTTTGTCTTCCCTCCCCTTCCCTCCTTGTCTTCTCCTTCTCTCCCTTCTTTCTTTTTTTCCTTTTAGACCCACTTAGTGTGCATCTTCAGGGTTGTGTGCCTGCAGAGAGAAGTGCTGCAGAAAGCAGGGTTGAGCTAGTTATTAGATTAGGGAAAAGGGGTATAGAAACTCAACCATTGACCCCTGACCTGGCTGTCCTGGAGGAAACTTACTGAGTCCCTTGTGCCTGTATTTTCTCCCTGAAATGAGGCTCCAAATGTATGAGAATTACCTACTTCAGGGGGAGGAGAAGCTGGAAAGGCAGACAGTTTCACATCTGAAAGGGCTTTGCCTTCTTAGGGTAATTAGTCAGAATAGGATGCACAGTGAACAGGACTCCTGGGGCCTCTCTTCTAATTCCAGCAATGTCCCTGTCTGACTACAACTGTTTAACAACTCACTTAACCTTTCAATTGATTGGTACTAGCTGACTTCCAGCTTTTGGAGGGAGGAAGACAGTACCTATAAACGTATAATAGTAGGAGAAACCTAAAAGTTCAACAATGGCATTATGATATAGTAGTTGTGAGCTTGGACTCTAAAATAAAACTGGATTTGAGGCTGATCCTTCTACTTACTTGTTATATAACTTTGGGCAAATTTTCTTAACTTCACTGAGTCTGTTAATTCCTACCTTGTAGGGTTGTAAGAATTAATTAATGCATGTAGTGCACTTAACGCAGTGTCTCATTCATAGACAGCCCTGGAAATGTGCCAGGGATTATCATTTTTGGTTAAATACATAATGAGACTACACAATTATGAAAGATAATCAGTCTGTGAGTACTCTGTAAATTGTTATGCCAAGTTAAAGTGTCACAATTTATATAATTGTTTATGGTGGTGTTGTCATAATCAGAACTTGCCGTGTGAAAGAGGCTTTGTCAATTATTTGAACTTAAGACTTTGCATACCTCTGTTTCTTGCTGTTTTTTTCTTTTTTTAAAAAAGAAGGAGGCTGGGCGTGGTGGCTCACACCTGTAATCCCAGCACTTTGGGAGGCCGACGTGGGCAGATCACGAGGTCAGGAGATCGAGACCATCCTGGCTAACACGGTGAAACCCCGTCTCTACTAAAAATACAAAAAAAATTAGCCGGGTGTGGTGGTGGGCGCCTGTAGTCCCAGCTACCCAGGAGGCTGAGGCAGGAGAATGACGTGAACCCGGGAGGCGGAGCTTGCAGTGAGCTGAGATTGCACCACTGTACTCCAGCCTGGGTGACAAAGTGAGACTCCATCTCAAAAAAAAAAAAAAAGGAAGAAATTCTTGCCTTTTCCCCTGTCTTTCTCTCAAGAGTATGATGAAAGATTTGAAAGAAAATCTAGTTCTTAGGTTTGTACAATCTTCTTGCCCTAGGACATTATTACCAATGATTTTAGGTAATATGTTGTTACTACTATTAATGTATTGTTATTATTATTAATCAATGTAAACATTATAATGCATTTTTATTTTATAGAAATGGAATGGCAGGTCTGCTATATCTAATAATATGAAATAAACTGTTACCTTTAACTATTCAGCAATGACACAGTTATATTTCATGCCAAAAGTATTTAGAATCATATGAATGGGTTTCTGTATTCAATGTTAAAATAATTCAACTTTGAATTTCCCATTAAATATGATATTATAAAAATGATTTAGGTACAGTCCCCTGGTGTGTTTGAAACTGTACACTCTGCAAACACATAAATAAAAATATATCTAATTGGAAAAAAAGAGGGAATTCAGGAAATTAGCCTGAATGCAGCTTAAACTCATCTGAACAAGTTAATTGTGCCTCTTTTGTTTCTCAGGGACTCTTTGTATCAAATGAGTTTATGATATTAGCCTGCTCCTCTCATATCAAGATATGTTATCAGTAAATAAGGCTGTGGTTTTGATGAGTGTTTGTCATATTTTGGCTCCCAAAAGTCCTTATTTTTCTTTACAATGTGTTTAAATTTATTATAATATCACTGAGTAATTATTACATCACCATATAGGAGTTTGCATTATCTCAGCTACACTACTCTTAACTTTTATCTTAAAATAACAGTTTCTGTGCTCAGTGGAAAACCGCGAGCTTTATTAGCCCTGTGAAAATGTCCCTATGAATGACAGACAAAAGGTAGTCCTATTGGAATGTGACATGATTATTTATTTCCTTCTAAAGTACAACTTCATAAATTGAAATTATTTTTTTCTAAATAAATACTGTGTGTAATTTTCTCAATGAAACCATATGTCATGGGATTTTTGTTTTTGACTATAGGAGTATAATGCTTACATTTTTTTTCTGAGCCTTTCCAAATATGAAACTTTAGCTATCCTGCAGAGAGGCCTGCTTGCTATGAAATTGCTATAGATGGTACAATGGCCTCACATGGGGATTCTTTGGATTCTACAGGGGAGGTGAGGCTTGGTAATTGAAGAACCAGAAGTGTTCAAATTAGTTTACTTGCTGACTCATTGGGTGACTGGATAACTCAGTTTTGTAATCTCAAGTTGCTATTTCTCGACCAGCGACATGGAAAGATTTTATGGAAGTCCTTAGTAACAGAATGTGAAAACTGTGATATGTCAATATGTTATTTTATCAGTATATTTAATTCTTCATGTGCGAGAAAAGCTTGCTTTTCCACAGGTCCATTTCTTGAATGCATAGTAGTAAACTACCATCTCCCTGAAGCCTGATGAAGAATTAAAGGCACCCAACTATGAGTAGGTTCCTTTCCCAGGTATGAAGGGTCTCAGATAGTAGTTGAATGGGTTTCAGTGGTATATGTGGTGTGGTGTGTTAGTGGTGGTGGTTGTGGTATGTGTTGTGTATTTGTGTTGAGTAAGGAGTAATATGAATTTCATCAGTGTTTGGATATGTGGTTCTATACTAGACATGTTAAACATTTTTTATTTTGCTGAAAGCTCTAATATGTTATCAGTTTTGAGTCTAATATACATAGCATTTCTATTTGCAAAAACAAATAATCATCTCAGCCTTGAGATACAAAAGGCAATTCAGTCAATTTGGAGAACTTGGGTTTTCTCCTCAGGGTTGTCCTCTTTTTAATTCTTGTTGATTCAGCCATAAATCTTCCCCTCCAAAGACCTTGCTTTTATTCCCACAGCACTGAAGTCTGCTCTTACTTTAAAGAGCCACAGTAACTGCTCCTAACATGCACATCTTTATTAGGAAATGTAGGGAACCTTGACCAGATAGCGCAGAGCAGCTGGAGCCTGGAAGGTGAAGAAATTTGGGTAAAGATGAATGGGTTATTCAGATATTAAAAGTGTTATGGAAACGGACTTCATCGAATTGAAAATCAGCTCAGAAAAAAAACAAAAACAAAAACTCCTGTGTCTCAGGGAGTTAGAGGAGAAAAGAAGGGGAACCAGAAGGGAGAGGCAGGAGCATTGGGAGGAATGAAGAATATTGAACTGGTTTTAGATAAAGGCTGTTACTTGGAGATAGAAATGACCTTAATGGTATTACTGTATGTATGAGTGGATGTTAACTTGCATTAACTCTATAAAATGGTAGTTTCAGGCATAGGCTTTTTCCACTTTCTGTTCTTTTTCCACTGGTGCATTCCAGCTTTGAGCTAATCTCCTCGGGCAGGTCAAATAAGGGTGTGTAGGCACAACTCCTCTAAGAGCTTATTTTAGTTACTGTCTTCTTGAATTGCTTTGCTGGTAGGAGGGTTAGGCAACACCTCTTCTAGTCCCCTGGCTGTCCTTGGCTGGAGTTAGCTGATGGTAGACTAGTGGCAGGGTTGTGGATATCCCAACAATGCCACAAAGTCCCTTTCTGGTTGTATCTCTCCATGGAGCCAACATAAATGTAAATCAGCAGAAAAGTGTGCAGATGAGAAGATATTGTCCATAAAATACACACCAATGGATCATTTCAGCTACACCAGAAGAAAGGAAATGTGTTTTTTCTAGAGGATAAAAGAGAAAAGTAGCCATTTAATGAGGGAATAAACTACCCTGAAGGGTATATACATTAAAAAAAGGGAAAAAAACCAAACAAAATAAACAATAAAACAAACAAATAAACAACAGGAAAGGCATGCCTTGATTCTATAGGTTTTACAAAGAAAGCTCTAGCTCCTTTCTAGAATATTATAATTACTAAACTAGTCTTCTCAGGTTCTCCCTTTGATGGGAGATGCAGAATAACTTGGAATATTTTGAAGAGTTCCCTTACTTCCAGTTAAGTGCTAGTAACCTCCTCAAATTAATGGATACTTAGTTGATTTTTTAGACTCCTTTTCTCCTTTACCTAAGAGAATTTGCAGCAGCTTTGCAGTTATTCCCTCTGTGACAGTGATCTCCAATATCCAGTTCTTTATTTTGAGGTCAAGGAAGCACTTCCCTTCCCAGCCTTTTGAAGTTTGATAGGGCCATAGGACTTGTATAGAATGTGGGTAGAAGCACTGAATTTCTGGAGCTCAAATCTCTAGCCTTTTTTTTTTTTCTGTGTTGACTAAATAGCCCAGAGTGTGGGCTGAACATACGTCCTCAACATATGGGGGACAGTTGTTCTGTCCAAGAGATTTGCCAACATCTGTAGTGGATGTTGTGTGAACAAGACATAAGCTTTTGTTGTATTGCTCCGCTGAAAACTTGGGATTATTTATCGCCACGTGCAATCTAGCCAGACTTAACTGATGACACCATTTTTAACAAGTGGCTCTGCAGCCTTGTGGCAGACCCACTCTATTCCACATGGTGTCTTTAATTAGTTTTTCTGTGAGTCTACAGGGAATCAGAACTGGATTTACATTCTTGATGGCAAGTATGACAAGTTAAGCTATGAGATGGAACCATTAGGCAGAAACGACTGATGGGACTTAGTGAGGAAAGGTGGCTGGACATTTGATATCATTCAGCCTCTTTTCATCCTCTGGACTCCCACTCTCCTCCCATGTCATCGGTGATGTGTTTCCACCCTCATCTGCAGTCCTGATGCCCTGAAGATCCTCTGTGGGATTTTCTAGTACTGAGAAATTAATCACTTTCTTTGTAATGTTGTTGCAAACAGTGGAAGTTTCTGGGGAGACATGACTATTCTTGGCATTTCTGCCTGTGCTAAGTCTCTATTTATTTCCTTCTAAGAAACACACTGGAATATTGTGCATCAAGAAACTTTCCTCAAATAAAGAATATATTTTACATCCATTTCCATAGCTCTCTATAATCTGTTTATAGATAGCTTCCAAACTTATGCTCTTTCATTTTTTCTCTTTAAATTTTACTTAAAAAAATTTGTTATGAAGACTTAAATCACAAGGGAAAAATGACTCAAATCATTTGATAAAGAGACTATATTGGCTCACAGAACCGATGATAAAGATGTTATACTGGCTCACAGCACAGGAAAACTAAGGAGTCATAGGAATGGCTTGATCCAGCAGCTCAGGGCTCACTAATGAGATGGCTCTTTCCATGTCTCTTCCCTGCCTTGCAGAGTGTCAGATTCAACCTAAGGTTGCTTTCTCTGTGGCCACAATGTGGTTGTCAGTAGCTTCTAGGCCTACTTGCTTTCCTATTCGTATCACATGGGAATGAAAGGGTCTTTCATGAGCACAGTTCAGAAGAAGGAAATTTCTTCCCCAGAACCCCCCAACAAATATGTCTTCATGACTCAT